>NC_000008.11:71552265-72177265 GCF_000001405.40 Homo sapiens
AATGTGTCAGTCACATGTTCTCCCCCTCCCCCTGGAAAAGGCAATGGCTGATTGTTGTTTTAAACTGTCTATATCATATGACAAACAAACATCAGATTTATTATTTTTTCTCACAAGTAGGGAATTTTTAAAATAGCACCTTTTTCTTCAAGAATAAAATTGCAGGTGAATTTTAAAAATAATATTCATCATTTTGTTCTTCCCGTATGGTTTAGAACAGAACTGCATGCTCCACAAGTAAACCCCAATGGCCAGCAGAACGGAAATGCTTCAAAGTTTGACTCATGAAGAGTGGACCTCAAGTTTATGACTTTTAGATTATATTTCCCTAGACATACTACTTGCACTTATCTAGGTTCAATCTCATTTGCTCTTTCCTGACCATGCTTTTGGCCGATAGCTGATAGTACTTTTGTTGACTTTGGTTTACAGTTGTAAATTACTGTTAAACTTTTTAAAAAGAAAAATCTATTTCATTCTGTGAGTTCTATCATCATGCAAAAACAAAACTAAACAGGTATACCCTTATTTCACAGAGGCCAGGATATGAAAGCTTGGATTCATCAAAAAGATGTAACATTAAAGGTTTTATTTTATAAAAACATAGACTGGATGGAGGCCCATTGAGACGAAACAAGCAGCTCTCCTTTAGCCAACAATAAACCTGAAGAATAGTCCTAGAGGTAGCAGTAAAAATAATTTTCAGACTTCCTTGCCTTGTATGCCAAACCAAGCACCACCAATGTGCCAAAATTAGTGCCAAAGGAGTAGTGGAAAGAGGAAAGCAAACAATACAATACATTGTTTGTTTGATAAGTCTAAAATATTTAGAGTGAGGAAAATTAAGTTTCCAACATGGTAATTGTCTTTACTTCTTAACATATAACAAGAGGCACTGAAAAGCTATTTTGGGTAATGAAAATCTAAGTATCCTTGAGTATTTGTCAGATAGAGAGCTGAATTGCTGATTGGGGTTGACTTGTTTTGTTTTCTTGTCTGCTTTTTTTTGTTTGTTTGTTTATTCCTTGCCTCCATGTGGTTTCTCTCCTAACAGAGATATTTTGTTTGTGTGTATTGTTTGGCTAAGATATTCTATTTTATCAAATAAATGTATTATTTTTAACCTATCCTTTAAGAAACAAAACTGAAAATTGCTTTATAGCATCAGTTAAAACCAGTGCTCTTACATGATATTAAATATGTGTATAAACTGAATCATAACTCAAAACCATATGTTTATGGTGAGTTTGAAAGGAGGGACTCCAAAGGATAAATTTTATCATTTATTTTTCAGAATGCACAGAATACTAACAACTATTGGCCATTTTATTCTGAAATATTTGTCCCAGGATTTCACTTAATTTGCTGAAGATAATGAGGTAAATGGCTAGCCCAAATTTTGCCTAAATCTAACATAATGTAGATACTTCCCTTAAAATCATAGAATGTATATAGGCAAAAGGAAAACTCAAATAACAGCTAAGGAAAACTACTGATCAGCTGGGACAATATGTTTGTTGGAGTAAAAACCAGTTACTCATTCACACGCATACGTAAACAAGAAAACATATGAACCCTTTGGTCATTGCAGTGTGATCCCTTATAACAATTTTTAATCTTTGAAGTTATGTATAACTTCTTAGCAGTCTCAAGTCACTAATTTAATAGGTCTGGGTCGTGTCGCAGCAACTCGGATAATTCTTACATGCAAGCAGATGCAATGATATCCACGGAGGCAAAACGTGGCGTGCATTTGTTTACCTGTACTCTGTGCTGTTGGAAGCGGATTGCCAGTGAGGCCGGACACAGGGGGATATAAACGCGTGTAGAAAATTAATTGTGAGCTAGAAATGCTGATCAAATCGTTTGCATAACAAAGCAGTGTTTACTGTTAAGAAATACTGCAAATGTGGTTGCAAGGATCGAAAGTGGATGGCTCATTTGATATGAAAATTGAGCTGGGGGGAGAGAGAGAGAGAGAGAGAGAGAAAGAGAGAAAGAGGGAGAGGGACTGGGGTCGCCCGCAGGTCTGTGGCGACTTGGGAGGAATCATATGACCAAAGACCAAGAAACGACTTGAGCCTAGTTCATATAGTTAAGCGAAATTCACCTCAGGTAGAAGGGTTTTCTCTCGTCGATTTCACCTTCACTCTACGGAAATCTAGCAAGGCTTATCTCGTTTCTCAAGCCTAGGACGCTGGTGTATTTTGAGGCAGTCTCCTAGAAGTCCTGGGAGACTCTGGGAGCTGGTACTGTGTGCAGGCGCGACCTATAGCTCTGCCTGGTGGATCTGCAATTCGATTTCAGGCCTTTTTCCCCCTCGGCATTTTTTTTTCCCTGACTACTTGAGAGGAAAAAAACAAAAACTGTATAAGAAACTCGAGAAGAGACTGTGGGATGCAGAACCGCACACGTGGTCCTGCAAATTGGATAGGAGACTGGGGGAGGCGGGGAAGAGAGGAGAAGTGAAACTAGAAATTATGGTACAGCTTTAGAATTCGAGAATCTCCATTGTTCTTTCCCAGTCTGTATTGTTTTTGGTTCTTCACAGCTGCACTTATCCAATAAAAGTGGAAGAGCGAAGGTGATGGTCTGAACAGGGACGTGTCTATAGACAGAAATGTACAAGCAGTATGTGGTGGGGATTTTTGCTGGGAAACCTCAAAAGAGAGATGCAGTTCCTGAGGCTGTTTCTAAGTAGTTGTAGATTATTTTACCAAAGATTATGAACAGTTTCTTTGTCCAAATCTAAGACACAGAGATGTGTCACCTCCTTCAAACAGGACATTCGAATTTCATTCCTTTAGAGAGCAGTCAAGCCCTCAGGAATTAGAGAAGATGAAAGAACACCCTTTTATGATATGTTTTGGGTAGCTAAACAGGTAGGCAGATAAATAAAAGAAAGTGGACTGCTTCTGGAAGCTGTTTTGCTTCAAAATGTGCCTTTTTTGGCTAAAAATAATTTATTGTAAATAAAGGGAAAAGACAAACTTCTGTCAATGTAGATGCATAATTTGATAAATAAAATCGAAAACGAATTTTCTTTGGAAAGGAGAAGATAAAGTGCTACTTCTGATATCTCAATCAAGTCAAGATTTAAGAAAAATTATTCCCCAATAAGAATGTTGTGTTTTGTTTTTCTTTTCTAACATGTCTTGAATTAAACAAAACCTGTTAACAAGATTGTAATGAAAACTTTGCATGATCTAAACATCCAAAGACAGAAATTCTAGATTGACTGTATTTGGGCACCGCAAAGATTTTATTGCTAGATATCACCGAAGTAGTGGAACCAGAGGCTGTGAAAGCAGTGGGACTCTACCTGGGGCCGGGTGCCAGGGGGAGACTTTAGAAAACGTTTCCCCAATTTAAAAAAAAAAAAAAACTGCATGAAAGGTTGAGCTAAGCTTTATTTTTTCAGGATATATTTTCAAATGTATAGGTTTTGAAGGCCAATTGCCAATTCACGAATATATGGAAATAAAACACAAGAGCAAATGCCAAATGCTTCTTAAAATCACGGGGTTTTTATATTCATGTGGATAATGGAGAGAGATAAAATGATAGATAAAAGCCCGTTTGGGTTTGTCGTGGATTTCCATACAAGACAGACATTTTCTTAAGTTTCCAGATTCTTCATTTACAAACACTTGTCTAATATTTTAAGCTTCCCACACGGCAGCAGACATTTCCTTATTTTGCTTCTCGGAAGTACTTGGGAAAAGATAACCCAAAAGATACTTCTAAGTGAAGCCCGTCCTTGCTGGTTGACCTCAGGAAACCATGGGAAGTGTGTGGCCATCTCTGCAAGGATGCTGGGTGTGAAAAGGTGAGGGGACTTCAACTGATATCCACCGTCCCATGTCCTTGTGGAGCTTTGAATAACACTTACTTAGCACCATTCTTCGGATGCAAGGAAGGAAAAGGAGAGAGCTCCTTCGAGTGGGAGAAGTGGATGTAAGGGGCATTTTATGATGCCTTGGTGAGGAGGGCAAATCAAGAAAGTCCCCTGGAGCTGCTGAGTTCCTTCAAGATTTGGTAAGTCTGCAGATGAGGCCTGCGGGTGGAGCGGGCGCCTAAGCTGCGGATCACTCCTGCGGGCGCTCGCTCTCTCCACGCCGCCGCCCGCGCGCCCGCGGCAGCCACGAGCGTCCCGGGCGGGGAAACGCGTTGCCTCCCGGCGGCGCCTATTACTAGCAGCTGCTTCTGCTTAGCCCTTCGAGGATCGGTTTGCCCCAACCCACGGCCTCTCCCAGGGTTCGGTCTTCTCCCGCCCCTCCCTCCCTTCCCCGCCTCTCCCCCAAGCTCCTCAGTGGCCGCGGCCCGTCAACACTGTCGCGCAGTCACTGGCGCAGGTTCCCAGCTCTCAGCTGGGGGTTTCGGGGGGAGGGAGCAGAAGGAATGAGACAGAAGGAACGGGAGGCTTTAAGCCCACCGAGGGAGGTTAGAGGAAGGCGCTGTGGCTGTGGGATTAGGAGGCCACAGACGGGAACCGCGCCGAGCTAGACTAGCTGTAGAAGGCTGTCTCTCCACCCCGCCACAGCGCTCCGAGAAGGAGCGGGAGGCCTGGGCAGGGGAGAGGCGCTCCTGCCCCCACCCGCGCCCTGCTGGCCACCTGTGGCGTCGGGGAGACCACCTGCGGAGAGGGTGCAGGGATGCTGCTGCCCTGACGAGGGGCCTCCCGGGGACTAGCGAAACGTTTCGCCTCGCCGGTGCCGGGGGAGAGCGCATGGTGACACCAGGGCAGAGTAGCCATGGCGGTCCTCTCCCTCTTTCTGGCACTCCACTGTCAGCGTCGGCTAGAAGCAAACGCCCAGGAAGCACTAACCGATGCACACAAGGTTTCGATGGACAGGGACAGGAAAATCGGCTCTGCAGCGCGGGGGAGCGCAGGCTGGAGGCCGGGCCACTGAGGTGGCCCCGGCTGAGCGACTGGCGTCGGTTTCTCCTCCTAGCGCTAGGCGGGAGTGGGACCCCGGGCCACAGCAAGAGTCGCCGGGTGAGGACGGGCCCGGCCCGTGGCGCCTAGCTGTAAAGGGCCCTAATGCTGCGCGTTTGTCGCAAAGGGAGGCCTGTTCTGACACCAAGGAGTGTCAGATACTTGAGGATAAGCTTCCGAAGGGAGTTTTCACCTAGACTGCCGCAGTATTTTGGAAAATGAGCCTCATCTGTGACTAGGATGAGTTAGATTTCCGCACCCCTGCACAGTTCTGTTCTGCTGGCTTAGCATGAGGAACAATAACATCTCCCCAGCCCAGAAGTGACCAAAGAAAAATGGCCTATCGGGTCCTTCTCCCCGCCCACTGCCGAGAGTAGGGGGCTCATCTGTCAGTAGAGGGCACACCCATTCATGCCTGTGTCATATTTGACAGCCTGAGGGATCTTAGCGATATTGCAGTCGTCCAACCCTGCAGTTCTGCTGAAGAAGAAATGAGCATTCCCAGGGGTCAAGTGACCTGCCCACGGTGACATCGCTGTATGCCAAGCGTCTAAAATAGTTCCTGGCGCAGGACGACCCACCAGTAAATGTGTGTTCGATGAATGAACACTCAGCAAGGGGATCGTAGACTCTGGATCCGATTCCCAGTGCATCTCCTCTAACCCAAGTACGGAGTAACAACAGGCTGGGGTGTTTTCCTCCCAATGCCGCGCTGCAAGGCCAGGACACAGCACTCCCAAACCCAGATGCCCTCTTGCTGACAGATTCGGGCGACAAATCCCGAACTCATCTCCCTTCTTTTCTGATTTCTAAGAATCCACGGTCTCCAGCCCTAATCCCAACCCCTCCTCCGTTTTCATCCCTAAGCTCTAGACTGTTTTGTGGTCAGTACCATTTCCTTACTATCAAAAACGGCCGCGGGCAGAAAATTACGATAAGTAAAGCATAGTCTCTTCTCGCCTTTATGGACATCCCCGCATTTTTTGGCGGTCTTAGCCTCGGCCAAGTGCAAGCCGTCCGTTTCAAGGCAGGGGTGGAGCCTTTAAAGGGTCGCTTGGGCCAGCGTTAGCATTCCTCCCCCTGCCGCCCGCCGGGAACATCCAATCTAAGTGGTAAAAATGCTAGTGTGCAGTGGAGCTCAGCTTGAAGACAAGACCCCCCACCTCCAGCCGTAAGACCCAAACCAATTCTTGCCCTTAGCGGAGGCCTCCTAGAATTTCTGGGGCCGCCACTGCTCTGGGGGAATCGTGGGACACAGTCCGGGGAAAGAACAAAGCTAGGCGCCAGGAAGGGCCGACCAGCCCGGACGGGTCAGCCGGGTCCTAGCCGTCTCGGGTTCTTTCCAAGAAATCAGGAAGGTGACTGTGCAGGAGGCAAAGGACGCCCAGTTACCGTTTCCTGGAGAAACACCTTTGCTAATGCATTTAGGGAGGTTGCTAATTGTTAGCCATGTGCCACCTAAAGCCCTGTTGGAGAAAGTCAGAGGGCGGATGGCTGTAGTTTTCTGGAGGTGGAGAAAGAAGTGGGACATTTTGGAGGTGTCGATCAACGGCTTAAAAAACCACTCTGACAGAAAACGTTTGTAAAACCCGACATTCGTTGTAAGCACCTTCAAGAAAGGCGAGTTCTCGCCCCTAATATGCCCCTAATACAGAGCTTGCACACGGAAGTGCCATGGCCATTGAATGAATGCGGGACCGTTTGCGTTAATACCGGCAACGTTCTTTCTCCGGTGACACTACGCAGCTGTCGTTTTCCCTATTTCTATGATCGTTATGGGACCCAAGTACATAATTTCAATTTCATGACTGTCCGCTTGGAAAGCTATTAAAGGAACTGTTTTCTTATCTGATACATCTAAGTTATCAGTAGGGTCTTAGAATTGGGGTTCCTTCAGAGACTATTGCCAATATTTTCTGAGATTACCTCTGTTTATTGTGATTAAAAAAACACATATCCATGTTTATACTCACGATGAAGGAATGTGAAGTAACAAACATACGGTTTACTAAAAATATATAGAACTTTATTTCTTTGGAAGAAAAATGACTGGGAGAGATGCTCCCAGACCTCTTCACTGATAATTATTTTGAACAGTACATAATGCCTCGGGAAATAGTTACTGTAAGAGAGATAGCATAGCAGCTAAACTAATCTGGTGATCCAACTATCTTTTCCAAATGTTCCCTATTGTATCTGTTCATGAATACAAAAACCTCACATATCTCCATTTTCTTATATTAGCAAAAGTTCTGGAAAATATTACAAATTATTCATGGAAGAAATAACTGAAGAATGACATTTTCAAAGACTAGTTATAGACACCTGCAAATCTCTAATTTTCCTGAGGTTAAGCCTTGCTTTCCTTTTCTGTCTCAATTTAAACTTGAAAAAATATTTACAGGTAATATTGAATTCTTGGTCTCACATCTTTTAACAAAGAGAATATGTCTTGTCTCTTTCAGAGTATTTTTGCAATAATGAGTTTTTCATTTTCACCCCTTAATGCCATACACTCTGTATTTTTAGTATACTTCAAGCAGACATTGTCAATATGTGCATTAAAGGAACATAAAGAAAAATCTCCCTTTGGCCAGCCAATCTGTGGAGTCTGTGGGGATGCACGATGTTGTTAATTCCTCTGAGCTCCATCTGTGGAAATGATGAAGGCTAGCCATTATGTAGGATTGTGAGGTTAAATTAATTAGGTTCTTCCATTATAATGCAGTCTTCTGGAGATGGTTGCCATTTTCCCTTTAAATGTCATTATTTCTAGATCTAGTTAGCAGCTGATGCAATTAAAGAGGAGATAATGTAAATTTAGCAATACAAATAACACTTTCTTTCATGTTTGTTGAAAAATGCATGACAAGAAGGACCAGCCAAGTTATACCTGCCTGCCATAAACAACTGATGTAACTCGTACTTTAAAAGAATAAACTAAAACCAGCCAGTGTGCACTTGGATTCTTTTCTTCAGTAAATTCTTGAATCAATACTTTTGTTTCATGTTTTCATGTTCTCAGTAATGTTAACATATCCAGTTACAAACTCTTGCCAGTAAGAAAGAAAATATGCCCTGCTGTGCACCCTTCTAAACACTTTTAAAGAATCATGCTTTCTTTTCATTTGGAATTATAATTTTGATTGTCTGTGGTATCTTTGCAATCTCCAATGGATAATGAGTGGACACACTTCATTTCCTAAACTAATCACCTGAGGCAAAAATCAAGGTCACATTAGCAGACCCAATGACGTCTCTGATCTTGTACAACAAGGGCATATATAAGCACAAAAATAGCATTAATTATGATATTTATTCTGCCACTGCAGAAACATCAGAAAGACTGGTAGGCTAATGAATCTATACAGCAAGTATTAAAAACAGATGTATTCCTGTTGCATTAGAGAGTAAGAATGTATTAGTAATAGGTGATAAACTGTACATTCTAATAAAAATAGTGCATAATTTTTTTAAAATTTTGAGCCTTTCAAGAAATATTTTATTAGTCATAGTTAATAAAAAAACCTTGATACTCAATATCCAGTATTTCTAGCACTGATATTTAAATGGATCACAGATATCAAGATAAGCCCTCTTGTTCGTAAATAACAGTGGTGTTTTGTTTGCTCCAAGTATATTCAACTTTTCTCTTTTGTTTCCTACAAAATGACTATACATTTTTAATCATCTGTAAGGCACACTAAAAGATACAGTTTAGCTTATGAAAATCACAGCTCATTTAAATGTAGAAGATCCAGGTATACTGTTGGCCTTCTAATGCATTTGTGGGTTTTCCTTGACAGTTGGATGGCCCTTGAAGTCTGGGTTATGCACTACTTCCTCAAAGAGATGTACTTAGCAATGTGTCATAGCCAGCACTCCCTCCTCCACCCCGGGTTCCACGTGTTTGGATGCCAGATTACACTGGTGCTTTTACCATGGGTTGTGAAGTCCTGGTGAATTCCAGGTGAAGACTGCTGGCAGTCAGGGATTCTTAGGTGCTTGGAGAACCAGGGTACCTTGGTAACAGGCACACGTACCGGCAGACAGTGACTACCCCCAAAGCTGTCTTCAATTCAAGATCTTATACCCTTTTCCTAAATGCACATGAAAGCCATTAGGTCTGGGAATCTAAAACTAGCAATGTAGT
The DNA here is from genome assembly GCF_000001405.40 of Homo sapiens. Classification (NCBI taxonomy): domain Eukaryota; kingdom Metazoa; phylum Chordata; class Mammalia; order Primates; family Hominidae; genus Homo; species Homo sapiens. The sequence goes on from NC_000008.11 coordinate 71,561,358, forward strand.
TTGAACCCGGAACATCTCTGATTTATGGAAATTTATAGTTTAGCAAATGGTAATTGGGTTGAAGATACGGAACAGAACAATTAAGTCTAAAGATCCAACCAACTAAAATAAACATTGTATTATCAGCTAGCCCAAAGTATGTCATCAGCAATCAGAAGTCACATCCTCATCCTCATTCCTTTTCCACCTCTTCTCTCTCTTATGCTATGTTCCCAAATCAACAGTGTCCTTTACTTTCAAAAAGGAGGTTCTAGATTTTGGACCTTTAAAAACTTTATTCTTTTCAGACCTCCTGGAGTTATAAATCAGATTAGAAAAAAAGAAAAGGAGAGAGAAAGAATATGAATGTGATGCTTACAATTGAAAAGACTTTGCCCCTCCCTTACTTTCCTTTTTTCCTTTTTTCTTTTAGTTCAGAGAGGGGAAACCGTAAAATTCTCTGCAGCACACGCTATAAATTGCCTTTTGCTGAAAGTTTTAATACTTAATTTAAACTCAAAGGACATTTTCTTGACTACTTTAGCTTTTGCTGTTCATCTGGGAGAAAATCCAGGTGGGAAATTTAATGTAATTCAGTAAAATTTTCCAGTGTAGGCTTGTTGAAGGCAAACATCTTGAATGGAGAAGGTACTTTTAGATGCAAATCAAAATCTGTTTTTGTTGACATAAAAGGCAATTAGCATTCTTTCAAATATTCATTAGTTCAGAACTTTAAAAGGGGGATTCAGTGGATATTTAAGGAGGAAATGAAATGGATGAATAATTAAGAGCAGGGTCCACAGATAATAAAGTTCATCAGGATAACTTCTGGATAATCTTATCTCTCCAGTAATATTTAAACTTGACTGGGAAAATCAACTCTTGGAGCTTTTATATTGCAAAACATAGTTAATAAAGAACAAATACAGGACTTCTGAAAAGACAAAAAAAAAAAAAAAAGAGTAGATTCTGACACTTCAAGGAATTAATCACTTTGAATTAACCTAAAAGGAAAATATGATGACTCATTCAAGGAAAATTCTTAATCTTTTTTTATTTGAAACCCACTAGGAAATACCATTAATAATTGCATTAACTACTTTCTGATTCTACTTAAATATGTTTGCAAAGAAATTCTGCCGAATGCACAAGAAATTCACCTTATTTTTAAAAACAAGAAAAAAAAAAAGATCTAGGGTAGCTAAACCTTTTTTTTTTTTTTTTCCACCAGAGATGTGATGAAACCAAGCCTCAGAACATTTTTTAATGTTGATAGAGCAGGCTTGAAAAAACTTGTCATATAAATCAAACTGTTCTGGGGGCAAACTCGTGTTGTTTTTAAACCACAGAGTGGGTCAATGGGTGTGGTTATGCACATGGTTGAATGGTGAATGTATAGATTAAAATATATTTTGCCACACTAGTTTCCAGAGGATTGTTTTGGCCTGGTGTTTCAAGCTATGAGCCAAAACTTTGGTCAGTATTTTGACAACAGAGCCAGGAAAAACAAAAAGGCTTAGCCTGTGAAAAAGAAATGAAGATGTAGTGAAGGAAAACAGTAGTCCCTCTGCCACTGCCTTACTCAATCCATATGTGGGCTTAAACACAGGAAATACCCACCATTCACCGCAATCAAGCCAGAGGCTTGTGCATCAGAAAGTGCCTTGTGGAACTAATTGGACTCTATTAAGATTGTCATTGACATAGGAAAGCATTTTGAAATTTTAAATCAGAACATTCAATGTACATAGAAAAAGATAACAGTCACATTGTTGACTCAGGACTACAAATATAGGCATAATACACACACAAACATGCAAGATTTGTATGCTTTATTCAGTGATGTACTGTATTAATTACCAGGAGCATGTTTGTCTTCTTTCACTTTATGTGTTTGCCTTGAATCTATAACCTTTCCAGAATGTTCTGGAGCCACCTCACAAGGCACCAGAGAAAATCCAAGCATTGCCAATTTAAAATGATAATCAACAAACTTGCCATAAGAGCAAAGTTTATAGGAAAAAAACCATAGTTTGAAATAATGGAACTCACAGAGAACTTTTTCACACATGATATTGGACAAAAGTACATATAGTGTAAGTATTCATGGATACACACAAATCTAACTCTGGCAACAAATCTTTGGCAAAGAGTTGGATTTAACATTTCAATTACACTTATCTTTAAAAATTACCTAAACATGGCTTATAGCTGGGAGCTTACCCTCCCTTTGTTCTGGCTGTGGTCCATTGTATTTTTATTATACTTCCAGGACGTTCATTGGGGTCATACATGCTTAGCTCTGACAACTCTCTCAATGTTAGGGTTGCCAATTACATTTGCTTCATAGATAAGGTTAATGTGTTGCTAATATTCTTAGGTCTAAAATCTGTATTTGGTTTGTTTTGTAAAAATATGAGTTCCCACTATTATGAGGAATATGCTGTATCTTATCTGCCTAAAAATTTTGGACGGTACTATACTGTATAGTCATTTAAGTTTTCTTTTATATAAAAGCTGACAATAACCATAACCACAGTCTATATTAGAAGATAACTAAGATGAATACAGACAAGATGATCTTGGAAGATAACTAAGATGAATACAGACAAGATGATCTCTCACCAAATTTCTCAGTCTAACTTTTGCTGCCATTTTTTAGTAGTAAGCTTCTTTACTTTGTTAGCTTCAAAATGTCTTCTTTGTCATGGGTCACTTGCAGTGTAGTTCAGCATTTCTCCAATTTCAAAAACAAAATGATTGCAACTGGGGAGGGTATGGAATTTGTGTTCATGAAAGTTAGATTTACCATGAAGATATTGCCAAAGGGGAAAGCTGGACAAGCAACAAATCATTGGAAGGCTTTGATGTGTGTGTGTGTGTATGTGTATGTGTGTGTGTAAGTACCTTCATAATCCTAGTACCATGAAAATTTCAATCTGATCTTCTGATTGCTAGGTTCTTTATATGAATTCTGAGAACTAAGATTTTTATATAAATAAACTCATTTAATCCCCTACAACAACTCTCTGGAGGAGTTGAATTTATTATTCCCATTTTATAAGGAAACTGAGTCATAGAGAAATACCTAACCTGAAATCACACAGCTAGAAATCAGAGTATAAGTATTTTATTGGCAAGTAATAAAACACTGGGACCACTGGACTTCTATGCTAATCCAGGAAGTATTTACACTTCCTAGTATACACACATATATATACATATATATATTTCCTAGATTATAATATATTAATATATAATTATAAATAACAATATATTATATATATTATATATAATAAAAACACTTCTTAAGGTGGTTTAAGTGTCTAAAAATCCCCACCCTCATGTTTTTATTTCCTAACATTGGAAGTATTATGTGAACACATCCGGTAAAAAGTGGGCAAATAAGGATCAAAAATAGGCTGGATGCAGTGGTTCATGCCTTGAATTCCAGCACTTTGGGAGGCCGAGGCCAGAGGATTGCTTGAGCTGAGGAGTTCAAGGCCAGCCTGGGCAACATGGCAAAACCCCATCTCTACAAAAAATACAAAGATTAGCCAGGTGTGGTGGTGCACATTTGTAGTCCCAGCTACTCTGAAAGCTGGGGTAGGAGGACCTAGGAAGTCAAAGCTGCAGTGAGCTGTGATCCCACCACTGCATTCCAGCCTGGAAGATGGAGCAAGACCCTGTCTAAAAAAAATGGAAAAGATAAAAAATAGCTGCTATGTAGATATTTTATTATATGGGCTTAGGATGGTGTCATTTACCCTCACAATCACGTGGTCTTCCAAGCAGACACATCATGTGCACACAGATCATGCCAGCTGACAACCATGAAAGGGTCCGGCTGAGACAAGGAGAGGTAGGCCATTTCATAACTGTATGGGCATAGATACCCTAAAAATAGTTCTATTTTTAACCATATAGAAACATTATTTTCAGTAAGAAAAAGGAAGTACTAGATGATACAAAGGGAAGACTGAAGAACATCAAGTATGTACATTTTTAAAAATACAATAATTTTACTTTAATTCAGAGGATGGTTGGGATTAAGGTGACACAGGGTAAAGAGTTTTGCTTTGATGTCAAGTGAACTGTGATCTTGCACAGGGCTAGAGCCTCTGTTTCTCCATCTGCAAAAGGGAGGTAGTAAAATCTCATAGATTTCTGAACATCACAGAGGTCAACCTCACCCTGAGAAGTAGTTTAACAGCGTGGTTTAAGGCAGGTGCTCTGGAACTAGACAGTTGGGTCTGAATCCTGGCTCTGTGAGACCAAGGTAAATCAATTAATCTTTTCAGTGTGCATTTCATAGTAGTTGTGAATACAACCTTATAACATTGTTGTGAAAATTAAATTAAATAACGTAGAGTAAGCACCCAGTAGAATTCTTAGCACAGAGTAAGTGCTCAGTAAGTGTCAATACAATTCTGGACATTTTCAGAAAGAGTAAACCAAGAACAGTAAAGTTGGAATCCCCATATCTTTTCTAATCCTTTTTTAAAAATTGTCAAATAATAAATTTCTATTTTTCATGTAGCAGAAGACTTGGTTCTACATTTTTTGTTTTTTTTTTCTCCTTTGTGATTTTTATATTTCAACTTCAGTTTCTTAATCTATAAAATGGGTGTATATCCACCCCTAAGTCTGTACTGGTAAATTTTAAAGATATCATTAGGAGATCTTTACATGGAATTAAATTTCTCAGAATAGCATCTGTGTAGTATGGCACATAAAAATTATTAATGAACTGACATTTAGTGATACATGAGATATGAATTTGCTAGGCCAAATTCTTAACCCCAGAAACACAGGGAGTAATTTTGTTTTATTGGCTGCAATAGAATGATAATCTATCCAAACAGATTTAATTCTAAAAAGTAATTTCAGAGCAAGTCTTTCTTTTAAAACAAATTATGCATATATATAAATTTCATGCACTAACTTACAAATGAGAAAAACAAGTGAAGTAAAACATATAATAATATTTTCAGACTTAAAGGAAAGACTGTCAATTGGGAATGTTGTGGGTGACAGTTACACTGTAAGTCACCAAGAAAAGATCAAGGCACTTTGGACAGTACCTCTGTGTTCTTTATATCCTGACCTTTGTTATAGCAGACTTGGAGTGATCTTGACTAAAAATCACCCCTGAGGGTACAATGAAATTTGCTTGTTAGACTATTTTAGTGTTTTTTCTGGATATCATGCATAGCATGCTGCTGTCTCTCTGTGGTGGAACCAAAAGCTAATAGCTTTTACTGATTCTGCAGATAAATATCATATGTCACTACCCATTAAAAATCTGCTCTAAACCCCAAGTTCCCATTAATCAACATTGTTTTTGTTTTCAAATAATTAATTTAAAAAACACTCAGAAAAACTTATAGAGAATCCACAGTTGGTTATGGATAGAAAAATTTAACTTAAATATCATAAAGTAATTTTATAAATTCAGATTTGGCTCCTGCATGTTTACTTTGTTTCTTTTGAAATATGGTGGTATATTCTGTTCTGTAGATCATTGATCCGTAAGTTACTTGACTACAAATTTTATTTTCTAAGCCAAGATGCTTTTGAGAATATTGCCCAAAACAACAGGGATTGTCCTAGCAACAGAAGGAAGAAAAAACCCCTTATCTCTAGTCCCCCTATCTATAAGCCTAGGTTTTAATCAACCTAAGGATTCAATTCTGTAGATTATGAAATGATTTGGTGGTTTCATGAAAAAAGTCATAATTTTTATCAACTTATATCAATATTGATTACCAGAGCATATTATAAACCAATGTGTAAGGACATTTAAAACTTAATAATTTCCAAAATTAGCTAGTGAGTTGTTAGAAATCCATATTATTCCAGACTGTTTGCTGTTCTTTGGATCAGATTACATGACCATTTTTGCCTTTTCATTAAGTGGTCTTAGATTTGACAAGAGGACCACACAATTAAAAGAAAAACTTGTTAAAGAAAATAAATCTAGTTGTTGTTGCTGTTATTGTTATATCTCTAGCATTTAAAAGAGTTTGTTGCACTTACTAGGTATTTGGTGAATGTCTGTTGAATGAATGAAAAAACTGAACCAAGATTCTGGTTAATTGTGGGCTCTTTGGATAACTCAGACCTAATCAACCCATTTAAAAAATTTCTTTATTCCAAATTTCTATGTAAAAATAAGACTACATTCTACCTCTTTTTGGAAGGTATACCTGCATACATACAACCATACTGTTTACTAAAAAATCAAGCCATACAGACACATTACTGAGAGAAATCACACAATTTATCCTTTTAGACACAGAAAGGTCACTTCCAAAAAAATGAGCAGCTTTGCTGTTTTAATTAAGGGAGTCATTTTTGTGACTAGCATATTCCTTCAAAATCTTGAGAAATCATAAGTATGCAATAATGTCCAATGAGACAGCATTGGTGTCTCATTATATAGCATTAGTGTATTTTTTTCATATTTAGGTGCTATGTAATACTACAACATAAGTTCACTTTCCAGAAAGTAAATAACAATTTTTAGTTGTCTCATTTAAGAAGCATTGTGCCCAAACAATCTAAACACTTTATGACGTCTTATTATCCTGGGGTCTCAAGGTTGGATGGCAACTTGCAGGTTATCTGTTACAAACACTTGACCATCAATCTTCTTACTCTATTGTCATTCCCCAAATGCCATATATGTTCTTGTCCTTGACCCAGCTCTGAGATTTGGGGAAAAAAGAAGCCACTTTCAGGAAGCCTGGGCAAGCTGTGGCTGCTTTCTAACACCTCTACCCCACTTAGGACCTAGGAGTGGTTTCTCACTCCACTGCTGCTCTGAGATAATGAGCTACCTCCTGCTTGAAGCCTATGCCACTCAGCTAGGCCATTCTAACCTCCCGGCCAGTGAAAGACATTGGCCTTTGGTTTACCATTCTTCTCTCTACCCCAAGCCCGCCATCATTTTGAGTTACTTCAGTGCCCCAGGTTCAACAGCCGGTATAAAGGCCTCTCAGTTCCTTCTCTCCTCCTGGCTTTACTCTCCAATGCACCTAAGTCATCCATGCCACAGCTCCACCTCAGACATTGTTATCACCTGTAATCTCTCCATTTCCAATATCACAAATTTTAGCACCTACCTCTGACCCTACAACCCTCTCATTTTCAGCTTGTCTGAAATAGGGTTCAACTCTACCTCCATTTTACAGCTTTGTTTTTAACCTTACTTGGGACCTGTAGGTCACTGACCATTTCAGTTTACCCAAATGTATCAGCTTTCATTCTCTTTATTTCATTCTTATCCAAATTAGAGCTTTTAGGCCACCATTCCAGGAATAAAATTCATCTTTTCAATAATCCCAAATTCTTCTACCTCTTGTCTTTTAACTGTATTTACTTACAAAGCATGAAGTTTGGTGAGCCCAACTATTTACTTCTGTGTCACATGACATGGTAGCTTGGTTCTACCACATTCATGACCAGTTTCCAATGGAGCCTCAACAATGCTTCTTTGTTACTGTTGTTGTTGTTAAGCCACTCTTCCACTCTCCTTAAATCTCTCATCTTACATTCCTGGCCCTTCTCCAGCAGATTACTTCACCTCCTAAAATACAGGGAAAATAGAAGAGATTGGAGAGGAACCTCCTCAGGTTTTTGCATCAACACCTAATCTACAAAATACCACTTTCTCCATACCCATTCTATATTTATTCTCTTTTATTTCAAAATAAAATCTGACTTTTCACCTGAAGCTCACTCTTCTGCCATTAAGGAGGCTATTACAATTGTTTAAGTGGGAGATAATATTGACTTAGAATAGAGTGGTGATAACTGGTTACATTCAAGATTTATTTACAAGGTAGAGCCTACAGGACTTTGGGGCAGATCAACCATGGATGTGATATAAAAGAAAAAAATCAAAATTGACTCCTACAGGTTCTGCTCTGACTATGCTATGTTAGATTTTATCAGACTATGCACTAAGAACTAGAGGAGCTGGATAAAATATTTAAAACATGGATATAAAGACATCTTAGAACTACCAAGACAGCCAGAACATAAAGTTCCAAGAGTCACTCTTCTTCTGTGAAAAGAATAAATGCAGTGAGTGAGCCCAAAATTCAGTGTTGCTGTTCACCTGGAGATATTTATAGATCTACAAGTGGTGACAGAGAGACTGGAAAACTGCACAGAACTGTCAGTAGTCTCATGACACTGAGGAGAAAAAAATAGGAGTTCCGGGTCCACCAAGATGGAGGAACACTGATAAAACTCATACATTCTGCTGGGAGTTTTGAAGGGCTATACCTTATGAGTAAAAGTTATTTGGAAATAGAGCAGACTTTATAAAACCTGACAGACAAACCAGATGCGCTCAAACTCTAATTTCTTTAAGATTTTCTTCTACTTCCTGCTAGATGCAAAAGTAAATTTTCTGAAGGAAAACAGCATTGTCCAGAGCCTCAAATATCTGATATCCAATAATAAATAAACAAGCATATCAGCGAGTGTGACTAAATGACTGAAAACCAAGAAAATAATAGAAGACAAACAGATCCACTGAAGGTCTAGTTGTTGGAATATCAGATAAGAGCTTAAAAAGAACACACTATGACCAATGTGTTAAAAATAGAGGACAATATGATGAAGTTCTGCAGATAACTAGAATATTTTAAAAAGCATTAAATAGAAATTATAATGTTGAAAAATAATTAAAATTAAGAACTTAATAGTTGGGTTTAACAGCACATTAGATGTAGTTAAAAAGCAGATTAATGAACTGGAAGATAAGTTAAGAATTGAAGCACAAAGAGACAAAGTGTGGGAAATATATAAGAGACAAATGGAACTAGTGAAAAGCTTGAGGATATTGGTTTTTGAGTCCGAGAAGAAGAAAGAAAAGACAATGAAACAGAAGGAGTAAATCAAGATATGGAAGCCAAAAATTTTGCAGTTAACAACTAATAAAAGCTGTAAACTCATAGATACTATAATGACACAGGGGGTTTTGATCTGAAAACCTGGATGAGTAATAGCATTATTTACTAAAGATGGGTAACAATGAGGAGATGTTCTAGTGGGGTAAGATTGGAGGAATCAAGAATTCAGTTTTGGATGTGTTAATTTTAAGATCCCGATTAGATACTCTAGGAAAAATGTTGCATAGATAATGTGATATACAACAAATGGATGAAAAAAATCAGAGCCCATAGGTTTTTATTTGTACCTACAGGCTGCTTTGTGGTAGTAGGTAAATTATTTCCCTTTGCTTTCTCTTGTTTTTTTTATGGGTAAAAACTTTATTAAATTGTAAGATTATTTGAATACAATACTCTTTGACATTAAACCAGCCAAAATATAATGCTTAGAGAATTGAAAAACAAATGAAAGGTAAATGTCTCTATGATATTTAGATTAAGGATTTGATTCATAATATTCAATAATCATGATCTTTGTATATGTTATTTAAACCTGTATATGTTATTTAAATCTTGGTGAGGTCACCAAGAAAGTAGGCACACAGAAGGGAAATTTTGCAAAGATTTAGCCCTGACCACATGGATACATAGGATCAAGTTCAAGGAAGAGATTCCAGTATAGGAGCCTGGGAAAGAACAACTAAATGATGTGGGGTAAAATCCGGGAGAGGGACATATCTCAGAAATTAAGTGAATAAAGAAAGATTTGACCCTTAATACCAGATGTTGCTGAAAGGTCGAGATGAGAATTGGTAATTGACCATTAGAATTGCAAATCTGGGAGTCACTGGTGACCTTAAGAAGAGCTGTTTTAGTGTAGTGACAGGGATGGAATTGTGATTTAAATGGTGTTATGAGAGAATGGGAGATTTATGTTTCTGGTAGTTATAGGCTAGTTCATTCAGTCTAACCCTCCCACTAAGACAGCTAAAAAATACGGATGAAATATTTTTAAAACCAAACACCACATGTTCTCATTCATAAGTGGGAGTTGAACAATGAGAACAAATGGACACAGGGAGAGGAACATCACACACTGGGGCCTGTCAGGGGGTGGGGGGTCGGGGAGGGATAGCATTAGGAGAAATACCTAATGTAGGTGATGGGTTGATGGGTGCAGCAAACCACCATGGCACATATATACCTATGTAACAAAACTGCACCTTCTGCACATGTACCTCAGAACTTAAAGTATATATACGGTTATATATATATATAACCTTCTAAAAGCAATAAAGAGCTAAGGAGATACTGAGCAACTACATAAGGAGATGTAAATCCAGACAAAAGAGTCTGCAATATGAAGTTGTTTTTGCCCAGGGAGTGTTTATTGATATGAAAGATGTAGCCCAAGGGATAAGCAGTGTTAGTAGTCTCAAAGGAGAACTGGAAAGCAAACATTTTAGTCCAGGGTCTGCCAAGGAAGAGAGTCTTGGTGGACCACAGTGTGCTTTGGATTAATGCTCTGAAGTAATTCACACTAAAAAGAAAAAATGAAGCAAAAGTAAAAAATAGTTTCTGCATTGACTGCAGTCTTTGACTCATCTTGGTAGTCCAGAAAATCACAAACCTTGAAATTGAATTGAAATAATCCTGGTTTATTATTGTCCCTAAGTGTTTGGCAAAATAAATGAATAGATACATAAATAAAAATTTAAAAAATCCTCTCAGATGAATAGATGGATAAATATGATAAAGAAAGTAAAGTAAAATATTAAAGGTAGAAACTAGATGGTGATGAATATACAAGTTTCCATGGTAAAATTCTATAAATATGCCATATTTTTGAACATTTTAAAGGTAAAGTGTTGATAAAAGAAGGCAGTTGACTCTGAAGAAAAGTGGTATCTTCTTAGGTCACATATAATGTTCCCCCCATGGCATTCCCATGTGTTATGAACTGAATGTTTGTGTATCCCCAAATTCATATATGGAAATCATAACTCCCAATCTGATGGCAGTAGGAAGTGTGGCCTTTGAAGGGTAATTAGGCCCTGAGGTGGAGCCCTCATGAATGAGATTAGTGCTCGTATAAAAAGACATAGAAGAGCTTGCTTTCTCTCATCTGTCTGCTGTCTACCTCACGAAAATACAAGAAGTCAACAGCCTGCAACCCAGAAGAGGACCCTCATCAGAGCCTGACCATGTTGACATCCTGATCTTGGACTTCCAGCCTCAAAGATTATGAAAAATAAATTTCTGTGGTTGATAAGCCACCCATTCATAGTACTTTGTTACAGCAGCGTGAACTGACCAGGCAATCACTTGTTCACTTTCTCTCATTATAGTTTAGTTTGCATTTTCTTGGCATTTGTATAAATGGAAACATACACGATGTGCTCCTCTTTGTCTGACCTTTTTCACTAAATTAAATATTTTGAGATTCATCCATGTTGTTGCATATATCAGTAGTTCAATCTTTTTATTGATTAGTTGTATTCCATTGCACAGATATACTGCAATTTTATCCATTTGCCTGTTGATAAATATATGATTAGTTTCCAGTTTTTGGCTATTTCATGTAAAGCTGCTGTGAACATTTGTATACAAGTCTTAGTATTGACATATGCTTTTATTTCTCTTGGGTAAATACCTAGGATTAGAATGGTTTGTCATATGGTATATGTATGTTTAACATTTTAAAAACTGACAAATTAACTCCTAATGTGGTTGTACCATTTCACATTCCCACTGGAATTGTATTAGCTTTCCAGTTGCTCCACGTACTCATGAACATGTGCGAAGGTCAGTCTTTAACTTCAGGCATTCTAATAGTTGTGTGGTGTTATCTTATGATTTTAATTTATATTTCCCTGATGGCTAAGCATGTTGACCATCTATTCATATGATAATTTGCTATCTATTTATCTTCTTAGCTAAAAGGTTTGTTTAAATCTTTTGTCCATTTTAAACATTGGATTGTTTGTTTTCTTATTATTGAGTTTTAAGAGTTCTCTATATTTTCTGGAAATGAATCCTTTATTAGAAATGTGATTTGTAAATATTTTCTTTTACTCTATGACTTCTTTCAATATCTCAGTAGTGTCAAACAGCATAGTTTTTTATTTTGATAAAGTTCAATTTATCAACTTTTAAAAATGGCTTTTGGTGTTATATCTATTTGCCTAATCTAGGATCACAAAGATTTCCTCCGATGTTTTTACCAAAAAGTCTTGTGGCTTTGTGCTTTACACTTAGGCTTATGATTCACTTTGAGTTAATTTTTGTATATGGTGTGAGGTACAGATTAAAGTTGGGCTTTTTTTTGGCATGTGAATAGCTAATTGTCACAGCACAATTTGATAAAAATATTACTCTTTCTCAATTGCCTTGCATATTTGTTGAAAATCAGCATATATGGCTTATTTCTGAACTCTCTACTCTGTTTTATTGACCTATTTTATCTTTATACCAATACCACACTTTCTTAATTATTGTTGCTTCAAGTTAGGCAGTGTAAGTACTCCAACTTTGTTCCCTTTTGAAGTTCTTTTGGTTATTTTAGGTGGTATGCAATTTCATATAAGTTTTAAGGACAGCTTTTTCTAGGAAAAGAGAAAAACTGCTGGGAATTTGGTTGGGCTTTTGTCAAATCTATAGATCAGCTTGGGGGAGAACTGGCATCTTAACAATATTGTATTTTCTGCCCCATGAACACAGTATATCTCTCTATTTATTTACGTCTTTTTCATTTCTTTCAGCAATGATTTCTAATTTATAAAGAACTGACTTTGTACATCTTTTGTAACATCAGTATTTTATATATTTAATGCTATTGTAAATCATGTTTTCATTTCAATTTCCCTTTGCTCATGATCATATAAAAGAATTGATTATTGTATATTGATCATGTATCCTGTAACCTAGGTAAACTTCTTTATTATTTCTATTAGCTTTTTCATAGGTTTTATTGAAATTTCACTTTGATAATCATGTTGTCTATGCTTATAGTTTTACTTCTTTTCCAATCTGGATTTTTTTTCTTTTTCTTTTTGAACTGGCTAGTCTCTCTGACACAATGCTGAATAGAGGTGGTAAAGAAGAATATTTTGACCTTGTTACTGATAATAGAGGGAAATCATTCAGTCTTTCTTATGTATGATTTCTAGCTGTAGACTTTGTAAAATGCTGTTTATAATGCTGAGGAAGTTTTCTTCTATTTCTAGTTTTCTGAGAGCCTTTTAAATGCATTTTCTATATCTCCTCAGATGTGCTTTTCCTTTTTTAGTCCTTTTATATAGTCAATTACATTGATTGATTTTTGCTTGTTAAATCAATCATGCATTCCTGGGATAAAACACTTTGTCATGATATATTAGTCATTTTGGATATTACTGAATTTGCTAACATTTTGTTTAGAATTTTTGCATCTGTGTTCATGAAGGATATCAGTCTGTAGTCTGTAGTTTTCCTTTTTCTAATTTTCTCTTTTCTTCTCCCTCTTCCTCTACCCCTTCCTTTCCTTCTCTTCTTATTTTTCTTCTTCCCTTGCAGCTTTCTCTCTCTTTCTCTCTTCCTCGTTTCTTTTTGTTTGTGTAATATCTTTGGTTTTGGTGTCATAATATGGGCCCCAGAGGAAGAGTTAGAACATATTTGCTTATCTTCAATTTTGTAGGAGAGTATGTATGGACTTGGTATTATTTATTCTTTTAATATTTGCTAGAATTCATCAGTCAAACCACTGGGACCTGGTGTTTTCTCTGTTGGAAGGGTTTTAATGACAAAGTTAACTTCTTTAACAGATAGATGGTGATTCAGGTTTTTTCTTCCTGAGTGAGCTTTGGAAGTTTATGTCTCTTGGGAAATTTGAAAGTTGTTCATAAAGTTAGCTTATTATCTTTTTAGTATGTATAGATTCTAGAGTGATGTCACCTTTCTCATTCCTAATATTAGTAATTGGTATATCTATGTCAAAATTCCTGATAAGTGTGGCTAATAGGCTTATCATTTTTATTGCTTTTCTCAAAGAATCAGCTTTTTTTTTACTTTCTTTGTTATTTTTTATTTCACTGACTTCCACTCGATCTCTACTATTGCTTCTATTCTTCTTACTTGTATTTTAATTTTCTTCTCTTTTTCTAGTTTATTGCATTGGAAGCTGCAGTCGTTGATTTGAGATGTTTTTGCTAATACAGACATTATTATATATTACCCTGCAAATACTGCTTTACCTGTACCTCAACACTTTCAGTATGTTGTATTTTTATTTTTATTTAGTTAAACTACTTTCTGTTTATCTTTTGATTCATTCTTTAACCGGTGGATTATTTATAAATGTGTTAGCTTCCAAATAGGTGGAGATTTTCCAGATATTTTTTGTTTTTAATTTCTAACTTAATTCCACTGTGGTAAAAGGACATATATTGTATGACTTAAAACATTTTTTAAATTTATTGAGAACTATTTTATGGGCCTGAATTTGGTCTATCATGAAAAATGTTCCATGTGCCATGGAACATTTGAAAAAAAATGTTCATTCTAATGTTAGGTGGAGTGGTCTATAAATGTTAATTAAGTTGTTTCACAGCATTCTTCTAGTCTTCTATAACCTTACTAATTTTCTGTCTACTTCTATTTCTGTCAGTTATCTCTGACTACAACTGTGACTTTATCTATTTGTTCTCATAGGGGCTTCAGCTTCTGTTTCATGTATTTTTAAGCTCTCTTATTAGGGGAATAAATATTTTGGATTGTTATGCCTCTTGATAAATTGACCCCTTTGTCATCATTATATAACCCTCTTTATACCTGGTAATTTGTTTTTTCTGGAATCTAGTTTGATAATAGCATAGACTATTCAAATTCCTTTTTATTTATATTACATGGTATACCTTTTAATATCATTTTATTTGTAACCTTTTTGTGTCTTTATATATAGAGTTTGGATCTTATAGAAAGTATATAGTTGGGTCTTGCTTTTTAATCTAACCAGACAAGCTGTATCTTTTCATTGGAATGTTCAGACCTTTTATATCTAATGTGACTATTTGTTTGGTTTGGTTTAAATTTACCATCTTGTTATTTATTTATTTATTCATTTATTTATTTCTATTTGTCCCATTCAGGACTGGCTGTATAATTTTCAGGGCCCAGTGCAATATGAAAATGTAGAGTCCTTGTTCATAAGTTATTAGTAATTTTACCAACAGCAGAGCATTAAAGCAAGCATGAGACTCTTCCAAGTGTAGGGTCTCATGTGACTGCATAGGTCAGATGCCTATAATCCTGGCTGTGGTACCATCTCTTCTTTTGTCTCTTCATTCTCTTTCTCTGCCTTTTTTGGACTGTATTTTTGTTTTTTTGGTTGGTTGGTTGGTTTCTATGATTTCCTTTCAGATTACAGTTATTTTGTTGGCCTATTAACTATAATTCTTTTTTTGTTGTTTTAGTGGCTACTTAAGGTGCCTAATTTTCTTAAGAATGTTTAATAAGAAAACATGTTTATATGTACCTGTGTAGTTATTTCTGATTCTTTTCATTTATTTGTGTAAATACAGGTTTTCACTTTGTATCATTCTCTTCCTACACTGAGGACTTTAAACATTTTTTTTGTAGTACAGGCTTACTGTTACTTTTAAATTCATTAAACTCTTCTAGGTCAGAAAAATCATTATTCCATATTTGTTTTTAAAGTATATTTTCACTGGGTATAGAATTCTAAACTGACAGATTTTTTTTTCAGCACTCTAAAGATGTTATTCCACTGTCTTACACTATGCATTGTTTCTGAAGAGAAATCTTCTGTCATCCTTAACTTCATTCATATCCTTTTTTTTCTGCTTGCATTTAAGATTTACTCCTTGTCACTGCAATTACAATTTGATTATGATGAACCTTGATGTAGTATTCTTCATGTTTCCTGTGTTTGGTATTTGTTGAGTTTCATGAATCTGTTAGTCGTTTTCATGTAATTTGAAAAGGTTTTGGTCATTATTGTTTAGGTAATTTGTTTTCTTTTCTTCCTCTTCTTCAAAGATTCCAATTACATGTATATTTGGCTGCATAGAGCTGTTCCATAGTTCACTGAACACTAATCATCTGGTTTTATTTCTCCTCAGTGTTTCATTTTGGATAGTTTCTATTATTATGTCTCCGTGTTACTCATGTTTTCTTCTTTGATGTCTAATCTTCCATTAATCTGAGCCAGTGTCTTTTTCATCTCAATCATTGTGATATTCATTTCCAGAAATTTGATTGCATCTTCTCAGATCTTTCTTAACATATTCAGTCTTCTCTCTAACATTACTGTTTAAAACACATTTCTGTTAATTCTGTTATCTGTGTTATATCAGAGTTGAGTTTAATTGATTGAGTTTCTCCTCATTATGGGTTATATTTTTCTGCTTCCTTGCATGCCTGTTAACATTTATTGGATGCCTATCACACAAAGTTATTTTACCTTTTTGGATACTAGTTATTTTGTATTTCTATATGTTTTCTTGAACTTTATCCTGGAATGTGGAACTAGCTGAATTTGTTTGGATTTTGTTTTATCCTTTGTTATATGGGATAACAGAGGAATCCTGCCTATGGATAATTTTTCCCCACTACTGACCCTTTTTACTAATCTAATCAATGATTCATGAATTATGAGGTTTTAATTCTGGCTATTGGAAGCAGGCACTATTCCTGTCCCTGGGGATTTGGGGGACACTCTTCCTTTTAATATTTTGGATATTTCTTTCCCTGGCCTTGGGTAGTTTCCTTATATGAATGTGTTGACCTGTACTCAACTGAATACTTGAGACAAGTCTTTTGCAGATCTCTGGAGCTCTTCCTTTTTATAGCTCTTCTTTTTTCAGTACTCTGTTTTATAGACACTAGCAACTTATGCTTCCTTCAAGATTTTCACAATTCATAACTACTACCTTGTTCTCCCTGGGTACTTTCTCTGGGTACTAGAGCCTGGAAACTTTTTCTACTTAGTAATCTGGGGCAATTATAGAGCTTACCTCACTGGTTTCTTGCCCATCAGGGATCACTGTCCTTAGCTTTTACATGTCCAATATCTTTATAACTATTTTTTCATATATTTTGTCAGTTGTGTCAGGTGAGAGGATAAAACTGGTCCCTATTACAAAATTGTGAAGTTTGGTTCCTGTTACAATTTTGGCTGAAAGTATAAGTCTAACAATAGATTTTGATGAGTCAAAAGGACATATTATAATTTATAGTATGAGAATAAAATATCAAGAAAACTTTTAATTTCCAAACCAATAAAGCTGAAAATGGAATTTAAAAAATTAGCCTAAAATAAGGCAAGAATAGAGTGAAAAAGTAACAAAGAACAGGCAAAACAAATAGAAAGACATACTAAAATGGTAGATTTAATACAATACATTAGTAACTACATTAAAATTAAATTTACTAAATTATTCAATCAAAAGACATTAATACTGAATTAAACAAAAACTCATTATGTGCTGTTTTCATTTTTCTTCTCTTTTTTGAGATACAGTCTTGCTCTCTCACCCAGGCTGTAGTGCAGTGGCACGATCTCAGCTCATTGCAACCTCTGCCTTCTGAGTTCAAGCAATTTTTGTGCCTTAGCCCAATGAGTAGCTGGGATTACAGGAGTGCACCACCACACCAGGCTAATTTTTGTATTTTCAGTAGAGATAAGGTTTCGCCATGTTGCCCAGGCTGGTCTCAAACTCCTGGCCTGAAGTGATTTGCCTGCCTTGGCCTCCCAAAGTGCTGGGATTACAGGCATGAGCCACTTTGCGCAGCCATGTGCTGTTTTCAAAAGTAGTAACTATTACACAAGCTTACAGAAAGTTTGAAAATTAAATAATGGAAAAAATATATGCCCTGTTGAGCTAAAAACAACTGGTGAAGCTATATTAATATTAAACAAATTAAAAGCATAGAATGTAAGGAAAATATTACTAGAGATGAATCATTTCTTGATATTCTTTTTTTTTTTTTTTTTTTTTTGAGACAGTCTCGCTCTGTCACCAAGGCTGGAGTGCAGTGGGACGATCTTGGCTCACTGCACCCTCTGCCTCCCAGGTTCAAGCGATTCTCCTGCCTCAGTCTTTTGAGTAGCTGGGACTACAGGCATGCACCACCACACTTGGCTAATTTTTTTTTTGTATTTTTACTAGAGACAGGGTTTCACCATACTGGTCAGGCTGGTCTCAATCTCCTGACCTCAAATGATCCATCCGCCTCGGCCTCCCAAAGTGCTGGGATTACAGGCATGAGCCACCGTGCCCAGCCGATCTTCTTAATAGGAATATATAATTACAAATTTTTAAGTGTCCAATAAGGTTGTCTCAATACAGCAGAAATTAAGCCATGAAGCAAGAAGTCCATAGAAGGCATACTGTATAAGTTCATGACCACAATACAATTAAAAATACAATTTTTATTACTAATAGAAATTAGTAATAAAACAATATCTAGAAAATTCTCCTATGTTTAGAAAATAGATAATACATCACTAAATAACCCACGTGTAAAAACAAATCATAAAGGAAATTAGAAAATATTTTGAACAGAATAGTAATGAATATACAATACTTTCACACTGATAGGAAAATTGATATCCTTAAATGCGTATATAAGACAAGAACCAAGGTTGAAAGTTAATGAGTTAACCTTTTATCTCTGGTAGTTAGAAAAAGAATTCCAACTCAATAAAAAAAAAAGAGAGAGAGAGAAGCAAATAATGAAGACATAACGTTACTGAAACAGCTGTGTTTTTTTAAAAAAAAACAAAAACAAAAACAAAAACCCCACAGTTATTGGATAAATTAATTCTGTCTTCTTGAAATTTCAACAACAGCTAAAGAAACAAACAAACAAAATAAAAAACCTGGCCAGACAGAATGGCTCATGCCTGTAATCCCAGCACTTTGCGAGGCCAAGATGGGTGGTTTGCTTGAGCCCAGGAGTTTGAGCTCAACCTGGGCAACATGGCAAAACCTCATCTCTACAAAAACTACAAAAATTAGCCAGACATAATGGTGCACACACCTGTGGCTGCAGCTACTTGAGAGGTTGAGGCAGAGAATTGCCGCTTGAGCCTGGTAAGTGGAGGCTGCAATGAGCTCTGATTGCACCACTGTACTCCAGCCTTGGCAACAGAGCAAGACTCTGTCTCAAAAAAATAAATAAATAAAAATTTAAAATTTAAAATTTAAAAATAACAAAATACAAAACTCTCTGGGACTAGTTGGATCTCTGGAAAACTCTACTAAACATAAAAGGAAGAACAAACTTTTTCAGAGAATTGAAAAAAAGAGAACACTCCTTAACTTATTTTTATAAGACCAGCATAATCCTAATATTCAAAGCTATTATAGGAAAATAATAATTTAGGCTGATATTACTCATGAGGATAGATGCAAAAATTCTAAACAAAATACATACAAGTGGCCGAGGGCTGTGGCTCATGCCTGTAATCCCAGCACTTTGGGAGACCAAAGCAGGCAGAATACGAGGTCAAGAGTTTGAGACCAGCCTGACCAACATGGTGAAACTCCATCTCTACTAAAAATACAAAAATTAGGTGGGCGTGGTGGTGCATGCCTGTAATCCCAGCTACTCAGGATGCTGAGGCAGGAGAATCACTTGAACCCAGGAGGCAGAGGTTGCAGTGAGTTGAGATTATGCCGTTATGCTCCAGCCTGGGCTACAGAATGAGACTTGGTCTCAAAAAAAAAAAAAAAAAAAAAATACAAGCATAATCCAGCAACACATAAGTTAAACAATACATTACGACCAAAATGAATTGACTTCAGGTAGATAATGTTGTTTTAACATGTATAAAATGCATTCGTGACGTTTCTCTCAGCAGAATAAAGGGAAAAATTATATGATTATTTCAACTGACACAGAAAAAGTACTTAATAAAATTCAGGTCCACTTATGGAAAATATTCTTAGCGAACAGGGAATAGAAGGGAACCACCTTATTTACAAAACACCTGCAGCTAACATTATATTGTGGGCCACATGACAAATATGATTGGCAGTTGGCTGCCAAAGAAATTGATCCAAACTTAAAAGGAAACCAAAGGGATCCGGCATCATGTCTGGCCTCACCCAAGACACAAACATGGTAAGTCCCTATTAAACATTTCTTTCTAAAAGGACAAAAAAAAAAAAAAAAAAAAAAAAAAGAGGAAACACAGGGCCTGCTCAAGGAAGGCAAAATTCTGTTTTACTCTGCTTAGGTCAGACAGCACCTGAGATATTATGCTGGCTTTGGGACCCTACTGTAACAGAAACATTGACAAACTGGAAAGACACAGAAAAGTTGATGGTGAAGATCATAAATCATGATAAGTAAGCAATGATGAAAACAACTGGGGTGGTTCCAAGATGGCCAAATAGGAACAGCTCCAGTCTACAGCTCCCAGTGTGAGCAATGCAGAAGATGGGTGATTCCTGCAATTCCAACTGAGGTATTGGGTTCATCTCACTGGGGGTCATGGGACAGTGGGGGCAGGACAGTGGGTGCAGCCCACCGAGTGTGAGCCAAAGCAGGGTGAGGTATCGCCTCACCTGGGAAGTGCAAGGGGTCAGGGAATTCCCTTTCCTAGCCAAAGGAAGGGGTGACAGATGGCACCTGGAAAATCAGGTCACTCCCACCCTAATACTGTGCTTTCCCACTGCTCTTAGCAAAAGGCACACCAGGAGATTATATCCTGCGCGTGGCTCGGAGGGTCCCACACCCACAGAGCCTTGCTCATTGCTGGCATAGCAGTCTGAGATCCGACTGCAAGGCAGCAGCAAGGCTGGGGGAGGGGTGCCTGCAATTGCCAAGGCTTGAGTAGGTAAACAAAGTGGCCAGGAAGCTCAAACTGGGTGGAGCCCACTGCAGCTCAAGAAGGCCTGCCTGCTTCTGTAGACTCCACCTCTGGGGGCAGGGCATAGCTGAACAAAAGGCAGCAGAAACCACTGCAGACTTAAATGTCTTTGTCTGACAGCTTTGAAGAGAGTAGTGGTTCTCCCAGCATGGTGTTTGAGATCTGAGAATGGACATACTGCCTCCTCAAGTGGGTCCCTGACCCCTGAGTACCATAACTGGGAGACACCTCCCAGTAGGGGCAGACTGACACCTCACAGGGCCGGGTAACCCTCTGAGATAAAGCTTCCAGAGGAACAATCAGGCAGCAACAGTTGATGTTCAGCAATATTCGTTGTTCTGCAGCCTCTGCTGCTGATCCCCAGGCAAACAGGGTCTGGAGTGGACCTCCAGCAAACTCCAATAGACCTGCAGCTGATGGTCCTGAATGTTAGAAGGAAAATGAACAAACAGAAAGGACATCCACACCAAAACCCCATCTGTACATCACCATCATCAAAGACCAAAGGTAGATAAAACCACAGAGATGGGGAAAAAACAGAGCAGAAAAGCAGAACATTCTAAAAATCAGAGCACCTCTCCCAATCCAAAGGAATGCAGCTGCTCGCCAGCAATGAAACAAAACTGGATGGAGAATGACTTTGACAAGTTGAGAGAAGAAGGCTTCAGACAATCAAACTTCTCTGAGCTAAAGGAGGAAGTTTGAACCCAACGCGAAGAAGTTAAAAACCTTGAAAAAAGATTAGATGAATGGCTAACTAGAATAACCAGCATAGAGAAATCCTTAAATGACCTGATAGAGCTGAAAACCATGGCACGAGAACTACATGACAAATGCACAAGCTTCAGTAGCCAATTCAATCAACTCGAAGAAAGGGTATCAGTGACTGAAGATCAAATGAATGAAATGAAGTGAGAAGAGAAGTTTAGAGAAAAAAGAGTAAAAACAAACAAACAAAGCCTCCAAGAAATATGGAACTATGTGAAAAGACCAAATCTACGTCTGACTGGTTTACCTGAAAGTGACAGGGAGAATGGAACCAAGTTGGAAAACATTCTGCAGGATATTATCCAGGAGAATTTCCCCAACCTGGCAAAGCAGGCCAACATCCAAATTCAGGAAATACAGAGAACACCACAAAGATACTCCTTGAGAAGAGCAACTCCAAGACACATAATTGTCAGATTCACCAAAGTTGAAATGAAGGAAAAAAATGTGAAAGGCAGCCAGAGAGAAAGTTCGGGTTACTCACAAAGGGAAGCCCATCAGACTAACAGCTGATCTCTTGGCAGAAACTCTACAAGCCAGAAGAGAATGGGGGCCAATATTCAACATTCTTAAAGAAAAGAATTTTCAACACAGAATTTCATATCCAGCCAAACTAAGCTTCATAAGTGAAGGAGAAATAAAATCCTTTACAGACAAGCAAATGCTGAGAGATTTTGTCACCACCAGGCCTGCCCTAAAAGAGCTCCTGAAGAAGCACTAAACATGGAAAGGAACAACCGGTACCAGCCACTGCAAAAACATGCCAAATTGTAAAGACCATCGAGGCTAGGAAGAAACTGCTTCAACTAACGAGCAAAATAACCAGCTAACATCATAATGATAGGATCAAATTCACACATAACAATACTAACCTTTAATGTAAATGGGTTAAATGCTCCACTTAAAAGACACAGACTGGCAAATTGGATAAAGAGTCAAGACTCATCAGTGTGCTGTATTCAGGAGACCCATCTCACGTGCAGCGACACACATAGGCTCAAAATAAAGGGATGGAGGAAGATCTACCAAGCAAATGGAAAACAAAAAAAGGCAGGGGTTGCAATCCTAGTCTCTGATAAAACAGGCTTTAAAGCAACAAATCAAAAGAGACAAAGAAGGCCATTACTTAATGGTAAAGGGATCAAATCAAAAAGAAGAGCTAACTATCTTAAATATATATGCACCCAATGCAGGAGCACCCAGATTCATAAAGCAAGTCCTTAGAGATCTACAAAGAGACTTAGACTCCCACACAATAATAATGGGAGATTTTAACACCCTACTGTCAACATTAGACAGATCAATGAGACAGAAAGTTAACAAGGATATCCAGGAATTGAACTCAGCTCTGCACCAAGTGGACCTAAGAGACATCTACAGAACTCTCCATCCCAAATCAACAGAATATACACTCTTCTCAGCACCACATCACACTTATTCCAAAACTGACCACAGAGTTGGAAGTAAAGCACTCCTCAGCAAATGTAAAAGGACAGAAATTATAACAAACTGTCTCTCAGACCACAGTGCAATCAAACTAGAACTCAGGATTAAGAAACTCACTCAAAACCGCTCAACTACATGGAAACTGAACAATCGGCTCCTGAATGACTACTGGGTACATAATGAAATGAAGGCAGAAATAAAGATGTTCTTTGAAATCAATGAGAACAAAGACACAACATACAAGAATCTCTGGGACACATTTAAAGCGGTGTGTAGAGGGAAATTTATAGCACTAAATGCCCACAAGAGAAAGCAGGAAAGATCTAAAATTGGCACCCTAACATCACAATTAAAAGAATTAGAGAAGCAAGAGCAAATACATTCAAAAACTAGCAGAATGCAAGAAATAACTAAGATCAAAGCAGAACTGAAGGAGATGGAGACACAGAAAACCCTTCAAAAAATCAATGAATCCAGGAGCTGGTTTTTTGAAGAGATCAACAAAATTGATAGACCACAAGCAAGACTAATAAAGAAGAAAAGAGAGAAGAATCAAATAGACGCAATAAAAATGATAAAGGGGATATCACCACTGATCCCACAGAAATACAAACTACCATCAGAGAATACTATAAACACCTCTATGCAAATAAACTAGAAAATACAGAAGAAATGGATAAATTCGTGGACACATACATCCTCCCAAGACTAAACCAGGAAGAACTTGAATCTCTGAATAGACCAATAACAGGCTCTGAAATTGTGGCAATAATTAATAGCTTACCAACCAAACAAAGTCCAGGACCAGATGGATTCACATCTGAATTCTACCAGAGGTAGAAGGAGGAGCTGGTACCATTCCTTCTGAAACTATTCCAATCAATAAAGAGGAAATCTTCCCTAATTCATTTTATGAGGCCAGCATCACCCTGATACCAAATCCTGGCAAAGACACAACAAAAAAAGAGAATTTTAGACCACTATTCCTGATGAACATTGATGCAAACATCCTCAATAAGATACTGGCAAACCAAATCCAGCAGCACATCAAAAAGCTTATCCACCATGATCAAGTGGGCTTCAACCCTGGGATGCAAGGCTGGTTCAACATACGCAAATCAATAAATGTAATCCAGCATATAAACAGAATCAAAGACAAAAACCACATGATTATCTCAATAGATGCAGAAAAGGCCTTTGACAAAATTCAACAGCCCTTCATGCTAAAAACTCTCAATAAACTCGGTAATGATGGGATGTATCTCAAAATAATAAGAGCTATTTATAACAAATCCACAGCCAATATCATACTGAATGGGCAAAAACTGGAAGCATTCCCTTTGAAAACTGGTACAAGACAGGGATGCCCTCTCTCACCACTCCTATTCAACATAGTGTTGGAAGTTCTGCCCAGGGCAATCAGGCAGGAGAAAGAAATAAAGGGTACTCAATTAGGAAAAGAGGAAGTCCGATTGTCCCTGTTTGCAGATGACATGATTGTATATGCAGAAAACCCCATTGTCTCAGCCCCAAATCTCCTTAAGCTGATAAGCAACTTCAGCAAAGTCTCAGGACACAAAATCAACGTGCAAAAATCACAAGCATTCCTATACACCAATAACAGACAAACAGCCAAATCATGAGTGAACTCCCATTCACAATTGCTTCAAAGAGAATAAAATACCTAGGAATTCAACTTACAAGAGATGTGAAGGACCTCTTCAAGGAGAACTACAAACAACTGCTCAACAAAATAAAAGAGGACACAAACAAATGGAGGAACATTCCATGCTCATGGATAGGAAAAAATCAATATGGTGAAAATGGCCATACTACCAAGGTAATTTATACATTCAAAGCCATCCACATCAAGCCACCAATGACTTTCTTCACAGAATTGGAAAAAACTACTTTAAATTTCATATGGAACCAAAAAAGAGCCCGCATTGCCAAGTCAATCCTAAGCCAAAAGAACAAAGCTGGAGGCATCACGCTACCTGACTTCAATCTATACTACAAGGCTACAGTAACCAAAACAGCATGGTACTGGTACCAAAACAGAGATATAGACCAATGGAACAGAACAGAGCCCTCAGAAATAATACCACACATCTACAACCATCTGATCTTTGACAAACCTGACAAAAACAAGAAATGGGGAAAGGACACCCTATTTAATAAATGGTGCTGGGAAAACTGGCTAGCCATATGTAGAAAGCTCAAAGTGGATCCCTTCCTTACACCTTATACAAAAATTAATTCAAGATGGATTAAAGACTTAAATGTTAGACCTAAAACCATGAAAACCCTAGAAGAAAACCTAGGCAATACCATTCAGGACATAGGCATGGGCAAGGACTTCATGACTAAAACACCAAAAGCAATGGCAACAAAAGCCAAAATTGACAAATGGGATCTAATTAAACTAAAGAGCTTCTGCACAGCAAAAGAAACTACCATCAGAGTGAACAGGCAATCTACAGAATGGGAGAAAATTTTTGCAATGTACTCATCTGACAAAGGGCTAATATCCAGAATCTACAAAGAACTCAAACAAATTTACAAGAAAAAAACAACCCCATCAACAAGTAGGCAAAGGATATGAACAGGCACTTCTCAAAAGAAGACATTTATGCAGCCAACAGACAGGTGAAAAAATGCTCATCATCACTGGCCATCAGAGAAATGCAAATCAAAACCACAGTGAGATACCATCTCACACCAGTTAGAATGGCGATCATTAAAAAGTCAGGAAACAACAGATGCTGGAGAGGATGTGGAGAAATAGGAACACTTTTATACTGCTGGTGGGACTGTAAACTAGTTCAACCATTGTGGAAGACAGTGTGGTGATTCCTCAAGGATCTAGAACTAGAAATACCATTTGACTCAGCCATCCCATTACTGGGTATATACCCAAAGGGTTATAAATCATGCTGCTATAAAGGAATATGCACATGTATGTTTATTGTGGCACTATTCACAATAGCAAAGACTTGGAAGCAACCCAAATGTCCATCAGTGATAGACTGGATTAAGAAAATGTGGCATATATACACCATGGAATACTATGCAGCCATAAAAAAGGATGAGTTCATGTCCTTTGTAGGGACAAGGATGAAGCTGAAAACCATTCATTCTCAGCAAACTATCGCAAGAACAAAAAACCAAACACTGTGTGTTCTCACTCATAGGTGGGAATTGAACAATGAGAACACTTGGACACAGGAAGGGGAACATCACACACCGGGACCTGTTGTGGGGTGGGGGGAGGGGGTAGGGACAGCTTTAGGAGATATACCTAATGTAAACAACGAGTTAATGGGTGCAGCACACCAACATGGCACATGTATACATATGTAACAAACCTGCACGTTATGCTCATGTACCCTAGAACTTAAAGTATAATTTTTAAAAAAATGAAAAAAAAGAAAATAAGGAAAAGCACTTTGAGTGTTTTTCCCACACTCACAATTCCAGGAAAAAAAAAAAAAGAAAACAACTATGAAGGAAAAACGTAACAAGTGGGCAGTGTTGCCTGGGGAGAAGGGCTCAACTGACTTGCGTGTCTAGGGAATGTAGAACTAGTAATACAGGAGGGTATTTAAACATAGATGCATTCTGAAAATCCACAAAGAAAAACTCTTTAACAATTAAAACTCCCTGAAAATGAGACGTATCTGCTTTCTATGTTTTCTTATGCTGTTATTATGTAGTAACCCAGATGAGCCTTCAGCAGGGATGCTGCAGAAAGGATGGGATGAATTAGCAACATCTAAAATGACTTCTTACCCTAAGATTCTATAATTCAATAACCCTAGATCAGAACATTCATGCTTTTTACAAAAGGCCATCGCAAACTTACACCATGATTCTTAGAGCAGCAAATACAACAGCCATAACGTGACCGTCCTAAGTGTTAATTGCTTTTGTACCTCCTTTCTGAATGTTGTTAAAAATCACTGATAAAGTTCATTTTTCCAAAGGATATTTTGCTATCTTGTCATTGATAAACTCTGAAGTCATTTTAATAAGACTCTTGGTCAGTCACCATAATGTTGTGTATGGTACTTAAAGTCCACCACTTAGCTTCTACTTCTGGAGTCAGGATTCTTAATGAATGAACAGCTCAAAGAAGTTCAACTGGTTTCTCAACAACCCTGAATTTGCTCATGACTTCTTGAACTCTTCTCATCCATTATACTCAGTTTACATATCATGTTTCTTTTCTTGAGACTGGCTCTATTTCCAAATGGCCTTCCGTATTTCTTCCCACCTTAACAGATTTTAAATTAAACAACAGCAAAAATGTAGCATTTCTACAAAATTTTCCATTTAAATTCCTTGGGAATCATTACCTTGTTAATGTTAACTTCTGATCTCTTTGTTTCATATTTATTACTCCTTATTTGAGCTGTGGTCCTACAAAATTGTATCCCATTTCTATGGCTGTATGAATAACTTGTATTGCTACTAAATTTGGCTATATATCAGTTCCATAAGAATATTTAGGTGGTTCTAACATTTGATGGAGAATTTGTGTGGATTTCTCTATTTTTTCCCAAGCCATCAGTGCTTCTTTGCAAGCAAAGCATTTGTTAGCTCAGTAGTCAGAGAGGGTAAGTCACAAAATTAAGTGCTGCAAAGAGCAGCTCGAGTCAAAAGACCTTCATGGCTCTGTGGCTAGTGTTGGAAACCACTCCTGGTCAGATGTTTTGTATCTTCAGAAACATCTAAACAATGAGACAACAGTTAATGTCAAGGCTAGCACCCTCACATCTGAATTATAATAATGTAACAAGAGGATTTACACACACAGATATCATTTTTCACCATCTTTTGCGTTATGGTTTGTTCAGATTGCCACGTTGCATATCATCTGTTTCCCCAGTAGATCCATTTTATTTCAACTACGTATGAAAGAAGTTTAAGAAGCTCTTTGCCCTTCTCTTTTAAATAATTTTATTTTAGCAAATACATGTTTACTGCTTTATTTTACTTTATTCTTTATTTATTATTACTTTATCAAACTTAAGTTTTTAATAGGGCTAGAATAATTATATATTGTTAATACTGAAATATTTTCAAGTGTAATTAGAGATACTTTTAAGGATTATTTCATTTTAGATCAGTATTAGTTTTTAGCCACCCTGAAATTTTAATATTATCAGAAATATATGTGTGGTCTTAAGGAATCCTTCCTATTTTTAAATTTACCTAAAAATTTCAGCTAATTATTTGAAAGTATGCTATTTTAAGTGGTTAATGTAAATTTTATATAGTGCATAATATTTTAAATGATACACTAGTAACCCATCAAATGATATTTATAGAAAATATTAACACTTAAAATCCCATATTATAGATTTTTGGATAATTGATCTCTATAAAATTTTTATAAGTTAGAACATTTGAATGACTAAAAGAAGATATTTTAATAATACACAAATCTAATTATCTCCAAGTTTATTTAGAATTCCACAAATTAGATCATAAATACCTGTTCTATAATTTTGCTAAATGAATTTCAATTGTATATAACAAATTACAAAGCGTACAAGAAACTATTACAAAATGCATGAGTGTTATTTTGTATCCCAACATTGTGTAAAATTTAATAAAATTGGTATATTTTGGGTTCCTTCCAAAAGAGGTTAGTTACTGGAATACTGGAAGAAATTTACTCTGATATGGTCTTACAGCATGGATCCTGAGGACACTGGGAGAGCAATAAAGCACAATTAAAAATTAAGAAATGATTAGAAAGCCAATACAAATCAAAGTTGACCTTGTAGTAATGCTATGTTAAAGACAACAAAATCATACTTAGGAGCTGGTTTCCCAGAACAAAGATCAAGCCAGGCTTTTACTTATCTTTATATAATAAATTTTGGTCCCGACATAATTAAAAGGTGAATGACCTTTCTTCAGTAGGATATATTTTTAGAGAGTACAATGAAGAACATTTCCCCTGGGATACAAAAAAAAAAGAAGTAATTCAAAATTTTTTGCTTTATGACATAATTAATTTGAAAATTACATGAGGAAATGTAAAAATCGAATTCTTCTAATATAATGGAAGTAGGCTCAAAACTACAAAATTTGAGACTCTAGAACTGTACTCATAGAGTAGCCCCTAATCAGGTGTGGCTCTTTAAATTTAAATTTTAATTAATCATGTAAAGGTAAAAATTCATTTCCTCAGTCGCACTAACCACATTTCAAGTGCTCAGTAGCCAAATATAGCTAGTGGCTATTGTATTGGACAACACGGATATAAAGCATTTACATTACCACATAAAGCTCTATTAGACGGCACTGTTGTAGAATATAAGAGAGAAACGCTATGTCTATATTAAAGGGGAAAACCCTAAATTCTCTAGATTAACAGCATGCACAGTGACCATTTAGAGGGCTACTGATCTAACCATTTATTTTTCTTCTCTTTTTATCCTTCAATTATTAGTGAACCGGAAAATCCATGTATTCCATAAGACCATTCTATGGTCTTATGGAATAAATAGTGTATTTTTGCTGAGAGTAAGAATTGTTGTCAAAACTCACCCATTTAAAAAAAAAAACAAAAAAAACACCAAAACTTTACTGGACAGCAAGACACTGAAAATGCATACCACAATACAGCAGCAGAGTTGATTGACATCAGATCTTTATAGACCGAAAGGAAAAAATCATTAGTGCAAAATAATGCATATGACTAGTGAGATTGGTAGCTTGATTATTGAGAATGGATTTGGGTCTCTGTAGAATGAACTGCCTGAGATCTCACTGTGGTCTTCAGGAAGGATTCTGTATGACTCCATGGGCCATAGCGATGGAGCCAAATAATACTGCAGATTGTTCATGCTGGCGCATCCTCAAGCACATGACAGCAAGTGAACCAGAGAATTCTGGTTTGAGTAGGGGTTGAAAGTCTCTTTGAGAAAGAAAAAATGTTAAACCATGTAAATTCCAGCCTTCATAAACCAGTTCCCTGAAAACCACAGTGACTCAGCAGAAAAAGTGCTTATTTAAAGAAGTATTTCTAAATGGAGACTCACAAACTCTGCATTTGATTAAGCTCACTTAAGAAGAAAACACCCTCATTTTGTGTTTGCCTATTATCTTCAAATGATTAAAATGATATCATTACCACTTATAAATTTTATATCTCCCTTAAAGACCGCATTTTTAAAAACCACTTAAATGATACCATGCCACCATAAAAGGCAGTTTCTCCTCTCACTGAAATAATATTCCCTTAGGGGTAAGATTTACATCTCATGCAACGCCATGGGAGAATTAGACTCCAAAAGAGCAAAGAGAATCCTCATAGAGTTACATAGGATGAAAATTTGGCTCAGACGTTATTTTTTAGATGGAAATTGATAAACAGAATAAAAGTTAAAATATACAGAAATGGGGATCCAAGGTAACAATGCCTAAAGAAAGGAGTCTTTTGTTGTTGTTGTTTCCAGATTGTTTTTTTTCTCCCTTCTCTGAGCTATTTTGGCCCATTTTCTCGTGGTCTTTCTTACAGTTTTTGTGCTACTAAGACCTGTTAAAACGAAAAAGTAGGAATTCAAGTAAAAGTTAAAATGGCTCTTTGTTCTTCTTACCTTTCCTAATGGTTAGCTGTGAGTTGCATACTTCATGTGTCTCAGACTGTGAACTTAAAAACCAGACTTCTGACCTGAAATTATTGCATGGGATATGCTAACCACAGGGCACCAAGTACACAGAATGTCTCTTCTACATTCTTCAGGAGCCACCCCCTGGGCTGTGGCATCTTCCGATTTAGAAAACCAATGAGGTCTCATGCTTATTAGAATTGCAAATGTAAACCTCAAGATGTGTATGTTGGAAGTGCAGGCGTGATATATTTCATTTTTTTTCTTATAATCACTTTTATGCTTATATTTTTTGCATTGCTTTATTTTTGCTTTGTGGTCATCAAAAAATATCCTAGTATATTTTGGTGCTAATTCCAAGACTGTATTCACTGCAGTCTACATATTATTATGCAAATAGCCCATAACAGCTCTTTGTAATTTCACAAATCCAGACTGTGAAGTTATTTCCCACTTAATGCAAAACATAATTTACTTTCTAGTTACATGTAATATTTCTATATTACATACTCTAAGCTTCTCCCAAATTACTTTTTGATTAATATCGTTTGGATAAAATTCAATTTTGCAACCTCAAACCATCTTACAGAATGTGGAAAATGTTATTTTATACCTGCATTAGGCATATTTTCAGATATTCCTAAAATGCTAATTGCTGATTTTAGAGACGTATGGCAAATAAATCCCATGAAATCTGTAAAAGAAACACGTGTACCTCAAAACATTGCCTTATTTCTGTTGCTGTTGTATCTATTTATAGTTGTTAGTTTATGAGCTGTGGTTAGAACATTGCAAAATTCCAGGTGCTTTTTAAAAGAAGAAGCCAATATTATTTCAGCTTGCAACCTGAAAAACTATACCACTGGGTTCAAAGAGTGTGCATATGTTCAGGACACTGCTATATACCCTTAAACTTATTATCTTCTTTAATTATTATAACAATTCTCTTTTTGTCCCCAGTTTGCAGACAAAGGAACTGATCCCAAGAAGAGTTTACTTGCCCAAGATGTCACAGCTATAAAATGGAAGAACATAATTTAACTCCCAGAAAGTTGGACTTCCTAGAGTCTATCACAATGAGGAGAAATGCACATCTGAATGTTTAAGTCATCATGGAGAATATTAAAGAAATTTTTGTATTTAGTTGCTAATTACTATTTACATCTCCTTGACATTTACAACATAATAATGGCTTGATTATTTAAAGGGATTGAGAAAAACAGTGCCAAACTTACTGGACACCTGCTATGTTCTCAGCACTGTGTCATTTCATATGATCAGCAAGAAAGTTTAAAAACTTTGTTTGATTATCCATTATGCTAAAATAAAGGCACTTCGCTCTAATATTCAGATTTCTTAAATTGTTTTAAAATATACCTGAAAAAGAAGATTATAGTAAAATGATGGGTAAAATTAGAAACAAATGAGCAATTGAATTGAAAGATTACTTGCCCATTTTCAACATTTGTCACAATATGAAGGTATTTGAGACATATAAGCACATAATATTATGGTAATACAGAATACATTTAAAGGTGACAAAATATTTTTCAAAAGCAGGAAGATATAAACTCCTTATCTATCTCTCTATTCATATATCTATCCATCCATTTTACTTTTGTACAAGAATCTTTGTAGAGAATAGTTTTTGTCACCTTATGCCATTCATTTGTAATAGCTCCAAATCTGTTTTTGCTGATAAACTTCAGTCACTAATAGCTCTGTGGCTTCAAAACATTTTCTTCCATTGGTTGGCGGTTGCCCCAAGGAAAAGATGAAATACAAAAAAGATACTATGGTTTGAATGTCCCCTTTAAAACTCTTCTTGTAATGGCAGTGGGAGGCAAAGTCTTTAAGAGTTGACTAGGTCATGAGGGCCCTGCCCTCATAAATGGATTAATGCCATTATGGGAGTGGGTTAGTTATCACAGGGGTGGGTTCCTGATAAAAGCATGAAACTTGGACCCCATTTCTTTCTCAGTATCTCACACTTACTTGCCTTTCTGCTTTCAGTCTTGAGATTACACAACAAAACAGTCCCTCCCCAGGTGGCCAAGCAGATGCTGACACCATGCCCTTGGACTTTCCAGCCTCCAGAACTGTGAGCCAAGTAAGTCTCTTTTCTTTATAAATTACCTTTTCTATGGCATTCTGTTATAGTGACTGAAAACGGACTAAAACAGAAGTTGCTGCTTCTTGGAACAATATGGTTTTTCCCTCTTCAGCTTCTGAGGGCTCCCCCTTACAATTACTACCGTCTTCTTAGTCTTCTTGTCCATCTACCCCATTGCCATCTCTGGTCAATTCTAGAACCACCATCATTCTCCAGTTAGAAGTTATTATTGTATACAAACAGCCTGGCTGACTAGATGTAACAAGTGTGAACACCTGCACATGAATAGAGGAAAAGTGTGGAGGAAACTCTGGGTGTAGCTTCAACCAAAGGTTTGTTTGGGTGACTGAAGGAAATCCAAGAGATAGCATAAGGCAATGCATGCATGTATCAGAAAGAGAGGAGAAAATTTATTTAGCTCAGAGGCAGCAAGCAGTCATCCCTACCCTCTCACTATGGGGAACTGCAAGAGGCATTCATTTACCGTTTTTATTTAAAAAAAGGAGCCAGGATCACACTTGGTTATCCCCTCTAAAATATAATCTTAAAATCAAGGATGCTGAATTATTTATATTTGTATCTGCAGGACTGCTATGCTGTCTGGTACATTGTTGGCACTTACTGTATAATTGAATAATGAAAGATGGAATTAATAAGTTTATATGTGACAGAGGATGATGGGTCACAGATAAAATACATTAGGAGATTGCAATAAATGTATTGCAGGAAGGATTGATGTGTGTGCACACCTTGAGGGAATCCTGAGACAAGTGAGTCATGATGTAATATGTGAACAACCTAGAGAACCTGCCTGATCTTCACTCCCTTACCCCATCCAATCTTGGAGGTTTGCAGGTGACAATCCGCGAACCACCTGGATGTGGGTAGGCCTACCATTTAAAGGAGGTAGAGATTTAGAGGTATTCTGTATCTACTGATTTATTATTTCTGTTACTCATTTATCTATTCATTCATCCATGAAACAGTTATTGAAGTCCTATTATGTGTTCCAGTAACTGTTCTAGGAACTAGGGATACAAAGATGAATGACACTGTCATTTTCCTTAGAAATCTGCAGTGGAGTAGGGGGAGTAATTATAATGGACTATAAGTGCCAGGACAAAGTAATGGAACTAACAAAGGATATTGTGGGACCACAAAGTGGAGCCATGGACCATAGCCCTCGGAATCAGAGAAGGCTTCCTGGAGAAAGTGATGCCCTGAATTAAGTGCTGAAGGTTGAGTCTACCTTAGTCAACTATAGGAAAGAGGAGGGTAGAAGAGAAGAGCATCCCACACAGAAATTATGTATATGCCAATGTGCAGTCATGAGATAGCAGACATATTTAGAAAAGTACATGAAGGTCAGTGTTGTGAGAACACTGTGTTTGATGTAGGAAATGACAGGAGATGAGGCTAAAAAGATGGGTTGGGGCCAGAGGATCTCCATTCAAATAAACTTGGCATTTCATTTCTAGGGCAATGGAAGATCATAGGAGAGTTTAAGGAACGTGATCAAATTTACATTCAGGCGGCTTTTAGGTGACTGTGTGGTAGGTGGCTAGTGAGGCCTTTCTGGTAGTCCTGTGTGAGATGATGAAGGCTGGCCACAGGCAGTGCCAGTAGGGGTCAAGCAAGGGAGAGGAAGAGGGGAGCAGTCAAGGATGTCTCAATTTTCGGGTGTGAACGACTGAGTGAATGATGGTGCCTTTATCTGGGCAGGAGAATCTAGGAAAAACAGGTTCCAGAAAAAGGTGATGAGTTCAGTTTTGGATATGTTGAGTTTGAGGGCCTTGAGGGAAATCCAGGATGTGCATGAGTTAGTGCTATGGTTTAAATATTTGCATCCCCTCCAAACTACACATTGAAACTTAATCCCCAATGTAACAGTAGTAAGAGGTAGGACTTTAAGCTGTAATTAAGGTCTGCCCTCATGGATGGGATTAATGCCTTTATAAACAAGGCTCAAGGGAACTATTAGCTGTTGTTATGATAAAAGGTCCTTTTGCCTTCTGCCATCTAAGGATGCAACAAGGAGGTCCTATCTTGGCAGTAGAGAGCAGCCCTCGGCAGACATCAAATCTGCTGGCACCTTGATCTTGGGCTTCCTAGCCTCTAGAACTATGAGAAATAAATTTCTATTATTTATAAATCTCCCAGTCTGAGGTATTTTGTTCTAGCAGTAGGAATGGACTAAGATAGTTAGAAGCATCTAGAGCTAAGGAGGAGGCTGGGTTTTAAACAGAGAGTTTCCTCATATAGGTGGTCACTGAAACTGTGAGTGAATGTGCAATCCAGAAACAGTGGATACCATTAGGAAAACCTTAAGAAACATCACTATTTAGTAGTTGAGAGAAGGAAAGTAAGCTCACCATGGAGAGAAAATAGTTTGAGAAGCACAAGGAATACAGTAAAGTACAATGACAGGGAAGTATTCATGCTTCCTCTTTACATGCTTTTCTTCTTCTGTGCTCCTGTAACATCATAAGCATATCTTTTGTTATAATAATTACTGCATGGCATTGACGATATTGATGTTTTTTCTTTTGCATCTGTCTTTTCCCACCAGACCAGAGGCTCCTACTGAACTGAAACTGTAGCTTAGCCATCATTGTATCTCTAATGCCAAGTACAGAGGACACACTCAATATATAATACACCTTCAATATAATAGGCATACATAACAACACGAACATACACACATACTCTTATATGAGACTATTTTGGTTGTAAGTTATAGAAACTCAACTTGAATTGACAGTGGCTCGTGGCATCTAAGGAAGAGTTGAACATTGAAGTCCTGTGAATGACAGAGAAGGACTTCAGCTTCAGGAAGAGCAGGAACCAGGAAATTGAAGGCCCCAAATACTTTTTAATTTTTTGCTGCATTTTCTTTCCAGATGGCTTTAAAAAATCTTGAGAAATGTAACTACTGATAGCTTCTACATTAGCAGTTTACACCATCAACCATTGGACAGAAATTGGTCTGAGAATTTTAACTGGTGCGAGTCCAAAAATCCTGGGGAACAGATTCATTGGTTTAGTGTAGATTAGGTGACCATATGTGGACCAATTGACTGTGCCAAGGGGGCAAGTCACTGTCACAAAATGTCTACCCTCACTGAAACCATGAGGATGGGGGAAAATTCCACCCAGAAAGGGTGGTCTGCCACAGAAGATTATAACCTATTCAAAGGTCAGAGAGCATGAGAACTTGAGTAGAAATCTGATTCCGTGGAAATCTTGAGAATCCTGAAAATAGCCCACAGTGTGAAGCAGCACGGTGGAGGTGTTAAAAGTCTGGGCTCAGCAGAGCTTTCATCCCCAGCTGTATATCCTACTAGACCCTTGGCTTGGTGGAATTATTTTATCTGACTGAAGGCTTTTCCTGAGATGTAATATGAAGAAAATAACTATTATTAGGTTGTTATAAAGATAAAGTGAGATAATATGATAATAATAGCTAGTATTTATTATGTTTATTAAAGGCCAGATATTGTTTTAAGTGTGTTGCATGTGTCTATGGGATATTTTTATTTTTATTTCCTTCAGAGAAGGAAACTGAGCTCCAACTTCCCAAGGTTTCACAGCCAGGAAGTGATGAGTTACAGTTTGACCCCAGTAGTCTTGTGCTAGAGTCCACACTACAAACCACTGTGTTCTATTGCCTCCCTTATTAGCTATTGTTATTATAATGCATGCAAAGGACTTACAGTACCTTCTCCACAGTGGTGAAACCAATTCATTTATTTGACTAATGTTTATTCTCTACTATATTGTAGACACAGTTCTAGATACTAGAAGTTGAGCTATAAAACAAAAATCCCTGATCTCATAAAGTTTACATTCTAGCCTGGGAAGAATATTGCATACATTAAAATCTATGAATAATTTTAAGTAGTGATCAATGTCACAAGAGAAATAAAATAGATCAATGACACAAAGCATGTCTGGATGCTATGGGAAAGGTGATGTCAGCTCAGAGGGTCAAGAATGGGCTCTCCGAGGAGGTGACATTTGACCTGAGATGTACATGATGAGAGAGAGACGGCCATGCAAAGACCTGAGGGAAGAATTTTTTCAGGCAGATGAAGTAGCACTGTCAAGACCCAGAAGGGGAATGACTGTGGGTTTGAGAAACACAAAAGGGACCAACCTGGTCAGAGGCAGGTGGGGTTGAGGGTAGAGGGTAGACGATGATTGATTAGATTATTAGGAACTGTAGGGCATGGTGGATAATTTGGGACTTTTTTCCTTGATATAATGGGTAATTTTTAGGTTTTTATGCAGGGTTACTGATATTATCTGATTTAGACTTTGAGAAGATCAGTCTGACTGCAACCTTGAGAATGGAGATTAGGCAGTAGGGAAAGCTGTAAGAGGACACAAAAGATGATGATGGCTCAGACTAGTGTTTTGGGTGCCAAGAAGTGGTCAGATTAAGAATATATGATGGAGGCAGCACTGACAAGAATTGTTAAGCCATTGAATGTGAGTATGAAGGAAATAGAAGAATTAAAAATAAATCTCAAGATTTAGCATAAGTTACAGGGAGGATGTAGAGATGAGAAAGAGAGGGGCCATGCTTGAGTGAGAAATCAAGGAATTCTGTGTTACGTATGTGAACTCTGTGACATAGAGTTGCAATCTATTGACACTAATGTGAACTATTAACCTATTGCAGCAGTCAGCTGTTTACCTTCCAATGATGTTATAGGGGAGAAATGAAAGTGGTTTGCAAATTATATACTGATTTGTATTGAAA
Source organism: Homo sapiens (assembly GCF_000001405.40). Classification (NCBI taxonomy): domain Eukaryota; kingdom Metazoa; phylum Chordata; class Mammalia; order Primates; family Hominidae; genus Homo; species Homo sapiens. Next base: position 71,598,841 of record NC_000008.11, read on the forward strand.
TTGAATTAAATTTAAACTGCAATTGGATTAGGATTTAAAATTTTTGCATTTTTGTAGCCTGGTGAATTGCTGTGTTCTGGAAAAAGCAGGAAATTATTCTTATATGATTTTTTATTGATCAGATTTAAGTTCTTTAGAGATCATGTATAACAAGCCTTTGGGTAGCAAATTGATCCACAAATTCTACAAATCTTGTTAGTTTGTAGCCCCATTATCTCGATCTAACTTTATTCCTGTTGACAGCTGGGACCTAAGGGAAGGCCTAGTCTGAAAGCTGAGTAACCTGGGACTCAGTTGCTCAGGCTACCATGACAATGGGGCACTCAATTCCTTCACCTTTTTTCTTCTGCTTTAGGGATAGAGATTGAATTTTCCCAGGGAGCAATTAAGTACAGGGCTGGTGATTGGTATGGTAGCATGGTCATTTTGTAGTTTTCTAGGAGTGGGAAGGACAGCCAATTACTGCTTCCCTGCAAATTTAGCCTAATTTCACTACATGGGGAATTGACCATCTTAGTTTTGCAGGTTGTCCACTCCTCATTTCTAAGTCTCTCATTTGTGGCTCCCAGCTTTTTTTCTTTGTCTTTTTTTTTTTTTCAAGATCTTTTTTTTAAGATCTTTTTTAAGATATCCAGTATCTTGCCCAGGCTGGAGCACAGTGGCTATCTCAGGAGCAATCGTTGCTCACTGCAGCTTCAAACTCCTGGGCTCAAGCAATCCTCCTGCCTCTACCTCCAGAGTAGCTGGGACTACAGGCCCTGCCACCATGCCTGTTTGCTTCCAGCTTTGTGTCCCATCTTCATCATTGTGAAATGACCACCTAGATAACAAAGATATAGGGCAGGCGTGACCTGCAGCACCATCTGGAGAAAGTGCCCTAGGTCTTTCTCTTAATTATCTATGCATGACTGAGGTGTAACTTTTGTCCATGTACTCAATTTAAGAGACAGCGGGAAAGTGAAGTGCAAGGAACTCTGCGTCTTCTCCCTCCATTTCGGCCGTGGCAGCTCCACAATTTTCTGTTTTATATTTTGGGGTTGCAAATGAGGTTACATGTGGAACTGCTGGGGAAAAAGTGTTTGAGATGTTCCATTTAAACAAATAGCTCTAAGACTTAAAAAACAAAACAAAACTAGACTAACAGGTCAGATTTGTGCCTTTCCTCTAACTTTAATTTACCTCCCATATGTGTTTCAGGAAAATAAAAATGGACTGGAGAGCTAAGGTGAAGAAAAGACGTGTATGTGTCCCTTATTTACAACAATTTCTCACCAGGAAAAGGTGGCTGCTCAGAAGTAGGAAGGGAAGAATAAAACATCCTTGCTTTGAGCTCGGTGTCTTGGCCTGGATTTTCTTAATTTCTTTGGTTCTGGTTTAGATTGGAATCCTCATCAAGCTCATTTGTTGTTGAATAAAAAATTTAGTGATTGTTGCCTTTGTTGTTTACCAGTTTTCTAACCATTCCTATTGACTGATGTGCATGCAGTAAGAACAGTGGAATAACTGGGTTTTCGTTTTCTTTCTTTCTTCAAGTTACTGATGGGGTTTCAGGATCACAGTTCAGAACTGATCAAAATAAAAATCTTCCCTCCAGTTATCTTAGGTCAAGCAGATGTGAATCAGCTTGTGGGTTTACCAGAATGATTTGTTATTTTCCATGGAAAACAAGAAAGTTCTGTGGACCAGCAGCTTCCTTCTGCCTCTCTCTCCTCCAGCACTTTAGTGCAGCCATTGTGTAATTGGGTTTCCAAAAAAAAAAAAAAAAACCTGAAAAAGTTTCTCAACTGCACCAACATACCAGGAACTTGTACTGCATCCAGAAATCCAGCAAGTCCTTCGGGAGCCTGGCAGACAGATTCTGGCGTCAACAGGTCACCCAGCTCCAGATCCAGCTAAAGGTCTACAAACAATGGAGCTATCCAAAAAGGCTGTGAGGCTCTAATACCTGGACCTGCCACAGATACTACTTTCAACTTCTGGGCTGGGTCCTATCAGTTATATCTGTAAGCTTTATGTAATAAGGCCACCATTAATGAGGTTCTTCTGTGTGCTCAAGGAAGCCCTTTTTTTTTCTTTAGTTTAGTTTCACTATGCATCTTAGGATCATTATTCTCTATGCAAGCCACTAATGGGCTGAACTAAAGTAACCTTGAAGAAACAGTATAAATACAACAGGACCTAATACTAATTACTTAGACTTCAAGGAACAAGTTTCAAATGAAGAGTCCTTCCTTTGAGGACTCTTCCCACTCTTCCCAGGAAGCCCTTCCCCTCGGTTGACATGGTTACTGCAGGGGTTTGCCATGGCCTTGTATGACCCTGTAAGACTGGTCAGTAAGAGTAGGCCCATTGAGGGAGCCCACTCACTATAGTTGATTGATCGGGGAAAAGACACTAGATCGAAGTCTGTTCACTGGGCTGACTGATTAAACGTGAGAAAGTCAGAGACACAGAACAACTTCTCAGTGGCTAGAAGATATAATAGTGAAGAATCATTGGTGGCCATATTTGGTGTCATTTAAAAAAAGCCATTTTTTGTATGAAGAGAAAAGTAAAGGAACGTGCAGGGAGCCTCTCTCTGAATTTGCCTTGCAGTCTCACACCTTCCTGCTCTGAATGAAGTTCTATCTTCTGCCTAAGTTGTTCTTCATTCCTGACTTTACCTTGTTAGCCCTACTTTTCTTTCAAGGTTTGGCTCAGGTATAATTTTCTCTGTGAATAATCCCTTTGGTTCCCCAGCCCTTGGTTCAATAAACATCTTTCATTGCTCTGTGCCTCAGGTCTCCTCAGTCAATATGAAGAAACTTGAAGGCAGGAACTGTGACCTTATTCCTTTTGGTAATTCACATGACCACCAAGCAGAAGGCCAGGGACATCATAAGTTTGTTAAAAAATCATGAGTTTGACAAGTTGTTACACACCAACTCAACAGATGGAATGGCTGGGAGGAAGACTTTTTGATTGGTCTTTGCTTTATCATTTCTCTTGGCAGCATAGGGGGAAAAACCTGATGTCCTCTGGTAGCATCTAGGGCTCATCATCCCAGCTGATAGCATTCTTAGTGATGCCACATCAATTTCATCTCAAGACATACAGGTGCACAAGACTTATGTGTTGAATTAACAAAAGGTAGGAGAGCTTGATTTCATAAATAATTTTCTACATTCACTCACCTGTAAACACAATTCCAGTGTTCACATATCTGGAAAGTGTGTATACCCCCGGGGGTCTATGGGTTGGGAGCAATGGGATGCAACCCTGAGAAGGGCTGTGAAATCTAGTGACCCAATATTATTGATGGGGATTCTAAGCTCCAGGCTGGCATGCAAGAGGGATATATCTACTCTATTTTGCTTCACCATCTGTTGACTATGCCACTACTTATGAGAAGTGACCTGATCTGTCATTCTTGGTACTGAAAAGAGTCATCAGCTTAGGTTTAGTAAACTTAGGGCTTAAATATATTAGCAAAGACTAGCATTCCATTTTATCCATTAATTAATTTATTCAACAAATATTTATTGAGTGCCTACTATGTGAACACAGCAGGGAGTAGAAACTGACATGTCCCTATTACAGTCTCGTGGAATTTACTTCCAGTAAAGAAGAGAGGCACATATGAATAAATTAATATAAAGTTTCTACTAATAGGTACTATAGAAGAGAGATTGCCAGAGTTGTGAGAAATCCTAAGAGGATTTGACTGAGCCAGGGAAGTGATGGGAATCTTGCCCAAAGAAGGTGAAGAGAAGAAGAAAGACCACTCCAGAGTGAAAGAACAACATGTGCAAATTTTGTACAGCAGAACATAACACGGAAAGCTCAAGGTGCTGAAAGAAGGCTAGTGGCCCTGGAATTTAGGGAAGGGCAGAAAGGTAGCTGGAGAAGGGCCTGGGAGGGGTCCTACCATGTTTCAGGTGTTTGGCTTGATCCTGAGAGCAATGGGAAACTTTCAAAGTGTTTTGAGTCAAGTGAGGCAGTCAGATTTTCACTCTTAGAATACTTCCTCTGGTTGCAAGGTGTAAAATAGATTGGAGAACAGATGTGGTAGACAAGGTAGGAGGCTTCTAAGGCTCTGGTGAAAACTGATGGTGAATTGGACAAGGGTTGAGAGTGGAAGAGATATATGCAAGGGGATGGATTTGAGATATATTTAGTATGTAGTTATACATTTTCCCAGGCAAGCTGTAGAAAATTTCTTATGTGGTAGGATCAGCTTCTAATCTTTGTGTCAGAGAACTGAAAGCATATTAATACTGAGGAAAAAATATTTATTCATGAAACAAAGGAAAAAAACACTTCTATTCTGAGTAAGCCATTGCACTAGGCAGAATTATCTGAACCTTCAAGGCACAAAAACAAGGCTATCACATGTAGCTGTGCTTAACATGAAAACAGAGTAGAAAAAATGGATAGTTCAATGTGATTCAAAGCTTTCAATAAATGTGCAGCAGGAATTTAATGTGACTGTTTATATTAATTTTTTTTCACATAGTACTCCTCATTGTTAAAATATTTTGGAGGGAAAATGACCATTTCTACTCCTTAAAATAATTCTAATCAAAGTGAGTGATTGTAGTAAAAAAAATAAATAAGTTATTTGAAGTAGTCAGCTTCTAGTGAAAACATTCCAAGCTCAACAAGCAATTTCTTTTCCTGTGTTTATCCCTGGGACTCCATTGCTATACCACAGAGATACAGAGTCTTCTATGTGTCTCAGTGCAGAGATTTAATTAACCATGAAGGTGCTTGATGGTGAGAAATCCTGCTTATTCATGGGGTTTTAACATCTATGAAAAGGAAATACCATGGTTTTTAGGTCTGGTCACGCAGTCGTACATTTGTGTTGAGAAACTTACCGGGAGGGGGCTTATTCCTTAAATAAATAAACTGATTGAAAATATGTGCTGCTGTAGGTGAGAGATACCAGAACGACTGACAGTTGTTCTTCTTAGATGGATCAAAATAACTTGAATTGGAACTTTACATATATACATATAATGAAAGCAAATGCTGAATAGATGAGAATATATAGTGACACTACCCTGAAGGATATTAATCAGAAAGCATCTTAGAAAACATGTATATGAACAACTTGAAATCACAAGCTCAAGTTAGACCACTTGACTATAATTTCAAATTATGTGATATGAATTTATCCCCCAGTGAAAAGTTATTTTTAACCAAGAATAGCCACAATTCAGATTAACCTGAACACTGGAAAAGCAAGTTAGAAAAGCCATATGTCCCTCAACAAACTGTAAAATATGAAATAAAAACTGTGAATGTAAAGAATAGATTTCCAGTGCTTTCAACTTCTAAAGTCTGTTTGAAGAAGGCTCAATGCCATTTTTCATGTGGTGCCATATGTTACCTGGTGGTAATTTTCCCCAGCACTTGGATCCATTTTTGGCTGCATAAACCAGTAACTTGTTTGCAGCCATCAGCTGGTCTAGACAGACAATTCTTTTGAGATCCATTCTCTTTTGATGGGTTTATCAGATTTCCACCCCTATTTTCCCTTTAAAATTTTCTACATCTTCCTGTCTCTCCTGTTTGCACATACGACGCAATGACACTCACAGTTGTGCATTGGCCTAACATCTCCAACAGCAGCAGAAACAGCAGGACAGAAGAGCAGTGTATTGTATATTTTGCACGCCTCCCAAACTTTCCTGTTGGGAATAATTCCTTCCTTACCTACTTCCGTAAAGATAGCCACCCCTAGCTCACTCTCAGTTTCTTTAAGTAGTGAATACCAAGGACAGTCTAGACCACCTAAGAAGCAATGAAAAGGGACTTCAAGGAGCACACAATCTGGACACTAGGTTCCTAGATCTGAGCCCTAATTTTGTCACTGTAATATGTGCAACCCTAGGCAATTACTAAACCTTCTCATGTTCATTTTCCCACCTGCAACAGGGAGGGTAATTGTTGTGAGGGTCTTAGGTTGTTAAAAAGATTACATGGCAACAGGGCCTAAAAATTTCCTATACCACTTTGGGAGGCCGAGGCGGATGGATCACGAGGTCAGGAGTTCAACACCAGCCTGGCCAAGATGGTGAAACCCTGTCTCTACTAAAAATAAAATACAAAAAAATTAGTCAAGTGTGGTGGTGGGAGGCTGTAATCCCAGCTACTCGGGAGGCTGAGGCAGAGAATTGCTTGAACCCGCGAGGCAGAGGTTGCAGTGAGCCGAGATCGCACCACTGCACTCCAGCCTGGGTGACAGAGCAAGACTCCATCTTAAAAAAAAAAAAGTTTTCTATACCATGCTTGGCATGTTATAAACAGTCAATAAATATTATTCTTAGAAAAGGCTAGAGACCTAATCATTTGAAATCCAGTAAAGAGACATTAAACACATAAAACAGAGAATTCTTATCTGTAACTACATTGTACAGAGATATTTATTTCCTCTGGCAAGCACTATGTTGTATAAGTAGAAAAAAAGAGTTCAGTCCATAGAGAGTATTACTTAAAAAAAAAAAAAAAAGAGTAGGGAGTGCTTTAATCAAGTTGTGTTCAACCACGGGGATATTTTTTGTTTATTTTCAGAGCAGAAGGACTGTGCTCTGGTAGTCCTGTCCTGCCGGATGTGTGAGATATTTAAAAATCAATTCCAGAAATCAAAGCAGTACTGTTCAAGATGCATCAAGGGCTAGATTTGAGCCACATGGTCAATGTAAATAATGTAAAGGTATAAGTCACACTTTACGGTAAGTTGAACAAAATAGAAGGAACACGGCAAGCTAATGAAATAATTAAAATCAGTGGAAAATAACCAGTTGTTTTGTTCCAGAAATGAAAAAAAATGTCCATTTCTATAGACATATCACTTAGCCCTAAATATATATACACATGTATATATGATGGCTACAAATGAGTTTGCGATTTTCCTCTGAAAGTATTTGAGCAGGAAATAAAACCTTTTCCCAGTGGATGAAATAACAGTCATTTCTGCCAATCTAAGCAAGGCAGATTTAAATTTTATATGTGTCCAACTGCTTGTTCCCTCTTAGCTAATAACCGGCATGCTGGAAACATTTCAAATGAAAGGGAGTTCACAGCCCCACAACTCGGCTCTGAATATATCTACCATGCATGTAAACAAGTAAACCATTATGTTTCTTATTGAGATAAAGAACACAATGATAAGTGGGGACTTTCACAAAACAAAGAGCTTCCTATTGCGAGTGTGGATAATCTTCCAGAAAACCCTGTGTTTTGGCAAATCATGCCAGATTCATCTATTAGGCATCTCCTTTCATTATCAAATTTCCGCTGCCTATCACAGTGGCTGCCTTATCAAGCACCCCTTTTTTAATAGCAGCCCCATTCCTAAGATTTCAGATGCTGGCCTTCCCTGCTCAGAAAACAGGTGTCCCTACTGTTTGCAGGCAGCAAAGGTCCCTGCACAGAAGCCTGGGAAAGGGCAGGGCTATCAGGCTCTGTTCTACCTGAAGGAACAGGTAACAGAAAACTGTTGATTCAATGAATAGAACTTAATTGGCACACATTAGCCAGGAGTGAGTGTTTTTTAGAATTAAAATTCCTTTAAAAGTTCCCACTGACAAGAAAAGCTTTAAAACATAAAGCATAGAAGATTTTGTTTTCTAATAATCAAGTGGACAGCGCCAAACAATAGAACTATTCTTTACAGAATCCCCTTGTAAACAGAATATTCACCCAAATTCATTCTTAAAATCAGGTATCAAGGTTTATGACAACTTCACAAAGTTACCTGTGGGGCTTAAGCTGCTGGGCATATTGTCCATATTCAGGGGAAAATACATTTCGTGGCTCTACAAGAGGCTAATATTCCAAGTCAATTAGGATGATGTATCAGGTTTTCTGGTTCTCAGTGTCTCCACTTGCCAGCCTGTCTTCTCTTTCTTACTTAATAAAACTGGGCATGTGGTTTCTGACCAGCTCTTTTGTGTGCTAGGCCAGGGTCACTCACCAACATGGAGCAGTGAACCCCACCGTTAACAAAAAACTCTGTTTTAATGGTGATGTGCAAAAATATGCTCAAACACCTGCTTGTTTACAATACAGATAATATTTGTAGGAAAGATATAAATCATGCTTATATTGAAATTTATTTGCAGAGAGTCATTCAGAGGAAGACAGTCATTCTGTTTTGCTTAGTCAACACCAAGATTTCTTTAATTTCTCCTTGTCAAATTTGTACCCGTCATGTTTTTGTCTTGCTAGTATTACCTATGCCCATCTGCATTCTCTAGCAAGTAGAAAGACTTCATTCTCTGCCCTGAACTTAGCCCTTAAAAGTTGGCTGGTGTGTGCTTTACTGTAATAAAATAAAGGCATTCAGGAAGGCCACCGTACTGACAACCGGAAGATCCAGTCTGCCTGCAGCTTCCCCGCCTGACGGCGGGACGGCTCAGAGATGGGTGCTGGATCTGCAGGGTGGATAGGAAGCAATTGATAAGCACATGCCTTTGCTTCCGGCCCTCTACAGCACCAGCTTTGTTTCATCTACAGATGATTAAATGGTCTACAGGGCAATTATGAACTGAAGGAAGGAACAGCCAACTCTCTCCAGGTTTCCTCAATCAGCGTGATTGAATTTCTCAAAGGCAGGCAGCAGTAGCAGAAGCAGTTTCAACGACTTTTCCTGGAAAATGTTCGGCAGCTCAGAATTGAGCCTTTCACTTAACTGCTTGCTGTTTCATTTTATTATGTGCAAATTGTGGTTTAATAGATTTACAGTCACTATAAACCCTCAACTGTTAGGGTAGCCCAAGTGGCTAGTACACATTAAAATGAATGGTCTGAACCCCAAAAAACTGATACTTGCAAATTCTAAGCAGGAATGCAATAAACTCTATTTTAATAAACAGCATATTGACATCTTACGCGATTTTCTTTCAAGGAGGAATATTTTTATTACCCTTTATAAATGATAGGAAAATATATGGTATTCATTTAATGTGGGGGTAAACTAGAAGGAGCTCTTGAGAAAAGTTGAGATAATTATTTATCATACCACAATGGAAAGGTAAAGTCCTCTTATTTAAACATTGATTTAGGAATTTATACAGAAGATAAATGTGTATATAAATACACATATTACAAATCTCCATTTTAACAAGAAACAAGTAGATAAACACATGAATTCCTTTCTTCTTCCTTGCACATTAACAGTAAAACAAAACAAACAAAAAGACCATTGTTTAAATTTAATACACTAATTAAACTTGGACTACTAATTTTGTGTCAGTGTCTTCATCATGGGTTTCTATCCACAATGATCACAGCCCGATCAGAATCCCAATGTTTGAGTTATTGGCCTAATATGAATGATGTTTACAGCTGTGTTGAAATAATCTGTTAGCCAAACAGGGCTTTTGAAAAGCTTTATTAAAACTGTGCAACTGGCATCTAAAAAGGATCCTGGACTTGGTGTCATAATCCCTGCATGCAGTTCCTGAGGCACGCTGATATACGGTTTGATTTTGGACTCTGATTTAGGTTTCACTTTAAACCTCTGGGACTCAGGTTTCTCATCTATTAAATGGGGTTTTATCTTCCCTGATTGGCTCATGTCATTTTGAGAATTCTGCACCCCCCGCAAAAGTGAAATAGCTTTGACAAATATAAAATGGAACATAAAGAGCATATTAATGGAACAATAACACTGTTAACAAGTTACTGGATAGATTTGATTGGTTGTCTAAGTCAATTAGTTGTCTGCCAATCATCAGCAGCATCGGTAAGGATTTTGATCTGTTAAAAGAAAAACCTTACACAAATTAAATTTAACAGAGTTTAATTGAGCAAAGAATGACTTGTGAATCAGGCAGCTTCCAGAGCCCAACTAGGCTCAGGAGAGACTCCAGCACAGCCACGTGGTGGAAGAAGACTTAGGGACAGAAAAAGGGAAGTGATGTTAAGAAAACTTAAGTAAGCTATGGAAGCAGCGGGATTAGTTATAGCTCTGTGTTTGCCTTATTTGAACACAGTTTGAACAGTTGCCCCCCTTTGATTGGCTAAAGCTTGGTGATTGGCACAAGAGTAGGTTATAGTCTGTTTACCCCACCAATTAGGTTGCAGTTCACTATGTACTGAGATACCTTTAGGCCGAATTTAAAATATGTAAGGAGGCAGCTTTAGGCTAAACTTGGTTTAACAGATCGCAACACTATAAAAGCAGCCTGCAAGAGAAAGGAGATAAAACAAGTTAATGTAATAAACTCTTTTACATTGTGACTTAAGTTTCCAAGAGAATCACATCAGAAATAGCATATATTAATGATTATGTAATGGTTTGTAGCCATTTTAAGTGTGAGCAGTTGATGGTTTAATAACTAGACTACTGTTTGAATGCTTAAATCCAGGGGTGGTTAAGTCTGGACTATTTCATGACTAGGCAGAACAAAGTAAGTCCTAACTTTACATGACTTGTAGGAAGCAAACACAAATCGGTAAATATTGAATAATGAAAATGTCTATGAAACTTTTGCCAGGATAATATAATTTCTTTTAGCATTATTTAGAGTAAGAGACTCTTTCTGCCTTAAATCATATAATAGAACCTATGATCAAATACTAATCTTAGGAATATGAGTTCAAGTCACTGATTTGAGTGAAATAATTTTAAACATTTAAATAATAAATTTTTACTCAGCAGTAATTTTATTGACATTTATTTTTCCTATGAGCGTTTTCCAAAGGAAAATCAACTTAATATATTAGAGATTAGATTAAATAATTAGTGAATTATTCAGACTTCCAATGGTCTATTTTAACTTTCAGCAACATCTGTAAAAAGAGAAAAAAATATAAAACTCATGTCAATTCGATCTCTACCTTTTAAAAAGTGGCAAAAGACTTGAAATTGTAGGGAAAGAGCTGATTCCTTTGCTTTGTACATACTTTATGTCAGGTAGAGAATGTGGTGCAGATTTTAATACGTTTAAATTCACTGCTATTCTTATCTGAAGATGGTTGGCATTATGTAATTCATTTAGAAGTAATTAATGAGATGGATACCAGACAAACTAAATGGGACAAGAAAATAAAAATTTGGGGTAAAGATGTGTTAAAGCAAAAATCAACTTATAGAAAGAGAAATATAAAAATGTTTGCTGAGAAATTTACTTTGATTACCCACAGGGTCTTTGAATTGGACTAAAAAATCCCAAAGATGTTTTTAAAAATGTGTACATGTTTAAATAAGTTAATGTCTCTACATATCTTTATTTTGTTTACAAATTTCTCATCTTTATAAAAAAAGGAATATATAATTATTCATTGAGAAACATTTGGGAAAACATTTCTTTATGATATGCCCTTGAAATAACATCTGTTTTGTATAATGTAGATAGGAGAAAAATCCTTATCCATCCACACAGCCACTTAAAGTGTAAGAATATATAAAGTATAATGTGATTTGCTGCATTTTTGTTGTGAAATATAATATTAAAGTGGATCAGATGCTCCCAACTGTAATTTTAAAATTGTGTAGACTTCTACACTTCATTAACAAACTACAGATGTATAGATAATAAGACTCTTTATTGGACAATATGCTATTATGCAGCTGTTAGCACAATGCAGTAAAGAAGGTCATTTGCAAATCTCATTAATAGTTCTACCATTTTCCACCACTTGAATGAAAAGTGATAATGTACAGATCTCACAGTCATTAAGAACGTTCTGTTACTCCTTTAGGATTAATTTGCACTGACCCAGAATTTTGTATTTGCTTAACACAAGCCGTGAGTTACTTTGATGTTATCTGCTTCTATAAACAGTAATATACAGTCCTCTCCTGGGCTAAAACAGCTCTTATTCCAGTGAGAATTGATGGTATTAATCATTCTGAAGTCCAAGAGTGGTGATCATAAATTGTATGCAGGGACCTCACTTAGTACCTCCCAGGACTCCCATTCATCAGCAATTCCTCTTTTCCACCTGGATACAAAGTATATAAAGAGTAATTTATCTCAGAACTTGGGCTCTGCAATCTTCTTGATGTTTAGGTGACATGAGAAACGTTTGGAAACAAATAAATAATTATTCTCCATTCTTTTGAAATAAAGACCTAAATTGTCTGCCATTTCTCAAGTTTGATTCCCTCAAGTGGCCAGAATGGAAAATGCATGTCTTGCCTTAAAATATCCTGCATATGAAATAAGCTGGAATGACAGCAGATAAGGGGAATTACTTTTCAACAATATTAAAAATAAAAGAGTAACTTTAAATCATGACCAAATTAGCACAGACTTATTCTCACCAAACATTAATGCTAAAAATGCTAGCTATAATTTATGAACTCTTAGGCCTGGAAAAATGTCTAGATGCATTATTTTTTTAAATGCAAACCTGCTAAGATCTGCAGAAATATTTATCTTAAACAAAAGCTGAACAAATCACTCAGCTCAAGATCAATACATATCAAGAGAAAACACAGAAAACAACTCCATTACACAGATATTGTTGGCGGAATCTCCTTCCACACCGTCAAATTAGCTGTCAAATCTGAGAAAAGGTTGACTTTGGTATTTAGATTTTAGGAAAAAATGTATCCTCATAGAGAATGGAAGAAAATAAGCAACAGGAGCAATAACCAAGAAGTATGCTTAGAGGTTAGATGAAACTCTTGAATTTCAGGCGGTGTGCATTTCTTCATATGATCTCATTGTGTCGATTTTGGCATTTTCCATCACATAAGTGAAAGAAGACAAACCAAAACACAAGACACAAACTTTAAACCATGGAGTCATTTCTGGAACATTTCTTGTTTCATCCTAAGCTTTAGCTGGATTCGTGAATTTCAAAGCTCTTCATGGTTCATTGTGAATATGTGCTTTTAAAATTTTACTGGGCTCCAAACTTATCACTGTGAGTTTATTTTATGTTAAGCACCTTAAAAATCCAATCCTTAAGATGCCAATAGAAACAAAAACAAATAAATAAACTATTGCACTGGGCCAAAAAAAAAAAAAAAAAAAAGCCAATTTAAGTAGGTAAACTTAAAAGATTTTTGCCAGAATGTGAACTGAAAGGATTAAAAATCGTGCCAACACAATCCTTTTTTTTCACTGCAACTATAAACGTCACAATATTTTTTTCCAAATGCGATTAAAAAAATGGAGAGTAGAAATATGTGGTACCCAAAGTTATTCTACAGACTGTTATTTGACAGTCTCCTTTGGAAGATAGTTTAGCTTTTGCAGAGTTCTACTATCAGAGCTTACATTTTTGGTATTACAGAAGTTCTTTGCTTAAGGAACCTCATTTACATGCTAAAATGCGTCTGCTTAACATTTGTGAATTGCATAGTTCACTGAATTGAACACTGAACTAGTTGTGAGCCAAAAATAACACAAATATGCTTGTTCCTATCTAGGAATTCAGCCTGTTCTCTACAGATTATAATCTGAATGACATGGAGAAAATATTGGTCAGTTATCTATACAATAAATGACTTGTATCCAAAATATAGGAAGAACTCTTTGATATGGTTTGGCTGTGTCCCCACCCAAATCTCATCTTGAATTGTAGTTCCCATAATCCCCATGTGTGCTGGGAGGGACACGGTGGGAGGTAATTGAATCATGGGGGCAGTTTCCCCCATGCGATTCTCGTGATAGTAACTTCTCACAAAATCTGATGGTTTTATAAGGGGCTTCCCCATTCGCTTTGCTCTCATTCTTCTCCTTGCTGCCACCATGTGAAGAAGGATGTGTTTGCTTCCCCTTGTGCCATGATTGTAAGTTTCCTGAGGCATCTCCAGCCATGCTGAACTGTGAGTCAATAAATCTCTTCCTTTATAAATTACACAGTCTCATGTGTCTTTATTAGCACCATGAGAATGGATTAATATATTCTTGTAACTCAGTAATAAAGACAACCAATCCAATTAAAAATGGGCAAAAGATATGAAGAGAGGTTTCTCCAAAAAAGATAGCAAATGTCCAATAAGCATGTAGCGACATGTGAAACATCATTAGTTGTTAGGGACATGCAAATCAAAACCATAATGAGATACTACTTCATACCCGTCAGGATGGCTAATAGGCAGAGAGTGACAAGTGTTGACAAAGATGTAGAAAAAATAGAACATTTATACATTGCTAGTGGAAGCTACTTTCGGAAACAGTTTTTCAGAAAAAGTTAAACATAGACTGATCCTATGATCCATCAGTTCTACTTCCGTGCATTTATCTAGGAGCAGTGGAAAAAGCTCCACGTGAAGACTTATACATGAATGCTTATAGTAGCATTATTTATAATACCCAAACAATAGAAACAACCCAAATGTCTATCAACTGATGAAACAATATGTGGTAAATCCTTGCAGTAGAACACTATTCCACAAGAAAAAGAAATGAAGTACTGATACATGATACAACAGGGAAGAACATCAAAAACATCATGCCCAGTGAAAGAAGTCAGTCACAAAAGACCACACCTTATATAACTATCTCTGTTTAAAAAATGCCCAGAAAAAGAAAATCTGTAAAGACAGAAAGTAGATTACTGCTTGCCTGGGGCTAGGGGAGTGGGAACGGGGAATGACTAAGTGAATGTAAGATTTGCTTTTAGGGAAATGTTCTAAACTTAGATTCTGGTGATGATTGTATAACTCTAAATACACTAAATTGTTTTGAATTGTACACCTAAAACAGATGAAGAGTAACTTTCATAGTATGTAAACTATATCTCAGTAAAGCTGCTTAAAAAAATAACCAGCATGTGCGGGGGGAAATGGGGGAAGAGCAGAGTCGGGTGATGCAGGGTCTCATAGGCTCGTCATATTAAGAGGTGTCTTTTTCCTCAAAGCAATGGAAAATCATGAAAAGATTTTAGTAAGGGATAAATGGTAGTGATGATGTGATCACATTTGCATTCTAAAGAACAGCATGACCAATGTGTGCAAAACAACCTAGAATTAGAGGTAGAATGAGTAGATATTTTTTTCTATGCTCACCAGGTCCCTAACTCCTGAGTTGTCATATGACTCAAATGTCAATGAGTGATTTACCCGTTTACCTGCATTTGTTTATCCATTACCCCTTCTTCCTGAAACACCACAAGGAATTCTGGAAACAGGGATGATGTCTTATTTAACTTTGTATTCTCAGCACCCAACACTTGGTCTGGAATTCAACAGGCTTTCAACTAATGTTTACACAATGAATGATGTTGAAAGGAGCAAAGAGGCCGGGTGCAGTGGCTCATGCCTGTAATCCCAGCACTTTGGGAGGCCGAGGCAGTCAGATCACCTGAGGTCGGGAGTTCGAGACCAGCCTGACCAACATAGAGAAACCCTGCCTCTACTAAAAAAAAAAAAAAAAAAAAATCAGCCAGGCATGGTGGTGCATGCCTGTAATCCCAGCTACTTGGGAGGCTGAGGCAGGAGAATCGCTTGAACCTGGAAGGAGGAGGTTGCGGTGAGCCGAGATCACGCCACTGTACTCCAGCCTGGGCAACAAGAGTGAAACTCTGTCTCAAAAAAAAAAAAAAAAAAAAAAAAAAAAAGGCAAGGAGCAAAGGATCATAAACAATTCAACCTTATGTCCAACATTCTCTGCTGATTGGATAGGCTGGTTGTCTTCTGTCCCAGTTGGTAGTTTTGCAAATGGAATCACAGTTTGATCTCTAATTGGAAGACACCACAAAATTATTATGCTACCCACTTTGCCCTAAACTCTTTTGGAATCAATATTTTAAGCAATAATAAATAAATCAAAAGATGATTTGTAATGCAAACATATTCTCTGTGCCTACTGCAGTTGGGCAAACATTGGCAACAGAATTCTAATTTAGATATTTCCTGAATTTTGTGTACTTTCTGCATGAAGTCTTAATAGCTGGCTTCAATAGGTTAAACATGATTTGTTAAGCTAAATAAAATATTGATAAAACTGATTATGCTACCTATAAAATTGATGTGCAACTGAGATGTGCTAGTAATATTAGAGTAAAACATTTTTGGAAGGCTCATATAATTGCTAGCTCACTATAACTCCATTTTAAGAGAAAGAGGGAACAATCTTATATCGTTGATATGTAAAAACAAAGCCAAACTCAAACAACTCCCAGTTTATGTCCTAGAGATGGTCCATATTCAGCCCAATCATTTATGTTTAAAATACACACGTGATGTTTTGAAAGATAATTCAAGTCTAGGACTCTGATCACACGACTTTGAGTGATCCTAAACAGGAAAGAAAGACACTCTGTTGTATAAAGGATTATAAATAATGGTAAAAACAAACAAACAAAAAAACAGCTATAACAATTACTTGGCCAGAACTATTCCTTATTCATTTGAAAGTCTATTTTGTATGAATTTGACAAAATAGGAATATATTATACAAAAGTAAATAACTGGCAACAATTGAATTCAATGGCACATTTTTCTGGATTCTCTTAGCTGGAACCTCTATTGAGTCTATACTCAACAGAACTGGAATCCAGTGTAACATGTATTACATAGAAAAGTTATTGGTTGCCCTATATTTTTTTCTACACAGGGTCCCTGACCTATCAGACACAAAGCCAAAGAGATCTTGAAAACTATTTGTTCAACAACGTTTCAATTAACTGCTCTGTTTAATTTTTTTTAAGTCCAAATTAACCACTTATCTAAATGGACTGTTTTGTGATTGTATCTTGGGAGTAACTGTTGGCAAATTTTTGATTTGCTGTAATAAACTGGGCCAATATCTTTATTGTTTTAGCTGACACACTTTTCTATTTTATGTAAGTAGTCTGGTATTTTCAAGCCATTTCACTAAATTTTGAATAACTTTTTCCAAGTTGCTTTTCTAATTGAGCCTTGAGCCATAACTACAAGGACAGTCTGAGGTTCTAAGGTTTAGATGAAGTTCAGTAATTTGAAAGGGGAAAAAAAGACAAGTCAAAAAGAAGTAAAAATATGTTTCTTTCATGTTGCTATCACTCAAAAATAAAAGCAGATTTTTCTCAGACTAGACCTCTACCCACAAATCAACTTTGGGCAGTATCAAACAGTAATTTAGTCTCAAAAGAATTTTTTTTTTTAAGAAAATGACATAAGCCATTATGATTGTGTTGCTAAACAATTTGAAATCCATCTATGGCACAGAGTCTTTATAAAGTCCATGTGCCATTTTAAACATTTTAACTTTAATAATTTAGATTTATAGGTATGATATAAACCATCTGCATTTTCCCGGTTGTAAGCAGTGAATTTTCTTCTCACAGCTGGCCTGGACTTAAGTTCTGTGAGCCAAGAGGGGCACTGGCCTCCCCATGTGTGGTAGTCATCTTTTGTAATAAAGCTGAAATAAGAGTATATTGTGCAAAGTTGTGTAATGTGGTCCTAAACTTTACTAAGTTGCTTTTGAATGCTGTTGAACATTATTTCTATTGTGCATTTCAAACCCAAGTTGTTGTCATTTAACAGGCAGAAAGATTTTATGAAGATCTCATATTTTGGATTACAAAGCCTCCACATTCTTCAGTAGTCATAGAACTTCTTAATTTAGCCATGCAGAGTAAAAACTCCATTAACAGGGGTTGAGAACAGTCCACCAGAACTTGGCACATCTCAGGCTATTTGGTAAGGCACAAGTGTGCACATTCTTGAATGAATGCTTAAAGGTGCCATTAGAATTGATTTGTGGGGCAGAGGTGACACAGTAATACATAAAATCTTCTCTTGGCTTGTGTTTTGAAGCAAATAACCAGCAAGCTAAGATAACAGAGTGAGCATTTTTAGATAACTCGTTAGTGTCCAGTAAGAGAGTTAAAGGAACGTCAGAATAATACTCACCTCTGTAGCAGGAGGCCACCATCAGCAAGCAGGAGAAAAGGTGTATGGAGTGGGATAGTGCTTACCGGAATGCAGTCAAGTATCATGGAGAACAGGTTAAAAGAGGAACGGCCAGTGTCAGCAAATGGAACAAGGGGTGCTGAATCAGCATGCAGAATCAGCAGTGAGGCAAAAGTCACCAAGAATGGGAAGGCATCAGAGTCGAGAGGGGTGGGTGGCACTGGCCATTCTCTCAAGTTCACTGCAACATCAAGCCGCCACCTCCCAGCCCACCTCAGTCTCCTTGGTGGGCTTGGCCAGTGCATTGTCCTTTAGGTGAGAGGAGAGCATGGGCCAAGCAGCCACACTGCAATGCTGAGATTTGTGCATTGTGTAGTCCTGCATTCATGCAGCTTGCACCTCTCTGTGCCAGACACTGCATCTTTCAGGCAGGTTAAAAACAAGACTATTCAGTAAAAGGTAATGTCTATTAGAAAGAATAATTCAGCGACTTTATGCAATGATGGATTCCCAGTTAATTTTTTAACAAGTCAGGGAAAAAATGACCTAGCCCTGCATGATAAAAAACACTTTGACAGCTCAATGGAAGTTTAGTATGCAGTGGCTGACAGCAACTTCAACATGGTCAGCTGCATGGAAAGAGAGCCAGGCAGATATTTACTTCAGGAGGGGCATAGAGGCCTCACAAATAGGTCCCTACTGCCCAAATACCCCATCAGTATACAAGACCACTGCATGTATGCTGAAGGCATACTGGTCCACATAGAAACTACCAAGGCGTGTTATATTGTCACCATATATGTTGGTGCCTACGTATATACACACACGCTTTAATGATTTTGCCATCAGAAAGCACATGATAGAAACAACATTAAAGATCAATAATACCCTTTTAGCTCTGAAATTGTTGCAGAGGGGGGAATATATTTACCTTTAAAAAAGAAATACTATAGCATTAATATAGAAAGAAACAACACACTTCTGTAAGTACTTATTGAACATCTACTATGTACAAGAGTAGGTGCTATAAAAAATGCAGAAAACATAGACCTTGCCCCATGGGCCTCATCTGAACCTAGTAAGGGAGAAATACTTGTATAAATAACTAATTATAATATATGAAAGAAGGTGAGAGTGCTTTCAGTAGAGGTGCTTGCAAACGCTAATAAGAGTATTGTAGAGGATGGGTTTATTCTAGAGGATTTTTGTAAAACATCAGCATTAAATCTTCTCGCTTGTGTCACCATCATGTATAATGCACAATGCTGTAGTAAAAATAACTGATTCTGTCCCATACATGGCAACTCAGTTGTGGTGGTTTGGAGTATAAATGCTATAGGGTAAATAATTCAGAGTTCAGACTTAATCACTGGAAAGGTCAAACTTGACATTGAGCTTTCTCCTTTCTCAAAGTTTTATCCCTTGCCAACTTCAGGAAGTTATCCAGTGTGGGGAAGTTGGGTGGATGTTGCCTCTGTTCCTCTCTGGTCTCTGTTAAGATGTCTCATCCCTGGTGGTCTATGGTGCTGGCCTCCGTCCTGCAGGGTCTGCAGCTGCTGTCCTGGCCTCCCCTGCCCCCAGGCAGTGCTAGCAGCACCTGCAGTTGAGGTCTACAAGTTGAGCCGCCAGCACTCTGCTCTTCTCACCCAGCACTGCTGCACACAAAAACTGCATGCATGGGGACACACACACGGGATCTCCTCCAGGCCCGCTCCAGCACAAGGAGATAGAAACTGTTCTATTGAGCTTTCTCACGCCCTAAATATTCCATGCCACTATGTTTTCTTTTTTCTTTTTTTTTTTTTTTTCAAGATGGATTCTCACTTTGTCGCTCAGACTGGAGAGCAGTGGCACGATCTCAGCTCACAGCAGCCTCTGCTTCCTGGAGTCAAGCGATTCTCCTGTCTCAGTCTCCAGTGTAGCTGGGATTACAGGTATGTACCATGATGCGTGGCTAATTTTTATTTTTTATTTTCGATGTCTGGCTAATTTTTTTGGGTATTTTTAGTAGAGACCATGTTGGCCCAGCTGGTCTTGAACTCTTGACCTCAAGTGATCACCCGCCTCGGCCTCCCAAAGTGCTGGGGACTATAGGCGTGAGCCACCATGCCCGGCCTCATGTTTTCTTTATTACAAGCACTACATACAGGAATAGGAAATGCTGTGACACTACCTCTTCCCAGAATTCCAGGTGGGAAGCAGGCCCAAGTCTCTTCTGTTCTTGAAATCCTGATCTGGAACTCCATCGTGGGGATTCCCTTGCCTTTGCTAAGTTAAAAACTTAGAGAGAGGCACCCAGGAACACATTCAGTCACAATCTGGGTTTCCCTCCTCTTTCTCTTCAGCCTCCCCATGACACTGGGAAGGAGTGAGAAGAGTGTGCTCTGCTTTCTGGTTTGAGATAAAGACTCTTTCTTGATACTTAAAGGAAGTGTTTAAGACTCAGGAAAACCTTTCACTCTCAAGAACCAATCTCTTGCAAATAGAAAGATATTTGGTCTATGCTCACACACTTGATGATTGCATAAAATTGCCTTCACATTTTTTATTGCATCCATTCTCTCCTGAAGTGAGGATCTCATAAGCAGAGAACTGCAGAATTCTAGCACACCCTGTCTAGCATGTGGTCTGGGTTATCTGTGTCTTTCGTTATCTGAATTATTTCACAACCCTGTGAGCTTTAGAAAACAGATGCAATGCAAATGATTCCTGTTAATAAAAATGCAAATACATTTTTTCTGGTGGCGATGTCCATTGACTAGTTTTGCATCTATTAGCAAATTCCTTTTAGCATTTGTGATGGCACATATGTATGCATGCTTTTGAATTCTCTTTTTTTGTGCCAGTTATAACAGCTGTTTTCCTCATTCATTAATGGGTTAAGTAGAATTTTTGACATATATTCATTTTATATTTGTATGAGAATCATGATTTTACCTTTTATACTAATTATTCTTTAACAATTTTTTATCCCTACTTAAATGGTGAGAGAATTAAGGTTCAAAGAAATCTATCAAATTGCCCAGGTTTAGAAAAGTAATAGATAGAAGCAACATTTGAGCCTATATATTTGACCTTAAGCCCAAGTTCTTAAATTCTATACTACTTCAAGATTAAACATAAAGAAATCTGAAAAATATATTATAGGTCCACAGGCAAGCATTCTAAAAATTCCAGAACTGTCCTATAATTGTTTTTCTTTAAAATGTATAACAACCCCAGCTTTGTGCCTTTGTTGAGAGAAAAGTTAAGTCCTTCACATTGTAGTTTTAAAGCAAAAAGCTGTAGAACTCACTGTCATACCTATAATTTTATAGGTAGCCACTCCTGTCCCATGCCCACGTTAAATGGTTGTCTGAGAAAAAATCCTCATGGCATTTCTGGATATATACTAGGGCAATTTTTCAAAGTACATTTTTACACTATACTTTATGGAAAAAACTATGAGTCACAACTAGGAAAAAAATGTCTCCAGCTTTTATACCACATAATTAAACACTCCACATAATTAAATACCCTATGTGGAGAGGAAGGAGAAAAAAGGGGTTTATTAGGTTACTTAAAATGGTCTTTTGAAGATAGTTTGGTTAAGAGCATCACCTCAAACTTATTTTTGAGTGATTATTTCTAAAAAACAAAATATTACCAATGCTCAGACATAGAACAAATACTTATTTGAGGAAAACAGAGTGATATTTCAGCGATGCTGTTTGTCAGCATTTCACAGTGCAATAAATGTCATGTTTATTTAACTACATTTCAAGTAGATCACTTTTTCTTAAAAACAGTCACAATTATATGTCTCAAAAAATTTCAAACTTTGCTAAACAAACCCAACCACGTGTCAATTCACATTTTTAAATGAATTTTGAGAAACCAAAGGGAGAATAAATATCTCAATAAACCAGATTTGTTAGACCCAGTATGTTCTTGAAAGGAATTGGATAGTCTCTGTTTCAGGAATTCTTTGAAACAAAGAAGTGAATCCAGTATTCTTCTTGAGTTTAGATATAGCAATTCAATAACTTTAATTACATCAGCTATATATATAATACTATGCCCTTCTTTTCTGTCTGAAAGGAGAGGAAGTATTATGGCAGACATTGGTTTTTGCCCACCTCACAATCATTCTTACTAGCTAAAAGAACTTGAGATTGTATTCAGGTAACAGGTGGAGCATCCTGATGTCAGTGAGAGTAGATCTCTGCTAAGTCATAGGAAATAAAAATCAAGACTGGTTAATCAAGACTGGTATAAATGAGGTGTGGTTATCTATGTCCCTTAGCCAGTCCAGGTGTGGTCATGACTCTCAGATTCAGCAATGAGATGCAATGGAGATTCTGCTGGGACTAAAAAGATCTGGGACGGATCATGACGACTGGAGAAGCAGCAGCCATTTTATGATCACAGAGCACAAAGCCAACATGCTGAGGTCGACAGACAGAAAGGACAGAGAGAGGCTAGTACCCTGAGGATATTACTGAGTTGCTGCACCAAACCTGGAACCACCCACCCCCTCCAGACATTTCCTGTGAGCTAATGCAATGTCTTTATTGCTTAAGTGACTGAGTGCCCTCCCTTCTTATGGCTCTCCTAGGTAAGCCTCTGCACTACCATATTTTTAGGGCCCCCATGTAGGCTGCACACTCTAAACAAAACCCCATAACCTGGACGATGTCTCTTATTTTTTTTCTAAAAAGTGATTAAGGCAATCTAATTTACAGATAAACATTCAATGAGCAATAAACACCATTTTCTTCCTTTCACACATACTTTCCTTCTTGTTTAATATGCAGAAGTACATTTTTATGTTTAAGTAAGTTTATGCCTACTCTTTTATTTTTGAAATTTTCCACTTCATTTATAATCATCTTTCAAGTTGGTTATTCTAATGCCTTAATACCATTCAATTTTCCTTTATAATATTCCATTTACCTTTGGTTACCAGTCCATTTTCTAACATAAGAGCATTCTGAGTTGTTTCTGGATCTACTTTTGCTCTTCCTCACACCGTTAATATGTTTCTAACCAGTATTCATTTTACTTAAGGCTTTGAGCTCTTAACACAAAATAAAACAAAACAAACCCTCTAGGGAGGTGTTTGGTGCCTAGTACACAGTAGGCAGCCAATAAGCAAATGAATGAGTTGTGTTTATGAATTCACACCTAAAGTTAAGGTGTGAGTATGCTTTGTAATATTAACTGTGGGTTTCTCTTTTCTGATTATAGGAGGAGACACATTATGGAAAAATTGGTAAATATAGAAATGTACAATGATGAAAACTCCAATTATCTATAGTATGTATATATATTTTAACACTTTATATGGCTCTATGAACACAATGCCTGTAAAGCCACAGGAATAAGCCCACTGGTAGGAAGCTCAGGGCCATGGAGGACTTGGGACGTTTATTATTGGGCAGGTCTGGGAATATCTACAGGATTGCATTCAATGCAACGCATGCCTGCTAAAGGCAGATGGTTTGGTACTAGTGGCAACTTTAAGCTAACCACCCATTTCCGGAGGTCTTCTTAACTGCCTGTTTCCCAGCTAGAACTCTTTTGAAGACTCTTGGTATAAGCACAAGTGAGAGCAGGAAAGAGGAAATCCCCACTTGGTTTCCATAGTTTGGTGGCATCAATTCTCTTCATGTGGCAGATCTCTGCCAGGACAGCGGTAATAGAATTTAAAAGATTTAATCACTGGTTTATTTTCCAAGGAGGTAGAGAAGAAAAAGAAGGTAAGAAAAAGTCACTGAGGTCCAGCAGGGAACAGAAGTTCTCTTCTGGTTGGTCAGAGGGAGTCTTAGCAACTAGGACAACAATCACTTCAAGGCAGGGGTATTTTGGTTTCACTAGGGAGAGGCGGGTTTGTGCTGCTCCCAATTTCAACAAGGCCACACTGCTTAACAGAGAAGCGAAGACTTTTTAATGCCAGAAGCAGCAACAAATCAAGAATAGCTTTCCTATAGCAATCCACTTTTTTTAATGTTAAAATTTTTTATTGTATGCTCGGACAGCCAATCTCACATTTAGGTGAGAGTAATGTCCAATCTATATAGCAATCTACTTTGAACTAATCGTCCGTTTTTTCATTCTGTTTTGAACAAAATAGCCAACATTGAGACCACAAGAATCAGCAATTTCTCAAAACCGTTCATCTGCTGACTCAGCCCCTGGTGCCGCTACCTGTCAACAATAGATTAATTTGCTTTGGCTGAATTTGCAGGCTCTTCTCTGGCATGATCACAATACACATTCGAAAGAGCTCTGAGTTGGAGATTAAGCTGCTCCCCACTTGAGGAGAATGTGGAAAATAAGAATCTATTGTATACAATGATCTTTTGAAGTTCATATCACATACTGAAGGATTCCATGTGACTCGAGTAGGGATATAATACTTTATCTTTTTATCCTTCTGCTCTGAAAACCTTTTTGCTATTGTGAAACAATACCATAATTTTATGAAGGTCCTTGGGAGAAAAGCAAACTCATTTTAAAGCATAGGAAATAACAATCTCCAGAGAAGAGAAAGAGGCAGATGACCATGGGGAAATGTGGTATTTCCAGGAATTACGAAATGTAACTTTTGTATTTGATGTATCACTGAGATTACAGGTCCATCTTCTGTTTCAAACCTGCTGGGTGACTCTTTCTATCATTAGCCAACAAATGTCTGCTATGTTACATTTTTGTGGTATATTCTCAGGGTTATAGAGTTTCTCCTCTTTGAGTTTTTTTCCCAAGGCTCCACTGTCTAGCAGAAAGGAGTTAATGCCCTTGGCCATCAGCAAAAAAGCTACAAGCAGGGAGAAAATACATGATTGCAGAACTGAATAACTTAACAACATACAGAGATATTAAAATAAACAACCCTTGAGCTAGCAGACCATAGGACAATGGATCAGCAATTTTAGAATCTATTTCTGACTCTGTCATTGACTCAGGATACTGGGAAAGTCCTATGTTTCTGTTTTTCAAAAATTTATTACACCATCATGGCAATCATCTTTTTTTTTTTTTTGTATAAATGATGCTTGCTGAGCACCCAGAATTTAGGGACTTTTCACTAGAATAAAAAGCAGTATGATTTTCAACTTTAAAAAAGGGGAAGAATATCATATGAATTCAAATGGTGAGCAAAGACATCTACAGGAGTGACGGAATAAGATCTAATGTTATAAATGTTTGTTTTAGGGCCCCTGCAAGGGTTTTGTTTTCCCTGTGAGTTTTTGCATACAGACAGGGCCTAGTGTTTGTGGAGCACCATTTCCATGTGCCCAGAACATGATGCAATTTGCTCTAAAGCCCAAGGTAGGCAGTATCTCCATTTTGCAAATGGGAAAGCTGAGCACAGAACAGCTTAGAAATGTTGCTAAAGCTCCTGGTCTTGGTGGCTCTAAAGCCTGTACCTCAAGCTTTGTACTTCATGCACCTAAAAGTATTCCCCACCGGTGAGTATCACTTCTGACTTGTTAACATTGCTTTCCTATTCTCTTCTCCTTAATTCTACATTATCTGTTGCATTCTTAAATTCCAGGGTTAGATCTGGAGCTACAGGGATCCCCAGAACTCCCTGAGTCTAGTGTACACTGCTTATATATGTAGGAATTCTAGTTAATATGAACAGCTTCCTAAGGAAAAGGGGTTCTACTTTCATTAGCAGAGGCAATTTCAGGCTCTGCACAGCTCAAGAGGCCTGTGCTTACTCATTCTTCCAATTGTCTCTGCAAGAAGGATGCTTCTCTCAAGCTCATGGTCTTTGGATGGAAGTCTTCCCTCTTCTGTCTTTGCTCCTTCTTCCTATGTAGTTGGTAGCAGTGTTTACTATCAACTATGGCAAAATTCCACTTGGCATCAGCAGAACTCTATCAAAGCATTATAGAATCCTTTGCTTGGAGCAGACCTTCCTCCTACAGCTTCTCTGACGGATTGCCATTCTGCCTCTTGATGATGACACTGCCCTGTAACTTTTGCACACAATTCCTAGCTCTGCTCCACTAACAAATACACCTTGGGGAAAGTTTGGATGACTGCATCAGTCAGCATTCAACCAGAAAAGCAGAACCAGTAGGAGAAAATGTACAAGATATTTTTTTGTAAGAAATTGCTTTACACGATTGTGGGAGCAGGCTCCGTAAGTCTGTAATCTGTACGGCAGGCTGGCAGGAAGGATCGGCTGAATCTACCGTCCACGGGTGGAATGTCCTCTTAAGCTGTGCTCTTCACATCATTCAGCTGCTGAATCAGGCCCACCTAGATCATCTATAATCTCCCTTACTGAAAACCAACTGATTATGGGCTTTAATTACATCTACAAAATACCTTCACAGCAACACCTATATTGGTGTTTGATTGAATAGCTGACGGTAGCCTCACCAAGTTGACACATCAAAAGCCCATTGCAAACATGGAATAACTGGCTGCATGAAGTTGTCAAAAGCAAAAAGTTAACATGAGAGTCCTAGGCCTGGGAGTGAGAACATTGCAAGGAGAACTGTCCACAGGAGGCCCGTGCCCGCCCCCAGCTCCTCCTGTAGCCAGGTGGGTAGAGTCCCTTTATCAATAACCTAACTCCCAACAAATCTCTGCCTCCCATACCACATTTAAGTATTCACAGTGACATTTGACATTTGCAAGGAGATTTATAAAGTAACTCTGGCTTTGTGGTGACACAAAGGGAAATGAGGAGGGACTGCTTAAGTTAGACATGAGGGAAACAAGGAAGGACTGCTTAAGTTAGACATGAGGCAAATGGAGCAGTACGTACAGCAAAGTAAACACTGAATCTGAAAAGGATTTGATTGTGCATTAAAAAACCACAAATATACAAAAATACTGGTGGAGAGATCCAGAAGAAAAATACTAGATCAGGCCGGGCGCGGTGGCTCATGCCTGTAATCCCAGCACTTTGGGAGGCCGAGGCGGATGGATCACGAGGTCAGGAGTTTGAGATCAGCCTGGCCAGCATGGTGAAACCCCATCTCTGCTAAAAATACAAAAAATTAGCTGGGTATGCTGGTGCATGCCTGTAATCCCAGCTACTCAAGAGGCTGAGGCAGGAGAATTGCTTAAACCCGGGAGGCAGAGGTTGCAGTGAGCCAAGATCATGCCACTGCACTCCAGCCTGGATGACAGAGCGAGACTCCATCTCAAAAAAAAAGAAAGAAAAAGAAAAAAAGAAAAGAAAAATACTATATCTAATTGTCCCCTGTCATGGACCTAATGTTTGGACCGCCCAAAAATTATATGTTGAAGCCTTAACCCCCAGTGTGACTGTTTTTGGTGGTGGGTCTTTAGGGAGACAATTAGGGTTAGATGAGGACGTGAAGGTGGGGTCCGGCTTCAATGGAATTAGTGTCCTTACAAGAAGACACACCAGCGAGCTCACGCCCTCTCTCTCCACTATATGAGAATACAGTGAGAAGGTAGCTGTCTACAAGCCAGGAAGAGAACCCTTGCCAGAAACCAAACCCTATCTGAGCTTGATCTTGGACTTTCTAGCCTCCAGAACTGTGAGAAAATAAATTTATGTTGTTTAAGCCACCCAGTCTATGTTTTTTTTTTTTGTTACGGTGGCCCAAGTTGACTAATATACCCCTAAAATATTTACTTTTCCTCAAGCATCTTTTTTATTGCCTTTCAAAATCCTCAGCTTGAGGATTTTCTATGAGTTCACATTACTGTTTCTCTCTTGTCTCATCTTCCTGGGACATTTTTCTGTGTGTAACAGACAAATGTCCAAGGAATATTTGGAAATTTGAATATAGGATATTAATTTTGAGATGTAAGACTCTGGTATCCACTTTTGGGTAAGGAGCTTCTCTGAGGAGTTATGGACTTGGAATTACGGAGGTTGGAGATGAGGATGATAGCTATGGGGGAGTTGTTAAACTATTCCAAAATTTCAGAGAATCTAACAGAAATTGTATGTTCATTTCTAAACAATCTGTCCAGGATAAAAAATACTAAATATATTTACTTTTTGCTATATTTATATTACCTATCAGGAAAAAAAAATACTGGTGGGATAAAGTAAATGTTATAAATGTTGAAATTTTAAAGTAATATAAAAATAATCAAATGAAAGAATGTAAGAAATGGGTAAAGATAGAGTTGATACAAGAATGGCAGATCTTAATAAGTGTTGAAGCTGGGTGATGGGTATACCCGTGTATGGTATTGGGGGTTAAGGTTTCAACATAAAACTTTTGGGAGACACATTCCAGTTCATGATGGAAGATAATTAGATCTAAAGTTTTTCTTCTGAATTTTTCCACCAGTATTTTTACATGTTTTTTTCAAACACACAACCATAAATCCTTTTAAGATTCAGTTTTTAGTTTGCAGAACAACTGTACATACTGCTCAGTTTGCCTTGTATGAGATAATAATAACTATCTTATAAAACATGAAATACTGGAGTGGGGAGCAGGAATAATAAAAGTTTTGCTGTATGGTGAAAAATTCAGAAACCAGTGTAATAGACCATGTTCATGTGGCTTATTGGACTTCTGTTCTGATGTTATTTTTAAAATAAATTTTTATTGCCATAATATCCTCTAACAATTTCCACATCCAGTTCTTCATAAAAGCATATCCCAAAGACAATTCAGTTTGTATAAATTTAAAAATTATATCCAAAGGTCACAAATACTAAAAACTGGGGCTATTAGCTTTAGAAGTACATGTTCTAAAGAAATACTCTGATATATTCTGAGAAATATAGGTAGACCTGTAAAAGCACCTGTGAGCTCTGCTCAGGACACCTTTGCCTTTGCCTGGATGCCCTGCCGCATGGCCTATAGGGAAGCCCAATGCACCGCGAACCATGGCATTTTTGCTTTCTTCCCCCAGTGAGTTCTTTGGATATTCTGTTAATGCTTAAAAATATTAGCATCTTTAACCTCAACATGCTGATGCTGAGGACTTAGTCCCACTTCCATTCTATTTATGTATTTTCTAGCAATCAGTCCAAACTGAAATTGAATTCACAGGCCTAATGAGATGGGATTTCTGCCACCTTCTCATTCCCATGACTTGTCTTGCTCTATGATAGGTGACTTGAGGCAGAAATTCCATAGTAACGTCTTACGGAGATGTTTCCCGCTCTCTAGTCATCTCTTTTTCTACTCTGCATTCTTACTCCAAAGGTGAAGACTTAATAAATCAATTCACATGGAATTTAATCACATGGAATGAAACGTTAGGCTCCACCAAACAAGGGGTGGGAAAATAGAAAAGTAGAGGTGTTTTGAGGACAGAGGCCCCTTTTTGTATCCACATTGGAAGCTGCTGACTTTCTTTTCAGATCAAATCTGCCAGAGTCCGTTATACTTCCCTCTACTTACTCAGATTCTTCAAAGCTCAGATGAAGACATGGACTCTGCAGACCCTTGCCTGACCTCTCAGAGTGATCTTCCTCTTTTTGAATTATTATAAAAAGTGTCTTTTCACAGTAGCAAAAATATGGAATCAACCTAAATGCCCATCAATGATAGACTGGATAAAGAAAATGTGGTACATATATACCACGGAATACTATGCTGCTATACAAAAAAAGAATGAGATCATGGCCTTTGCTGGGTCATGGATGGAGCTGGAGAACATTATCCTTAGCAAACTAATGCAGGAACAGAAAACCAAATACCTCATGTTCTCACTTATAAGCAGGAGCTAAATGATGAGAACACATGGACACATAGAGGGGAACAATGCACCCTGGGTTCTGTCAGAGTGTGGAGGGTGGGAGGAGGGAGAGGATCAGGAAAAATAACCAATGGGTACTAGGCTTAGTACCTAGGTGATGACATTATCTGTACAACAAACCCCCATAACACAAGTTTACCTATTTAACAAACCTGCACATCCTGCAATGTACCCCTGAACTTAAAAGTTATTTTATTTTAAGTGTGTGATCTGAAACAACCAAGCTGTAAATTTTATATAAGCTTGTATGGCTTTCTAGGGCTTTCTAGCTATTTTGTATGCTCTTTTTTTGCTAACTCGAGTAGGGTCATGTCTCCTTGTTTTGCATCTCTGATGGCATTGAAGAAAGTGTAGAGTAGACTAAGTTTGTCTGTTTCATCCTTTTTCCTTTTTGATGTACCCACATATGCTTTTCTGGTAACATTCCCTGTTCTTTGTTTCTAACTCTTTTTTTTCTGTCGATATATAACTTCTCTGTGTGTTTCTTCTTGATAGTCCTATTATCTTCTAAGATTATTGTTAATATGTAATAAGTTAATCCTGAAAATCATAGGTTCAACAATATACAATTGCTAATTTTTTTAATCTACAAAAGCAGCAATTTCATAGGGTTTGATCTTATGGATAAAGTCTTAGAGCATTACCTCTCACACCTGACATCTGGTGACAAAAACTATATTGCAGAAGAATAAATCCATAATGATGTCATTTAGCCTTAGTAGTTCAGCAGGGGAGACATTTTGGGTGTTAAGATACCTTAACCACACTACTCAAATAATATCCAAGAATGGATAGTTACCTAACCTGTTAATGCAGAAGGTCAGGCCCCTGTCCTGGAAACATACTACATGGTTAATATTTGTTGACGTTCTTCTTCTTTAAATGCACATAATATTAATATCAAAGGCTAGAAATTGCCTAGTTGAAGCTAAGGTAAATGGAAAGGGCCATGAATAGAGGTAAGCTTACTTTTGCTACCAAATTTCTCTCATATACATAAAGTTCAAGTTAATAGTCTGAACAAGGTTAGAGGAAATGAGAAGATTGGGAGATAAGGCACTTTTAAGACATTTCAATTTAATAAAAAAAATGAGAATATTTGCTGTGTTATTTAAAATGACTCCTTTCTTTGGGGCCCTGAGTAACCAATTTGCATGAGTTTTCCAATCTGTACACTGAGAAGGTTAGGTTAGATATGTTGGGCCTTTCAAATATTATATTTTATATAATAAAAGCCATTTGTAAAGATTTCAAGGCAATGTTTCTGTAAACACTTGAAGGTAAAAGTAAAAGTTCATTAAAATCATGTGATGCCCAAATCCTATAATTAATTTTGCATTAATTCTTAATATTCTTATCTTCCTTTGTGTGAATTAGTGATGTTTTATTCTATTTTATCAGAATCAATTTCATTGGTGTTTATAACAAACCAGATCCCTATTTTTAATGGCTTGTTATAGTTTTAGTTTGGAGTTTTTGAAAAGAAACTGTTCATATTTTAGAGCTAGGTGGCCAGACAATTGAAAATGGCTAAAGAAGACAGTGTAAAACAGTTTTCTAACTCTCCCACCTAGGGTTACTGTCTCAACTCTCAGGGCACTGAATATATTCTATTCTAGTGGCACTTTAATTTTGCCCTAATTATCCATATATTATCTGTATATCTGTATCTCCTATCAGACTGTAAACTTCCTGAGCAGAGAGATGAATATTATTCAACTTTGTACCCTCTGAAGCATCTAACATAATTCCTTGAATATAGTAGGTGCTTTAATATTAGTTGAATTCCCTTAAGTTATAACGCTATAGAATTTCAGAGCCAGAGGAGAGTCTCTGAGATCATCACAAATATTCTACAACTAGGAAATCTGAGGACCAGAGAAGTCAAGGTGTCGGCTTAAGGTTATGCAGATGTTATTGACATGAAGACCCATAACTATATCAAAGCCATAGGGACCCAGCCCTATGTTCTGGGTCTCAGAAATAAGGGAGATCCAAGAGAATCTTCCCTGTTTCTTGACGGTCTAAACCAGAATGTGGCCACATTTGCATGTGCAAGAAAGCACTTTTATTATTGGCTTGATTCATGATGTAGTATTAACCTGCCTTCCTGTTGTTGTAGTCACTCTTTCCTTTCCCCAATAAAGACTCTGGATTGTGTTGCATCTTTCTCCAAGGAAATGATATTTCCGTAAGAGAAAGATGGTCTCTGAAAATGAAGTTTATTGATAAGCATAGGATGTTGCAAAAGATGAAACCCAACAGCCCTTGAAGTGGATGTTGGTATAACCTCTGCAGACCTCAGCACTACGTTTCATACCATATCCACACATCACAGGCTCCACTAGCTTAGTATGCTGGGGCGGAAGAAACTCTTTAAAACTAGCTCCCTATGGTTTTGAAATTATATTGCTTGCCGTTCCCTGCTATAAAATACGGTGAAAGCTAAAATATTTTCAGATGTGGGTTTTCATACTCACTTCCCCTCATCTTATGGCAAGTGTAATGTAAGCTTACTGTAGAAAAAAATACAGATAAGGGAGTAAAGGAAAAATAAAAATCAACTGGAATCCCATCACACTGAGATAACCGTAGCTCATATTTTGATGTATATGTGTACACACAGTTATATATATTAAATGACATTACTTAAGTATATTTCTATGATAATATATGTAATTCTAAATCTTTGTTAATGTCCACATTACATTCCAATGAACTAATGTACCATAGTTTATAAAATTCTTTCCTGTTGCATGTATAGATTATTTCTAATTTTTTCCATATTTAATAATAATGTAAACTTGTTCAGTATTGTATTCTTTTTCTGTTCTTGCTTTTAATTGTTTTAGTATTTTAAAACACAGATTTTTAAAAAATATGTGATATAGCAACGTATTTATGAGTATGTAGAGACTGTGTTGAAATTATCATCTAAGGAAATATCACCACATATGAATAGAGACAGCCTGTTCAGTCTATTGTGTCTTTGAATAATCCAAGCTAGCTCATACCAACTAATGAATAAGGAAACACTGAGGATATGCTGAGAATTTTCAGACGCATTTCTTATACAAAATTTTCTCCAGCATGATAATGTTTTACATCATGAAGTAATAGCAACTAATACAAACTACACGAGCCCGTCTAAATGCAAGCTGCAGAGGAGTTCAGTACTGTGTGGATGCCCTTGCACCCCCCAGCCTCCCCATTTGCTCAGTGTTGGCCACATGCTACTATGTCTTAGACTTCCTTGTGATGTCCACCCCACAGGGATTTGGTTCTGGCCTCCACAACTCAACTACCTCAACCTTTCCTTATTTCTCCTTCCATCGAGCTACATTCACTTCCTTAAAAAAATTCAACATGTCTTTTAACTGTGCTAGTGTTTTTATTCAATTGTTATTTCTTTGTTGATGCTCTTTTGAGTGATCTATATCCATTCTATTTAGCTGTTATTCTCAGTACAATTCTGCAGGATGTGGAATTATTCAGAAATGCATATATTGTGTTGTAGCTAAAACCTTTATCTCATGCTCAGGCTTCTGAGTAAAGAGAGCAGAATAAAACCAGATCATTATAATTCCTGTCCTGGTAACTCACAAAATTATAATCTCCACCCCTCAAACCAAAGGAGAAAAACCCAGCAAAAAATTTACCAACAACAAAATGATAAGGAAATGGATAAAACTCAATGATGTAAGATCTAGAAAGGAACAGAATATTTTAGTATAGTTTCTAATCTCACTCTTTTGCCCCCCAAAAGACTGTATCAGAGAAAGAAGGTAAGTCAAGAAAATCCAAAGTGTTTGCCCTTATATATATATCCCTGTGTAAAAGGAAGTCTATTAAAAAGATAAGCTTATAATATTTTTGAAACTAGAGGAAAACTTCTTTTGAGTAGCAGCCCCTAGTTATTACCATTCTATGTTCACTAATATTTAGGAGCCCATTCTCTAAACTTAGATCCAAAGCAAGGTTGTCCTATCCAGAGGGTAAGATACACTCTTAACTTGGATTAGGGGTCCAGGTGGCACTGAATATGGCATAGCACATTTAACAAAATGAGAGAAGAGAGCAGAGCTTGGGTTGTTCAACAAAGATTGCTCAAGTTAAAAAATAATAGGCAGTATCATAATTTCCTAGTTCACAAATTGTTGACATGAGAGATAAACAAGTACAAAGGAGAAGTATGCCAAGAAGAATTTACCACCAGCATCAAACATTTTAGAAGCCCTGAATTGAGGTGTCCACTAGATATATGAAAATAAAAAGAAACAACACTGTAATCACACAACTATCTTACCTCATACCCTCTTCAAATAAAGAAGGGAAATATATGTGTCACAAGGTCTCTTATTAACTTTATGTTACAACTGACTTGTGCACGGAAAGTTTATTTATTTGCTCTATAACTGCTTTGATCTTCTTCCAAAGCACCCAACTCTTATGGGTAGCAGAGGAAAAGTCAGTAAAGCTGTCCTGACACAATAATTAAAGTAGATCCCTAAGTAAATATCCAGCCTTTTAATGCTGTAGTTGCCACGTGTATTATATTTGCATCAGTGAGAACTCCAACAGACAGTGCTACAATTTTGGCTTTCACCAATCATACATATTTGAAAGACCTTAAAGGGAGAAAATATTCTGTTGTATTTACCCAAATATCTGTTTATATTCTGTTGCTTTTTCTTCATGCCTGATGCTCCATATTTTTCTCTTCAGCCTAAAGAATTTCCTTTAGCATTTATTTCAGACTAGATCTGCTGTGATGAATTCTTAGTTTTCACTCATCTGAGAATGGCTTTATCTCGCCTTCGTTCCTGAAGGATATTTTTTGCTGAATATAGAATTCTGGGTTGACTTCATTTTCCTTTAGGACTTTAAAGATATTATTCCACTGTCTTCTGGCTTCCATAACCTCAGATGAGAAACCCAAAGTCACTAGAAAATAGTCTCATTATATGTAAAATGTTGTGATTCTCCAGCTGCTTCAAGATTTGTCTTTATTATTGGTTTTCAGTAAGTAGTTTGATTATGATATGATTGGGCATAGTTTTCTTTGAGTTAATAGGATTTGTGTGTGTGTGTGTGTGTGTGTGTGTGTGTGTGTGTGTGTGTTGGGGGGAGATGGGGTGTTTCTGAGCTTCTTCAATCTCTAAATCACAAAATTTGAGAACTTTTCAGCCAATATTTGTTCACATATTTTTTCAGCCCCTCTCCTCTTTCTCTTTCCTTTCTGAGACTCCAATGACACCAATATGAGACTTTTTATTATCGTCCCACAGGTCCTCAGGATCTGTTCATTTTTAAAAATATATTTCCCTCTTTTTTTAGGATTAGATTATTTCTGCTGACCTATCTTAAAGTTTGCTATTTCCTGTTACCTCCATTCTGTTATTGAATCCACCCAGTGAATTTTCTAATTTTAACTTTTGTATTTTTTATTTCTCAAATTTTCATTTTTTTCATATTTTTCTATTTCTTTGTTGAAAACTTTTTTCATTTGTATCAATTGATGGGGTACAAGTGTAAATTTATTATATGCATAGATTGTGTTGTGGTGAAGTCAGAGCTTTTAGGGTGGGTATCCATCACCCAAATAACATACATCGTACCCATTAATTTCTCATCATCCACTCTCTTCCTACCCTCTACCTTTTCAAGTTTCCAATGCCTATAATTCCACACTCTATCTCCATCTGTAAACATTATTTAGCTCCCACTTATAAGTGAGAACATGTGGTATTTGTCTTTCTGCGTCTGAGTTGTTTGATTTAAGATGATGGCCTGCAGTTCCATCCATGTTGTTACAAAAGACATGATTTCATTCTCTTTATGACTGAATGGTATTCCATTGTGTACATATAACACATTTTGTATATCCATTCATCTGTTGACAGGCACTTAGGTTGATTCCATATCTTTGCTATTGTGAACAGTGCTGTGATAAACACACAAGTGCAGGAATAATTTTGATATAATGATTTATTTTCCTTTGGGTAGAATCAGTAGTGGGATTGCTAGATTAAATGGTAGCTATATTTTAGTTATTTGAGATGTCTCCATACCGTTTTCCATAGAGATTGTGCTAATTTATGTTCCTACCAACAGTGTACAAGAGTTCCCTTTTCTCTACATTCTAGCCAACATCTGTTATTTTTTGTCATTTTTATAGTAGCCATTCTGGCTGGTATAAAATGATATCCTATGTGGTTTTAATTTGCATTTCTCTAATAATTAGAGATCTTGGGGATTTTTTCATATACCTATTGGCAATTTGCATGTCTTCTTTTGAAAAATATCTGTTCCTGTTCTTTGTCCACTTTAAAAAAATTTTTTTTTCCAACCGACTCTCACTCTGTTGCCCAGGCTGGAGTGAAGTGGTATGATCTCGGCTCACTGCAACTTCTGCCTGCTGGCTTCAAGTGATTCTCCTGCTTCAGCTGCCCAAGTAACTGGGACTACAGGCATGCACCACCACACCTGACTAAATTTTGTACTTTTTGGTAGGGATGGGGTTTCACCATGTTGACCGGGCTGCTCTCGAACTCCTGACCTCAAGTGATCTGCCCCCCTCGGCCTCCGAAAGTGCTGGAATTACAGGTGTGAGCCACCGCATTTTTGCCTACATTTTAATGGGGTTTGATTTTTTTGTTGTTGAGTAACTTGTAAATTCTGAATATTAGTCCTCTATTGGCTGCATAATTTGCAGATATTTTCTGTCTTTCTGCAGGTTGTCTATTCACTCTGTTGATTATTTCTTTTGTTATGCAGAAGCTTTTTAGGTTAAGTCCCATTTGTCTATTTTTGTTTTTGGTGACTGTGTTTTGAGGTCTTAGTCATGAATTATTTGCCTAGACCAATGTCCAGAAGAGTTTTTCCTAGGTTTATTTTTTTTAAGTATTTTAGTAGTTTGAGGTCTTACATTTAAGTCTTTAATTCATCTTGAGTTGTATATGCTGAGAGATAGGGATCTAGTTTTATTCTTCTAAATACAACAATCCCATTTTCCCAGCACCATTTATTGAATAGGGTGTCCTTTTCTTTTCTTTTCTTTTCTTTTTTTGAGACAGGGTCTGGTTCTGTCGCACAGGTGCTGGAGTGCAGTGACGCAATCACAGCTCATTGCAGGGCTCATGCTATCCCTGGAGGGAGCACCTCAGCATCCTAAGTAGCTGGGACCACTCAGGCATGTGCCACTACATCCAGCTAATTTTTTAAATTGTTTGTAGTGATGGGGCCTCATTATGTTGCCCAAGCTGGTCTTGAACTCCTGGGCTCAAGTGATCTTCCTGTCTAGACCTCCCCAAGTCCTGATATTACAGGCATGAGCCACCATCCTCAGGCGGTTCATTCTTCTTTTCCATTAATCTATTTTTATACCAGTACCATGCTGTGTTGGTTACTATAGCCTTGTACGATTTGAAGTCTTGTAATGTGATGTTTCCAGCTTTATTCTTTTTGCTTAGAATTTTGTTGGTTATTTGGGCTCTTTTTTGGTTCTGTATGAATTTTAGGGTTGTTTTTCTAATGCTGTGAAAAATGACATTTGCATTTTTTACTCATTTTAACTGTGTTTACCTTTATCTCACTTTCAAAGTCTTTGTTCGATAATTCTAATATCTAGCTCTTTGCATTAGCAACTATTGATTATCTTTACTCTTCAGAATTCATTTCTTTCTCTTTTTTTTCTTTCTGTCTCTATCTCTTTTTTTTCTTTCAAGTTATTTTTCATTGTATCTTGGGCAGTTTGGATATTATAGTGCTATAGTGTGAGACATTGGAACATTTTAAATTCCTCTAGAGAATGTTAATTTGTCTTAGGAGCCAACCAACCCAGGTATGTGCTCTTTTTTTCCTTGTCTTTTTGAGAGGGAAGGTCTTTCTCTGTCACCCAGGCTGGAGTGTAGTAGGGGTGATCTAGGCTCACTGCAACCTTGACCTCCTGCAATGCAGGTATGTTAGCCCACATATTCTGTCTTGCCTTCTTTGGTCAGTGGCTCCAGCTGAGTTTTCCAAGCATTTAATATGCCTTTTGGATCTGCCCTCCACATGTGTTACTCAGTGGTTAGACTGACGTGGGTGGCGGTTTTTATTATAGTTCAGACCTTAAAGGCTTTACTGTATTTCTTTGCCAGTGTAGCTCAGAAGTGAGCCTGGGACTTGGGCTGATTCATATGCAGATAGAGAGGTGCTTTCTCCAGCTCTTTTCTCTCTGGAATTTTCCATCCAATCTTCAACATTTAAGAGTCCCATTTCCTAGTTCTCTGCATAGAAAACTGAGGTTTCTGTCAGAGATTTAGCTCCCAGCAGTAGAATCACCTTCCATGCTAAGCAGTGAAATAGAAAAGAGAAAAATAACAAAGATTCCCCTACACTCTTCAGACTACAGGGCTCCCCTTATCCTGTTCTGGCCAGAGAGATGGGTTTTCTTTTGGACGTTATAGGTGCCTTTACCACCAACATCACCTGTCAGTGCAATTTCAAGGAAAGGACCAGAAAAGGAAAGAGAAAATATACACCCCTCCCCAACACTCTCCATCTCACTGGGTCCCCATTTCACTGTCCTCTGGCCAGGAACATGGAGTTCTCTCTTAGAGCTTTTGCTGTCTACACCAGCTACTCAGTTCCAGGACATTAGTTGCCCTCAGGTCAAACTCAAAATATCAAGGGAGAGAACAAAGCCCAGTAAACTCATTGCCATTCTGGTCATTCTTCAGGTTTTGACTTCCCTCCTGGTCTGTCTGCCATTGTTTAGTTTTGAGAGCACTCGCGTAGTTGCTTTTTTATTCTGTCCACAGTTGTTAGCTGAAATCACTTGGAGAGATAGGCTGTTATGGGCTTACTTCATCTTGGCTGGCTCCAGAAATTTATTATCCTGTTTATGTGAAATGCCCAGCCTCTTGGATTCTTAGCATCTTTATCGCCTGTCCCTAGTTCTTTCCAAGATAGTGTCTTGGTGATTGTGTGTGTGTGTGTGTGTGTGTGTGTGTGTGTGTGTGAATGTGTGTTCTGCATAACATAATATTAGCAGCAGTGTAGGGTCCTCAGATTCCCTTTTGTGTCCTCTGGGTATCCACAGATGGTCTGATAGGGTCCTGTGACCCAGCGCCCATTAGGATACTCCCATCCGGCATTATGGGAGCAATGTTTTGTTCACTTTCTGGAGCTCAGGGGTCCATTCATTTCCTACTGGCCTCAAATTCTCTGCCTACTTTATTCTATTTCTCTCTTGTACCCTCTCTGGGGCCCATGAGAACTACTAACGTGCTTCAGGCTCACCCATCCACTTGTCTGCCTCTGACAGCTCCTCACCTTGGCTCCTGTGCAATGTTAGAAGTGGCCACATGGAGCTTTTTCTAGAGGCTTGCAATCTCCCCTATTATGTTCAGGGAACCAAGTTACCTGGCCCAGTTTTAGTAGGCACCCTGATACCCATCTGGTTGTTGTTAAAGGCCAAGCCCCAACCTCTGCAAAAAGTGTTGTCTTGAAAAAAGAATGGGTGTGAAGAGAGAGACCCCAGCACCCTACCGACTCACTTCATCTGTCCCTCTATTTTCCCCCACAATTTCTCAGGCATAAAGGCTTGGCCTGTCCCCTTTCTCTTTCTGTTTGGCACAGATCTCTCCCATGTAAAATGTTATCTCATTCTTGATATGTTTTAAAAAGCAAACAAAGAAACTTAGAAAATCCTTTGCAATAACAACCATACTTAAGAACAAAGAAACCGTAATAAAGAAACATGACCAATATTCAAATGCCAGGAGACTGTGGCTCAGAGTCTTTAGTGTGATCCACATTTTGTACTCAGGCAAGTTGTCATTCAACTACACAGGAAACTGACATTTTCAAATATGCAAGAACTCTGAGGCTATAACACCTAGGAGTCACTCTTGGAAAACCCACTTGACAATAACACCTAGCTAATCATAAATCGAAAGTGAATTAAAATAAACTCAGAAATAGAGAAGCTTGTGTAAATTATTCATGCTTGACATTGAAACCACTTAAATTAAGACAAAGTAACTGTTGGAATTACACTTATAAGACAGACTGGAAGTGTTATATATTTACAAATAATAATAATGCTAATGAGAACATCACAAACAAAATTGAGAACTAAAGGAGGAAGAGTTAGAGAAACTATTTGAGAAAGCATTTTGTAATCTCAGGATTTATAGGTAATAAATCAATACTGTCTAAAATAAAAATATATACATGGCTATAATTTGTGTATTACCAAAATATTTTTCCTTAACCTTAGTAGGAATGCTTAAGACTATGTCTTGTAGTAAAGAAATATTTAATTAAGAACAGTAATTTGTTCAAGTTTATTTTATTTTGATTTCTGCTAAATAAAAACTTCTTGTTAAAAGTGTACACACTGTATAATCTCATTTTATGCAATTACATTGATCAATCTACCCCATCCACCACTCTTTCACTCCTCCGTGTGTGTGTGTGTGTGTGTGTGTGTGTGTGTGTGTGTGTAATCATAACAATAAAAACTAAATCTGGAATTATGCTCAGTTAATGACAGCTACTTCTGTTCATGTAGTTTTAGATGTACTTTATTGAATTACTTGTGTTGTTTTTTGTAATGGACATATATCCTTTTATCTGAAATTATGTTAGTCCTCTTTGAGAATTTTGACAGAAGTAGGGTGAGTTGGATAATGCCTAATAAACGAATTTTCCTCATTTCCATTCAGCAGGACCTGTAATCTCTGTTAGCAGTGGAGCTGCTCAGCAAAGGTTAAGCTTGATAGTGAACAACCTCTTTATGTACAAAACCGTATTTGGTAGGCCTCATTGCTGGTAATAGTTTCACTATATCGGCCGGGCGCGGTGGCTCACGCCTGTAATCCCAGCACTTTGGGAGGCCGAGGCGGGCGGATCACGAGGTCAGGAGATCGAGACCATCCCGGCTAAAATGGTGAAACCCCGTCTCTACTAAAAATACAAAAAATTAGCCGGGCGTAGTGGCGGGCGCCTGTAGTCCCAGCTACTTGGGAGGCTGAGGCAGGAGAATGGCGTGAACCCGGGAGGCGGAGCTTGCAGTGAGCCGAGATCCCGCCACTGCACTCCAGCCTGGGCGACAGAGCGAGACTCCGTCTCAAAAAAAAAAAAAAAAAAAAAAAAAAAAAAAAAAAAAATTGTTTCACTATATCTTGATGGATATTTAAGCCACATTGATTTTTTGGTATGGGCTGTTTGGAAGGAATGTCCGAAGTAACTATAGATGCTTAGCCTTCTTTTTCAAAGTTTCTAGCACCTATGTCCCACACACATTAGGAACTGAATGTTTATTCTACTGAACTGAAATAATAGAGTTTTTCACATATTTGAGACTTACCTGTTAAAGAGAGACTTTGTTTTTTTTTGTTTTACATCAGACAGAAGTATAAGAACCATGGGGGAATGTTGTTGGAAGGTAGATTTGACTCAATATAAAAAAAAAATTTAGCCATTCAGAAATCAAACAAGTTGCTTCAGAGGTGAAATAGTCTCCACTGCAACATGTTCAAGAGAATCTGGGGGCTTATTTAAAAGGTCATATTGTAAAGGACATTCATGCATCACAGGCTGTCTCTAACATCTGACCTGTTCCCACTAAGATACCATTATTCTGTAAACTCGAAAAGCCTACTTACTATTGCTATTTGAATTGGTATTTGAAGGCTTTTTTTTCTTTTCTTTTTTTTTTTTTTTTTTTGATGCAGTTTTGCTCTTGTTGCCCAGGCTAGAGTGCAATGGCAGGATCTCGGCTCACAGCAACCTCCACCTCCGGGGTTCAAGCAATTCTCTTACCTCAGCCTCCCGAGTAGCTGGGATTACAGGCATGTGCCACTATGCCTGGCTAATTTTTGTATTTTTAGTAGAGACCAGGTTTCTCCATGTTAGTCAGGCTGGTCTCAAACACCTCACCTCGTGATCCACCCACCTTGGCCTCCCGAAATGCTGGGATTACAGGCATGAGCCACCGTGCCTGGACGAAGGCCTTTTTTTTAAGATATCGGGTCTTGCTCTGTGCCCAGGCTGGAATGCAGTGGCACAATCACAGCTCACTATAACCTCAAACTCCAGACTCAAGCAATCCTCCCACCACAGGCTCCTGAGTAGGTATGTACCACCATGTCTGGCTGATTTCATTTTCTGTAGAGACAGGATCTCACTACATGGCCGACACTAGACTCAACCTCTGCTCAAGCAATCCTTCTGCCTTGGACTCCCAAAGTGCTGGGATTATAGTGAAAGCTTTTGAATGCTGACTTAGTAGCTTTGCTCTTGCTCACTGTTTTAGTATACCATCGATAAAATGGGGTCTGGTTAAGGTGATTGCTATCATTTTTCCGGTACTAAGATTTTCTGATCCTATAATCTTCTACATGTGATGATTTTACATAATCATATTTCAATCCATGTCAGCAAATATCCATTCGTTGTCAATTATGTACCAGGTACTATGTTAGGTACTGAGACAGTGGCGTCACCCAATCTCTTTATCCTCTTAGTCTTAGAGAAACACAGAACTGGTTAATGGGGGAGGTGTCTTCAACCTTGCTTTAACACTGTGAAAACCAGAAATCAATGCATTCCCAAAGGCACAGTTTCTGTGACTGGAAGGTTCAGATGTTCTGTTTGTGCTGATTGACATCACCAAATAGTTTCCTGTTGGCATGATGTGAATTTCTTTTTTAGGAAGGCTTTCCAACAGCAGTGTAAAGACTTAGAATCCACAGAAGCCTCTCAATTGCATGACCACATTGATGTGAAGAGGTGTGACATTAATCTAAACAACAATTCAAAGTCATCCCAGGAAACGAAACCTCAAGAAATGAATGAAAATAAATTTCTTTAAAAAACTATTGAGAAATGACATGGTGACAGATGTCAGTTTCCTACTGAGATGAGTGAAGCATGGGAATACTTTATTTTAAAAAATTAAACAACCAGTGATAACATGCAAGAAATACCCAGAAGCACCCTCTCCAATGCATTTATTTTCTATGTGAAGTTAATAGAAAATTTCAACTCACTACCCAAAATTAAGATCATGAAATTTTATATTTACTCAAATTAAGTTTTAAGAATAAAGTTTGGATTTCTTCTGATGGGTTTTCTCCACCATTCCATCTCTGTTGTTATTCATTCTGAGTACTGTTTATTGAATGCACTCATGGGGTGGAAAGTCAACAAACCAAGAAAATGCAGGTGTGGATGTGATGAGATCTGATAGAACCCACAGTCCCTAAGGAAAATAAACAGGAGCCATGGATTTAAACGAACTTAAATGTTGTCTGTAACCTTAAGGTAATTATCCTTCCTTTCCCCCTTCCTTTGTCTTCTATATGCATGCATTTAGGTGACACATAAACATTTGTACTTAAACATGAATTTGCGGTAATTCCTCAGAAACTTAATAGATCTTATTCACTGCAGAAAATTCAAAATTAATAATGCCAAGGGCAATGCCTCACTAAACAATATCAACAAGCAAATGTGTTAAAACCTGTCATCTTAGATAAAATGCTGACCCATCGAGCTGTTTTGCATTATTAGCAATTTTATAAGGTTCTATTGGGAAAGCATTGCTACTAAATGAAATGAAATAAGCCTGATTATTACATCTATGATTACTCTGAGAGAATAACAGATAATTTAATAGAAACCATTTTCAGTTGAAACCAAACTTGTCTCACTTTGCAATAATTCTCCACTGTTTTCTGCTCTTCAATACAATAGTTGCTTTGAAGTTTCTCAAATTTACTTTCTCTTGGTTTGCAGTACCATCTTTCTTTTTTTTTTTTTTGACAGCGTCTCTCGCTCTGTCACCTGGCTGGAGTGCAGTGGTGGCACAATTTTGGCTCACTGCAGTCCCTGCCTCCCAGGTTCAAGTGATTTCCTGCCTCAGTCTCCCGAGTAGCTGGGATTACAGGCGCGAACCACCGTGCCCGGCTAAGTTTTGTATTTTTAGTAGAGACGGGGTTTCACCATGTTGGCCAGGATGGTCTCAATCTCTTGACCTCATGATCCACCCACCTCAGGCTCCCAAAGTGCTGGGATTACAGGCGTGAGCTGCCGCGCCCAGCCTGCTGTACCATCTTTATTTTGAGTCAATAATCTTTGGCCATAGCATTTTGAAAAAAATGCATTACCCCACATTTAAAAAATTGTGTCTTCCAGTTTTTTATGGTGTCAGGATAGTAGCCCCTGATGTAGCCACTTTTAATTTCCGTTGAAAAATCTATCACATTTCCTAAATTGGTAGCCCATGGGGCACTGTAGGATGGTAATAAGCATTACAGAGTTTTCTCTAAAACATCTGCACATCTTTAGTACACCAAGAGGAATAGAGAAGATTCTAAGAAGAGGCTATAGGGCAAGGTTTCCTACGCTTGTTTAACCACAGCTTTTCTTTGTTGTTAGCTATCCATGTCTCCAGAAACAAGTTCTAAAATAACATTAAAGACAGACTGAACAACAAAAATACAGGAAAAACTAACTAACACCAAAAATGAATGTAACACAAATATTTCTGGATCTTCTTTCTCCTCCCTTAAGGCTCATCTCAGTGTTAAATGCCTTTCAAAATAGTGTATTTTTTTTCTAAAGTTCTTTTATGGAAATTTAAGAGAGGGTCAGGGAGGATGGAGCACAGCAAAACTTTCTAAAAATCCAACTTACAATTTCCCCTTTCCCAAAATTTCTATGCCTCATTGCATCAACACAAATCTCTCTCTAACTTGTTCCCTGTACCCCACTCCCATGATCCCTCCCAGATATTTTTCCCATCCATTTGCAAGCTCTACACATGACTAGAGGTCTATGTCATTTGCATCCTCAGCTACTGTACCTTTCAGCCAATCCAAAGGAAACTTCTTTGGATTCATCGTCTTTTAAAAACCAGAGGACAATAAATATTAATCCAATAGGGAGATTCCTTGGAGGAGAGGATATGTGGATATTAACTATGGGTGTTTAATAAAAGGGGTCCTTTTATTTGTTTCTTATTCTATACTTACCTAGGAAAAATGGCAAATAAAATTCTTTCTTTCGTTAGTTCCCCTGCCTCTTTCTTCCCAGAAAGTGGCAGCCAGATTTTCAGGTCAGAATAATAATAGTATTTCAGGACCAGGTAGAAGTAGAGATTCTCTTGGAAAACTAGGTTAG
This sequence comes from Homo sapiens, assembly GCF_000001405.40. NCBI lineage: Eukaryota > Metazoa > Chordata > Mammalia > Primates > Hominidae > Homo > Homo sapiens. The sequence continues at coordinate 71,643,521 of NC_000008.11, forward strand.
TTTGAAGCCTTGGAGAGATAATAAATGTGCTTAGTCTAAATGCATGGGTGGGAATGGGCCAGGGCTGTGGAGTGTCTTGGAGGTAGCTGGAGATCACGGGAAGCCTGTCTGACAAGTCTAAACATTGCCGACATAGGCTAGGGAAAATTGAAAGGGGTAGGGGAACTAGTTAAAGAAATACTTTCATTTTTCATTTTTCCTAGGTAAGTATAGCATAAGAAAAAAAAAAGGACCCCCATCTTATTAATCACTTCTTCTTCTCCAAGACACTGCTTCGGCTGTCAGAAAATTGTGATAGTGCTCAAATTCTGTTAGAACAATACATTCAGGGCCATGTGCTGAAAACATCCTAATGAATATGTATTAATATATCTGCGATGTCAACAATGAGCATGGTGCCCCTTGGGGCACACAGTATCCAATCTGTGCAGCTATCCATGGCCGCCCCAGCTTTGGCCTTAGGAGCCATGGTGCGGGTCTCTGTGCCATGCCTTTATCAGTGGCTAGCATGTGGATGGCAGGATTGGGAGTGTAAATCCTATTTGAGAGGACATCATGTAGCAGAAGCAGCACATAGATAATGGTGGCTACCAGGAACTGAAAAACAGACCCTCTCTCCAATTTTCCAGAGAAGGCCACAGGATCCAATCTAAAAGCGTGTGGAGGAGGCCTAAGAAAAATTTTCCCTAGTAGAAAGGCAGAGAGGATTATACTGAAAAAAGTAACTGGTAGCCTGCCTGGGCTTTGCACCCCCTCTTGATTCTGCACAGGGCCTTCAGCCTGTACTCCAGGGACATACCCTACAGCTGCCTGTCATTGCTAAGCCACCAGGTGCTACACTCCCTCTCTGGAGAGATAGGCTGGTGCAGTAGTTAAGAGGGGGCCTTCAGTACCAGATTTCTTGGGTTTAAGCACTGGCTCTACTTACCTCCTGCCACAAAAACTTAACTATCTCTGCCTCAATTTCCTTACCTATAAAATGAGGATAATATTGGAATCCACTTTATTGAGCTGGTATGAGGATTAAATGAGGTTTTCAGGAAATATATGAAATACTTAGATGGCCTGGCACACAGTAGTGTTGGTTTCCACTATTATTATCCCTGGCCACCTTAGTCCCAAATATGTCCGTATCTATTGAAAGACTAAGGTCTTTGTTACAAGAGTATATCGTGTGATGCTGAGGTTTAGGGTACAATTCAAACCATTACCCAGGTAAAAAGTATCCAATAGGAAGTTTTTCAATCCTTTCTCCCCTCTTTCCCTCCCCTCTCTTGTAGTTCCCAGTGTCTGTTGTTATCATCATTATGTCCATGTGTACCCAGTATTTAACTCCCATTTATAAGCAAGAACATGCGGAGTTTGGTTTGCTGTTTCTGTCTGTGTTAATTTGCTTAGGATAGTGGCTCCAGCTGAATCCATATTGCTGCGGAGAACATGATTCTACTCTTTTCTTACGGCTGTGTGGTATTCCATGTACCACATTTTCTTTAACCAGTCCACCATTGATGGGCACCTAGGTTGATTCCACATCTTTGCTGTTGTGAATAGTGCTGTGATGAACATGTAAGTGCATGTGTTTTTTCGGTAGAATAATTTCTTTTCTTTTGTATATATACCCAATAATGAGAGTGATGGGTCAAACAGTAGTTCTATTTTTAGCTATTTGAGAAATCTTCAAACTGCTTCCCACAGTGGTGAACTAATTGATATTCCCACCAACAGTGTATAAGTGTTCCCTTTTCTCTGCAGCCTCACCAACATCTATATTTCAACTTTCTAATAATCACCATTCTGACTTCTGTGAGATGGTATCTCCTTGTGGTTTTGATTTGCATTTCTCTAAAGATTAGTGATGTGGAACAGTTTTTCCTATGTTTGTTGGCAACCTGTATGTCCTCTGAGAAGTGTTTGTTCATATCCTCTGTTCACTTTTTAAAGGGGTCATATTTTGCTTATTGATTTAAGTTCCTTGTAAATTCTGGATGTTAGACCTTTGTCAGATGCATAGTTTGAGTATTTTTTTCTCATTTTGTCAGATGCATAGTTTGAGTATTTTTTTCTCATTCTGTAAGTTTTCTGTTTACTCTGTTGATAGTTTCTTTTACTATGCAGAGCTCATTAGTTTAATAAGGTCCTGCTTATCAATTTTTTGTTGCAATTGCTTTTGAGGACTTAGTCATAAATTATTTGCCAAGGCCAACATCCAGAAAGGTATTTCCTAGGTTTTCTTCTAGGATTTTTATAGTTTTAGGTCTTACATTTAAGTCTTAACCTATTTTAGGTTAATTTTCATATATAGTAACAGGTAGGGGTCCGGTTTCATTCTTTCGTATATGGCAATTCAGTTTTCCCAGCATCATTTATTGAATAGGGTTTCCTTTCCTTATTGCTTATTTTTGTTGCTTTGTCGAAGATCAGCTGCTTGCAGGTGTGCAGCTTTATTTCTGGGTTCTCTGTTCTGTTTCATTTGTCTATATGTCTGTTTTTATATCAGTACCATGCTGCTTTGGTTACTGTAGGCTTGTATAGTTTGAAGCTAGGTAATAATGTGATGCCTCTGACTTTGTTCTTTCTGTCTAGGATTGCATTGGCTATTTGTGGTCTTTTTTGGTTCCATATGAATTTTAGAACAGTTTTTTTTCTAATTCTGTGAAAAATGATTGCTCTGCCTAGGACTTCCAGTACAATGTTGAATATGAGTGGAGAGAGTGGGCATCCTTGTCTTGTCCCAGTTCTTTGGGGAATGCTTCCAACTTTCACCTGTTCGGTATCATGTTGGCTGTAGGTTTGTCAAGGTGGCACTTATTATTATAAGGTATGTTCCTTCGATTCCTAGTTTGTTGAGGGTTTTTACCATGAAAGGAAGTTGAGTTTTACTGAAAGCTTTTTCTGCGTCTGTTGAGATGATCATACATTTTTCCTTTTAATTCTGTTTATGTGCTGAATTACGTTTACTAATTTGCATATATTGAACCAGCCTTGCACCCCAGAAATAATGCCTATTTGATTGTGGTGAATTAACTTTTTACGTGCTGCTGGATTCGGTTTATTGCAAATATTTAGTTCGGTGCTTCAGAAAACTAGATAGTGGAGGAGTAAACTATTCTATCCTAAAAGAGTGCAACTATTCTTAGTAAACACTCAAGAACCAATAAGAATTGGGTGGGAAGCTGAATACTTTATCCTGCCCTCTGCTATAAAGCCAAAAGGGTATTTGCCTATGAATTAAAAGAAAAATGAGTTAAACTAAGGAAAATTCAGTGTCTTAGTTTGCTTGGGCTGTTGTAACAAAATATCTCAGTCTGGGTGGCTTAAACAACAGGTAGTTATTTTTCATAGTTATGGAGGCTGCAAGTCCTAGATCAAGGTACTGGCAGATTTGGTTCTTAGCGAGGGCCTCTTCTTGGTTTGGAGACAGCCACCTTCTCTTTGTATCGTCAGATGGTGGAGAGAGAAAGCTCTGTTCTCTCTTCCTGTTGCTATAAAGGCACTAATCCCATCATGGGAATCCCTTCCTGATGACCTCATCAAAACCTAATTACCTCCCAAAGGCTATACCTCCAAATATAATCATTGCATTAGGGGCTAGGGCTTCAAAATATGAATTTTGGGGGATATATTCAATTTATAACAGTCAGTATCAGTTTTTCAGCAAAAATGAGATCTCATTTTAGATTTAGCAAAGGCATGGAATGGAAGCCAGTGTGCTAAGCCCTTTGTGTGGATTATTTCACTTAGTTTTCACAACCTTTGTGGTTGATGCTATTATTGACTATGCCACATAGTGATCCATAAGTGGAGAAGCTGGTTTAAAATTTACCAGCTGAACACATGGACACAAAGAAGGGAACAATAGACACCAGGGCCTGCCTGAGGGTGGAAAGTGGGAGGAGGGTGAGGATGGAAAAACTACCTATGCTTACCTATGCTTACCTATGATTACCTGGGTGATGAAATAATCTGTACACCAAACCCCCATGACACACGATTTACCTGATTAACAAACCTATCCATGTACCCCTGAACCTAAAATCAAAGTTATAAAATAAAATTTACTGGCTGAGCATGGTAAGGGCATATACTTCACTGTTTTCAATACCACTCACATCTTTCCTTTTCTTCACTTATTTCTTATAAGTGAGGTTTGAACTTTTCATTATTATTATAGTTCTTACAAAATGTTACTTTTTTTAGCTTTTTATTTCTAACCAAGCTGTATCTCTGAAAAAATGTCCCAATTCCTGTCTGATTTTTACTTTTGCCAGGTTTTTCTCCACTTTGATTTCTTATGAAGCTCCAAGTACAATTTTTTGGGCCATGAGCCAAAGAAAATATATGCAACTTATTTTTTCCCTTCTTTAAAGATCTCTGGAAACTAGCAAAGTTTAGTTTAAAAATTTCCTTCCTAATGATGTTCAAATTTTTGTATTTGGCTATTTTGCCTGTATAACCTCATTAAGAAAGGGGAATTGAAAACTGATACAGTTTAAATCAAACGTTTTTCTCACATAATTGAGTTATCCTCACATAATTAGGGATAAAAATGAAGATAAATTTCTTATGTAGATAACTTTATATTAGATTCTTTTATTAATAAATCTTTCCATTCAATAGGACTCATGTCTAATTCTATAGGATTGATTTCTCCCATACATGTTTAAAGACAAATTCTCCATCTTCTATCCAATTGCTCCTTTTTAAATGTCAGTTTTGTGACAGTGCAACTGCATTGTTTAGGTCCTTAAACTTGGGAACCTATGTTATTCCTCTTTTTGCTACATTTGATTTTCATAACATCTTGCTATTCTTCACCCCTATCTATTGGTCTTGAATCTCATGTCAATTGTCATTGCTATGAAATAGGTCAGGCTTCCACCACCGCCCCTTTCTTTATTACATAAACAATCCTTAGCCAGTGGTCCTGTTTCTACTCTCTTGGTATCCATTTATCGCTCATGCAGCTCCAGGCTCAGTGACCCTAAAACACAAAGAGTAGGCATTCCGTAAATAGAAGTCAGCTGTAGGTGGGAAACGTCCTTTTTAAAATTAGAGTGTAGAATATATGTTTTTGCATATATATTAAATATCAGTGGACCTGAAACTGAGTGGCCTAAGGTACTGGCTGACTCTCAAGTTTTGTCCGTAAATTGCAGTGGGGACATCACTGGAGAGTGATAGGAAGGTCCAAGAGAGCTGGGGAGGGATGAGGGGGTATCAGGGTCTCCTCTTTTGGCCTTTTTAGCTCTTTTTTCTCCCCCTTTCTTCTCTAGCTTTCTCTTCCTCCTACTACTGACTCTCTTTTCCTGATCTCCTCTTCAGTCTCTTTTTCCACCTTTCCTACTATTTTATTTTCATTATTCTCTTTTTCTTCCCTTTAAACAACTACATGAACTCATGATTCCCAGGGCCTCTGCATACGTTGGCTGTGCAGGTTGTACCTGACTCCACAGACGGAGTCCCTGTGTTACTCACTGGAGTTGAGCAGTGTACAACCTGAGCAGCGTTACACTGAGGCCTGGGGCATACAGCACATTTTAACTGGCTTAACTTTATACAACATTTTGGTTACATTGACACATGGTAGATAATGTCAACATAGGCAGAACTGGAGGCTTTGGAAAATCAATGAATTCCTTATTCCTACTATATGTTACTCATTTATCCATGTTTATTGAACACTTATAGGATACAAGGAATCATTTTAGAGGCTGGGATACAATAATGAAGAAAACAAACAAAAGTTCCTGAGATGTGACAGAGAATGAGCAAATAAGTAAATATATATGTAGTACATGAAAGGGTAAGACTGTCATAGAAAAATAAGGTGTGGAAGGAGGGGTAGGAAGAGTGTGTTGGTATTCGTATTTACTCATGCCTGTATGGGTGGCGAGGGATTGCAATTTAAATGGGATGGTTCGGGAAGGCCTCACTGAGAAAGTCTCATCTCAGCCTTATCTGAGGCAGGTGAAAGAAGAAACATGGGCGTCTGGGAGACGAGCACCCCAGGCAGAGTGGAAGGGAGTGAAGGCTCCAAGCAGGAGCAAGCCTGACACTGTATTTGGTGATGCTATGGTTCCTACTTGTGACTGCAAATGTGGCCTCAAAAGATGCGTGGCCAACTTATTTTAAAAATACTGATCCACAAGATGGTGATCCTTTTGTCCCTGACTTCCATCCATTCTACTGTTGCTGCTGCTTTCCTTGGGCCATCCTTGGTGTTTTGTTAAATACTTCAGTGGTAAATAAAATTGTTGATCATGTTGTCCAGGGGATAATATCAAATTAAGTGTCTCAAAATGTTGTGTTGCACAAATAGATCAACAGCAGCCTTACTTGTTTATTCAGTTATTTAAACATATATCAGGCTGCTGCAGTGTGGTAGAGGCAATACTATGTTTCAGCGATAGAGTGGCAAACAAAACAGGGAACAATTCTGCTTTACTTTGGGGTCATATAATAAAATAATAATGAGAATAGATAGTAGTAGTAATAATAATAATACATTGTTGATAGCACTAAGAGGAAAATAAATGGGGTTTGTTGATAACATCAAATGGGGGGAAACTTTCTGGAGGAAGTAAAGGAACGATGACCCAAGAAGGCCTCTTTGGGGAGTGACACCTCAAAGCTGTCTCCTCAAAGATGAGAGGGCTCCAACCCTGCAAAGAGGGGAAGGAGGAACATTTCAGACAAAGAATCTGGGCAGGACCAAGCAGGAGATGCCGTGGGGATGGACAGAAGGCCCCAGGGCCAGGAGCCTGCTTACAAATAGGGAAAACCTGATGAGATTAGGTTAGAAAGGTAGCTGTGGCTGCAGTGTACAAAACTTGTAGGACACAGAAAGGAGCTTGGGTTTTATTCCCCATTCAGTAAGAAGCCGTTGGATGGCCAGGGACACCAATACAGTTTGATGTGCATGCTACTCTAGCTGCTGGGAAATGGGCGTTGAAGTTGGGTGACCAGATAGGAGGCTATTGTGACTGTCTGGCTAGAGATGCTTGAGGGATGCAGAGGGGGAAAGTGTGTTCATTTAGCATATATTTTGGAGGTAGTCAACAGGACCTGCTTTTCAACTAATGTTGGGAGTGAGGAAAAGGGACAAGTCAAAGATAACTTCCCAGGTTTCTAGGACACAAGGTGAATGATTGTGCCAGTTACTAAAATGGGTTAAACCAGAGGTTAAGGAGGCAGATTTAGGGAACCACCTGTGGATTTTCCTCAGTAGATATCAGCCACAAAAGGTAAGCTTTATTTAGGCCTCTGGGAGTAATGGTTCAGTTATAGAAGGGGGGAGGCACTACTTCTCCTCTGTTAGCTGGGTGGTGAGAGCCTCTGCTGGGGAGCTGGGGAGCTGGGTCCCTAAGCAGCCCTGCACCCTTGACCCCTGCACCTGGTGCCATGGGGTGAGGCCACTGGGCGGAATGGGCAGTGCAAGAGAGTGCAGGAGAGACCGGGCCCTGGCCCATGTGTGCAAAAATGTGGGATACAGAGGGAGGCCTGCTTTCTGCTTTTGAAGCAAAATAACCCACTTTGATTTATAAGGATCTCAAGATCAAGTCTTACTGCACTATTGCCTCTTCCTGGGAAGCCCCTCTTAGACGGAAAACTAAGAACCAGATATTAAGGGATTCCCCCCAAAAGAACCCATCTGTCCAAACACAGAGTCTACAAACTGCTCATATGTTGCTAATAGGATACAATAGGCTACAGTGTTAAATAATATTTTCTATTCTCTGTTTCCCACACCACAAACTCTGCTAGATAGTCCCACCTTGTGAATAGTTAGGAAACATGAATAGTGAATACCAAGCCTAAATATCTGTGGGTGGATGATTACACTTAATGAAGCAAATGTTCCCCCAATCATCATCATTGTTATAGGATACAGTGCCTTTTACTGCTTATTATTCACCATTGACATTGTCAGCACATAAAAGAAAATGTGCCGACTGGGAAATTTTTAACGTTAATTCATTGTTTTAATGACTGCAGCTTCTGAAGGATATCAAAGGTGATTGGTTTCAGTTATAAAATTATAAAGTATTAAATAAGTTTGTTTAATGAGCTGACTATTATAGTAAAGGAGAGTAAGCGAACATCTATATTGAATATAACTCAAGTATATTAATAAATGCAGTTTAAAATAATACAAAGGAGTCTTCTCTAGTATTCGGAATGCCAAGATCAAGCTAAAAATGTTCTCTCTTTAGTACTCCTCTGTCTGAAGCACATTAAATAGAGCTTGAAATTGAAAGTCTTGTGTTCCTATTATAGGAATATATAAAGCTACTTTAAGGCGGGTAATGGGGAAATTGTGGTTAGTTATGTGGCAACAATTTTTTTTTCATCAATAAAATCAAGACATTATTTAAAAATAATACTCTATAAGCAATGGTTCTGAATTCACCTTGGGGACTGAAAATTCTGCAAATAACCTTTGGGAGATCACGTGAAGATACCATGTCATGGAAACCCTGTAAGCGCTCCCAGAATCCTATGCTACCGAGGCAGCCACTAGGGGGCGCTACATTCAAGGGAGGTTGAGAGACTCAGGGTAGCTCCCTGGGCCCAGCTGGGAAGGGCAGGGACCTGAGGAAAGGGCAGCTCCTCAGTGGGTTGGCCAGGAAATGGGATCAGAGATAGATTAAACCCTCAAAGGAGGCAGGCCTACACAGTTAATTGTATAACTGTGTAGGTTGCATTTTTTCTTTAGCTTTTTAAATGTGATTTCTATTTAGCTTTTAAATAGGTGATTCATTTACATGGTTTAAAAGGATAAAAGGGCCCATAGTCACCTCCCAATATATGTTCTTACTTTCTTCCTTACTTCAGCCATAAAACAACATTTCCTGGAAGCCACCTTGAAAACTGGTGTGGCCACATGCCTAAGGCAGTCAGTGGTCTGCGGGGGGAGTGTGGGTCTTCCCCCTTCCATCCCGCTTCCTGGACACAGGTCACACCTAAGAGTGGAGTGGAGAGCCTGGGTGGTGGGTTACGGAGCTGTAGTCCAGCCCTGGATTATCTACCTCTGTACTTCCTTCATGGGAAAGACAAATACATTTTTCTCTTGTTTAAGCCCTTGTTACTTTGATTTTTCTGTTGAATTCAGCCAACTCTAATGTGAACTAATTCAGATTAACAGTAGAAAGCCTCCCTTTTACTCAGATCACAAACCTTCCTTCCCTGAGCTGTTTCTGCATAAAATGTCTGGAGATATTTTAGCTGGTAGCATATACAAGCGTGTGTGTGTGTGTGTGTGTACATGCACGTGCGTGTATGTGTGGCTTGGGAAATATCAATACATGAAAAACATCCTCATTCTCTTTTGGGTTATAGAGATTTCAGTTGGGTTGATATAGTGTACAGTATATTAACAAGCATTTAAATTGTTTTAGTCTTTGGCTGTTACAAATAATACTGCAGTAACTTTTGTTTATTTATGACCTCCTTTATTTATATTCTGTGAGTATATCTGTAGAACAAATTCCTGAAATTCAAAGTGCTAGGTCAAAGAGGATGTGCATTTGTAATCCATAGCTGTTCTTGGTAGATATACTGATTCATCTTTTAGTAACAACATATGAGAGTGTCCTTTTCCCCACATCCTTCCTGACTCGGTGTTACCAAAGATGGATCTATACTTTTCTCTAACTGGTCACTAAGGAAGGGTGAAAGGAATGAATGAAGGGAGGCAGGTAAGGCAGGCGGGCGGGATTAGGTTGAGATGCCAGTGCTAGATTTACCTTTATTACTGTCCATGTTGCAGGGATAGGGTGTGTAGACGAGGGGAGACTTGGAAGAGATAGGACTTTGGTTAACTTAATTCTGTTTTCTTACAGAGAAGTTATAAGTTTTAGCATATTGAACTTATCCAGATGGTTTAAATTCTATATTGTGGTTTATGTGAAGTATCAGAAATCAGTCTATGACATAACTGATGTATATGCTTTTGTTATCTAATCTGAAGGGGTGTGATACTTGCATTGATGTTGTAGTTTGCAGCTTACCAGCACAGTTTCTCTAGAAGTCTCTGAAGGAAACGCGGGAGGTCACAAGGCAGGAGGTTTCCTGCCTGCAGTGGGCTCCAGGGGAAAGCCAGTGCTGCACTGAACAAGCCCTTTCCTCTTTGTGGTAAGACAAATTTGCTCTGGGCCAAATCACATAACTGAGGCACCCACCCAGGAGCTGTGACTTGTCCATGCTTCTCTCCATGCTTTCATTGCCAGCCCTTCCTCTGGGGCTCAGCATTCAAGCACTCCCTGGAAAGGGCTATAAAAGACCTCACAGCACAAGTGAGGAGAGAACAGTCTCATGATAATGACCACCTTATTAGCATGAGCACTTATGGCCAGGAGCTGTTTTCAGCACTTGTTATATATGGACATACTGACATGCAACGCAACCCTCTGAGTAGTAGCACTAATTATCATCATCTCCATTTTGTGGGAAACTGAGGCACAGAGAGGTTGAGTCAAGATCACACAGCTAGTAAGGAGTGGAGCTAGGATCGGAATCTAAGCTGTCAGGATCCTCAATCTAGACTCTCATGACAGTTTCTTAGAGGGCTCTGTGGAAGCGCTGCACACACTCACTGTTAGTTTCTTAATAGATGCTGTGCATCTGGCATTTACGGTATTGTCTGCTAACTGGTCTTTTTCTCCCAAAAGCACAGTGGCCTAAGGGGATGATCAAATAACTTCTTCTATTGTTCTCAGAGGATGAAGACTCAAGAGAACAAAACACAAATTCCCGTGCAAGGCAGAGGAAACACACACACACACAAACACACACACACACACACACACACACACACACACAAAAGAACCCAAGAAAGGATGGAGAGAATCATCAGCAACAGAGAGGGAAAGGAAAGCAGAACATTAGAAAATGGAAGAGTAACGTGGACTTAAACATAACAGCAATTTCAGCCCTGGAAATAACAGCGATGAGTGGGTATGGCAAAGCTCCAAAGTGCATAGCAGCTCAAGGGAGCCATTCTCAACTGCGTCAGGCAGGCCTATGTCTCCCCCAACTGTCTAGGCATCCACATTGCCTAGAATAGGACTTGGCACCGAGAAGCTGCTCAATAAAAGTCTGTGGCATGAAGAAGAGACATTTATGAGAAGGACCCAGGAAGTCAACAGGAAAGAAGAGTAAGACTGACATCTAACCTGAATCAATTTAATAACATTCAGGACTAGGGAACTAACACAACCAAGGAGAAGGGATTGGAGGTTATACTGAAATTCAGAAGTTCTACCAGGATGCCTTTTGGCTACAGATTTCAGGAACTCCAACTCGAAAAGGCTTGAAGTTCAACACAAAGAAAATATTGATCTCACATAATAGGTCCTGATAAATGCAGTCTTATAGGTCAATTAATTCAGGGCATTGGTCATGAGGACCTGTCTTTTTCTACTGAAGTTCTTTTTTTTTTTTTAAGACAGAGTCTCACTCTGTCACCAGTCACCAGGCTGGAGTGCAGTTGTGTGATCTTGGCTCATTGCAACCTCTGCCTCCCAGGTTCAAGCAATTTTCCTGCCTCAGCCACCGAGTAGTTGGGACTACAGGCACGCGCCACTACAGCCAACTAATTTTTATATTTTTAGTAGAGATAGGGTTTCACCACGTTGGCCAGGATGGTCTCGATCTCTTGACCTCATGATCCACCCGCCTCAGCCTCCCAAAGTGCTGTGATTACAGGCATGAGCCACCCCGCCCAGCCAGTTCTGCTGTTCTTGAGCTGAGAGGGAGCCCACTGTAGCATCCTAGGAGTCACAGTCAGCAAAACAACATCCATGGAAACAAATGGAAATATTCCCGCTCATGACCTACTGTACTAGTGTAGAGATTCTCCCTATAAACCCTCCAGGAGAACTTTCCTAAATATCTCATTGTCACATGCCAAAGGGGTGAGGCTATCTCCCTAAGGAGCAGTCCTACATGGGAGAGGAGCAGGCACCAAAACAGAAGCCACCCCCCTCAGGAAGGGAGGATCGAGTCATGGATGCTGCATAGAAACAGCAGGCTCCAGCACAGAGGTGTCTGATTCCCTCAGAGATAGATACAAACAAATACAGACACAAAATTTAAGTGCTTATTAAATTATCAAATAATTAAAGACTCGATTTAATAATTACAGAAGAATTTGTGTCTGTTTTATATGTACTAGAAGTTTGTTAACTTTGATACTTTCCCAACTGCAAATGAGTTCCTGATATTTGAAATAAATGATTTTCATGGAGAAGAATGTCTCATGACCTGAACTGGAATGAAGACATTTTCTGGGCAGGAACACATGAGAAGTGGGATGGTTTGTTTTATAATTTTCATTATGGAGATCTTTGACCTCCTTGGTTAAATGTATTCCTAAGTAGTTCACAATAATGTACAATAAGTAGTGTACAATAAGTAGTGTACAATAATGGTTAAATCCTATCCTGAAGTTAAGTTATAGTTAGGGTTTGAAGAAATGACAAATCAGAGTGTACTCATTTGAATGGGGGTAAAACCTTATATCCATCACACTCAGATGTCCATATGGGCAGTCAAGTAAGATATTTAAAAACTCAAAGCTCTGTGATCTTACTGTTTATTCCAGTAAATATTTGTCAGCTCATTTCTTTTTGGTACCTACATTTTTAGCTAAGTTACAAACAAAGTCTCAAGGAACTACTTGGCAGGAATGGAGGCTCTGGAATCCCACCCGTCTCCATCTATCACCTTTCAAATCCACACCAAATAAACATATAATCCAGGGAACAGTAACATGCTTCCTGGAGAATTCTTCTAGTCATCTTTTCCAGTCCAAATTTGTGGCTGCTAAGCTCCTTACATATAGAAATTTTGAGATGCCTTTGTGTTTAGTTAATACATGCCTGTCGGGAAGATTGTGATGACTATCTCGTTATGTCTGTGACATAACGGATGCTATCAGAATACTATTGTGTAATATACATCGTATACTTGCCACTAACTTTACAAGCGCAAGGATATTAGATACACTGTTAAATATTAAATACTAAAACTTCGGATGAGCATTCATCAATAGAAATAAGCATAATTTTCATAAGCAAATGTATATCCAAGTGTAAAAAGCTAGATAAAGGGATTTTTCTGCTATTCACATTCCCCACACAACTGTCTCTGTCACCTGTAGAAGCTAATCTTGGTTCTCTTCTTCCACAGTCTTCCAAATTTATTTCTAGAAATCACTGATAAACAGTAAACTATAAGATACATCTGTGCCACCAACCAATCCGGTGGCTGCAGTTGTGTGCTTTGGGGAATGAGGCTTCTATTACAATATAATACCATAGTATGAAACTTACTGCTAAGATTGAAAGAACACTGCAGAGGGCAATATTACATGCAACACAAAACACTGGAATTCCTGAGCAAAAACTTAAATCTGTTTTGAGAAAATGTGACTGCATGTAATTTAAATTTACTTATATTGTCTTTGCTTCCTGTATTTTTGCCTTTGAAGGCTTCCTTGAGATTGAAACACTTCATCTCAAGAGACTTTTTTGATGAAATGATTAATAAATGGCCCAAATGATTCAGCCCTTGAGGATACATATAAATTATCAATGAAGGATTAAGTAGGCAAAGCCTTAAAAAGCTTAGGGAAAAATTGATTAAGTTGGGATCTCACAGAGGATACAGACTTCTAGTAGAACAGAAAGGGACTAATTGAGTCCCATAAACTGTTTGATGGAGCACTTAATTTAAAGACAAGAGACTTGTGACTGAAGAAAGGGAAATGGAGCCAAACATATATGCCAACAAAGGAAACTGAATTGTAGTTCCAAGATTCTCAAGAAGAGGGGTTCAACTTTTGTAATCACATTAATGGCTCCTGACTGTTTAAGTACCCTCAAATGATTGCTTGGAGCCAGTAGTCCATTTGTTTTGAGGCAGTGATGTTTTCCTTTATCTTTAAGAGTGCAATAGAAGCTTTGAAGTAATAAGGTCAAATTCAACCACTTTTGCCCAGACTCTGTGCAAGAATGCTGGGTTTGAGTTTCCAGGGAACATGAAGAAGTCATTTCAACCAATCTTTTACCACCCAGCAAGTCCTTTTAAAAGACTTTCAGAAGCATCCCAAATTTGCACATTACCTCCTTGACCTTGCAAGCAGGGGTCGAGGCTGGAGCACGTGGTTTCAATTGTCTGATAAGATACATCGCTTCAGTCTTGGCCTGACTAAAGGCTAAACCAGCTGGTTTCTATCTCTTCTTCTCTAATCATTAGGTATTAGGCAAGCTATGAAAATGTTATAGCATTTTATTAAAGTCGCTAGAAAGTCACATGATGAACGGCCAAAAAATAAAAATAAAAACAAAGCAAACAAAATTAGACATCTCTATTAAAAGCCTAGATTCCTAAATAAATTTAAAAACTCATGACTCTTGGTTCTGAGGAAAATTTAAAGGACAGAAAAAGATTTACTAAGAAGTTTGTCTCTTTTGCGTAACAGATGAGCTCCGTTTCATCATAAAATGGAAACTATGAAATTCCTTCTAATTTTCTTTTGCCTTGGTTGCCAGAAAGTTCACACTTAACATTTATTGTTTAACGACAGTATCAGAAGCATGTTATGCCCATTCCCCAAACAACGATCTCTCCTTTCTCTCTCTGATTTCCCATGTGTTAAAATTTTGATTTCACTATTATTTAATGCCATTTTAATTTAATTGTTACTATGTTTATCAGTCTAATAGAGTATATCTTAATTTTAATAACAAAAACAAAAAATCAAGAGAGCATAAATTGTGACTGTGATCCCACAGCACTAAATAGTTTATTAATCACATTGAAATATAAGTCATCCTAATAGACCCATTGAATATATCACTTTCCAATTGGTGTTTTGGGTTGTGTGGAAAATAACCTTAAGTACATAGAAAATGTATTTGCTACCATCTAGGACTCAAATACTTAAGAATATAATGAAAACTGATGCTTTTATAAGGTAATAACTATTATATTAGGACCCTTTCAACTGTATATGATGCAAAATTTCACTCAAACTTGCTTAAAAAGAAAATATATTAGTTCGTGTAACTGAAAAATACTAGGATGAGCTTAAGCACAGCTGGATCCAAGGGCTAAATAATGTTATCAGGTCTCTCTCTCTCATATGCGCGCGCGCGCACACACACACACACACACACACACACACACACACACACACACACACTTCATATTTCTCTCTTATGTTGACTTATCTGCCATGCTGACTCCATATTTACTCTGGCAGTCAACTTCCTTATGATGACACCAGATGGCTGCCAGAAGCAACTACCTTATAGCCTCTCCACTCACCAACCCAGCAGAAAGGGATATCTGATTTTTAACAGGACCAACAAAAGCCTTGCTACTGAGTCTAGCTTGTTCTAACTGGTCCATGTGCCCACCTCCAAACCACTCCCTGGGCCCAGGGGCACACCAGGTTTTGTTTGAACCTTGTCTAAGTCACATGCCCACCTCTGGGCATAACTCCACTCAAACCACAGAGGCCAAGAATAGGGAATGGGTATTTTGAAGGGGAAATCTGTTATCAAAAAGGGACAAGCAAAATTCACAGATGCCTGCTACAATATTTCACTCAACCAGATCATTTATTGGACCTTGTTTTTCCAGGAAATTTGATTGCTGCTTAAAAGTTAAGATTGATCAGTGAGCCAGCTAGAAAAGAAAATCCTGGTCTTGATTATTTACATGAACCCCTGATGAATTTATTAATGAAAACTCTACAGTGATGTTAATGAATGATATAGACCAAATTTTGTTTTCTAACAGTATAGCTGTGCCAATGTTAGCTTATTTAAATACTTAACTGCACATTATTCTATAACTTTGCTAAAATATTTCATATTTCGTATGATGTTTGCAAAATCTCCAGGTTATATTTAAAATATTTTCATCACTTTGTTCTAGCCATGGAGGTTTGGGGTGGGGGAAAAATGGGAATTAGTAACTACCTGTCTGAAATCCTTTGATCCCTTTTTTATCCTATTACAAATCAACAAAGTATATTTTAAAAATAAGAAATAGGCCAGGTATGGTGGTTCACACCTATAATCCTAGCACTTTGGGAGGCTGAGGCAGGAGGATCACTTGAGGCCAGGAGTTCAAAACCAACCTGGGCAACACAGCGAGACCCTGTTTCTACTAAATAAATAAATAAATAAATAAATAAATAAATAAGCAAGCCAGCCATGGTGGCACACCCATAGTCTCAGCTACTCAAGAGGTTGAAGCAGGAGGATTGCTTGAGCCTAGGAGTTGGAGGTTGCAGTGAGCCACGATTATACCACTGCACACCAGCCTGGGTGAAAGAGTAAGACACAGTCTCAAAAAAAGAAATGGAAAAAAATATCAATAATAGGTCTCCTTCCAATGACAAAAACAAAAAATTTGTTGAATTAAAAATAAAAAAGAAATAGAAACATGGATTTATGACAAGTAGGCAGATCAATTTAGTTACATTATGTGCTTGAAGTTCTTCAGGGAGAGCAAATTTCCAGAAATGCTTGCATCTCATCTAACTTTACTTAATGGTTTTCTTTGTGTGGGATATAATATCAATGTAGAATATTCAGCCCTTGAGAAATTAGAACAACAACAAAATTAGATCAAAGACATACCAATTATGCAACACAGCAACAGGCAAGGTCTCTTTAAATGGAGGAAGCCATCAGCTGTTTATCTTTCCAGTCATCACACACTTATCAAATGCCTACTCTGTGCTAGATGTTGTGCTGGGTCTTGGAGGTAAAAAAAACCCAAAGGGCCAGGGGCAGTGGCTCATGCCTGTCATCCCAGCACTTTGGGAGGCCGAGGTGGGTGGATCACGAGGTCAGGAGATCAAGACCATCCTGGCTAACACAGTGAAACCCCATGTCTACTAAAAATACAGAAAAATTAGCCGGGCGTGGTGGCACGTGCCTGTAGTCCCAGCTACTTGCGAGGCTGAGGCAGGAGAATCGCTTGAACCCAGGAGGCAGAGATTGCAGTGAGCCAAGATTGTGCCATTGCACTCCAGCCTGGTTTACAAAGCAAGACTCCATCTCAAAAAAAAAAAAATGACCCAAAGGATTTAATGTCTACATAGATAATTCACAGGGCAACAAACAAATTACAGTAATAACAACAAAAAAATCTATTTAATTATTCAGATGACCTTTGCATACAAACAGACCCAGGTTTGAATTCCAGTCCTGCCCTCTCCTACGTGTGTGATCTTAGGGGAGTTGCCTGACCTTTTAAAGTATCAATTTTCTGATTTGCAAAATGGAGACAAGAATACCTACTTTGTAGGGTCAGTGGGAATATTAAATGAGGTAATGAGTACAATAATGCAAATATTTATAGAACACTTACAATGGGCCAGGTGGGGTTCTAAGTGCTTAACGTTCATCACCTCATTTAATTTCCACATAGCCGTGTAAGGTAGGTACTATTGTTACTAACTTCATCATACACTTGGGGAAACCAAGACATAGAGAAGTTAATGAACTTACCTAAAGTGGCAGAGTTGGGATTTGAACACAGGCAGTGTGGCTCTGAAGCCCACGCTCTTCATGGTAGACATGAATATGTGCCTCTAGATCACTCGTCAAGGAAGGTCCAGCTGCAGTGAGTGTAGGGGGTAAATCCCCTCCAGCTCTGAGCTTGGAGAAGGTCTCCTTCAGCTGCAGAGATGTCTCTTAGCCAGGGTCATACCCTTCCAGAGGAAGCCTGGAGCAATGTGATGGAGCAATGTGAGGTTGTGAAGGTCTGGCCACTTTAGCCTGATCCAGGGACACTGTGTTGGGCATATTCTACCCAGCACTCCATGCTGAGCGGGTTGAGGCTTCGGTGGGTTGAGGCTTTGCCCGATCTGCACTGTCATTAGCCTCCTGTGGCTGAATTCTGATTGTGTCCACTTCATTTCACAGGTGAGGATCCCTAATTGAATTACATGGCTATTTCAGGTTGTCCCACAACTCACTGATGCTCTGTTCACAATAAAAATTCTTTTCTTTCTTTATTTCATTTTGGAGAGTTTCTTTTGCTGTTTTGAAGTTCACTGATTTCTTTCTTCTGCAAAGTCTCATCTGCCCTTAATATCAATGTATTTCTCATCTCACACATTATCGTCTTCATCTCTAGAAGTTAGATTTGAGTTTAAAAAATATCATTCATGTTCCTTTCTTGACCTTTAGAATATGTTGATCATAGTTATAATAACCACTTTAATATACTTGTCTGCTAATTTTTAACATTTGTGTTTATTCTGGTTTGATTTAGATTAATTTTATTCCCTATTATGGATCTTATTTTCCTGCTTCTTTGCATGCCTGGTAATTTTTGATTGGCTAACATATATTGTGAGTTTTACCTTGTTGGGAGCTGGATATTTTGTGTTCCTATAAATATTCTTGAGGTTTGTTCTGAGACACAAATTACTTTCTAACAGCATGATCCTTTGAGTTCTTGGATTTAAGATACATGAGACAGGACCAGAGAAGTGTTTATTCCAGAACTAATTTTTTTCCCCACTACTGAGGCAAACAAACCCTTTTGAGTACTCTACCCAATGGCCCACACATCATAAGGTTTTCAAGCCTGTTAGAGGCAGGCACTATTCCTCACCCTCTTTGAGTGCTGGGTGCTATTCCCTTTAACCTTTTCAGGTGGTTCTTTCGCCAGCTTCAAGTGCTTTCCTCACACAAATGTGCTAACTAGAACTCTGCTCAATATTTGGGGGGGACACTCTGCAGATCCTTTGTTGCCTAGCATCCAGTGTTTTGATGACAATTGTTTTAGATATTTTGTTTTATTTTGGGGGAGTTATTTTAGGCAGGAGGATAATTATGGTTCATGTTATCCCATCTTGGCCAGAAGTGGAAATCTTTTTTTTAAACCCATAAAGTTTATAAAAATACAGGATAACTTAAGATTTGGGGGAGTCATAAAAATTCTAGAAATAATTATTTCTTTTTTCTGGTAGATACTATGGCACTACACCTAGATCCCCATATCAGGGGCAATAATGCATCTCCTAGTTCTGGGAGCATGAGCTTCTAAGAATCACGGATGTGCTCCTCATTGAGAATTGGCCTTCAGACATACAGAACCGAGAGGATGATTGGCACTGAGTGAAACACACAAGTGTATCTCTTGCCACTGCTGTGCTTAAGTCTAATGTTCAATGGACAAGCACAGCTGCCACAGCCTGTTGGGTACTTGGGAACGAAGGGCTTTAACCCCTCAGGAGTGAGAGTTGGGATCACACCCATGAGCTGCCTGGAGGTAAGATTTGCTGAGGGCAGGGATAGTCCAGAGTGGGTGGTGAGGAGGGGTGAATGGGTGCCAGTTGCAGCTTGGGTAGACTACTGAGAGGGCCATTTTTTACCCTTTTAACTCTGAGATACCCAGGAAATAAGGCCAGCAAAAATTCTGGAGTGCTGTTCACAGGTGGAAATATTTACAATAAGAGCATGGATCTGAGCAGTATAAGAGGAGGGCCATAGTTGATACCATGGTGCTCCGCAAAGACGAATCCTTCCTCAGCACCAGAGCTATTCTCAGCTTCTGTGAATATTACCTGCTGGTTTCTCACAGCTGTGTCCCTCACCAGGCATTGACCTTGGGAACAGGGAACTGCCCACCCAAGGCTATATGCCTCCCCAGAGAGTGGCCCACAACCAGTGACGGGCTGATGTGAGCATGTAAGGACTGGTCCCTTTTCCCCATCCTGTCAGGAACTCAGTTGGTCTGGAGAGTGGAGATAAGTGGTCAGTTGTCAAAGTTGCCAGCTAAAACAGCAAGCCAGTAGTAAAACAGTTACACCTCTAATTATTTTCTGCAATGGTGCAAGCAAGAGACTTTAAAAAATGTCTCTCACTTGTGTTTTTCTGCCTAGGTTCTTCTCTTTGATGTTCTGGTTTCAGAGACCATTTAAAAATTCTCATCACTATTGCTGATGTTGGTAACAACATCTGTCTCCTGGGACTCTGACAAGTACAAACCCCTATGCCAGGATTGCTGTATCAAAGTATCACAAACTAGGTGACTTGAACAGCAGAAATGTCTTGTCTCACAGTCCTGGATGCTGGAAGTCCAAGGACAAGGTTTTAGTAAGGTTGGTTCCTTTTGGGAGCTGGGAGAGAGAATCTGTTCTAGGCTTCCCTTCTAGCTTCCTGTGACTTGCATTTCTTGGTGCATAAAAGCATCAAGCAATCTTTGCCTTGATCTTCCCATGGTGTTCTCCTTGTGTGCATGTCTGTGTCCAAATTTACCCTTTTTATGAGGACACAGGTTCTATTGGATTAAGGCTCAAGATCACCTCATCTTAACTAATTGCATATGCAATGACCTATTTCCAAAGTAGGCCACATTCTAAGGTACTGGGGGTTAGGACTTCAACCTATGAATTTTAGTGGGGATACAACTCAACCCACAATATATTACATTCTTGAAGTCTTCACTGCAGTGAAGTTGCACTCTATTGCACTGGGAGATGGCACTGGGGACCGGTGTATATGGTGGGGAGATGCTACTGTCTCCAACTCCACCATGCTCTGTCACTTGAACTAGAAAGGAATTAGGTACCATCCCACCCTCCTCCAGCCACACTGAAAACCACACCCTCAGCTCCACCTGCTGCTTTTTGACCCCTCAGACCCTGGTGCCATTTGAAGGGTTTAGTGAAGACAAATCTCAGGTTTTCTTTACTCTGTCCCTCTCCCTGGGTGCCTACGCACATAAATGTGCTCTTGCATTCTCTTTCACCTGCAATAAAAAAGAGTGAGGTATACTGATCTACACTTATCACCTACCAAGCTCTCTAAGGTAAGGTAAGTCCCTTCCTGTTATGTTTTCACTTTCAAGACCTACATACCCCACCCAAAGAAGGAGCCTTTGCCCAGCCATTAGGACTTTTTTTTTTTTTTTTTTGCAGGGTTGGGTGATGTATGGAGAGGAGAGGGAAAGAAGTAATGAGGAAGAGAGCCAGAAGGCTGGAGTCACTGCCAGAGAGAGAGAGATAGAAAGAGCAAGAGAGACAGATTATTATGGGGGCTATTAAATTTGTATTTTACACACACACACACACACACACACACACACACACACACAATGTGATATTGTCAGGCCTCTGAGCCCAAGCCTGCACGTATACATCCAGATGGCCTGAAGCAAATGAAGAATCACAAAAGAAGTGAACATGGCTGGATCCTGCCTTAACTGATGACATTACCTTGTGAAATGACTTCTCTTGGCTCAGAAGCTCCCCCACTAAGCACCCTGTGACCTCCGCCCCTGCCCACCAAAGAACAACCCCCTTTGACTAATTTTCCATTACCTACCCAAATCCTATAAAACAGCCACACCCCATCACCCTTCGCTGACTCTCTTTTCCAACTCAGCCTGCCTGCACCCAGGTGATTAAAAAACTTTATTGCTCACACAAAGCCTGTTTAGTGGTCTCTTCATATGGATGCCTGTGAAATTTGGTGCCGTGACTCGGATCTGGGGACCTCCCTTGGGAGATCAATCCCCTGTCCTCCTGCTCTTTGTTCTGTGAGAAAGGTCCACTTATGACCTTGGGTCCTCAGACCAACCAGCCCAAGAAATATCTCACCGATTTTAAATCGGGTAAGTGGCCTCTCTTTACTCTCTTCTCCAACCTCTCTCACTATCCCTCAACTTCTTTTTCCTTTCAGTCTTGGCGCCATCCTTCAATCTCTCTCTTCTCTTAATTTCAGTTCCTTTCCTTTTCTGGTAGAGACAGAGGAGACGCGTTTTATCCGTGAACCCAAAACTCCAGTGCCGGTCACGAACTCAGGAAAACTGTCTTCCCTTGGTGTTTAATCACTTAATCACTGTGGGGACGCCTGCTTGATTACTCACCCACATTTCAGTGGTGTCTGATCACTACGGGGATGCCTGCCTTGATCCTTCACCCTTGGGGCAAGCACCCCCCACCCTTTCTCTCCATGTCTCTACCCTCTCTTTTCTCTCCACTTTCCTGGGGGGGGCAAGCACCCCCCACCCCTTCTCTCCGTGTCTCTATCCTCTCTTTTCTCTGGGCTTGCCTCCTTCACTATGGGTAACCTTCTACCCTCCATTCCTCCCTCTTCTCCCTTAGCCTGGGTTCCCAAAAACGTAAAACCTGAACTCACACCTGACCTAAAACCTAAACACCCTATTTTCTTCTGCAATGCCACTTAACCACAAAACAAACTTGACAATGGTTCCAAATAGTCAGAAAATGACACTTTCAATTTTTCCATCCTACAAGATCTAGATAATTCTTGTCATAAAATGGACAAATGGTCTGAGGTGCCTGACATCTAGGCATCCTTTTACACATCAGTCCCTCCCTAGTCTCTGCTCTGAATGCAACTCATCCCAAATCTTCCTTCTTTCCCTCCCTCCTGTACCCTCAGTTCCAACCTCAAGTGTTGCTGAGTCTTTTCAATCTTCCCTTTTCACCGACCCATCTGAACTCTCCCCTTCTCCCCAGACTGCTTCTCCTCAGGTTGCTCCGTGCCAGGCTGAATCAGGCTCCAATTCTTCCTCAGCCTCCACTACCCCACCCTGTAATCCTTCTATCACCTCCCCTCCTCACACACGGTCTGGCTTACAGTTTTGTTCCACAACTAGCCCTCCCCCACCTGCCCAGCAATTTCCTTTTAAAAAGGTGGCTAGAGCTAAAGGCATTAGTCAAGGTTAATGCTCCTTTTTCTTCATCTCTCTCTTTGACCTCTCTCAAATCAGTTAGCGTGTAGGCTCTTTTTCATCAAATATAAAAACCCAGCCCAGTTCATGGCCCATTTGGCAACAACCGTTAGACGCTTTATAGCCCTAGACCCTGAAGGGTCAGAAGGCTGTCTTATTCTCAATATGCATTTTATTACCCAATCCGCTCCCAACTTTAAGTAAAGCTCCAAAAATTAAATTCTGGCCCCCAAACCCCACAACAGGACTTAATTAACCTCGCCTTCAAGGTGTACGATAATAGAGAAGAGTTGCAATTATGTGCCTCTGCTGTGAGAGAAACCCCAGCCACATCTCCAGCACAAAAGAACTTCAAAACACCTAAGCCACAGTGGTCAGGCATTCCTTCAGGACTTCCTCCCCCAAGATCTTGCTTCAAGTGCTGGAAATCTGGCTACTGGGCCAAGGAATGCCCGCAGCCCAGGATTCCTCCTAAGCTGTGTCCCATCTGTGTGGGACCCCAGTGGAAATTGGACTGTCCAACTGGCCCAAGGCTCTGACTGACTCCTTCTCAGATCTTCTCGGCTTAGCGGCTGAAGTCTGACGCTGCCCGATCACCTCAGAAGCCTCCTGGACAATCACAGATGCTTTGGGTAACTCTTACAGTGGAGGGTAAGTCTGTCCCCTTCTTAATCAATACAGAGGCTACCCACTCCACATTACCTTCTTTTCAAGGGCCTGTTTCCCCTCCCTCCATAACAGTTGTGGGTATTGACGGCCAGGCTTCTAAACCTCTTAAAACTCCCCAACTCTGGTGCCAACTTGGACAATATTCTTTTATGCACTCCTTTTTAGTTATCCCCACCTGTCCGGTTCCCTTATTAGGCTGAGACACTTTAACTAAATTATCTGCTTCCCTGACTATTCCTAGGCTACAGCCACACCTCATTGCCACCCTTTTCCCCAGTTCAAAGCCTCCTTCACATCCTCCCCTTGTATCTCCCCACCTTAATCCACAAGTATAGGACACCTCTACTCCCTCCTTGGTGACCCATCATGCACCCCTTACCATCCCATTAAAACCTAATCCCCATTCAATGCCAATATCCCATCCCACAGCACAGTTTAAAAGGATTAAAGCCTGTTATCACTTGCCTGTTACAGCAAGGCCTTTTAAAGGCTATAAACTCTCCTTACAATTTCCTCATTTTACCTGTCCTAAAACCAGACAAGCCTTACAGGTTAGTTCAGGATCTGCGCCTTATCAACCAAATTGTTTTGTCTATCCACCCCATCGTGCCAAACCCATATACTCTCCTATCCTCGATACCTCCCTCCACAACCCATCTGTTCTAGATAAACCTAGCTGACCCCATAAATCCTAAATCCTTTCCTCATTCACCTTTCCATTCCTTAAAAAACAGCCCTAAAAGCTGCTCCCATACTAGCTCTCCCTAACTCATCCCAACCTTTTTCTTTTTTATTTCTTTTCTTTTCTTTTTTTTTGAGAAGGAGTCTCACTCTGTTGCCCAGGCTGGAGTGCAGTGGCGTGATCTCGGCTCACTGCAAGTTCCGCCTCCTGGGTTCACACCATTCTCCTGCCTCAGCCTCCCCAGCAGCTAGGACTATAGGTGCACACCACCACACCCAGCTAATTTTTGTATTTTTAGTGGAGACGGGGTTTCACTGTATTAGCCAGGATGGTCCCAATCTCCTGACCTTGTGATCTGCCCCCGCCTTGGGCTCCCAAAGTACTGGGATTACAGGCGTGAGCCAACGCACCTGACCATCCCAACCTTTTTCATTACACACAGCCAAAGTGCAGGGCTGTGGGGTCAAAATTCTTACACAAGGACCGGGACCGCTCCCTGTGGCCTTTTAATCCAAACAACTTGACCCTACTGTTTTAGCCTAGCCCTCATGTCTGTGTGCGGCGGCTGCCGCTGCCTTAATACTTTTAGAGGCCCTCAAAATCACAAAGTATGCTCAACTCACTTTCTACAGTTCTCATTTCTTCCAAAATCTATTTTCTTCCTCACACCTGACACATACACTTTCTGCTCCCCAGCTCCTTCAGCTATACTCACTCTTTATTGAGTCTCCCACAATTACCATTGTTCCTGGCCCAGACTTCAATCCAGCCTCCCATATTATTCTGGATACCACACCTGACCCCCATGACTGTATCTCTCTAATCCACCTGACATTCACTCCATTTCCTCTTATTTCCTTCTTTCCTGTTCCTCACCCTGATCACACTTGGTTTATTGATGGCAGTTCCACCAGGCTTAATCGTTGCTCACCGGCAAAGGCAGGCTATGCTATAGTATCTTCCACATCTGTCATTGAGGCTACCAGTCTGCCCCACTGCACTACCTCTCAGCAAGCCGAACACATTGCCTTAACTTGAGCCCTCACTCTTGCAAAGGGATGACGTGTCAATATTTACACTGACTAAATATGCCTTCCTTATCCTGCACACCATGCTGTTACATGGGCTGAAAAAGGTTTTCTCCGTAAGTAAGGGTCCTCCATCATTAATGCCTCTTTAATAAAAATTCTTCTCAAGGCCACTTTACTTCCAAAGAAAGCTGGAGTCATTCACTGCAAGGGCCATCAAAAGGCATCAGATCCCATCCCTCAGGGCAATGCTTATGCTGAGAAGGTAGCTAAAAACCAGCTAGACTTCCAACTTCAGTCCCTCACGGCCAGTTTTTCTCCTTTTTATGGGTCACTCCCACCTACTCTCCCACTGAAACTTCCACCTATCAATCTCTTCCCACACAAAGCAAATGGTTCTTGGACCAAGGAAAATATCTCCTTCCAGCCTCATAGGCCCATTCTGTTCTGTCATCATTTCATAACATCTTCCATGTAGGTTACAAGCCACTAGCCTGTCTCTTAGAACCTCTCATTTCTTTTCCATCATGGAAATCTATCCTCAAGGAAATCAGTTCTCAGTGTTCCATCTGCTATTCTACTAATCCTCAGGGAGTGTTCAGGCCCCCTCCCTTCCCTACACACCAAGCTCGGAGATTTGCCCCTGCCCAGGACTGGCAAATTGACTTTACTTACATGCCCCAGTCAGGAAACTAAAATACCTCTTGGTCTGGATAGACACTTTCGCTTTATAGGTAGAGGCCTTTCCCACAGGGTCTGAAAAGGCCACCACAGTCATTGCTTCCCTTCTGTTAGACATAATTCCTTGGTTTGGCCTTCCCACTTCTATACAATCCAATAATGGACCGGCCTTTATTAGTCAAATCACCCAAGCAGTTTTTCAGGCTCTTGGTATTCAGTGGAATCTTCATACCCCTTACCATCTTCAATCTTCAGGAAAGGTAGAACAGACTAATGGTCTTTTAAAAACACACCTCACCAAACTCAGCCTCTAACTTAAAAAGGAGGACTCTATCAAGGATAGAGCTCCAAAATTCACCGACCAAGCAAGTAATAACGCTGAACCCCCTTGGGCACGCTCTAATTGGATGTCCTGGGTCCTCCCAATTCTTAGTCCTTTAATATCTGTTTTTCTCCTTCTCTTATTTGGACCTTGTGTCTTCCATTTCATTTTTCAATTCATACAAAACCGCATCCAGGCCATCACCAATCATTCTATACAAGAAACGCTCCTTCTAACAACCCCACAATATCACACCTTCCCACAAAATCTTCCTTCAGCTTAATCTCTCCCACTCTAGGTTCCCATGCCACCCCTAATCCCACTCAAAGCAGCCCTGAGAAACATCCCGATTATCTCTCCATACCACCCCCCAAAAATTTTCGCTGCCCCAACATTTCAATACTATTTTATTTTATTTTTCTTATTAATATAAGAAGACAGGAATGTCAGGCCTCTGAGCCCAAGCCTGCACTTGTACAACCAGATGGCCTGAAGCAAGTGAAGAATCACAAAAGAAGTGAAAATGGCTGGTTCCTGCCTTAACTGATGACATTACCTTGTGAAATTCCTTCTGGCTCAGAAGCTCCCCCACTGAGTACCTTGTGACCCCCGCCCCTGTCCGCCAAAGAACAACCCCCTTAGACTGTAATTTTCCATTACCTACCCAAATCCTATAAAACAGCCCCACCCCTATCTCCCTTCACTGACTCTCTTTTCAGATTCAGCCCGCCTGCACCCAGGTGATTAAAAAGCTTTATTGCTCACACGAAGCCTGTTTGGTGGTCTCTCCACTTGGACGCGTATGAAAGATATATATATGAGATATATAGATATATAAATCTCTCAGTGTTTTTTGACACCCTTAGGAAATATCTTCAAAGATTTTGTAGTCAGATTTGTGTGTGTGGAAGGGGGAGGTGCTTTGGGATATAACCATGTGTTGAGATTTACCTTAAGGCATTAACATGGCAGCTATACTGAAGGCTCAACACCCCCACGTCCTCATGCCAAGCCTCATGCCCATCAGCTCCTTGGTTGGTAGCGCTGCCCCAACCAGGATCATGATGGCCCAGATTGACTCAATCACAGGTTAAGCTTGAGATGAAATCTTGGAAATGCAACCACCTTTAGAGTTTAAGAAGTCCTTCATTCAAACTATTATTTGGTCTTGAGACTATCCTTTGTGGTAGGCAGAGAAGATGGGCACAGAGAAGGTGGCTTAACTTGTACTAAGTCTCAGAGAGTGAGGGTTTTATCTTGAGATGCTGTCCCTTACAATACACACGCGTGTTGCAGCTCGCATGCCCTGCAGCTGGCCTGTTGTGTGAACAGTGAGCACATTACAGGAGTGAATTTTTCAACAGGTGAGTAATAATCCTAGAGAGTCATTGAAACTGACTTTAAGAACTAAAAAAAAAACAACAAAATTAAGGGGCCATCTAAAATGTCTAACCTTTCCTCCCATTACAATTCTTTTTTGATATCAGGATGATTTCTATGATTACCCTTATGCAGCTTTGATCATCTCTCTAAACCAGTTCCCCCAAGTGTTTTATGTCACCTTCCAAACATGGTCTTAGAACCATGTGTGCATGCAGGTATGTAGGATGTTTGTTTCTCCAGTTAGGATCTGATTTTCCACCAGAGGCACTCTGTTTCTGCAGAATCTCTGACAATGCACGGATTAAATAATTAGCAAACTTCTGCGAAGAGAGTGGTGCAGGGGAGCCTGGACGGGGCAGTGGGCAGAGACATTTTTAGTTTGCTTTAATGTCTTTCCCTTTTCTTTTCTTTTTTTTTGCATCTTTTAATGTAATTGTATGTACATATTACATAAAATTTTTTTTATGGACCAAAATAAGTCAGCAGACAAAAGTATGATCTATGATCTAGAGGTCAAGCTGTTCAAATCCCAGTTCTCCCTTTTACTAGTCTGTGTCTAGGACTGGTTACTTAACCTGTTTAACTCGAGGTATTTTTTAATCTGTAAAAATGGAGATAATACTCATTTCTAGAAAGTTATTTGCATTTTGCAGGGCCCAAAGCTTTTAAAACTATGAAAGCCTTCCTTAAGAAAAAGAATATGAAATATGTATTTAAGATTAGGTATGAAAGTTAATATTTATGTAGGAAGAGAAAATAAATCAAACAGATGATACATTTAAACAATAACTGACAAATATCACAAACCTCAGAACGCTTGTGGCCATGTGAACACATTAGTAGGACATCTCACGGAGCCTTGGCAAAGGCCGGTGGAAAGAGAGGCCTTGAGACTTCAGCTTTACCAACTTTGCGGTAGAAATGCCTATGCTTGCGTTGTGACGGGCAACTGTCATCCCACCTACTCGGGAGGCTGAGGCAGAGAATTACTTGAACCCAGGAGATGGAGGTTGCAGTGAGCCAACATCGCGCCACTGCACTCCAGCCTAGCGACAGAGCAAGACTCCGTCTCAAAAAAATAAAGGAAAGCCCATGCTCACTGTACATGGCAGTTGAGGGGGTTAAATAAAACACAGCTAGTGTCTGCTCAACACAGAGCCTGACACACAGTACATCTCTCGTACATGTAAATTCCTCTCCCTCTTTTTATCCCCCCAGAATTTCTCAGGCAAAGGCAGCCTTAAAGAGGTGCAATTGCCTTATTGTTCATTCCGCAGATTCCTGCTTTTTCTTCTATGCCAGTTTGAGGACACGATGTTAAAATTATTACAGGGAGTAACAAGAGGTTTAAATTAGATAAAGTGTGTGGAAGTGCCTCACATAGTGCCTGGTCTCTATTAAATTAATTCATGACTTCTTTGAATTGGATTATGGCTTGCTGAAAGCTGACACCTCTATGTAAGGGGAGCTTTATCTAAGCAACTTGCAAAGTAAGGTGTCTGCACAATAATAGAGATGGGAACTTGGGTCTGAGAAAGCGTTTGTTATTCTAAAAGGACCTTTATTAACTACTTTGGAGAAATCTTGCTACCCAATTTAAAAGGAGACACTCATTTAAAACAAAGCTTTTGCTAAACTGTTCACCAGATGAATCCAATTTCATTGCTAATACTCGACCATCCACGCTGTCCTCTACTGATTCCTTCCCCAAATGACATTTTCCCATTAAGCAGACAGGGCTAGATTAAAAACAAAACAAAACAAAAACACCCAAAACAAAAACCAAGCAATTATGAAGTCTGTGAATGCTTTTATATGACTGTGTTTTGTATATTCTTACTCAATTCATGTAGTTTTAATTTTATTTATTTATGAGATAGATCAACTTAGAATTATCTTTATTTACATATATATTTATTTTTCTTTTGAGTCAAACTTTTACTAATATTTTATTTATACTCTTCCCCCCATCTGTCTTGGAAAAGTGATAATGTAATTGCTTTTTCGATTGATAGATTGCTTTATATTCTTAAGCAACTCAAAATGCAATACATAAAACATCTGTGAGAAAACCACACAGGCTTTTTACTGGTCAATGCATAAGGAACACATGAATATTGATTGGAGAATTAGTAATCAAAGCAGTCAGGATTTTGACTGGAAGAACAAAATCCCAAGCAGACCTATATCATAACCCCTCTTATTTCAAAAAGTGGAGCTCCTGTGAAAGCAGGAGATACAATCTGATTGTCTGCCGGCCCACCATGGAACTCTCCTTTAAGCCAGCTTTCTAATCCAGCTACTGGAATTGATGCTACAGCTAGATAAAGGTAGACAAAAATATCTGTTAAAAATCAGATAGTTTGATTCTATACTGAGAAAACATAAAAATGCCTAAATAAAAAATTCAGTTAAATATCTGAATTTATTCAACTAATTAATTTACTTAACAAATTAGTTAACTAATAATATCTTTATTTAACTAAAAATCCATGTCCTTAAAGAGTCCTTACAGGCTCCAGGCCATCCCTAAAGTCAGGATCTGTGAGGTATACAACCTAACATTGAGGGTCCACTTCGGGATTGCGTCTGCCAGGCAGATGAGGCAGCCAGTGAGACACAGGGAAACTGGAGAGGAAAAGAAGCTCTCTCCCTTTCTACAGAAACCGCATCCCACTACCCTGTGGGTTGCATGGTTATCCAGGAAATGGGCAAGATGGGATAAACTGAGAATTCCTGTTATGAGCACTGACATGAATCCTGTCTCCATAGTTTACAGGTATGACCTCTATAGTTTGTCGTCACTTAAAGGGTAGACTCTTTAGTTGTAACAATGTATTAGCCATAAAAAATTAAAAAGAAACAATCCAATGGAAAAAACTAATAAATTGTCACAGACAATTGTTCAAAGATTACACATGGCCAATAAATAAATGAGAAAGGTTAAAATAATGAAAGCCTGAAAAACATGAAAGAAAGAAAATAGAAAAGAAAATTTTTTAAAAAGAAAAAAAATGACACCCATGGCTAGTGAAAATTCCAGGAAACAGGACTGCTGATAAAGTGAATCTGATGGGATCTTTCTCCATTTCAAACTGGCAATATGTAACTAATCTCCTAAAATTGTGAATGTACATTGAAGTAGTATGATACATTTTAAAACTTGGCCTATGAAAATGATCCTGTGGCTGTTATCTACACAAACATTCATCAGAGCACTCTTTCTAACAGTACAAATTTGAAAACATCAAAATTTCTAATAATAGGAACTCAATTACATGTTAGCTCACCCATACAATGAGTTAATATGTAGTCATTAAGATTGTAATGTAGAAGATTATGTAATAACATAGGAAATATTTGACATTTTTAATAGTAAAAATGCAGGTTATGAAAATTAATTTATATTTATAAAACATATCTATAACTTTATATACAAAGATGATGCAATCATAGAGAGACACACATGGCGATTTCTTCTGGAGATTATTTTGGTAGTTTATTTTTTTCTTTGCTTTCCTTTTTCTTTCCTTTTAAAAACTTTTTCTAAATAATGAGGAATTTTAAAAGCACAGAAAAGAGAAATACAACATCCTTGCATCTGCTAATCAAAACAAATAATCACTAATTTTTAAAATTATTTTTCCTAAAGAAATTACAGAGCTTAAGTCCTTTTCGTGTCTCATATGCAACCTTCATGTTCCTTCTACCCAAAGACAAACACTGTGCTGAGTTTGGGATGTATTCCTTACATCATTTTTTTTCACCATTTTATGTTAATGCACATACCCCAAAACAATGTACATTATTGTCTTTGTATTATGTTCATATCAATTATATCATGATTTCTGCAACTTACTTTTTTTACTCAATATGGTATATTTTTGACATGGATCCATGGTGATACATATTGTCAGGCCTCTGAGCCCAAGCCAAGCCATCGCATCCCCTGTGACTTGCACGTATACGCCCAGATGGCCTGAAGTAACTGAAGAATCACAAAAGAAGTGAATATGCCCTGCCCCACCTTAACTGATGACATTCCACTACAAAAGAAGTGTAAATGGCTGGTCCTTGCCTTAAGTGATGACATTACCTTGTGAAAGTCCTTTTCCTAGCTCATCCTGGCTCAAAAAGCACCCCCACTGAGCACCTTGCGACCCCCACTCCTGCCCGCCAGAGAACAAACCCCCTTTGACTGTAATTTTCCTTTACCTACCCAAATCCTATAAAACAGCTCCACCCCTATCTCCCTTCACTGACTCTCTTTTCGGACTCAGCCCCCCTGCACCCAGGTGAAATAAACAGCCATGTTGCTCACACAAAGCCTGTTTGGTGATCTCTTCACATGGATGCACATGAAATTTGGTGCTGTGACTCAGATCGGGGGACCTCCCTTGGGAGATCAATCCCCTGTACTCCTGTTCTTTGCTCCATGACAAAGATCCACCTATGACCTCAGGTCCTCAGACCGACCAGCCCAAGGAACATCTCACCAATTGTAAATCAGGTAAGCGGCCTCTTCTTACTCTCTTCTCCAACCTCTCTCACTGTCCCTCAACCACTTTCTCCTTTCCACTCTTCAGTCTCTCCCTTCTCTTAATTTCAATTCCTTTCATTTTCTGGGAGAGACAAAGGAGACACATTTTATCCGTGGACCCAAAACTCTGGCGCCGGTGACGGACTGGGAAGGCAGCCTTCCCTTGGTGTTTAATCATTGCAGGGATGCCTCTCTGATTATACACTCACGTTTCAAGGGTGTCAGACTATGCAGGGACGCCTGCCTTGGTCCTTCACCCTTAGTGGCAAGTCCCGCTTTTCTACAGGGCAAGAACCCCCAATCCCTTATTTCCATGCCCCAACCTCTTATCTCTGTGCCCCAATCCCTTATTTCTGCACCCTGACCTCTTATCTCTGTGTCCCAATCCCTTATTTCCGTGCCCAGACCTCGTATCTCTGTGCCCCAATCCCTTATTTCTGCGCCCCAACCTGTTATATCTCTGTGCCCCAATCTCTTATTTCCACACCCTGACCTCTTATCTCTGTGCCCCAACCCCTTTTCCCACTTTTCTGGAAGGTAAGAACCCCCAACTCCATTTCTCTACTCTCTCTTTTCTCTAGGCTTGCTTCCTTCACTATGGGCAACCTTCCACCCTCCATTCCTCCTTCTACTCCCTTGGCCTGTGTTCTCAAAAACTTAAAACCTCTTCAACTCACACCTGACCTAAAACCTAAATGCCTTATTTTCTTCTGCAATGCTGCTTGACCCCAATACAAACTCGACAGTAGTTCCAAATAGCCAGAAAATGGCACTTTGAATTTTTCCATCCTGCAAAATCTAAATAATTCTTGTCGTAAAATAGGCAAACGGTCTGAGGTGCCTGATGTCCAGGCATTCTTTTACACATCAGTCCCTTCCTAGTCTCTGTGCCCAGTGCAACTCGTCCCAAATCTTCCTTCTTTCCCTCCCGCCTGTCCCCTCAGTCCCAACCCCAAGCATCGCTGAGTCTTTCTAATCTTCCTTTTCTACAGACCCACCTGACCTCTCCCCTCCTCCCCAGGCTGCTCCTCGCCAGGCCGAGCCAGGTCCCAATTCTTCCTCAGCCTCTGCTCCTCCACCCTATAATCTTTTTATCACCTCCCCTCCTCACACCTGGTCCGGCTTACAGTTTCGTTCCGTGACTAGCCCTCCCCCACCTGCCCTGCAATTTACTCTTAAAAAGGTGGCTGGAGCCAAAGGCATAGTCAAGGTTAATGCTCCTTTTTCTTTATCCCAAATCAGAAGTGTTTAGGCTCTTTTTCATCAAATATAAAAACCCAGCCCAGTTCATGGCTCGTTTGGCAGCAACCCTGAGACACTTTACAGCCCTAGACCCTAAAAGGTCAAAAGGCTGTCTTGTTCTCAATATACATTTTATTACCCAATCTGCTCCCGACATTAAATAAAACTCCAAAAATTGGAATCTGGCCCTCAAACCCCACAACAGGACTTAACTAACCTCACCTTCAAGGTGTACAATAACAGAAAAAAGTTGCAATTCCTTGCCTCCACTGTGAGACAAACCCCAGCCACATCTCCAGCACACAAGAACTTCCAAACGCCTGAACCACAGCAGCCAGGAGTTCCTCCAGAACCTCCTCCCCCAGGAGCTTGCTACACGCGCCGGAAATCTGGCCACTGGGCCAAGGAATGCCCGCAGCCCAGGATTCCTCCTAAGCTGCGTCCCATCTGTGTGGGACCCCACACAGAAAATCGGACTGTTCAACTCACCTGGCAGCCACTCCCAGAGCCCCTGGAACTCTGGCCCAAGGCTCTCTGACTCCTTCCCAGATCTTCTCGGCTTAGCGGCTGAAGACCGACACTGCCCGATCGCCTCAGAAGCCCCCTAGACCATCACGGACGCCGAGCTTTGGGTAACTCTCTCAGTGGAAGGTAGGCCCGTCCCCTTCTTAATCAATATGGAGGCTACCCACTCCACATTACCTTCTTTTCAAGGGCCTGTTTCCCTTGCCTCCATAACTGTTGTGGGTATTGACGGCCAGGCTTCTAAACCTCTTAAAACTCCCCAACTCTGGTGCCAACTTAGACAATACTCTTTTAAGCACTCTTTTTTAGTTATCCCCACCTGCCCAGTTCCCTTATTAGGCTGAGACACTTTAACTAAATTATCTGCGTCCCTGACTATTCCTGGACTACAGCTATATCTCATTGCTGCCCTTCTTCCCAATCCAAAGCCTCCTTTGCGTCCTCCTCTTGTATCCCCCCACCTTAACCCACAAGTATAAGATACCTCTACTCCCTCCTTGGCGACCGATCATGCACCCCTTACCATCTCATTAAAACCTAATCACCCTTACCCCACTCAACGCCAATATCCCATCCCACAGCACGCTTTAAAAAGATTAAAGCCTGTTATCACTCACCTGCTACAGCATGGCCTTTTAAAACCTATAAACTTTCCTTACATTTCCCCCATTTTACCTGTCCTAAAACCAGACAAGCCTTACAATTTAGTTCAGGATCTGCGCCTTATCAACCAAATTGTTTTGCCTATCCACCCCGTGGTGCCAAACCCATATACTCTCCTATCCTCAATACCTGCCTCTACTACCCATTATTCTGTTCTGGATCTCAAACGTGCTTTCTTTACTATTCCTTTGCACCCTTCATCCCAGCCTCTCTTCGCTTTCACTTGGACTGACCCTGACACCCATCAAGCTCAGCAAATTACCTAGGCTGTACTGCCGCAAAGCTTCACAGACAGCCCCCATTACTTCAATCAAGCCCAAATTTCTTCCTCATCTGTTACCTATCTCGGCATAATTCTCATAAAAACACACATGCTCTCCCTGCCAATTGTGTCTGACTGATCTCTCAAACCTAAGCACCTTCTACAAAACAACAACTCCTTTCCTTCCTAGGCATGGTTAGCACGGTCAGAATTCTTACACAAGAGCCAGGACCACACCCTGTAGCCTTTCTGTCCAAACAACTTGACCTTACTGTTTTAGCCTAGCCCTCATGTCTGCGTGCAGTGGCTGCCGCTGCTTTAATACTTTTAGAGGCCCTCAAAATCACAAACTGTGCTCAACTCACTCTCTACAGTTCTCATAACTTCCAAAATCTATTTTCTTCCTCATACCTGACGCATATACTTTCTGCTCCCCGGCTCCTTCAGCTGTACTCACTCTTTGTTGAGTCTCCCACAATTACCGTTGTTCCTGGCCCAGACTTCAATCCGGCCTCCCATATTATTCCTGATACCACACCTGACCCCCATGACTCTATCTCTCTGATCCACCTGACATTCACCCCATTTCCCCAGATTTCCTTCTTTCCTGTGCCTCACCCTGATCACGCTTGATTTATTGATGGCGGTTCCACCAGGCCTAATTGCCACACACCAGCAAAGGCAGGTTATGCTATAGTACAAGCCACTAGCCCGCCTCTTAGAACCTCTCATTTCCTTTCCATCGTGGAAATCTATCCTCAA
Source organism: Homo sapiens (assembly GCF_000001405.40). NCBI lineage: Eukaryota > Metazoa > Chordata > Mammalia > Primates > Hominidae > Homo > Homo sapiens. The sequence goes on from NC_000008.11 coordinate 71,679,020, forward strand.
GGAAATAACTTCTCAGCATTCCATCTGCTATTCTACTACTCCTCAGGGATTATTCAGGCCCCTTCCCTTCCCTACACATCAAGTTCGAGGATTTGCCCGACCCAGGACTGGCAAATTAGCTTTACTCAACATGGCCTGAGTCAGACAACTAAAATACCTCTTAGTCTGGGTAGACACTTTCACTGGATAGGTACAGGCCTTTCCTACAGGGTCTGAGAAGGCCACCGCAGTCATTTCTTCTGTTCTGTCAGACATAATTCCTCAGTTTAGCCTTCCCACCTCTATACAGTCTGATAACAGACCAGCCTTTATTAGTCAAATCAGCCAAGCAGTTTTTCAGGCTCTTAGTATTCAGTGAAACCTTTATATCCCTTATGGTCCTCCATCTTCAAGAAAAGTAGAATGGACTAAAGGTCTTTTAAAAACATACCTCACCAAGCTCAGCCACCAACTTAAAAAGGACTGGGCAATACTTTTACCACTTTCCCTTCTCAGAATTCAGGCCTGTCCTCAGAATGCTACAGGGTACAGCCCATTTAAGCTCCTGTATAGACGCTCCTTTTTATTAGGCCCCAGTCTCATTCCAGACACCAGACCAACTTAGACTGTGCCCCCCAAAAAACTTGTCATCCCTACTATCTTCTATCTAGTCATACTGCTATTCACCATTCTCAACTACTCACACATGCCCTGCTCTTATTTACACTGCCAGTTTACACTGTTTTTCCAAGCCGTCACATCTGATATCTCCTGGTATTATCCCCAAACTGCCACTCTTAACTCTTGAAGTAAATAAATAATCTTTGCTGGCAGGACTATGCTGAATCTCCTTAGGCACTCTCTAATCAGATATCCTGAGTCATGCCAACTCTTAGACCTTTTATACCTGTTTTTCTTCTTCTGTTATTCCATTTAGTTTCTCAATTCATACAAAACCGTATCCAGGCCATCACTAATCATTCTATACAACAAATGTTTCTTCTAACATCCCCACAATATCACCCCTTACCACAAGACCTCCCTTCAGCTTAATCTCTCCCACTCTAGGTTCCCACAGCACCCCTAATCCCGCTTGAAGCAGCCCTGAGAAACATTGCCCATTCTCTCTCCATACCACCCCCCAAAAATTTTCGCTGGCCCAACACTTCAACACTATTTTGTTTTATTTTTCTTATTAATATAAGAAGTCAGGAATGTCAGGCCTCTGAGCCCAAGCCAAGCCATCGCATCCCCTGTGACTTGCACGTATACACCCAGATGGCCTGAAGTAACTGAAGAATCACAAAAGAAGTGAATATGCCCTGCCCCACCTTAACTGATGTCATTCCACTACAAAAGAAGTGTAAATGGCCTGTCCTTGCCTTAAGTGATGACATTACCTTGTGAAAGTCCTTTTCCTGGCTCATCCTGGCTCAAAAAGCACCCCCACTGAGCACCTTGCGACCCCCACTCCTGCCCGCCAGAGAACAAACACCCTTTGACTGTAATTTTCCTTTACAAATCCTATAAAACGCCCCCCCCTCCCCATCTCCCTTCATTGACTCTCTTTTCGGACTCAGCCCGCCTGCACCCAGGTGAAATAAACAGCCATGTTGCTTACACAAAGCCTGTTTGGTGTTCTCTTCACACGGACGCGCATGAAACATATATCTAGTTTATTTTTCTCACCTATCATTCACCTGAATTTCTTTAAAAAATTTTAACCCTTTGTTAACCACATTTAGACTGTTTCTCTTTTTATTTGTAAGATACAAATTTTATAAGAGGTTTGTTTCAAGGGGATTCTTTGTTTATAGAGCATCAACAATGTTCAACACACATCTTTCAGTCACCGTATTGTTTAGTGATATGTTTTTTGCTATTCCAAATGGGATTTTATTCCTATTACTTTTCATCATGAAATTCACATCATATGGATTGGGGTCCCCAACCCCCTGGCCGCAGACAGGTACTGGTCTGAGGCCTGTTAGGAACTGGGCTGCACAGCAGGAGGTTAGCAGTGGGTGAGCATTACTGCCTGATTGGGTGAGCAAGCTTTACTGCCTGAGCTCCGCCTCCTGTCAGATCAGTGGAGGCATTAGTTTCTCATAGGAGTGTGAACACTTTTGTTAACTGCACACGCAAGGGATCTAGGTTGTGTGCTCCTTGTGAGAAACTAATGCCTGAGGTGGAACAGTTTCATCCCCAAACCACCCCTACCCAACCTCTCTGTTGAAAAATTGTCTTCCATGAAACCAGTCCTTGGTGCCAAAAAGGTTGAGGACCACTGGTATAACATTACAGAGGGATAAAAGTCTAGTATACTCCTACTACCTAGATAAAAATTTTGCATTATTAATTAAACATATTTGCTTTTGATTTTTTTAAAGGAAATAGTAATTGAACCCTGTTTTCATCTCTCCCTAAATCCATCTTCTCCCTTCTACTCAAATCATGGTTACCACTCACTCATATTTTCATAATTGCACTTTATATGTATGCATTTGCCAACCCTGTATATTATTATTTTATTTAAAATTTTACCTAAATAATTTAATTCTTTCTACATTTTGCTTTTAATTTCACTCATCCTTAAAGGTTTGTTGTATAGATATAAGTATAGATATCTTATATCTCCTTGGTTAGAAGACACTAGTATAGATATAGATTGCTCTGTATCATTTTATAAATGTTTTCCAATTTATTTACTCCTTACCTTATTGATAGATATTGATTTATTCTCAAATTGTCATTGCTACCTTGTTGCAAAGAAAATCCTTGTATAAGTCTCCTTGTACATCTTCAACAATCTCTTGATGCTGCATACCAAGAAGTGGAATTTCTGAATCCTTGAGTGTCAACATTTTTAGCTTTACTTGATTTTGCCAACTTACAGTTGTACTATACTGTGTTCTTACTAACTTTATAGAAGAATGTTCATTTCACAACATACTTACATAGTGTCCATACAGTGTATAGTGTGTGTGTATATAGTGTGTATGTATATATATACAGGATAAACATACATAGTATATATATTTGGGCATTTAACCCAAAATGTAATAATCCTAATTTTTTTATTCTTATCTTTTTTGCCCTTATCTTTTAGCTTGTCTCTTAAAATATATATATATATATATAACTACATTTTTGAAAAATTCCATCTGTGACTCCATTGTCTTTTATCAAACAAATGTAACTTGTCTACTTTCACTGGGATTGTTAATATATTTGGATTTGTTTCTGCAATCTCATTTGTGCTTTCTATTTATATACCTTTATTGACCTTTTCTTTTGTTTCTATTTCCTGCCTTCTATTGAATTATTTAAATAGTCATGATTCCCTTTTATTCCTCACTATTGGTTTCAATATTTTTGTTATCTTAATGGATATAACATTATTTTTCTGCAGTCAATACTTAGATTTACACATTTCTTTGCTCGCTATTAGGTCTTGCACTTGGGTTCATTTTCTTTTTGCTAAAATCATCCTTTAAAAATTATTTCCTTGAGGGCTTATGTATAACAGACTTTTGCACCTGAACTATGGTTTAGTTATATATAATTCCATTTTAGGTTGCCAGAACACTACCAATATTATTATTATGCATGTGTATGTCATTTGCCTTTTCTCTTTAGCAGCCTTTAAGATTTTTCTCTTTATCCTTAAGATTCTGCATTTTCAATATATTGTGTCTGGTTGTAAGTTTTTATTCTTTATTCTGTTATCCAACTAGTTTACCCTTTCAATCTAAGGGCTTCTACCCTGATTCAGTTCTGACAAATTTTAGACATTTATCTCATTGAATATTACCTTAGTCTCATTCTACCTATGTTCTGCATGGTTTAGGATTTCTTCCATTCTTTGTTCACAAATTTTCTCTTCAATCCTGTCACACTAACAGGTTTGGACTAGGAGCCAGAAATAGATAGGGGAGTTGATGAGATTGGTCCTCAAGTGCAGGCAGGGGAAATAGAAAATTAAAGTCTTGATTAGATGTTTCCTGTGTTTTCCTAGTGGAAAGCCTTAGAGTGTTCTACAGGAAAGAGACATATTTCCATTACTACTACTAGGGCTGTGGCTTTCACCACAAATTGCAGATGAGACTTCAATATCTCCTGTACAATATATTCCTTCTCTATGTGGTGGATTCCCTAGTCAGGGAATATGTGGTCTAATAAGGAGGGCAGGCTAAGTTTCCATTAGACATATAGAACAGATGCAAATAGAAGAGAGGGTAAATTGTCTTGGAGGGTTGTTAGCATGATCACTTCTGCCAACTTGAAAGTCTCTAAGTGTTACACTTTCAGCTTCCACCACCAGCACATTCTATGTATGTTTTAGAATAGCCGTATGGCATCTCCCTCTCAAATATTTTTTCTTGCCATCATAAGTTGCTCATTTTTCTGGTCCCTAATACACTGGATGGTATCCTTAAAATCTGATTGGAGTTCTGTAGTTGGCTTATGTACTGACTTCAATCCAGGATATCAGTGTTGTAAAGGAATCAAGTAAATAGTGAAAGTAGAAACAATAATGGCAATGGTATAGTGTGTTCCATGTAGAGGAATAAAGCATGTTGATATACCAAAACTCTAGGGTTAGACTTACTTGGCTGTTGGTACAATATGTAGCAACATCAAAGTAATTTAAGAGCCTGCTGTTCTGTTTCACTGACACTCTGTGGATGATGGTGTTATATAGATGACTGTAAAGTTGAAAAGATTTCTATTAGAGTTCTTAATCTTGGAGAATAATTGAAAGCTGTGGCTAAGTACTCAGTGCGAGTCAAAAATTGTATTAATAAGTAGGCTGGCAGTTACTTGTAAAAAGAGGGACCCAGTGCAAGGGATGAAGCCTGCCCTTTTGGACAATTTATCTGCCATCACCAGGCTGGTATTTTATCAGTTTGAAAAGATAAGTAAAATATACAAATCAAGGGTATGATGTTTCAAGGGTATTTGAGATAGAAAGAAAATACAGTATTTTTTTTGAGGATGCTGAAAATGGTCTCAGGTAGTTGCAGAACAACAAAAAAAAATTACAAGACTACTAGAGGTCCCTGGGCCCCTACTCAATTTCTTGAATGGGCCATAGTAGCAAGCTGGAGTGGTCCCGTTGTATAGTGCAAAATGTGGACACAGGTAATTCCACCTGAAATGTACCTCTCCAACACTTTCCTCAATCTGAATGGAACACACGTTCTCTACCTATTGCCTAAGGATGAGTGGGATTCATCCTTTTGGACTCATCTAAAATGTACTTTTCTCAAGGAAGCAGTCTCTGACACTGTTCCTCCTGCTCCCTGTCAACCCAGAATGTGAAGCTGTCTTCCTATGTGAACTTCCAATATCCCTTACTTCTGTTGCCTTTGAAATGTTTATTATCTTTGTGGTTAATTTGTTTAATTTCTAACTTTTCTACTAGATTGTAAGCTCCAAGAAGGCAAGGACAGTGTTACAATGCTGTTGTTTTTTGATTTTTTAATAATAGACATTCTTACTGATGTGACATGGTGTCTCATTGTGGTTTGGATTTGCATTTCTCTGATAATTAGTGATGCTGAGCATTTTTTTCATATGTTTGTTGGCTACTTGTACATCTTCTTTTGAAAAGTGTCAGTTCACGTCCTTTTCCCATTTTTTAATGGAGTTGTTTTTTGCTCGTTGACTGTTTAAGCTACCTGTGGATTCTGGATATTAGATTTTTGTTGGAGGTATAATTTAGTTTGGCAGTTTTTAATAAAGATAACCTACAGCTATTGTGTGACTCAACAATTTTACTCGTAGGTATTTACCCAAGAGAAATGAAAGCAGATGTCTACAAAAGGATTTATACATGAATATCCATGTATATCCAGCATAATTTATAGTAGTAAAAAATTAGAAACAGCCCAGGTATCCATCAGTAGCTGAATGGATCAACAAATGATGATATATTTACACCATGGAATACTAATCAGCAATAAAAAAGCAAACTACCTTTACACACAAACATGGGTGAGTCTCCAAAACATCATGTTGAGCAAAAGAAACCCAAAAAAAAAACACATTCTGTGGGACTCCGTTTATATAGAAATGGGAACAATGGTTGTCCCCAGGGCAACATTTATAAGATGATGAAAATGTTCTGTATCTTGATTTGGATGGTAGTTTCCTGGGTACATAATTTGTCAAACTTCATCAACATGTAAATGTAAGATCCGTGCATTTTACTATATTTAAACTATACCTCTTCAAAATTTTTAAAAATAGTAATTTGCAAATAAAGGAGAGATCCACCACCTGTCTGTAATCAACTGAGTTTCTAGGTAGTTTCTAGCTCAATTGTCTGCAGTGGCGGAAACATATTACCCTTAAATTATGGGAAACTTCAAAGGGACAAGGTCCTCTTCAAAGCAAATAATTCTCATTTTCCACTGGGCTAGCTGATCTTTGTGGAGACCACTCTATCAGAAAAAGTATGTATGCTGATGCACTGATGTGGGGACAGAGGTTTCAGCCAGGGCAACTTGGATTGTGGTCAGCCCAGCTAGAAGGAAGCCACTGGACTGTCATAGTGGTCTCCAAGAACAAAACAACTTCCTTCAATCCTTTTGGGGAAAAAGTTCCTTCACCTTTTTTATGTAAAAAGACTACCATGGCAGAAAAATGGTGAATAAACACAGTAGTATACAGGGAAGTCCAGAGTCCATATCCTGGGCAAAGTAGAGACTGCCTGGATTAAGTCTTCCACATAGGGTAGAGAGCAAGAAGAGTTAAAGTGAAATATTAGCAACAGAGAGTTAGGAAAAAATGGAGATAAGATGTTTTAGGACCCGAAGTAAGAAATTGCCTGGCTCTTAGTGGAAAGGTGCTTTAAAAGTCCCCTTACAGCTGAGCTTGTGAATGAGAATAGACCTGTTCAGAAGGCTTTAGGTTGCCTTGGACTTTGGCAGGAAGTCATTTTGACAGAACATCTTCTTTTTTTTAACCTGTGATTGTGTCATGCTGCTGTAGCCACGGTCTGTGTTTTGTGCACACTTCAAAGTAATATTTTAAAAGGAAAGAATTATGAACGCTAGAAATCTGGAATTTTCCTTTGAAAAGTAAGCTAAAAGTAATTTAAATTAAAAGACACTGATTAAAATCGCCCTGTTTTAGATTTTAAGACATGCTATTTCTTTCTGATTATTATCTCTCAGTTACTTAATATAAACCACTCCTAGATCAAGAGAATCAGTCAGAAATTTTGTGATAAAACTCAGGAACTATTCATGAACAGCCAAAAACAGCTTCACAGATAGCCTTCTGAAGACATTTAATAAGTCCATCATAATCAGCACATGATCCTCAAGAAATAAGAATAAGAAACAGCTGCTTTGTAGCAAATCCCAAGTACAGTAGGGATTAATTCTAAACTCATGTCACATTTAGTCAGTTTTCATTTGGGACAACAGGGAAAATCCTTACCAGGCTAAGGGCAATTATGTATTTGTCAAAACAGATGAAACATAAATTGTTAATTCTATTTTTCTCTCAGATAAATATTTCTGTGGAACATGGAATCTTTTAATGTTAAAATAATCAGTGAAGAAAGACTCTTGACAGTTCTTTTTGTGTCTCGCCTTTTCTGCCTTACTTCACAGTTTTAAATCTGGTCTTAACTCCCTTTGAAAATTCTTTGATGGTGATGATAAATCTTCTTTCCATTTGTCTCCATAACATATTCATTCTTCATCATTAAACATAATGCTACCAGTGGTGTTTCTACTATTTCTGAGAATAAGAAAATTGTAATTAACAACTCATATTTTATCATTCTAAGGACCTGGGTTTGAATCCCATTTCTACCACCTGTAAGCCATGTAATTTTTCCATGCTTTAAATTTTGAGTAATTAGCTGTTTCATCTCTTAAATGGGAATAATAGGGCCGGGCATGGTGGCTCACACCTGTAATCCAAACACTTTGGAAGGCCAAGGCAGGCAGATCATTTAAAGTCAGGAGTTCGAGACCAGCCTGGCCATCATGATGAATCCTCATCTCTACTAAAAATACAAAAATTAGCTGCACATAGTGATGTGCGTCTGTAATCCCAGCTACTTGGGTGGCTTGAGGTGAGAGGATCACTTGAACCTGGGAGGCGGAGGTCGCAGTGAGCCAAGATTGCGCCACTGCAGCCCAGTCCGGGTGACAGTGAGACTCCATCTCAAGAAATAAAAATAAAAATTAAAAATTAATTAATTAGTTAATTTAATAGGAATAATAATAGTGATTTATTTACATGGTTGCAATCAGATAATTCATGTAAAGCATAGTATTAGCCCATGGTAAGTGCGAAATAAATGGTAGCTATGAGGCTGGTGATGATGAAAGCTCTAGGAGAGCTTTTATGCCTTAATTGCTGATTAATTGCCTGGCAGGGGTGGTTGAATGGGTTTTTATGCAGTAGGTCTAGTGATGGGCCTGAGATCTGTATATCTAACAAGCTCCTAGGGGATGCCCAGGCTGTGGGGTCATGAACTATATTTTGAAAATCAAGAACCTCTTTTCCCTCTTGTGGTGTGTTTTGTGATATAGTCTGTTTCTGATTTTTGTAAGTCATGTTCTACTTTGCCTTGCAATTATTGACTGTACGATTTAGTGATCTTGTGTCTTCCAAGGGACCAAAACAACTAATAGAGAAATAGAGTTTTTTAATTATCCAGATGTTTGGTCTATCCCATGGCAAACATTTGGATGCCATGTAGAGCAAGTATGTGAATCACTGACTATTCATCTTTAACATTTTGAATTAGATATACTGGCCTTGTATAAGAACAGACTGAGTAATTAGCCATTTTCTCCCCATTAATCTGGCCTATCATGGACTGTTTTACTTGCTCACTAATCTAGGTTTGTAGTTAGCAGTTCACCCCTCTGTACTATCATCAACCAGCCAGAATTTCAAAAAGGCTTCTGGTGTTAAAAGAGCCCCATAGGCAAATCTGACTCCCTTATCTCTGCTTTAATCAGAAATGTGTTGATCTTATTATCCCCTGACTGTTCCTCTGATTTCATCAGGCCCTTGTGCCCCACCTTCTGCTGGTCCCAACTATCCCTAACACGTGGAAAGAAGAAATGAGAGGGCAACTATCTCCTCTCTGTAAATCAGGCTTATCCATCTCCTCACTTCTCTCTGGTGGTGTCCCGTCTACAGCCCCACAGCTGTGCCCTTGCCTACCTTGACCACAGCCATCTCCAGTTCAAAGCCTACAATTGGCTACTTATCACTATAGACTCTAAACCTTCCCCAGCCTCCCTCTTGACATCTAAGACCCTTTTTCTCAGACCCTTTATGCCAGCTGCAGGAACCTACTGGTTATGTCCTGATACAGCTGTCTAGATAGTGTTGCTGGAAGATCCGGGCCACAGTAGACCAGCTATTGGGGAACCACAGGGGTCAAGAATGCATTGTCTCTAGAAAGACATCACCTGATTTGAGGCAGCTGTGGGTGGTATGACACAGAGCCATAGACACTACCTGCATCCTCTGCGACTTGGATCAGAAATTCCATCAGGGAAGACGTCCTGTATCTTTTAGAGTCTGCCACTGATAGGTTGGTGAGTTGGAATGAGCTGACAGACACTGAAGGAAAATTTATCATCCATGCTTAGAGGCAGTATGTTGTATTCAATGTCGAGAGCAGGGAATCTGGAATTAGATCATAATTTGAATTTCAGCTTCATTCCTTACTATGAGAACTTATACAAGTTATTATATACATGCACGTAGACGTATGTGTGTGTATATATATTCTTTTTAAAAGGAAAACATTCTTGTAATATAAATATTTTAAAAATGTGTAGCTAACAATATAACAAACCCTAAAATACTTATGTTTTCATAACTGTTCTTGAACAATTATCAGCTCATGGCCAGTCTTGTTTCATTTCTACTTTCATCCATTCCCTTTCCTGTATTATTTAGAAGCAAATGTTGGGTATCAAACAAGTTCATCAATAAATCTTTTAGTATATCTCTAAAAGACAAAGTTTTTAAAAACAAAAAGCTAACCATAATATCTTGCCTGACAAAGTTTAGAATTCTCTAATTTGATCAATATCCAGTAAATGTTCAAATTTTCAATTATCTCTTGATTTCTTTATATTATATTTTCTTGAATAAGGATCTAAATAAAATCTATACTTTGTAATTACTAAAATATCTTAAGTGTCTTATAATTTATATTCTCCCCCATTACATGTTTTTTGGAATTTATTTTTTGAAGAAACTGAATTGTTTGTCCTGTAGTTTTCCATCATCTGAATTTTGCTTAATGCAGAACTGTGGTATCACTTAACATGTTTCTTTATCCAATTCCCTGGTACATTGCATTGTATATACAGGCTTGATCAGATTCAAGTTTGATTTTTGGCAAAAGTACTTCCTAGGTAGTGCTGTGTTCTCCCATCAACAGACACATTTCTGGTTCTCTGTCTTTGGTGATATTAACAGCCACTGATGATTATGGTTAGCCCACTAATTCACAATGGATAAAAATTGTAATATACTAGACTATCATTACCTCCTCAATTATTAGCTGAAATAGCTATGTAAAGAGAAACTTTCTCTCATCTGCAATTGGGTTATCCAAAGATACGGTTTGCATAGAAAAAAATCAGTGTCCAAAATAAAGAGTTGATATCTGAACATCATTTAGCAATGGCCATAAGTTTATCTTTAGAAACTCCTATATTTAAATGTACTTGAAGTACTTCAACCCTCTTGTAATTATTCTCCTTATTTATACTTACCAATTTTTGCCCAGTGGGTGACTCTTTGAGTTTATCCCTATGTTCTTGGATGTAACTTTAGTCATCTTTTATAGCTTCATTTCTATGTAGCATGATACATTTATCCAGACTCATTATGTACAATTCTTGCTGAGACCTGGAAATCATTGAAATCTCCAGGAAATTCTGGGCCCTGTTAATGGAAAATTTTACTGGAGGTTTTAATCTGGGCACTAAGAATATTCATTACTACTGGGTTTGCCATTATTCCTGGGTGTTTTCAGTAAACACAGTTAGAAAAAAATTGTTTTAAATAGAATTTATCATAAGTTTAGATTGATACTTCCAGTTCAAATTGAAGACAATAGCATTTTTAATTTAACCTCTTTGATCTTTAATCTGAATCTCCTTTTTCTCATGCTGAGAATCTGACACAGAAAAATAGAATATCAAATATTCCTCATTTGCTTTATCTCACAATATACCTACAATATTCTCAGAATAATAATAAACAAAATTACCACCAACTAAATGGTTGGCAAAAATAGTATAAGACAATTTTTTGGCTTCTCTGGGCCATATTGGAAGAAGAAGAATTGTCTTGAGCCACACATAAAATACACTAACACTAATGATAACTGATGAAATTCTAACAATTATGAAAAAAATCTCATAATGTTTTAAGGAAGCTTATGAATTTCTGTTGGACTCCATTCGAGGCTGTTCTGGGTTACATGCAGCCTGTGGGCTGTGGATTGGACAAGCTTGGTGTAAGGTATTATCTTGCAGATTTTTTCATTTTTAGGATATATTATATTAGGAATCATTGGCAAATTACTGTGTTTTTAAGTCACTTTGAATCTCTGTGTGATTATGGTACCAATTCCCTTATTTAATTTTATTTTTTATTTTTATAGATTTTTACCTTAATTTTTTAGTGAGTATGTAAAATATTTACATGGTCCATGTCAAGTCTGTAAAACAAGTCTAGTTTCTATCCCTGACTACTCTATTTTCTCCCTCCCCCTATATATAACCACTCTTCATTTTATGTTTTCTTTTTTGTATACTTTTCTATTTCTGTCATTGCAAATTACTACAAAATTAGTGGCTTCAATACAACACACATTTGTTATTTACGGTTCTGTAGGTTAGGAGTCCTGACGTGGTTCTGACTGGGCTAAAATCAGCATGTTGGCAGGGCTGTGTGCCTTTCTGGAGACTCCGGGGAAAACTCCATTGCCTTGCTTTTTGCGGCTTTTAGAGGCCACCCACATTCCTTGGCTAATGGACCCCTTTCTCCATCTTCAAAGTCAGCAATATTGCATTGCATCTCTCTGACCACTCTTACCTAGACACATCTGCTGACTCCCCTCTTCTGCTTCCATCTTGACCCTTGAGATCACCTTGGGTTTACCTAAATAATCCAGGAGAATCTCCCATCTCAAGGTCCTTAATTTAATGAGATCTAAAAAGGCCCTTTTGGTGTGTAAGTAACTACTTCAAATGGCAGGAATTAGAACTGGGACATATTCAAGGGACCAAAATTTGGCCTGCCATAATTCCCCACTTTCTTAGATATTAGGTACATACTATTCACATTTTCTCCACCTTGCTCTTTGCACTTAGTACTATATTCACTCCATAGTAGCATATGGATATACCTCCCTCATCCTCACTCTTGGAGAAATACAGTCATGGATTCTTAGTTTCTGTTTCTGTTTGTGTCAGTAAAGCCCCTTCCTCATCCCTCTTTTCTGCTTACCACTAGAGACAGAAACTAAAAATCTTGGCTTGAGGCTGCTAAAAGTCTAAAACAAAACAAAATAGAACAGAACAACAACAACAACAACAACAAAATAAGGTGGGGTGGACAAGCTTGCTTTACCACCACATAGTATTCTACCATGAGAATAGACCTTAATATATTCAACCAGCCCCCAGTAATGGACACTTGAGTCTGTTTCTAGTCATTGCTGTTTCACATATTCGGTAATAAATAGCCATGTACATTTATCTTTTTGTATTTTCCCACTGTGTCCGTAGGATAGATTTCTAAAAATGGCTTTGCTAATTAGAGTAAAGTATGTAATTTTTTTAGAGGCTACAAGTTTCCTTCCAAATGGTTATATCATTTTACATTCATCTATGAACATATGAGAGTGCACCAACATTTGAATGTATTTTCAAACTTTTGAATTTTTACCAATATCAGTATACTTTTAATTTCAATTTTCTTACTATGGGTAAGTTGTACTTATTTTTGTATGGCTAAAGTGCACTTGGATTTTATTTTCTGTGTGTTCTATGTTTTCATTTCAAACACATTTTTCTATAGGATTTTAATCTTTTTCTCCTTTTTTGAGAACACTTTAGAAAATAAGATATCCCCTGTTCTGTGTTATAAGTTGCAAATATTGATCTTGTCTTTTTACTTTGCTGGCTGTATCTTTTGCCTTTCAATAATTTATATTTTTATGTAATAAAACATCTATTTTTCCTTTATTTCTTCTGGATTTTGAGTCTCTTCAGGTTACTGATGGATTCACCTAGTTTTTTTCTAGTATTTTTATAGTTTTACTTTTATATTTAAATATCTGAAATATTTAGAATTTACCCAGCATAGAGTATACTACAAAAAATGGATCCAAATTTACTTTTTTATATACTATCCAGTTATTCCATTTAGAAGTTTTTTTTTTAACCTCTCTGTAACTCAGTTTCCTCAGCTGTAAAATCAGTGTGCTAATAGTACTTGCCTCATAGATTTATTGTATGGATTATATGAGACAATGTAGGTATAGTACTTAGCATGATGCCTAGCACATGATAAAAGCTTAATGATGATGAAGATGTTGTATTAGTAGAGACTTCAGTGGTTTTAGCCCCTTATTCTGGTCTAAGGTCAAGTCACCCTTGATAATTAGTACCACCTTTTACCCTGGTGGGATACTGTATTTTGATCTTATTCCTGAGATGCAGTACCTAGTCCTTTTACCTGATTTGCTGACCTGGGTTCTCTTCCTGAGTCCCTAATCCTACCCCTGGTTGAGAGCCCCCCCTTTTCCCTAGGACAAGGTCCCTCCCTGACTTACTGTTTCCAGTCCTCTTCTCTGAATTCAACAAATTCATGAACTGACATTTTCTTGATGCTGACTACTTATCTGGATTTCTGATACTGACTACTCCCATAATCTTTTTGGGGACTCTGTCTACTTATTGGGACATCAAGATACTGTGTGTAAAAACTGCTTACTCCTGCTCACCTGAACATAAGCTGTCATTGCCTGGGAGGCCAGATTTTGCCTGGAAATTCGTCTTTTGGTGGGCATGTTGCTGATTTAGGGTCTATCTCTTTTTTTCTCCTCCCATCTTGAGGGTGGAGTTGGAGGTATTAGAATTGCTTAGCTGGCTATAGGCATGTGGTTAGAACATGGATTGTCTTCCAATGGACTGAGCCTAAGATGGAGGAGAATATACACAAGTAAAAGATCCTTATCTCTTACCTGGAACCAAAAGTTAGAACAAGCTAAACCTGTAGAAGAAAACCAAAGCCAAGACATAGGGCTGCAAAGTCAGGAGTTCAAACTTGCAAGATGTGATTTTTTTTTCTTCTAATATACAATTGTATGATGTGCAGCTGCACCATCCTGAATCAAAGGGCCAGGCCTGAGAGGACAGTCATTTTCCTTAACATCTGTCTTAACTGATGGTTAGGCTTCGCTCAACACCCATTCCTTCTTTATATACTCTCCAGGTTACTTGGAATTCTGACTGGGTCACAAGACAGGAAAAGCAGTGTGTTTCAGCCAGTAACTAATATCAAGCTTTATTAGACAAACTAATAACTTGCTTTAAGTGTAGATCATATATCATCACAACAATCAGCTCATTCCTTACTGTGATTCTGAGATTTTGTGAGGACTTCCTAACTTAAAACACCCCCTCCTTACACCAAGCTCTTTCCGATGCTTAACTCTCCAATGTCTGTTGCAAAATATATATCCTACTCGAATGGTGATGTCTCCATTCCTACTTTCCCCCATTTCTATTATTTTGAGTGCTGCCAAAACAATATTGAAGATATAAAGATATAATAAATCTACTCTCCTTCTTTAAGCTCCAATCAGTGGTTCTCCTCTGCTTTCAACATTTTTTGGCCTGATGTGACAGAAATACATTTCTGTTAAATTCTTGTGGCAGATGAGATGCCTCATTTATTTCTTTTAAAAATCAAATCACATCAATCTCTGAGCACCCCCTGCTCTTCCAACTGACCAAGGTTGTTGAGAAATTCAATGTCCGTAATTTTTCGTGCTTCACAGTTCATGCCTCCCATCTTCCATTATGATAGGATTCCAGGACTTAACTTAAATCATTTAAAGCACAAGGGGGAAGAGGCCTGTGAACATCAATCCTCCTGGTCATGGTGAAAACACTGTTGTCTAGGTCTATATAGTCTATTGGAGAACTGGTAAGTCATTCACTCTACATTGAGCATGGCCTCTAGGGCATTAAATGAGGCCTTGGAGCTCAGACCCAGACTCCATATGGACTTGTGCTTCTACACCTATAGGAAGTCTGACCTGTCCACAACACTGCAAATGGCCTGGAAGCAGGATACCACCTTTCACAGGACCCTTCATTCTCTGTCTGTTTTGTGTCTAGGAAGTTCATAGGTCCTACTTGCCCTGAAGTCATGAAGTCAAGACGTCTGTGCATTTGTGTGTGTGTCCATGTCCTCAGGGTTGCCCATCTTATCTGAATGCCACATCTACTAACATTTTCCTATAGGGCACAGAGTCCCAGAATAAACAGCACAAGGCCTGACTACCTGTGTTTTAAGGAGAGAAAAGTATTTCACAGGATTTTATTCTTAACAAACAAACAAAACAAAAAATGAGTAAAAAAAGGCATTTCACCAAGCCTATGGTTGATTATAAGACGCATCATTATTTTATGTACTACTATGGCACAATGCTTTTTATCATTTATCATTTTAAATTTATATTTATTGAAAGAATATTTTTAGATTTATTGTTTCTATAGCATAAAGCATAAGCCCTGATGCTCTGTTTCCTTACCTTTCTCCATAAACAAGAATCCTTTCTTTGTTTCGATACTGAATTATGTGTAAGCTTTTAAAGATGTTTTAATAGCACTAGCCCAACATGTTGCACATAGCTCACCTGAAGCCTGGAATAGCTATGACAAAGTTTTTACATATGCTGGTAATAACAACATCCCATGCGACAGTGACTGCAAGATCCCATCATGGGAAAGATATATCCCAATCTCAGGGATGTGAAAATGCGTGCATCTTAGAATTGATGAAATACAATATATTGCCACACTCTACTGCTATACACAATTCCCTGTCTACCTCTACATGCATATTTCACCCATTCCCTCCCTCGCCCCTGTATTCCACCCATGCCAAACCTGCACATTCAAGCTGTTTGACACCTCTGTGTAGTTCCACATGCAGTAGCCACTCGCTGGGAGTTCCTCATCCTTCTTCCCCTTGTCTGTAACCACAATTCTTACTCATCTCTCAAACCAGATCTTACATATTTCCTCCCTTACCCATTGGCATAGTTCTCTTCCTGCAGGCTCCTCATCAAATCTTGAACCCAAGCCTCTTCCTGAACCAACATTGAGATGGGGAATTTTTTCTGCTCAACTGGTGCTCCTTAAAAGCAAGAGTTGTGTTATTTACATTTTGATCTCCTGATGCCTTGTACTATATTGATATGCACTGACATGTAATGAGCACTAAAAAGAGCTTCCATAAATGACTGGTAGTTTCTTAGCCATCCTCCAATGAGAGGGGTTGGTTTTATTGTAGAACTGGTTGTAGAGGGCAGTAAGAACAGATGTAAGTCCTGTGTGACAAGAATGGGGAGAACTGTGAGAGGCTAAAAGACAAATTGATCTAGAGACAAATATTTCAACTTGTTCAAGATATACATAAGTCAACAGCATGTTCTTGGGTCTGATTTCAGCAAAATTGCTTTTGATAGCTAAGCAATTACTATTCTGGGCATATTTAGTGGCCAGGGTTAGGAAAAAGAAAGGTTACACTGTAGTGAAATCTTATGAGTTAAGATCTTCTGTTAAGTAGTACATGTTTATAATTCTGATTTTCATGCATAGTTTAATATCGCCTTCATTAATCTTATCAGGTTATTTTCCTTGACCACCTGCTTGCTGTAAAAGAACTCTAAATGGACAATGTATTTCCATATCCCAAAAAATGATGTTTTTTTGGACATAAGGTATATGTTTCAATATTACTTCACTGATTGGAAAATGGTAATATCAAATAAGACCTAAACAAAATAAATGTGAATGATCCCTAATTTATAATAAGTATCCTGCATGTTATTATGAAGATCAACTGACAGACAAGTATTTATTTAAAATTTTTATTGACTGTGTTTTATCCACTTTTGAAGGGTCCAAGGTGCTCAGAATATCTGCTGTTAAGTCTGGGTGTCTCTTTTAAACAGAAATTGCATAGTACAGACCTCATCCAAAGTAGCTGTATGGATGAGATAAATTGAGTACAGAAGAGTTTATATTTCTAAGCTATTCTGTTCTGTTGTATACACTAAACATGACAAGTTTAAGTAGATCCAAAGTGGATAATACTTTTAATCTTCTGGCAATTTAAGTAGAAACTTTATAGCCTGTGTTTTGATTTCAAGCAGAAAATAACATACAATATAGATTTAATTTACATTTATTACCATAAAAGCACATATACTTTATCATCCCATTTTCTTTATTATATGGAATAAAAATTTAGAAAACACTTTTTTGAGTACTGTTGTATCAGGGAACCTGCCCCCGATAGTCATGTAGTTTCTTTTCTATTTTCCCTTAGCGTCGGCCGGGTTGAGAAATAAGGGGACAGAGTACAAAAGAGAGAAATTTTAAAGCTGGGCATCTGGGGGAGACATCACATGTCAGTAGGTTCTGTGATGCCCCACAAGCCGTAAAACCAGAAAGTTTTTATTAGGGATTTTCAAAAGGGGAGGGAGTGTACGAATAGGGTGTGGGTCACAGAGATCACGTACATCACAAGGTAATAGACTATCACAAGGCAAATGGAGGCAGGGCGAGATCACAGGACCACAGGACCAGGGCGAAATTAAAATTGCTAATGAAGTTTCAGGCACCATTGTCATTGATAACATCTTATCAGGAGGCAGGGTTTGAGAGTAACCGGTCTGACCAAAATTTATTAGGTGGGAATTTCCTCGTCCTAATAAGCCTGGGAGCCCTACAGGAGACTGGGGCTTATTTCATCCCTACAGTTTCAACCACAGAAGATGGCCACACCCAAAGGGGCCATTTTAGAGGCCTACCCTCAGGGGCACATTCTCTTTCTCAGGGATGTTCCTTGCTGAGAAAAAGAATTCAGTGATATTTCCATTTGCTTTTGAAAGAAGAGAAATATGGCTCTGTTCTGCCAGGCTCATTGGCGGCCAGAGTTTAAGGTTATCTCTCTTGTTCCCTGAACATTGCTGTTACCCTGTTCTTTTTTCAAGGTGCCCAGATTTCATATTGTTCAAACACACATGCTCTACAATTTGTGCAGTTAACGCAATCATCATGGGGTCCTGAGGCAACATACATCCTCCTCAGTTTATGAGATGACAGGATTAAGAGATTAAAGTAAAGACAGACATAGGAAATCACAAGGGTATTGATTGGGGAAGTGATAAGTGTCCATGAAATCTTCACAATTTATGTTCAGAGATTGCAGTAAAGACAGGCATAAGAAATTATAAAAGTATTAATTTGGGGAACTAATAAATGTCCATGAAATCTTCACAATCCATGTTTTTCTGCTATGGCTTCAGCCGGTCCCTCCGTTTGGGGTCCCTGACTTCCCGTGACACTGTTGGTAAGTATTAATACATACATGCCATAGATGACTTAATGTATATTGTACAACTATCTTCTTTCAGGTGGCTAATTATATAGATAACTAAGTTGTCTATATCCCTAAAATAAAGTTATTCATAGGTATGTGATAAACATTTCATCTGTCTCCTACTCTTATATATATGGGCTTAACTGAATTGAATTTAAAAGAAGTCAGCTTAAAACATATGAAGGAATTGGGAGACGTGATGTGATTTGCTGATGTTTAAATCTTGTGGACCAATTACACAAAGAATCAGTCAACACAGGGTTGTCGATATTGACAATCTGTCTACAGACCATGTGTAGAAATGTAGAAATGAACACAAAGGCATGAACACAAATCTCTGACATTGTATAATTTTAAACTGCAATTAATTACTAGCAGCTATGCAAAAAATAATTTACATTAGGATATAATAAATTTATTGAAAAATTAAGTATACATGCATTTTTTTGCATAAATGCAAAAAGAAATTGAGTGAAAAAAACAGTGCAAAAAGTCTAAGTAAGAGTTTAAGGTGAGGACAGTCATGGAGAGGACCATTTCAATATATCACTACTGTTATTCTTTTGTCAGTTATATATGAAAAACACATACAAAAGAATGGAAAAGGAAGGTAATAACAATATTATTAGATGATAGTTGATGTTTTTATTTAATATATGCTATTATCTAACATATGCTATAATTTAATGACATAAAGGGTCAATATATACTCTGGCCCATATACTGGGTGACTTGGAGGCTCCCATTTTTGAGCGGAGCACAAAACATAAGGTGCTGTAGCAGCTCTAGGCTGTGGTATAATCAGCCTCCTGCCTTAGACCATACAATTTTAAAGTCCCTATGGTGTTGGAGAAACCAGCAGTTGGAAAAGATGCAGTATGAAGCTCTTCTAAATACTTTTTTTCTTGGCAAAGAAAATGGCAAAGATATGTGCAAATCTAAACAAACATTAACTGCATACACAATAAGAATAATGTTCAATATGGGAGGATTAAGAAAATATGTGAGAACGAAAAGATTTATGTAATAACATGTATGCTGGGATGTAGATGGTCAGAGTTAACCCATCCTAAAATCTTTGCATTATTTGGTGCGAGGAAAAAGATTTTGATTAATTTTATATTAAAGTCAGTGTTCTTGTTAGAATTTTAAGAATAACCACTGAAAAAATTGTACTAGAATATGAAACTTGTATACTAATGCAGCAAAAAAATGAAATACAAAATGTAAAAACTCAACCTACATCAGAGAAGAACTTAAAAGTAGGATAGATTTAAAAACTCCAGTAGAAATAAATCAAAATATGTCAGTAATCATAATATATTATTTTGAGATACATATATACACATTATAAAACTATGAAGTAAAGCAAAGGAATGATAAAATTGCATGATAATATTTTCTTGGAAGAGACAAAGTTGAATGCTATCAAGGAAGGGTACTGAAAGAGATTCAAATATTATGAGAAATCTTTTCTCTTAAGGTAGGTAGTATATACATAGATTTTTTTCTTTCTTTTTTTGTATATAGATATATACAGAAATTTCTTTATTCTCGTGTTTTAAAATATTTCATCATTTTACAATGTATGCATATATCATAACATCACATTATATCTCATAAATATATAAAATGAATATTTGCCAACTAATAATAAAATAAAATTTTAAAGATAGATGAAATGCAAATGGTCTAAGCACATTAATTAAAAAAACTTTGTCAGAAAAAATATTTTATAATAAATATTAAAAGAGAAAAACTACAGATACACTTCAGAGAAAAATAATCATGCAAAGATTATTAGAGCATGGACAGCTCATTTTATAAGGAAAGCATTCAGAATTACAGTTGGGGAAAAAAGAATATTTTTAGTCCTGAATGAAGTTATTAAACTTGACAAGGTTTGTTTGTTTTTGGAGTTGCTGTTTTAGATCTTTCTTAGCTTTTCTTCCAGTGTTTATTTATACTTACTGTCAGGAACTTATTCTATAAATCTTATTGAATCATCATCTTAAGGCATCTTATAACATTTTATTGTTTGTAAGAAGAGCAACTGAAATATCACTCATTATTCTTTCAAATCAAATCAGTGGCATTTACTCTACTCTCTTAGCTAAAGCTCTCCTGGCCTCTGTTGCCGAGTGAATCCTGAGGCTGCTGCAGCTGGGAGAATTGAGGCATAACCATACCAGGCAATTATTGTTTCCAATTAAATGCCATCTCTTTCTTCACAGAGAGGCAAAAGTGTCCACATAAATATCCCTTGATTTGTTTCTGTCTTTTTTTTCTGCTCTGTCCATTGCCTACGTGGCTTCCACCTTCCCTAAGTTAAGCAAAATTGGAAGTCCTTGCTGTAGTTTGGGCTTCTCATGGTTTGATGGGATAAGTCTTCTTGGCCTTCTGTGGTCACCAAGTGTATAACTAGTGTCTGAAGAAACAGTGATGGTGAGAGGCCTCATCAAAAGTAGTTCTGCTAATAATCCCAGCACTTTGGGAGGCCAAGTTTGGAGGATTTTTTTGAGCCCAGGAGTTTGAAACCAGCTTGGGCAACACAGCAAAGCCCCATTTCTTAAAAAAAAAATAGCTGGGTGTGGTGGTCTGCACCTGTAGTCCCAGCTACTTGGGAGGCTGAGGTGAGAGGATCTATTGAGCTCAGGATTTTGAGGCTGCAATGAGCTATGATGGTGCCACTGCACTCCAGCCTGCATGACAGAGTAAGACTCTGTCTTTAAAAAGAAAGAAACAAAGTTTTCAATGCAGCTGATTTTGACAGTTAAAGGAACAGTTCTCCAAGGTGAAACCCTTGAGGATAAATGATACCAGTAGCAGATAAGTGGCAGAAGTGGAACCTAAACCTACATAGATGAGGCCCAGGTCTAAATGATGCACAGATGTAATGCTGCCCAGGAAATCACCTGAGACTTTGTGAGGTTCACTTATCTCTCTGAATGGTTACTGCTCTGAAAGTACCTCCCTTTGTCTTCCTGTGCTTTGAGGAAAAACTTTCTCCTCTTGGTGATGCATTCTAATTCCTCATACCTCATGTGTAATAATTAAGTGTGTGAATCTCAGGGCAGCCCCTTCTGAATTGTGGGCCCAACTTGTCTAAACGTCAGTTTCCTATCAGTAACATGGGCCAGAGATAGCACTTATGATATTGGGTGCTGGGAAGAATTTAAAAAGATAATGCAGGTAGAGTTCACAATAAACATAGGTTAGTCTCATCACTAACCTGTTAGAGCAGTGTTTTCAAACTTCTTATATAAAATATATAAAGATGAATTTTAAAGAAAAACAATTCTGACAGACTCCAAGTTTTTATTTATATTATTTTTATACTTCTCAAATAGGTACAAAAATAAAAGTAGATATAAATTCTGTATTTCTATAGCTGTTAAACATCTATAAATAAAAATGTGTTTATAGATTAAATTCAAAGCCCCAAAAACAGTGCAATTCAAATAGATGATATTAATTTAATGTTGTTTGTTCAAAATGGTACTGGGTGCCATAGCACCAATTCTTTTGACATGTTTTGAGTTTGGCATGCTTTAATTACCATATGCTGCATGATACCTCAGTTCTTTCATATTTAAAATCTGAATTATTTTTAAACTGCATGTCTGAACACCGCTTTAGCATACAACTTTTCTTTTTTTTCTCATTAGCCTGAAGTTTAGTTTTAATACAATGGGTACTGATGCTGTTGTACAAATGAAGGCAAACAGGAACACAGACACTGAGTACTGCAAATGCCCAGTGAAAGGTGGTCCTCTAAGTGATCCAGAAAGTTCTTCATTAACTTTCTCTATAATCAGCTAAGTCGATGAAAACACAGAATTAAAATATTTTCATGGAAATTTTGCAAATGTCCTAGATGAGCTACATGGATCTCAGTTGAGAAGCTTTAATATTTCTTTGTTAAAACTGGATAATTATTTCTGAACATGCCAGAGAATAGTGTTCAGATAACAGTTAAGCAATTTTCCTGGTAAATTCACTAAGATCTACCAAGTGGAAAGCATCATTTTCTGTTCTATACCTTTTTACTGAAGGCAAGAGATATTTCCTTCCCAGGGTAATAATAGCTTTTCTTGGCATAAACATTAATCTGAGAACTTAGAAACTTTGACTGGGAATTCTGAATACTAATGGTCGTGGGTGTAAAATGAAGTAATTTATGTGTCATAGCTAATTAAGATTACAGTATTTCAAGGCACTTAAAATTCAAGTTCAAAGAAATTTTAATGCTTTGGTCTGATAGGTGGTGTCAAGGAGCCCTTGAAAGGGCTTCCTGCCTACAGCAATAGGCGTGCAGCAGCTCATTTACCACATCCTATAATTAAAGTAGAATAAAACTTCACTCATATTTGTTTTGGATCCTAAATATTTCAAAGAAAATTTAGTCATTACTTGCAAGTTTATTTAGAAATGGAAAGCTTTTGTAGGGTTTGTTTTATAATCTTTTCATTAGTAAATGGCTTTCATTGATTTGAGCTATTTTTCTGATGTAGGTGAAGTATGAAGTTATGAGGAGAAAGGAACAGAGGACAACCACACAGAGAAAGTGTAGCTTTATCTACTAGAGCTGAAGACATTCAAATTTATGATCCAACAATTCTACTCTGAAGTGCAGTGGTGTATATACTGCAACAATGTGTACTCATGTGCCCTGAGAACTAGATATGAAAAAACCTTACAGCAATATGCATAATAGTAAAAAAAAAAAAAAAAAACTGGAAACAACAAAAATGTTCATTGACCATATACAATGATAAATGTGGTATACTCGTAGCATGGAAAACTACACAACATTGAAAATGAACAAACTAAAACTGTACACAGCAACATGAACGAATTCCACAGATAATATTGAGTGAAAGATACCAGACACCAAATAATATCCCATATGATTTCATTTACATTAAATGTTTTTTTTTTGAGATGGAGTCTCGCTCTGTTGCCCAGGCTGGAGTGCAGTGGCACAATCTTGGCTCACTGCAACCTCTGCTTTTCAGGTTCAAGCTATTCTCCCACTTCAGCCTCCCCAGTAGCTGGGACTACAGGTACCTGCCACCACGCCCAACTAAGTTTTGTGTTTTCAGTAGATATGGGGGTTTCACCATGTTGGCCAGGCTGGTCTTGAACTCCTGGCCTCAAGTGATCTGCCCACCACGGCCTTCCAAAGTGCTGGGATTACAGGTGTGAGCCACCGTGCCCGGCCTCATTTATATTAAATTTAACACAGGCAGACTAATCCATTATGCTAGAAGTCAGGAGAGTGGTTACTTTGAGGAAGAGAGGACTGACTGATCAGGCTTGAGGGGATTCTAAAGTGGTGGCAGGGTTTGGTTTCTTGACCAATATTACTGATATTCATTATGGAGCTCCTTAAACACTTTAAATTTTACTTGTGTAATGGGATTATGTCTACTTCAAGCGGTTATTGTAAGGATTAAATAACAATGTATGTAAAGTGCTGTGCAGTGTACCATGTCTAATAAATACTCCAACAGCTGTAATTGTCATTGCTATCAATATCACTGTTAAGCTGTATATATAATAAGTTTTGAAAACTTACATAGTTAACCATATTCAATCTCCATTTTGTGTTAGACAGTTCTCAAACCCTGAGGTGCTTTCCTGGAAACAGTCCTATTGAAAGCAGCTGCTCCATTATTGTAAGGATGTTGTTGAGGGTATTGGTGTTATAGCACATTTGTTCTCTTGGGAAGGACCTACCGAAGAAATATCTTTCTGATCTCAATTTGAAATTAATTGTACTCTCCTGAGCAACAGATTTTGATTATTGTCCAAGTTTAATATTACACACATTGTGAATCCTGTAGGGAAATGTATCTTTCTTCTTGGCTTTCTATTTGGATACTGAAAATCTTAGAATCAAATCTGTGCTCTAGCTTTATCAAATGTATATAGACTTACACCATGCATTTTCTGGATAAACTGCGTTTTCCTTATTTACTTGTTTTTGTTTGTTTTTGTCTCATGTTTATGTAAGCTACCTTAAATTCTTTTGGGAGCAAGCAGAAGGCTTAAGCACATAAACGAAAAACAAATAAATGACATCATGTTGGATTTAGTTATGGAAATATCTGCCAAGACAGTAGTATTCACCAAGTTGAAACTCTTAAAAAATGTGCTGAATAAATGAATACATGAGCGATTTGGCATTTGGGGATGGCTCCATTAAAAACAAAATAGAACTTGAGCAAAACTTTGGAAAAATTGAAGCCTGTGTAATGAATAAGGGACTGGGGCATATTGAAAATGATAGTATAAAATGGAGTGAAATCAGCATGGCACTGTGATCCACAGAACATCCTATTCAGAGTACAGAAGTGTTGGCGATAGACGTCAATTGATGACTGTGATGGGGGACACTTTCTTCTTCACAATAAAATGAAGAAGGGACAAATCCAAGTAGAAAAATTAATAGCCTTAGTAACAAATTACACAGAAAGTGCAGAAAAGGAGAAATCAGGAGTCTTTTCAAGATTGTTTTTGGCTTAACATAGAAATGAAAATTTGAGGGACAGCCAACTAAAGAAGCCATACTCAAACAGCTCATGAGACACAGTTACAAGTCCAGGCAATTAATTTCTTCATTGTAAATCACAAATTTAGAATTTGTGAATTCTGATGATGTAGTTTTGTATTTCGTACATTAATAAATCAGTGGAATGTAATATTTCTCCTTTGGGATTGATTGCAAGCAAAGGTCAGTTAGGACTTGAACAATGGATGGAGCAGAAGGGATAAAAAATTGCATCATTTTATCATGGTTTTAGTACTTTTATAACAAAACATAAATGCATGGTTTGTATCAACAAATGAATAAAAGAATTGTAAAAAGGTCTACATTTAGCATTTTAACTTATTTATTCAAAACTATTAGTATAAAGTATATGCAAGGCACAGTGGTAGACAAGATGGACATAATCTTTGGCCTATTAAAGCTTATATTTTTGAGAAACACACCAAAATAAATGCCTGTATCTGAAAATTCATGCAAAATTTCAAATAAGGCATTAGAAGATACTGATAAAATGGCTTCCCTTCTCTCTTATGCTATGGGAAATTATTGCTCACAAAATACAAGTTGCTATCTTTTCATGACTTTTGTGTAGATTTAAAAATCAAATTATTATTTACAAAGCAGCATTACTGGAGTAATGAATACTTCCTCCTTATTGATTTTTCTGAAAACTGCCTTCCTTATTTCATTCACACTTCATCTATAATTGGGAAAGGGAAACTACTAAATTGATAAATTCAACAAAGGGGGAATATATCTTGAATACGAACTGTTATTACTGTTGACAGTCCAATAACAGAGACACCATAGAAAAAATTATGGGAGTTCTTGAAATTGGCTGAAGCAATTTTCAGCACACTATATTTCATTCTTAGACAAAACCAAAGCCTTATTTCTTACACATTTTTTAGAAGTCAACATCTAACAGGCAGTGGAAACTTCTCCAAAATTACTTGGCATTACCCAATTCTATCAACTGTTTAAAACTCAGGTATTTCAGTATTGGGACCTCTAATTGGGATGTCTATCCATTTAACAATTCTAATGAGTTTATTTTACTGGATATGTGCCTGACAATAACATTCCATAGTTGCTAAAATGTCTTATCATTCAAACTCCTTGTTGGGGTGCCTGGTAGCTACACACTATTTGGGAACTGCAGATTTGCTGGGCAGATAGGGAGACCTTAATTAGGGAAGCTTGGGTATACTCTGGTTTTCAGCTTTCCCACCTTTCATTTGATTTTTTCATCATCTTAGTTTTTCCTTTGTGAGGCAATTTCCTGAGGAAAAACTGGGGTTACTGCCTTTAGTGTCTGCTCACCCCCAACAAGCTTTTCCTTTCCTGTTACTGTTTTTTCTTCCTTTGATTTTTTTTTTTTCTCTGAAACATACGTATCAATGAGTTCTTTCACTTGATAATCCTGAGAGTCCTGGATCCGAACTGCAACTTGAGGCAGAGATTTGGGGGATCTATTTTTACGTACATTATCTTCATTTTGAAGGTGAAGAAGCCAACTGTAGGTGAATTTTCCAGGACTGAGCAGAGTTTAGAGTTCAGAAATCATACACAAATAGCCATCAACAGTGAATCCTGTCCTCTTGATTCCTATTCTGACTTCTGCAAGTTTTCCAACTATGGCCTTTACCTCTACTTCCCTCTACACATCACCATTGTAACCCATGTGTATTTGAGGTCAAATCTGGCCAAGAGTACCCTATAAGTTGAGAAAGTAATCCTAATGTTCTGAGCACAAAATAGTGTTCTTTGTAGCATAAAAAAGGACCTTGACACACTATTAAATTTTAAATTATTTTAGTACATGTTTTTATATTTTATTTCATTTTTGAAAATAGAATATTTGTTCAAAGATATTTGTCAAGATAAAACTTTTCTTATGATAATTAAATTACAAAAAGGATTGCATTATGTGGAAAATTATTGTTTTCTTTTTTTTTTGAATGTATGGTACCTTCCAGCCTGTTACTCGTGCAAATACTCCAAAACAACCCCAAAGCATGCACATCATCCAGTATATTATTGACACAGTGTATGTTCCACAAGTGCTTGCTTAGTCTTGAAGAGGTAAAGGAAATACCCTATTGGCCAGCTTAAAGAGAGAGGTTGCCTTTCAATGGTTGGGAATGATTTTTGTTCATGTCACTATCACACTTGAACAGACCTTTGATGGGGCTATACAGATCACAGAATAAAGTTCAAATCTGACTCTTACTTAGCTCTCCAATGTAACTCTTTGCCCCATCTGCCTCCATCTATCCCCACTCTGCACCACAAGTGGCAAATTTGCAGGCTGGTGGGCTTGCCAGGTAACACCCATGGGTGAACTGGTCCAGGGAAATGAACATATGCTTGTTGTTTGGGTGATGGCTGTGGAGAACTGGGAAGGTCCACACTGTCTAAGGGGTGCTGCTACTCAGCTCCACCTAGCGTTGCTCTGCTGGAAGGAGGGGGTCTGATGTTGCCAACTCCCCTGCTTTACATTAAGAAAAGGCAGAAAGAGGCTGGGCGCAGTGGCTCAGGCCTGTAATCTCAGCACTTTGGGAGGCCGAGGAGGGCAGATCACGACGTCAGGAGTTCAAGACCATCCTGGCCAACATGACAAAACCTCATCTCTACTAAAAATACAAAAATTAGCTGGGCATGGTGGTGTGTGCCTGTAGTCCCAGCTACTTGGGAGGCTAAGGCAGGAGAATAGCTTGAACCCGGGAGGTGGAGGTTGCAGTGAGCCGAGATCATGCCACTGCACTCCAGCCTGGGCAACAGAACGAGACTCTCAAAAAAATAAAAAAAGAAAAAAAGGCAGAAAGATGGCTACTGAATCTTGAAATGTCCTGATTTTCTAATATTTTGTAGGGTATACTTTTATTCACTCCACTGGTCATATTGATGAGCCTTTTCCCGTCCATTGGCTCGTAACTGTTGTCCTCCCCAAATCCGTACTCTAAGCAACCCTGAATATTTGCAGTTTTCTCAGAATCTGGCATATTTTCAGCCCCCTCAGCTTTCTACCCCACTTTGGCTTACGCTGCTCTCTGTCTGAATGTCCTCTCCACTCATCCTCTTAGCAAAGTTCTATCCACCCATTTTTAAACACTGACCAAAGACAGTCACTAAAAGGCCTTTTTCAACCTCCCTTCCACCTGATGTCCAACAGCCCAGCGAAGCTATCCTTTTTCTCGTTTCACTTAACATTGCTCATACAGTGTAGGAGGTACAATATTGAAATGTATTTAGCTGTGACTGATAGCCATTTCCCCCACTAGCATGTAAGCCACATTCTTATTCCTCTTCATATCCTTGATGTTCTACACAGGGAGCAGCACCAAGAATGGCCAGTGCTTGTTGAAACGGCACATAGAATAGAGTTCTTGCAAACTTTTTTACCTGCACCTTCACCAAGAATCATTTTTAACTTGTACCAGAACAAGAAAACCCAGAAATGTTTCATGATGACATAGAACCCAAAGTTCAGATTTCAGAATTATGCATGCTCAGAGACTGTATCTTTGGAACCAGTGTGGCCACCTGCTGCTGTCTCCTGCAGAAGTGAAGGCACAAGTGGTCTTGCTCTCAGGGGCCTCACATTCTAGAGGCAAGCTGGAGCAGTTCATTTCAATACTGACTATCACTCAAGTGCCTGCTCAGCTAGTTCTGAAAGTAGATCAGCCAACATTCTCCTTTTCCATCATTCTAGCTTTTAGATGCAGAACCTTAGAAACAGAAGGTGGTGAGATGTTAAGCAGTTTATCCAAAGACACACAGCAAGGTAGTGTCAGACGTGCCTGTAGAGATCATTTCTTAGCACTGAATGCAGTAAAAGTTACTCCAAACATCTTGGTTTCCTTTCTCTTGAACTTGGTTGATGACTTCCTATTAGTACACACCCTTTACACAAAACTGGCACACACAAAACACGCCACATGCATGAGTGTTTTTAAGAATTAGGGGTCAGCCACTCTTACCAGATTCAAATTTGTTGTATCTTTTAATCATTTGGCTTGGTGCCTTAAGGTTTCAAGGTGAGCTTGGCTTTCAAGCTACAGCAGAAGGTGTGGAGCCAGAAAGCCCCTGCCTGGAGCCCTGCAGTGTGTCCTTCCTGGCCGCTCTTCCTTCCGGCTCTCAACTCCTTCCTGACAACCCTCCACGGATCTGCTTTCCTTCTGGAGTTTCCACATTCTAGCACTTTCCTAACCTGGACAAACCCCATACACTGCTTCCTGTCCACATCACCATACCCTTAATCTCATGTCCCAGGCCTTTAGTTTCCTTCAGCAGACCACAGGGTTGCAGGTGAAAATGGGAGGGCGTGGCTCCTCCCCACAAGTTTTTGTACTTACCAGGGCCTCCTGCTGGCTATGTCTAAGGGTAAAGTAGTGAGTAATGCACACCTATTGGGGGATTTTCATCACACAGGCAAAGGGGCATTTGAGGCCTCTGATGCACATTCTGTATCCAGCCACTCCCATGCCATGCCATCCTTTGAAATAAATTAGACGGTATATCAGGCAGCCAGGACTGTCATAACAAAGTACCACAGACTGGGTGCCTTAACCAGAAATCAACTTCTCACAGTTCTGGAGGCTAGAAGTGAAAGACTGAGG
Source organism: Homo sapiens (assembly GCF_000001405.40). Taxonomy (NCBI): domain Eukaryota; kingdom Metazoa; phylum Chordata; class Mammalia; order Primates; family Hominidae; genus Homo; species Homo sapiens. Next base: position 71,708,879 of record NC_000008.11, read on the forward strand.
TGTTGGCAGGGTTGCTTTCTTCTGAGGCATCTCTCCTTGGCTTGCAGATGACTGTCTTCTCTCTGTGTCTTCATTTTGTACCTGCCAGTGTCCTAATCCTGTCTTATTATAAGAACACCAGTCTTCTTGGGTTAGAGCCCACCCTAATGACCTCATTTTAACTTAATTATCTCCTTTAAAACCCTATCTCCAAATATAATCGTATTCTGTGGTACTGGGAGTTAGGGCTTCAACAGATAAATATGTGGCAGCAGGCAGGGATGGCAGGGATGTTGTAATTTAGCTGATAGCAGATGGGAAGCCCCAACTCCGAAATTCACCTACCCCTTCTATTCCACTTCATATTATGGTAACATAGGGTTGACCAAGAAGGACGTTGGGTCACTAGGTGACAAGATGGGTTTCATGCGCCTTTGCAGTCCCAGACATATGCACACGTATGCCTCAGAAACCACCCTGCTCCTTCCACACCATGTTCTATGGGACTAAAACCACAGGGCTGGCCTACACAGCAAGTGGCGATGAAACTTGACTTACACTTGTTTTACATCATGGCACCTCTCTAAGAAATTTTTTTTCTAGAATAAAAAGTGATACAAATCAGTTAATTGAAGTTTGTGTTAACACAATTCTTTTTGAAATAATTCTATGGGCATCTGTGTTCTAGAATCTGCATTAGTGTTAGTTCTATTGAATAATCCTCCTATTGGGATCTGTTGTAAAAATTTTCTTCTAAAGTAAGTTATCTGCAATAAATGTTCATGCACCTTCCCTTAAAAATATAATTAATATCCTCTTTACCAACAATAAAAGTTATATTGCTATTATCCAGAACTATTTTCCTTTATGTCTTTAAAAGCTTTAAATGTTTAATTGTATTTGTAATATTAATAGTATAACCTTGTTTAACCCATTTGGATTTCCCCCCTCAAGTACACCCATAACTAAATATGAACAGGTTAATATCTATATTCAACCATCTTTACAATTAAAGAAAAAAATTGATATGTATGATTATTTACTGTTTCTGCAATGGTTTGGTAACATACGATACAGTTCATTCCCATGGGTTTCTAAGTCATCATGGTTGTCAGCTGTTGAATATCCAATGAGATGTTACACTGATGAACAACCAATATAGTCTCTTCATTAACATATATGCAAATCTCATCCAGGTAAATAGGTAGCACGATCTCCTCCAGGTGAAATAGATACAGTTACCTGGCTGTAAAAAGGACAGAAACATAATTTTAGTTTTCCTCTCCTATGCTTTTCTATAGTTTTCAATAGAACAATATGTTTTACTTTTAGGATCAGAAATAAAACCCAGAAAAATGTGTTTTACAAGAGAATAAAACTATATAAATGGTCAGTCAAACTTAATGGCCAAATAAAATGAATGATTTAGCATATTATTCTATGGTCTACTTGTTTTTTAAGTGGAAAAAACTTCATAAGGCCTTAAAATGGTTGAATGAGATTTTATTGAGATAGATGATGAAAAATATTTAAACATTAACAAACATACATGAGGCATCGTGGGAAAAGAAAATGTATCCACAAAAAGTCCCACAGGTTTTCATTGTTTGCACGAAGGCAACTGTGCTCTCGTTCAAAGAAAATTGTTTCAGGACATGCTTTATGATGTCTTGTCAACAAATTATACTTACCAGATTTATAGGCCAAAGTCCCAGTTTTCTCATTTATAGGACGTGGATAAGTTCTGACTCTTCCTTTCCCTCCATATTTGTTAGATAGAGCCACACCAGTTCCTCAGGGACAAAAACATGAGACAGAAATAGAAGGTTCTAGAAACTATCTAATAGTGTTAGGAAACATTAACTTTGTGTAGACCTGACTTAGTGAGAAAGTGTTTTCACTATGTAGAAGAATCCTGAGAATGGTAGAAACATTCATTCGTTCATTCAATAAACATTTTTAAGGTGGAAAAAAGGAAAAACAAATTTTGTCACTTGTAAAATATGTTCAGATCCAACCTTCACTAACTCCATTGTGTAATTATATAGTAGGACCTTGGAAAAGGATCAGGAATAAGACAAGGTCTCTGTCCTTGTGGAGCCTACAGTCCAGTGGACAAGACAGACAATAAATAACGAAGCAATAGGTAAAATAATTACCCAATTAATTCAAACAACAGCATAATCACAAAACTATTTTACAATTAGTTTTGCAAAAAGTAATAGTGTTTAGTGCTATGAAGTAGATTGGGTTAAGCGTAAACATTATTTATTGTAGGTCTTACATAGGTTGGGGTGTTTATGTCTTACTCCTTTAATATAGGAATTGAACATTCAATCAGAAATTCTAATAATACAAAATTAGCTGCAATATGAATAACTAATTACCTAGAAAGAAGCACTTTTTAGTATTAGTGACATCATTTTTTTCTTTAGACTCCTCTCATCTTTAATCACATACGTATACACGATCATTTTAGTTTTAGTTTCTGCAGCATCTTTGACCTTGTTGGAAATGTCAGAAAATTGCTGAACCTTTACTCAGCCCCTACAGAGCCATTATAAACCTATTTTGTGAAAGTAACCAGTAGAAGGATGGGTGGAAAAAAGAAAAACAAATTTTGTCACTCGTGAAATATGCCCAGATACAACCTTCACTAACCCCATTGTGTAAAACATTCAGAATATTATTAAGAGAAAGCTTACAAGTGTAAATATACTTATTCTCAATGAAATCAACACCACCTGACTGATTTGTAACTACTCCCTTAATGCTGCCATAAACTTTATTGCAGTGAAAACACTGGTTCTACAGATTGCTTTCCTCTTCCTCAGGATGTGTTTGACCTTTGTGGCACTGCCACTATAAATCTCATGGCCCAACAACCCCTTGTCTGCAAGTGATTTCAAGCACTATCATAAAAATGAAACAGACAGACTTAATTTGAGTTCCAGACTTGAGGAAACTCAACTAAAATATTAGCATAATTTCACTGAGGACAGAGGAAATTGTTAAAATATGTGTATTAGAGAGTGTCTGCAATTCAATCCATCTTTTTTCTGGCTCTTGGGTGCCACCCAGTGATTAGCTTAGCGGCACGTTGCCCAAGGGGTCTGTGGTGCACAGGCAGCCCTGGTCACAGGAGAGCTGGGACAAGGATATTAGGGGTAGACATCGCAGTACTAAATTAAATTTAGAAATAAAAATTAAATTAAAAATCTGTTCAGAATCTACGTTCCATCCAGAAAAACCTGATCATTGACAATGTGCTCCTTCCAGACATCCAAATATTGCAAAGAATCTGTTCTGTGAATAACGAAAATTTCATCTTTAGAGCACCGGCTTGGTCTACAGCCACACAGTGAGGACGAGCAGCAGGGAAGTCACCAGCACAGTTCAGCTGTCCTTTCCTGATCTTCTTCCCTTCCCCTGTGCCACACCACCTAGTTCCTTTCGCAAACCATAGGCAGAGCTTGAAAAACTCTGCTTTATAACCACAAGGGCGGATGGCTGACTTGACCAGGTTATTTTTTCATCTCTCAAACCTACTAGATTGTTTCTTATCCTTATAATTCACAGGGCTGGGCATAAGAACCAACATTCTCTTATGCATCCGATGTTTGTTTTTTGTTGTTTGAGCAAGGTTCTCACATTCCCTTTCTCTCAATAAGTGTGTGACACATTTAGTAACATTTTACCAAAGATTTATGCCATTTTTTGGAGGTGAAGCAATAGATACTCAACCCACTGGGGCTTCTGTTTCCTCTAGAAAAATATAATGAGTGCGTAAAATCATTACATATATAAAATATGTATTATATATATATATATATGGAGAGAGAGAGAGTGAATATGTAACATAATCTACTTATTTTATCATCTATCTTGTCTCCCCTGAACTGACTTCTTAAAGGTTCCCCCAGGCCATGCCTCGGGGGAGGGGATCGCCCATGAGACACATGAAAGTGAATAGGCTTCCTCAAGCCATGATGTTTTCTCCTTGCTCATATGCTATCATGGTGGTTTCTGAAGGAGGAAGCCAAGAAGACAGATGGTTGGGAAAGAAGAAGGATATGCTCCAAAGGACTAGGAAGGTCCCTATGACTGAGATGGAGGGTAGCTATGGAAGGGGAAACAAGTACCTGTGTGAATCACCCACCTTACTCAGAAAATCCTCTTCCTCCTCCTCCCCACCACTGTGCTCCTCACAGCCCCTTTGTCCTCTTGCTGTGCCCTGGATCCACTACTCGGCTGAGTGAAGCAAATGGGTCAGTGGTGGTGGTGATGGTAGCAGGAGGTCCTGATGTTGACCTAAGGCAGATGGGGACAGCAAGAGCTCATCTCAAAGAGCTGGGAGCCAGCAAGGAGCCCATGGGCGATAGATGCTGGATGGACTTGGAACAGACACAAAGTCACTGCAGAAGAAATACTTAGGCACAGAAGACAGGACTTGGGGTGGCCTGTCACTTAATCCTGCGTGACTTGAAAGGGCTGGGGGATCCTCTGCTCCTGCCCAGCCCATCCACCATTTCCTCCTAGTGGTTTCCATACTGCCTTCCAGAGGGAAGGGGAAGAGAAGGAAACCATGTTTCTAGATCCTTTGATAACATGCTGTCTTCTCTCAGGGAGGCTACTTTGCCAAAAGCAAACAGATGTTTAGTTCTTTACACTGGTTCATTAAAAATGCTATGGGAGCCCCTTCCTGATTCTAATTTCTCATGGTAGTATCGTGATAGGAGGAAGATTACAGTGGTCTATGAGATTATATACTTTGTCCCATTTTAGTTATTTATTGACTGTTGATATACACTAGGCACTGGGCCTATGGCAATGAAAACTCAGAATCTCTAAATGGATGTTATTATTTTCCTCATTTTACAGTCATAGACATGAGGCATAGCAAGATAAGTGCTTGCCTAAGGTCGTATCACTGGTAACTAGCAGCTAGAATCCATCTTCTAGCAATTTGACCCTAGAGCTTGTTAGTAACTGATATGGTTTTCTTGTGCATCCACCCAAATCTCATCTTGAATTGTAGTTCCCATAATCCCTACGAGTTGTAGTTCTGTTCTTGTGATAGCGAGTGAGTTCTCGCGAGATATGATGGTTTTATAAGGAGCTTCCTCCCAACCACTTAGCTCTGCACTTCTCCTTGCTGCCGCCATGAGAAGAAGCACCTGTTTGCTTCCCCTTCTGCCATGATTGTAAGTTTCCTAAGGCCTCCCTAGCCATGCTGAAGTGTGAGTTAATTAAACCTCTTTCCTTTATAAATTATCCAGTCTCGGGTATATTTTTATTAGCAGTATGAAAATGGACTAATAGAGTAACATATCATTTGATACAAAACCCCAAATAGCATATATTATAAACTTTAAAAAAATTACAAAAAAAATTATTTTAGTCTCCATATGGATTAAACAAGCTAACCTAGTCTCAACATTGATTAAATAAATGTTAAATAAGCTAATTTCCATGTTTTAAACACCATTGTTTTTTGGAAATGCATATTGACTTTGTATCAATTTACAAATATTACTTGGGAACACAACCAGCTTGTAAATTGGGTATTAACTGGTATATATGTAAATAATTTACTGGGAAAACTTACCAAAATTTTTACACACCACAAAATCTGATACTTTAAATCTATAATTTCTGAGTTTCATTCCAGCCTTGTTTATTTGCATAAACATTTATGAAGGTTAATTATTTTACTTTATAACTGCTGGCAATCAAACCTTTCTGAAATAGAAGTTTTGGGTTCATGCAATGTTCAAATGAGCACTTCACTGAAACCCCAAGTTTCTGCACTTTAAAGTATGAAAGAAATAACCTTAGTCAGTGAGATTTTTAGCCTAGGCACTAGCAAGTCTCTGCTTCTCCAAGAAACATCCCAGGAACATTTCATTTTTCTCAGGCTTCATCCTGATGCATCCACTAGAATAAACTGGCCTCCAAATCCACTCTTAAGTAATGAATACATCAACATATTGAATGAAATTGTTTTATATTATCAACTGGATGTCAAAAATAATTCATTTGACTAGTGCATAATTATTATTTGTCCCTAAATATAATTGACCAAAATGTCCATTTGCTGGTTGACCATTGGCAAAAGTGGCTCTCCTGGAATGAGACAGAAGATTCAATTATAATTATATGAATAGATGAGGATTTTTCCTGTTTGTTGCAGGAGGAAAGTGTGATTTCAGTCCATCGAAAGAGTTTTAAGAGATTGTTGTACAAACTTTCAAAGGAAAGGCTAGACAAAGCTTTATTTTAATAGCATTTAAATTCGAATTTACTGTGTCAATAGGCCATTGCTGCTACGCTAATTATCTGTAGTATATTGCAACAGGAACTCTAGCAAAGAATGATGTTTACCAGATAGCTGCTGAATGCCACAGCTTGACCTACAATCAAAGACCACTATGATGGTGCCTCAATGCTCCTCTGCAATCTGGAAACAGACCCATGCCTGGGCAGAAGGGAGGCCAGGAATTGGCTCCCTTTGGAGATGATCAGCTCTTAAGAGCCCAGATGGATTGTTGCAAGGCAGTCAAGGATGTTCAGGAAATATAAATTCAATTATCAGCAATGAAGCCCAAAGTTTAGAACTTTGGAATCAGGTGATCCTGACTTCCTGTCCTAGGTCAGCCACTTTATTGCTGCTTTGGAGAGAATATTTACCACCTTTCCAAATATCACCATATCAAAGAAGCCTTCCTTGACCTCCTTTCTCCTTCCTTCCAGTCTCTACTCCTTCTGCTTCATTCTTCTTTAGAGCACTGATCTCAACTGGATATATGCTTTATATATTTGTGTCCTAGCAGTTTCTACCAGTCAAAATGTAAGGTCCATGAGAGCAGGGCCTTTGCTGTGGTCACATAATAAGCACTCAGTAAGTAACTGGTGAATGAATGAGTTTTGGAGAGTCTTAATTTATTCCTCTGTAAAATCTTGTTTTTCAAGATTAGGTGAGCTTTGTTCCTCACACACGGTAGGTACTTTTCTGTGCATTTCTCATGCTGGTTAGAGGGAGAGCAGCTTTGCTTCTGGGCAGGATTCAATCTCATATTCCCTAATGCATGTCCATGCAAACATCAAAACCACAATCATATTCTTTCATGTTTTGTGAATGGCTAGGATGTTCTGTTAGATTAAGTAATTTGTTCATTCAACATGTACTCAGCATATGAAGAAGATACTGATGCTCTGTGAAAATGAATTGGCTTTGTTGTCTGGGGAAATCCCCGAGGTTCCTTGTCTGGTGCTAAGAAGATTAAGGACATGCGGACACACACACAGACTGGGTTTAGGAACGTAAAGTGTAATAGGCAAAAGAAAGGAGAGAGAGAGTAAGCTTCCTCGTGCAGAGAAAGCAGAGCACTCAAGGGGGCTTCAGGGTTTGGGACAAGATGCGGTCTATTTTACAGAGGGGCTTGAGGAGGAGGTGGTATTTGATTTACATAGGGCATAGGGGATCGGTTTGACCAGGTGTCCCATTTACATAGCCCGCGAATCTTTTATTATGTAAATGGAGTTTCCAGCCCAGCGAACAACCGCATACATTGCTACAAAGAAAAGGGAGGAGATGTCCTCCATGTTGGATGTGTGTGGCTTCCAAGTACAGCTGCCAGCATTTACTTATGCAAGCTTCCAGCTTCCTTATCTATGCTTGCAGCTTGATTTTTCAGGCTGCTTTTTATTAGAAAAGAAATGATTTGGGGGCTGCTTTTTATTAAAGGAAATTCCACTGAGAACTCTTTTACGCTTACTAGCTGCCTAAATAATTTCTTACTAAGTCCTATATCAAAGATTCCTTTTCTCTCTAGGTCCTAGAACCTTCATTGTCCCTGAGGTTAGACTGCTCCCGCAGCCAGACCACTGCTTCATCTTGAGTCCAGGTTGAGATACTGCAGCGAGCTTCTACATAAGGGGCCTTCTTATTTTCTATAGCTTCTTGTTGGCATGAAGAATATGCTATTTTGTCTTTTCCTGACTCAGTCAGGGCAAATCTCACTTCTTTCTCGAGCACTTCCATCTAGAAAATTATTTTCCTGAGCAAAAATTACAGCAAAGAATTTAATTTCAACGATAGTGGCACACACCCCTGTAGTTCCATAGTTGTTAGCAAAACCTTTTTTTGTAGTTGAAAGGGGCAAACTTAGTGAATAAAGCAGCAGCTAAGATATGTTCTTGTTTTATACTCTCAGCCTCCCATAAATCTGCAGTGTTAACCAAGCAAGGAATTTGCTTATATAAATCCCAGCAAAATTTTTTTTTCCATTCACATATAGAGAGATGTAGCATCAATTTCTTATAATTGTCTTCACAGTATCCGTAAGTCTGTAGCATTGTCTCAGCTGGCTAATTATTTGCTCCACAAAGGTAAGTTATGATGGTGACAACCGAGGTAAGTTTCTACCCACAAAGTCCTGAAATTCAGTTGATGATGGTCAAAGACAATGTGCCTGGGAATCTGTATGTTGTGGATAAGTGGCCCATGACTTCATTTTAGTATCTTAAGTCTGAGATGGAAGGAGAAACTCTATGAACCACTTTAAACTATTTATCAGAATCACAAATTCCTTCTGCAAAACTCATATGGAGTCTTAATTCACTCTCATGGAAACGAATATGCCTTTGATAAAGTAATGATGCTTTCTGTCTTTCCTTTTAAGCTGAGAAATTCCAGATACCAAGATAATGCAATAGTCACCTTCAGTCAATGCAGTTTGTCTGCAATGGAATTTTTTTGTGGCCATAGTAACTCATGCTTATTATTTGGGATAGCTTTAGCCTCTCTGGCAGTTTCTCCATAAAAAATTTAAGATACATATCTCAAATCTTGAATAATTATGTGACATGGTTTGCCACAGAGATAGAAGAGAGTTTATTTTAATATTAACATGTCCATGACTGTGGTCCAGCATGATCTTGACTTTTTAGTGGCAGATTGATCCAGCGCATTTGTATTTGTCATTGTTCTTTAGAGTTGTGGGTGGTTATGCAGTCAGAAGTCCTTAGTCAAAGATACAGCAGACAGTTTGGGATAATCCAGATACAATTTTTGGTTACTATGAATTTCAAGACAAGGCCTTAGAAGTAATTGTAAAACTTTCTTATTCTGACAAAAATAGTTTTGTCAACCTGTGTTTGGGTCTGTGATTCTAGTCTGTCTGCGATTTCTCTTGAATAATAAGTTACATTCATTTTTCTAGCATTGTGTAGAAAAACATATTTCCAATGCACCAGTGCTACGGCCCTCCTAAATTTACTTGGTAATGTCCAAAGCCATAGATTTTTACATAGAAGACCTTCACTGGACATCAATTTTCATTTATAAATGGTTTTATATTAAAACAAAATTATTACAGAATAGAACCACAATTTAAAAAATATTTTAAATATGAAACATGAGATTTCAAAGAAATTCTGAGCCTGCTGTGCATCACTTCTGGCCATGCTCCAGGCTTGAGATCCATGTGGCCCTCTCTGCCACTGGAGATACTTAGTGGGAAAGGCTGAGGAGCGCTGCTTTATACTAGAGTAGTAGGGAGAAGAAATCTTAATGTGTTCACAGACTTAGAAGTGAATGGCCACTTCACAGTTTAGAAAATTATCATTAGACTGGGCTTGGTGCAGTGCTACACACTCATAGTCCCAGCATTTAGGGAGGCCAAGGCGGGTGGGTTGTTTGAGCTCAGAAGTTGGAGACCAGCCTGGACAAGGTGGTGAAACCATGTCTCCACAAAAATACAAAAATTAGCCAGCTGTGGTGGCATGTGCCTGTAGGCTGAAGTGGGAGGATCCCTTGAGCCAGGGAGGTTGAGGCTGAAGTGAGCCATGATCTTGCCACTGCACTCCAACCCCAGTGACAGAACAAGACCCTGTCTCAAAAAAAGAAGAAAGGAAGGAAGGAGAAAGAAAATAAGAAAATTATAATTAGACTGGCCAGCCCAACATCATGGAATGCTTTTTTTGCTGCAGGCAACAGTGAGGCTCTACAATGGTTGCCTTTTAGGGAAGAAAAATATGGTAGAAATTAAATGGTACCAGAAGGACTTGAAGTGCTTTGTTTGCTTTTGGAGGAGGGAGGTACATCCTGGTTTATCCCTTCCCTTCCCATCTTCAATGAAGCAAATATCAACTGTTCTGGGGCAGTGACTAATAATGTCACTAGTGCCATTTTTATTTTGTAGATTTGTTTTTCCAGTGATATGTCAAAACAATGTAGGACTTCCTAAAATATTTCCATGAGTTTATTTCCAGTTGATGCCACAACATATTTACCCAGTTGTCTTAGTAGAGACCTTGAATTTATCAGAGCCCTAAACCTTCTTGTCTTCTATGTTAAGGAGCTAGAAATTCTTTTTATGCAGGGGACCAGATGATAAATATTTGAGGCTTTTCAAGCCATGAGGTTTCAGCCACAACTACTTAATTCTGTATTGTAGCAGGAAAACAGCTATGAGAATACATAAACTAGTGGATGTGGCTGTGTTCCAATAAAACTTCAACAAAAATGTGAAGGGCAGGTGGGTAGAGGGCAGATTTGAAATGAGGGCTGTAGTTTGCTGATCCCCACTCCATGCTCTTGCTCAGTGGATTTCACCACATCCATTCATTCCCCATATTCAATATTCTCCCTCTCCATTCCTATCTAAACAATCACTAAGTCTTAGCTATTTTACTTCCTATGTTAGTTTCCTAGGGCTGCTGTAATTAATTAAAATGAACTTGGTAACTTTTCACAGCACAAATGTATTTCTTCACTGGAGGCTAGAAGTTCAAAATCAAGGCATCAGCAGGGCCATGCTCTCTGTGAAGGCCATAGGGGAGGGGTTTCCTTTGCTTGCTCCTAGCTGCAAGTGGTTACCGGCAATCCTTGGCTTTCCTTGACTTGCAGCCGCAGCATTTCAATCTCTGCCTCTGTTGACCCGTAGCTTTCTTCTCTGGGTCCTTGTCTCTGTGTCCAAATTTCCATCTTCTTAGAAGAACAACAACAGTCATATTGGATTTAGGGCCCAACCCAATCCAGTATGACCTCATCTTAACTTTATTACATCTGCAAAGATGCTATTTATAAATAGCATCACATTCATGGGTTCTGGGTGGACATGAAGTCGGAGGCGGGACACTTCCTATTTTTCCTATCTGTCCTTTACATTTCATATCAGCTACCACTGCGTTAATTCAGCTCTTTATCATCCCTCGTCTCTCATGTGACTATTTCAGCTGCCTCCTAACAGGTCTTGCCCTCCTCTAATATCTGAGTGACCATTCTGAAATGCAAATTTCACCATCTCTCTCTGCATTAAAAAATCCTTCTTGTCCTTTGTCACCTCAGCAGTGGTTCTCAATATTTCTGCCCAAGCATGTCATGGCTGAGTACGCTGTGGAACAATGACTTATTTGGGTGCCCAGGTGATGTGCGCACTGGCTATATCTCCACTCCTTTCTCTCCATTCAGTTAACTGAATAATTTATGTAATCAAGTAAGTCATTTACATGATTACCATTGATATATTACTTTCATCTCACCATTGATTGGGCCAAACAGTACTTTTCAACTTTATGGCAGAAAATCACTGGTGTTCTGGCTACAGATGCCCCCATGGTGGGATCTTACCAGCCCCTCATTTTACCCTTTGTTCTCCAGCAACCCACCCACTGTGCTTCTTCCCATGATTGCTTTACTCTTACAATTCTTGCCTCTCTTTTTGGAATAAGACATGGAGTCTGCCTACAAGGAACTTCAAGCTGACAAGGTCTCCCCTTCTCTTTGGGCATTTGAAGAAGTTCAGTTGGCATCGTTGGACAAGTCTGATAGGTACAAGTATACTTTTAGGAATAATGGGACATGGTACTTGAAATCAGGTCTATCCCAGAAAACCCAGGACACATGGCTGCCCCAGGGGATACAACTAGATACTAAATACTTTTTTTTTTATTGTATTTTTAAAATTTTATGCAATGGAGCACATGCCATCATGAAGGAAAGAAGTCTGTCTTCTGGTTGCAGTTGTCAGTACGTCAGGACAGTCTCCCTCAAAGGCAAATCTTATCGCTTGCTCCTCAGTGCCTTTTAGGGAAGGCCCTTCAGGTCTTGCTCTTATCAACCTGTTGACCACTTCAGAGCCTAGCCCAGGACCTGGCCCTTACTAGTTCCTCAGAAAATAGTTGTTGAATGAGTCAGTAAATGAATGACCAAATGGAATTCATACAATTTAAAGAAAATGCTTCTAAATAAGCTACAGCTTAATCACACAAATAAGTCCCTGTAGACAGACAAGAAAAGTAAAACACAGAGAAAACTCACACAAGTGAACCATAGGTATTCTGACTTCAAATCCTACTCCACTTAAGAATATTGCATCTTCTTCTACTTTATCATTTTGAGTTTTCTAACTGAGCTCTCCTGCTATAGTCAACTTCATAGTTTCGGAAGCCACTGGTCTGATTGTGAGTTTATATGAGGACATATTACTAACATCTAATGGACCCATAAGCGACATTCTGCAGTTTTAACCATCAAATACATGGAAATTAACCTTCTATACTAATTTTATTATTTTTATTGTAATACTGTGAAAAAGTAAATGACCATCTCTCCATCTGGCCTTTATAATGGATAAACATCGTAGCTGAGGTGCATGCTGTTCAAAGGCCTGAAAATATGGTACACAAAAGTGCATTTTTCTTTTTCAGTTTCTACTTTAGCACCTGCTTGATAGTGTTTTCTTATTTGGTGTCATCATTATTATTATTTTTTGAGACAGGGTCTCACTCTCACCCAGGCTGGAATGCAATAGCTCGATCACAGTTCACTGCAGCCTTGACCTCCCAGGCTCAGGTGATCCTCTCACCTCAGCCTCTAGAGTAGCTGGGACTACAAAAGTGTGCCGCCACACCCAACTAATTGTTTTATATTTTGTAGAGACTGGGTTTTGCCATGTTGCCCAGGCTGGTCTCAAACTCCTGGGCACAAGAGGTTCCCCTTCCTCAGCATCCCAAAATGCTGGGATTACAGGTGTGAGCCACCGTGCCTGGCCATTTCTTAGGTAAAAATATTTGTGCACATCTTTCTAGGTGTGATTAATGTTCTCTACTAACAATGCCACTAAGAAATGCAGAACTTGCCTGAAGGAAAAGACGATAATGTTGACGCAAAGATAAATGTCTAAAGACTTGTCAAATTAAAAAAACTAATCTTGTGGACTCAACTAAATTATAATACAAGCAGTCAAAAATAATTGAATCCAAATGACGACACTTATCTTTACTACTTAATGCTAAGACAACACAGTCAGTGGATAAATATAAAAGTAAACATTTCATTCTTATGTTGGAGGAAAGTGAAAGGAACGGGTTTAGTAAAGCTTGCTTTATTTTTTGTTTTGAGAGGGGAACAGCACACACAAATCAGCGTTATTATTCTCATGCCTTGATACAGCAATGAAACTGCTTTGTGCTGGTAGACATAAGCTGAATGTCAGTTTGCCAAGAACATATAGAACACTATAGGGAATACTGTAGAAAGCCTTGTTCTTGTGGGTGGATTAAAAAAGGAATGTCAGAGACCAAACTCCCTCGGCTTTCCTTCTTACTTCCTATTCTCAAAATTTCCCTGCATCTTTATCCAACTTCTCCCCCACTTCCACATCATACCTCCTATTCCATTCTAATCCTTCTACTTAATCCCTTGTTCCCATCCTGAAACACTGCGGAGTCCATTAACTGGCCCCCAACCCACCCCCACTAATATTTGTTAATAGCTCTCTGTTCACAAGTCCCTTCCTTTTAGCCTGCCAGCATGCTATTTATTTCCCATCCAAACCCAAGCCTCTCTTGATCCTGTCATTCTCTTTAACTTTCCCATATTTCCCATTTCTCCTTCAGGCAATTGCCAAACTTCTGGAAAGATGATTGCCCACATTCACAGACCACAGTTGCTGAGCACCTACTCAGACCCCTGATGTGATCCTCCCAATTTCTTGGAGCATCTCTCTCCAACACTCATATTGGCTTGCCTGACTCTCATTTATCTCTCCTGGTTCTCTTACTGTGCCTTTTCTGTGTCTTCTTCCACCTGCCATTCCCTATATAAATATAGTCTGCAGGAATTTGTCTTGGCCCCTCCACTTCTGTCTCTGGGATTATTTCTGTCCTCTGCTTCCTCCTCTTCTGTTTATTGATAATATCATCCAGTCCCAACTATTAATCTATGCAGGTAAATACCAAATCTTTTGTTTTAGCTTTAAGTGCATTTCTAGCTTCTGAACATGTATGTCCATTGGCTTCTGGATATCTTTATTTTAATCTCCTATTTTGGTTGTAAACTCATTCATTAATTTGTTTTTTCACTTACTCAATATACATGTATTAAATGTCCACTATGTTAGCTAAAATGAAGGTTAAGCTGCTATCCAAATGCAATGGCTTCAATAAGGCAGGAGTTTATTTTTCTCTTACTTTACAAGATGGCAGAGCACTTGTTCTCCACAAAGTCATTCAGGGAACCAAGGGCCCTTTCCCAATTTGTGGCTCTGATGTCACAAAGTGTGTCTACACCTGTATGGCCACAGCTGGATAGCATGTGAAAAAGAAAGAAAATGGAAAGGTGCATGACCAGTCTTTTAAGACCAAGCCCCAGAGTTCTCATCCCTCTAGCTCACATCATCACTCTGACTTAAGTAGCCATGCCTAACTTGCAAGAAAGGCTGAGACATGGAGTCTTTAGCTACCTGACCCTGTACTCTGCTATACTCTGTTGTCATGGAAGAAGGGGAGAATATAGTTTGGGTGAGAACCAGTTGTCTGTTGCTCCTACCAGGACTACATATGCTGCCAAGCATTGACATTCACTAACATTGGAATAATCCTAATTATATTTCTGTCCAAATCTGTTTTTTGTTTGTTTGTTTGTTTGTTTGTTTGTTTGTTTTACTCAGTATTCTACACTTCTGTGGATGGCATTATCATCCTTCCAGCCACAGTGTTTTAAAACAGCCAAGATATCTTTAATTTTTAGTTAATCTTTCCTATTTCTTCGCTCCTGCAAAAGCCACAATTTTCCTAAGTATAACATAGTCTTCCTGTTATTTCTGGCTTGGCCTCATCTTTTTCCACTTTTCCAAACACTTTTGTAGGGTTAGTGTCCATTACCACTTGCTTGAAAGACAATGCCTACTCACTGGTCTCCTGTGTCCAGTCTTGCTCTGCCCATCACACATCCCTCAGCAGTCTTACTGAAACATGTCAACCCCAGTGCATAAGGAAAGGAAGTGTGGACTCCTTAGCATGACATTCAAAGTTAATAAGAAGGATTGTGTGCCCTTGTCTAAGTTTGGTGGGATTGGCTATAATTACCTTCTCCATCCAGTTCCCTACTGCCTGCTCTGTCTGACATATTCTACATTGAGCCATGACATGCTTCACATTTTCTTCCTCTGCACATTTATTTATATTTTCTCTTGGTTTCAATGCCCTTCTAGATCCACAAGTCCAACTGCTATCAATGTTTCAAAGCCAGGTTTAAATTCCACCTTTTCCAAAAAGCTTTCTTTATCCTTTTATAATAGAACAAAGTTCTTTCTCCCTCCTTTGATCTTATATAAAATTGTATCTATACCTCTCTTGTGATACCTAACCCTTTATTTCTTGTATTATAGCTGATAAGGGAATACCTAATCTTCCCTAGCAAGCTCCTTAATTTTGGGACCAAGACTAATTCTTCTGTATATTTCACTTAGGTTCTAGTATAATGCATGGCACATAGTAGGTATTCAACAGATATGAATTTAACAAATGAATGTTTGAAGAATAAGTTAAAGGAAATTGAAAATATGATAAATACAAAGCAGATAGTCTATGAGAAAAACACATCATTTTCACTGACAGATTGAGAAACTATTACTTGTGAAGCGAATTTTCACACAGTTGAAAAATTGGTAAGGCCTGCTTATTCATTTAGGAAGACACATTTGGAATAATAGTAATCAGTGTTTTGGTCTGGTAAGGTTAAGTGATAGTGATACAGGTTTAAAAGAATTGTCATGAAAATGCAAGTATTTTCTTCAACAAGACACATTTTCCTTAGGATTATCTAAAACACTTCTGAGGTCCTAAGTTTTTGAAATATTGTGGGTTTTTTGTCCTACATTTTCCAGTCAATCCTACGAATACTGAAATAATTTTCATTCTAATTATTCTGTGGTATTTTCAGTCATAGTCAAGATTCTGAAAACTCCTACTAGAAAGGCCCTTTTCATAGGATTTTCCAGTTGAATTTTATTGCCTGGAGATATTGCAAATCTGAAGATAATTTCCCCCAAACATCTAACATGTTTCAAGCAAAAACTCCAATTCTTTTTGCATTTGTGTATCTGAAGCATTGGTAAAATTAAAGGAGTGTTTCACTTCTAGTGATTCTACATTTGCCTTCTGGAATTAGGGCAACATTTTAAAGTGGTGGGATCTCATTAATGTTTCATGGAAAATAAGAAAAACATGCTATAAAAATCACCAAACCATGGGATAATAAGGAAGAGGAAGGAGTGGGTGATCAATGAGGCCCTCTGGGACGATTGTGGAATAAGTTCTTCTAAATCCTGGGCAAGATTTTCACAACTCATAAGCAACTTCTGGCTATAGGTCACACAGCTTTAGAAATTGCTTTAGCCCTTTCGGGAACCATACCACCATTACATTTGGTCATTTCTATGTCATCTGTGTTTTATTTTGGAGTCCCATCAACTTCAGTTAGAAGCAGGTTCTTATTAAAGGTAAAATCTTGGCAAGTTACTTTACCCTCTGCGAGCTTCAGCATCATTATTATTTAAATGCTTATAACTGGGGATTCAACTGTATTAGTGATGCTGGGCACATGGGCTTCTATTATTTTTTGAGTGTTTGAAATATTTTATTATAAATTTAATATGCACCTAAAACATATGAAAGTTTGTAAGAAAATAAGGAGATGACGAATGCAAACCACCCAGTTCAGCATGATGTAATAATTGATAATTATTACTAATAATGATGCAGATAACAATTATTTTATATATTATATATATTTTATATATATGCAGTCTCATCTATACATATATTAGGTTGGTGCAAAAGTAATTGCAGTTTTTGCCATTACTTTTAATATATATACATGGTCTCACTCTGTTGCCCAGGCTAAAGTTACAGTGGCATGATTGTGGCTCACTGCAACCTCAAATTCCTGGGCTCAAGACATCCTCCTGCCTTTGACTCCTGAGTAGCTGGGACTGCAGGTTCATGCCCCACACCCAGCTAAGCTTTTCTAAATGTTTTTAAGAACTGGGGGGGTCTCACTACATTCCCCAAGCTGGTCTGAAACTCCTGACCCCAAGAAATCCTCCTGCCTTAGCCTCCAAAATAACTGGGATCACAGGTGTGAGCCACCATGCCCGGCTAAATTTTTGTTGTTGTTGTTTTTTAGACGGAATCTTGCTCTGTCGCCAGGCTGGAGTGCACTGGCACGATCTGCCACCTGGGTTCACGTGATTCTCCTGCCTCAGCCTCCCGAGTAGCTGGGGCTACAGGTGTACACCACCACACCTAGCTAATTTTTGTATTTTTAGTAGAGACAGGATTTCACCATATTGTCCAGGGTGGTCTCGATCTCTTGACCTCATGATCTGCCTGCCTCAGCCTCCCAAAGTGCTGGGATTACAGGCATGAGCCATCGCACCCGGCTGCCTGGCTCAATTATTGTACGACTTTAGCTATGGTTACCATGGTTATATACAAAGGAATGTTTTGAGAACTGGAGTAGGGGGAAGGAGGACAGATATAAACACACCTAATTTCATTCTTCCATGATTTAAGTACTCTATGCTAGGGTAATAAATAGAATTTACAGACATGAAAGTGTTAAGAATGCAAGGCAGTATATGATCAAAGCCAAAATGAATTATGCAAACTATATGTTCCAAAAGAGTGCAGAGATGTGTTCAGATAATTAGTCTGTGTGTGTGTGTGTGTGTGTGGTATGTATGTAACACACTCTAAATAAAATCATACAGTACTTTAAGCAAGCAGAAACATTTCAGCCTAGAATGATAGAGTGCCACCAGAGTTTGTTATTTAAGATGAATTCTTGCAGGGCCCATTTTCAGAAACCCAGGGACCTGTTTCTGACAAGTCTATCCCCTTCTGCCTACAAAATGCCACCCACGTTCCATTATTCTGACATACATGGTAAAGCCTGAAATAAACAGAAACTGCTGAATTGATGAGTTAACAAAACACACATGAGCCCCAGGAAATTAACAGGACGATGGTCCCAGGCTAGCATGAGGCACAATAGCGTTCTGCTCCATGTGATTTTCTGGCATGCTTATTAGACTCCTGGGAAGGGAAATGCCTCTACCTGGAGATTTAGATGTTAGAATTGACACTCCCAAGCTAGAGCGTTCTATCTGAAATAAAAGCAGTCTTTGTGTGGAGAGAATAAAACTACAAGCTTTGTACACTTGTAAACCACCACTGGCTCACAAATTATTCCTATTTTACTCTCAGATTGAGAAAAAGACATTTGAATCTGATATATTTTAGTCTGTAAAAAAAAAAAAAAATCAAAAGAACAGAGTTCTGTCAGCCTAATCTCATTACACATGTAGCCATTACAGTCAAAATGAGTTTCCTCTGAATAAGTTTGGTTGTGTTTCAAAACCAATTCTCAGAGGAAAAGAGTCATTACACTCAAGTAGTATGTTACTAAATGGAGCTTCTATTATGCTGGGGTATTCACATTCACGTTTGCTGAAGCCATAGGGTGACGAGATGAATAATCCAGGTTTTGTTCAATACGAAATTGAACTGAGTGAAAGAGAAAGAGACAGAACATTTAAAATGCATAATGTCAATACTTTGTTAAAGGTTTTGTTTAATAAGGAGAAATCAATAGCCATGGAAACATATGTTCACAGTACCTCCCTCTTGCTTCCATCTCATGTCCTACGAGTTCCTTTATCGTATGCATTATAGTCAGAATCATCTGCCAGTTGACCACCTACCTCACTTTCATCGCCTTCTTTGCTCCTGCATGTAAAACCGGGTTCTGTCAGAATAAAAGCTTCTCCACGGCAGGGACTCAGCCTGGATTTTACTGTATCTCCAGGGATAAGTGTCTCGGACACACAGGAGTTCTTCAATAAACATTAATCAGATACTGTTTTCTGGAGGCTGCTTGTGTCTCCTTGAGAACTAAATAGCATAAAAGATGAAGCCCTCTGTGTATGTATTAATAGATGGGGACAGTAATAGCTAGATGTGTAATAAGAGGAGGCTGATAGAACTCTGGATTCTAAAGCAAATGTCCAGAAAGAACCCTCATAGCAAGGCAATGTGGCAGAAAAGTCGACTGGCTTACGGTGAAAAAGGACGTTAATTTACTAGGCATTCACTCTTCATGTACCAGTTTTCCTCAAAAGTCCATTAATGTGAATTTTCTTTGTTGTTTTTAGAATCAATGTGATCTTGAGGATTTAAACGTATTTGATATGTTTCAATCCATTGCTGTTACTCTTCTTGATGCTCAGTTGTCTCTTCCTTGGCTAAGGAAAGGCTTTTTACATTTTTAAATTACTTATTATTTATTTATTTATTTTGGAGACAGAGTCTTACTCTGTCACCCAGGCTATAGTGCAGTGGCACAATCACGGCTAACTGCAACCTCAATCTCCTGGGCTCAAGTGATCCTCCCACTTCAGCCTCCCCAGTAGCTGGGATTACAAATGCACCACCATGCCCAGCTAACTTTTTGTGTTTCTTATAGAAATGGGGTTTTGCCATGTTGCCCAGCTGGTCTTAAACTCCTGGGCTCAAGCAATCCACCTTCCTTGACTTCCCCAAATGCTGAGATTACGGGTGTGAGCCACCATGCTCAGCCAGGAAAGCCTTTTTAAGTTGGTACTTTGGTCGTTTTGACAAGACACTAGATAGCATTTTTGTGCTTTTTAGTTATGATGAGATGCAGCAGTCTCATTTTGTTCATTGTATGCCCTAGAACTAGAATCAGCTTATTTCTCTAAGGAGCATTAGTTCTTTTCAGAAAAAAAAGAAAAATATATTTGGAGGCCACAATTTATGCACTAGGGACACTCATTGCTCCTGTGTTGGCCATAGTTCCTAGGCTTTTTCAGTGAGCAGACTAGGAAGTGTGTGTGTGTGTGTGTGTGTGTGTGTGTGTAAATCATTAGGTAACATTGATACCTCCAATTCAAATTCAGGGATTTAGGGATTTTACTTAATTCCATCAGACTTGCATCTGTACCTCCTTTATCACGCTACAAAAATCTTGGTTCTCAATGATGCCAATAAAAAAATTCATTTTTTCTTTGTTTTATAATATACTCAAAACAGTCTCAGAATAATAGTAACAAGAATATAATTACTGTAAAGATTAATATTTAAATTTCTTCTTTTAGATATACCATAGACATGATGTAAGTTAAGTACTTGTGTAACAAATTCACTTGCAAAACTGCCTCTTTGTGTGGTTATGCTACCAACTTGTTACACAGTTTGGTTCACTTGTTTTATGTTATTTTTAATTTTTAGGGATTTAAAAAATGTATCAATTTAATTTGTTTTATAATTATGCGAAATATATACATGGTTATAAAGTCAAATCTACATAATCAAATTATATTCTTTTTCTCAATAAATGAGAGTATTGTATACACACATTTTGCTACTTTTTCTAAACTTAAAATACTCTATGTTCGTCACCCAGTAACAGTTTATAGAGATACTTCTTACTCCTTTTAACAACTTCATAGAACTTCAATGTATGTATGTGTAGCATAGGTTGCTCAAGCAATCTCTCAGTGATGGATACTTAGATAGTGTCTAGTTTTTTTTCTCCCTATTACAAAAAGTGCTGTAATCAGTAGCCTTGTGTATATTTATTTTTGTATGTTTGCCTGTGTACCTTTAAGATAAGTTTTTGAAAATATTACTAGGTCAAAGGATAAATGCTTATGAAATTTTCTTAGATATTGCTGAATTTTCCTCTATAGGGGGTTCTGACATTTTGTCTTCCTATCAACATTATATGAAGATGTCTATTCCCCACACCCTTGTCAATAGAGTATGTTGTCAAAACATTTAAATATTTGCCAATATGTTAAATGAGAAATATTGTATCTAACTATAATTCCCGTTTCTTTCATTGTATGCAAGTTTGAGCATCTTTTCATGTGGTTAAGGCACAATTGCATTTCTTTTCTGTGAACACGTATCTCAAGTCAATTTTTCTATAGGATGATTATTTTCTTATTCTCTTCCTGGATTAAATATGAAATGGAAGGAGAGGAAGTGTTGCAAACCTCAGTTACTTAAGCGAAAAACCTGAGATGTTTCTGCCCATGATTCTTAATCTGTAGTGCTGAGAAGATAAACTCAGCCAGAATTTGGTCAGGAACATAGACAAAACTCTAGGTATTCCAAATTGAAAGAACTAATACAAAGAATTGAAGGCTTGTATAATTCAGAAGGCTTGAAGAGTGAAGGTCAGGAGAGACATTTGCAGTGGCCAACCTTCCCAAAATCTCACCTGGCAGGGGCTAAGTTCAAGAACCTCTGGGAAGCTTCTCCTGTCAATCAGCCAATCTCAGCTTGTTGCCCCAACACAGTGATTCTCACAAAGCCTGCCTGGAAGTCACTCTGAACCTCAAGGCTGCCCCTGTGCTGCCTGAAAGGCTCTAGAGAATCATCACTTCTTCTGTTCTTCCACCGTCTAATCTTCCATAAGTGCCTATCAGTGGCACAATCTAAACTAGAAACTATGGGGAGCAGGGAATTCTGGGAAATGTAATTTTCAGGTCTCTTCAATGAGATAGCAGTGGAGGCAGCTTCAAAACAGCTCTTACTTGGCCTTTTGGGAGCACATTTCCCCCCTTTCATTTGAATTCTTTTTGGTTTTCTTTCTATACTTTTTGAATAAGAAAAAAAGATTTGAGAATCCAGTTAATAGTAATAAAAACAATAGCCTTTATAGAGCACCAGCACTGTGTTGAAATCTTTACATGTGGTGATTGAGGAAGGAGGAGGAGGGCAGGCTCTCATTTTCACAGTGTTTTCTATGTGAGTTCCAGCAATTAGAAGGCTAAGAAAAAAATACTTTAATAGACCAATGTTCATTAATCGGCTGATATGCAATTAAACTACGCTAAAAAAGCCTTCCTCATTTTTCCTAGCCTTTTTTCTTGACCGTAACTTGAATATTTTTGTTAGTTGATCTCCTGCAAATTTTAGCAATAAAATACCCATGATACTTTTGAAAAAGGACAAGAGTGACCATTTTATAGTTCCTAAAAGGTACCAGACTGACACAAATGTACTGAGAAAATATCTGGAGTAAAAAAATATACAAGATTGGACTGGAAAGGTCTTTTTACATCAGAAACTAAGGAAATAATAGAAACTTTTGGGGTGGCATCAAAAGGACCCAGGAGACAATTTAACAATGGTGTCATTGGCCAAAGATTGAATAATTTGAACATTAATAATAACAACTTCAGTGGATTGAAATATGTTTAAATCCCTGAGTTCAGAGTGACACAAGGGGAAAAAGCTGTAATAGTTATCTTTGGAGGATGCTAGGGAACAAACTTATTCATCTGTAAATTAACAAATAAAAGAAAAAAATGAGCATTTAACGTACCTTTTCTATATGAACTGTATCTCAGGGTAATCAAATAGTTCATGAGGAGAAATGTGTTTTTATAGAAATGTTGCACCAAATAAATGAAGACGGAATGATAGAATATCACCACTTGTCAAAATGCTAGTTTATTAATGGATCTTAACAATGATCATCAATAGTTGCAACATCACAAAAAGAGAGACAACTCAAAATTATTTCCCTACTGACAGAAGCACATAGCATCACTTGTAACTATTCTTACAAACAAAAACAAAAACAAAAACATATTCAAGCTCTAAGTACTTTTTTACATGGAACAGAGGAAAATGTTAAATGACACCGCAGTGATACAATCATCAAAATTCAACAGTGGGAAATTCTAACCACAAGGAACAAAAAAAAGAATGGAAACCTATAGTTTCCTTGGTTAGTGGATTTTTGGAAAAATTCATTCACACGTAGCCAATAAACACATTAATATCTTGGATGGATTAGGAGACATAAAATGTGGGAGAGCTTAGCTGACTAAATTGCACAAGCTGTGGAACATTTCCTTGTAGTTCCACTGGGCATAAAGTCTCTTAAAATATCCTTCAGAATACAATGGCACATGTAGTGATGTTGGCTTACTGTCACTTCATTGCACTGCAAATAAAATTAAGTAATTGGTTTATGATATTTATTATGGCTCCAAAATACCCTCAAACTGAAAATATCTCACATTTCCCTTACATGTGCTGTTTGGAGTAAGTAGTGGTAGATTTTCATTTCTTGATAAAATATATGGGGCACCTTTCCAAAGTTGCTCTCTACCAAAGCTCATTATTTTTAACGAATGGTGAAAAGAATCAGACCCCTACATCAGAAAGAAGTGGAATAAAAATACAAGTAAAGACAGTATAGTTGCTGCTTCATAAAATAAAATATTTTTCATTTTTTAATAATTTAGTTCCCAATGTTTATAGTAAATGCTTCAGTATATGTAAACTGCCATAAGGTGAATACCAAGGAATGAAGAAGCTTTTGCAATATGAGCTTATTGTACTCCTCCCTAGTTTCTTGTTTTGATTAGAAGCCAGTAGAACCTCTAGACTTTTGGGAGGATTTGGAATTTACTGATTAGTGAGATGCCACTGAGGAATATTAAAAATGATCTTAGACTTACACTTCCTTTGAAACATCTTTCTGACACTAAACATCAACTAAAAATCTAAGATTGAGTTGTTTCAACTAAACACATTTAGAACTAGGAAATAGACTGCAACTACTGAATATATTTCAACATGTCATTAGGGAGAGCTCACTAGAAGAGAAGGGAAAGCAAGTTGGTGAGGAAGGGGATCTCGTGTCTTTAAAGGAATTAAAAATATGAGACTCCACAGTTTCATATGTGACTCTGTGGATGACCTTACGTGGATGAAGGTTGACAGAAGATCAAGTTCCCACAGGCTTTGAATTCTATCCACATGTCTTTATTAGAGTCTATGATATTGAAAAGAAAGCCATTCAAAGGGGTGAGGCCATAGGGATAGCAACATTGTGCTGCCCAGTTGGGTGCATGCCTATGGGGCTGCATCTGCCCAGCGGGGGCACCATTTTCTAATTCTTGAATAAGCTGGCACCAGCCATGCTTTAGGCTGGGGAAGGGTGAACACTGAGGTGAGGGTGAGGTATTTTCCTGTGACTGAACAGTTAATTTGGCTTTCAGCTTGGAAAGGGAGGACAAAAGAAGAAAGAAAGCTTCTCCAGGTAGTTCTGAAAATGAACAATCTCATATATGTACAAAGAGTTCACAAACTTGATCAACCTCAATTCAGTTTAATTTTTTGCTTCAATCACCACCTTCAAATATTCTCTGTAAAATTTTCTTTGTTCTTTAGTGATTTTGAGTGCATTTCATTGCTTTGTGGTCACTTTCAATTTTCATGAAGTCCTCTTTAATGCATACAACTCATATCCTACTTGATGTTTGTTTCCTCTTCTATCCTCCTCCCACTAGGCTGGAGGGCCCTGCAGTGGGCAGGGACAGTGGCCTCTTATTTTGAATCATTCTTTTACTTTTCTGGTTCTTGTGTTGCATTAGGGAGGCGGATACAGATGGGACATGGCTGTCTTATTTATCTGGCCATAGATATAATCCTTCCATTATTTCCTCTTCTTTGGGTAACACTGACAGCAACTTGATACACTCTCTGGAACTGACGCTGATCTGCCGGCTCTACAGGGCACAGGGATGGGCTCTTCAGGGGGCTGTGAGTGGGAGAAGGGTGTTTCTCACTGCACAGTTGCCTGTATAGGAATTCTGCTATAGCCCTGCTGTTTGCCAACTCCTTTCCAGCTCTTGACCCCAGCAGTAAACCCCACAGACTCCTGGTGTTGGAGCAACTCCCAAGCAGCCAGTCTTCTCAAGTGGGATTCCAGTAAGATAGTTCCAGCATGGGTCTGAGGGCAGGCTGTTCATATTCCTTTCCTTTGACTTTCTTGTTGTCTTCCTTTATTCCCCCAACCCCACCCCCCTTCTGAAAAGGGAAGACCAGCCAGTCTGTTGATCTAAATAACTATTAAAAGTGATGTCTGTATAATGGTAAATGAGATGATGTTCTTTTCTTCTTGAAGGTCCGTCAATGTTTGTAGACGATTCACTTCAACTTTCTTTCATTTTCCTTTGGAGAGGTATAAGCACTTCCTGTACTCCACATTTTGTTCAAAGATGGGTGGCAAATGGCCAGCACTCTCCTTTAAAGTCGACAACTAGTGATTCTAACAATTGTATCTTTTTTCCTCTCCTCAATTTCTAGTCTTCTGTTTATATAGACTGAGGTCTGAAGGAGCTGTGGTTAAGAAGAGGTTGCAAAGTACCAGACCTGGCAGAAACTTCTGGTTCCAATTACTTGAAACCCCCTTTACAATGTGGGTTCTTTGACACCTCTTATGGATCGACAATTAAAACCTCACTCAGTATACTATTGTGTTAACTTATTTTACGTTGCATATATTATGATTTCTTCTCTCCTTCAATACTGACTTTGATGAAAATTTTAACCTGATTACATTGGCCTAAGAGCATTGGCAGGGAAAGCAGATAATTTTGTCTGTGCAGACATGGCTAATCCTGTTAAGCCTGGGTATAGAGCCAGATTTTTATATAGATGAGCTGGTTTATATGTGGGGGGTGGGTTGGGCAGGGGTCATCTTGTTGAAAAGGAGAGGGTATTGAATTCTCATTTATAGAATCCTTTATACTTTGTTGAGATAACATCAATTGTCAAAGAAGGGGAGGCTCTGTGGAAATTATGAGGGTAGGAGGAGGGTTGTAAAGCTCCCTAATGCCCTTATGGTTACTACTGTAGCCCCAGGCAATGAGAGAAAAGTATCTCTGGGCACCTATATTAGTCCTATATTAGAATAAAAGATATTACATTCTAATGGGTAATTGAGGAGACTTTAATAAAGGAACTATTTGTAAGATGTGGGAAGCCAACAGGCACAAGGAAGCACATGATAGCCAGCAACAGCAGGAAGCCATTAGAGGAAGGAGAGGGAAAGTTTACCAGGACCCAGAGAGAGCCATAGCCAACGCTATAGAAAAGAAAATGAGACACTGCCAACTTATGACCTAGCAGAGAGAGAACTGATGCCTTTCTCTTCCTTGCCTCTGACCTCCTGCTGGTACCTCTTATTGGGTGAACTGGACTTGTATCCAACTGGAAGCCACAGGGAAGAGAAGCCACGGAGGCAGTCCCTAAAAGTCAGTTACCTTGGGGGGATGTCAGCAGGCCACCAGGGTGGAGAAAGGTGGAGAGAGAGTCTGCAGGGGCAAGTGGAAAGTAACTGCCATAGACCCACTTCTTGCCTAGAGAAAGCCTGTTTGCTGACAGATTATTCTATCACATGTCTCATGCTAGAGTGAGTCTCTGACTTTTACGCCACCTGCAATCAGGACAACTTTTCATGATTTTGTGCTTCTAGGCAGAAATTTTCACAATTCGGCACATCCTCAGCTATTCCTCATATATTCATCAATGTTCTGGAAACAAAAACAGATAATAGGCCATTCATCACTTGGCTGAGCTCAATCCTGCTCTCAGTTGACCCTTATTTCATTCATTTTATTCAAGACTGGACCTCTATTCCTTTTCCCCTTTCTTTGCCCAAGGTAGCCATCATCAATTGATCTTTGCTTCCTTTCCTGATGAGCTAAGATACAGCCTCAGAATCTTTCTTAACCTACTGCTCTAGCATCAAAATAAATCAACTGGAGTTGATGTAGAGGGTGAAAGCATCTTTTATCCATGTTCTATGGGTTTCCTTAAATGTTTTCTTATTTTATTTAACAGATTCCTTCCCATTTACCCTGGAAAACATTTACTATACCCACTGAGTTTTTTGGTTTTGTTTTTACCATATGGAATAACAGCCAGATTATCATTAATTAGAAGACCTTTTTTTGAGTTTTCTAAATATCAGGGTCTTACCCCTTCACTTTTACTATAAGTTTATTTTCCTTTGCCTTGCATAGGCCCAGCATTCCATCCTTTGTTTTCCTTTCCTCACTATGGGGCTACACTTTCCCTGCCAGACTCTGATTGGAGTTTTGTTTCTCTCACTTAGAAGAGGCTGTTTCCATACGAGGATCCATAATAACAACATTGCCTCATATTTATAGGATTCTTTGGAATGCACAAAATACTTGCATATATATTTATGAACTTCTTTCTGATTGAAGGCAACATTTGGTGATATAATTAGAGGATCTTGGATCTTTGGTTTATGGGACTATATTACTCTTCAGAGTCTCTTATTATCTTACTATGGCTTTTAGTCACCTTATTGAGAAAAATACCTTTCTACCCACAAAATCTTTCTTTTTTCCTCATGTATATTTATTCAGTTACATAGGTAATTTTTGTTTTAGAGTGTTAGTCAAAGGAAGTAAGCCTTTAGAAAAATAAATGTGTAAAACAAACCTCCGATTTAGAAATCGAACTATAAATACTTTCTTCTTCCAAGATGATATTCAACAATTGAACTTATGTAAACCAAAGTTCATGTATGCATTTTCTAGCAATTTACTCATGATTTCAGAAACTTACAGTCACTTTTAATATGTGGTTTTTTTTTTGAGAAGTGTTCTTTTTGAGGATATTAATGTTCTAATCCCTTCTTTTTTCTTAAAGAGGAAATAGCTTGACACATTTCAGCTGGTCCTTAGAGAATGAAATTTACTACAGATGAAATTTACTACATTTCCTGTGGTATATTTTATAGGGGTCTTTTTTAAAAAAAAAGAAAAACTTTTTTACCTTTTTAAAGCCTGCAGCACCAATGTCTTTCCTCCTGGACATAATTTCTCCAGGTGTTCAGGCTGAGCTTGTAAAGCCTTCTACCATCATGAGCCTCTCTTTAAACTGGAAGCCTTCCTGAAATTTTTAAAATAATGAGGCCTCACCAGGCAAATTTATGATAAGGTTCCTTTTCCTCTCAGCCAAACCCACTGAACCTCCCATCAATTCATAATTGGTCATTGGCCTGTAAGACAATGGTAATAAACAACAGAAAGTGTTTCCTAGGTGTTCTGATCTTTTTATGAGAAAGAGGAAATGACCAAGTGATTTCACCTTAGTCTATGAAGTCAAGGGATATCTTGTGATGACATTATTAATCTCGAGTCTAGATTCTGGCTTCTCTCTGCTACCCCCCTCCCCTCTGCTTTTTTCCCCCAGACCTTTGCTTCCTTTACCCAATGCCTATGAAGCCAATCCCTGTGGTATCTTACCTTGGAAATAGACAGAGAAAAATAAGAGTTAAAATTAGAGGGTTTTTTTTTGTTTTTTGTTTTTTTTTGTTTGCATTTATTAGTGTTCCTTCTGTTTTCTGAGGGGTTTCCAGAGCATGGTTAGTGCAGAGTCTGCAGCTTTAACATTCTTATGGCGTCTTGTCTCTTCTATAATTCAGGGCTACTAAAGCCCCAGGGAGTGTCTTTAAAACAGGAAGTTGCTCAAGCAAATTATTATCTTTAGGAGGACAGATCTATGGCCAAAATGTTGCAAAGGCCAACTGCCTGTTCTTCAGGGAGGCCAGCAGACAGAGGCACACTTCAGGAGCAGAGGAACTAAACATGCAAGGCTTCTGCTTTCTCTCGTCTCTCTCTTACCCCTTAGAGAAGCCGCTGGCTGAACTAAAAATAAGTCACTTAAACTAAGTTGTTAAAGAGTCATCGTACTCAATTGGGTTTACTCATATTTTTCAGTAAAGCCATAAATGGTTATAAACACACTCTTCATTTTTCCCTCTATGTTCCTACCTTGCTCATGGTTCAGTGGCGAGCTTCACGAAGGCTTTTCATTCAAGTTTGACTTCTTTTTCCGCTTCATTTGTTGCCGAGAGCTCCAACTCATATGTGCTCATGCAGTTGGCTCCTGCTTTTCAGGGCTTCTGGGAGGCAGCCAGAGAGCTCAGGTGAGGAGTTAAAACATTTTGATTAAGTGTAGCCAATACCTCTGCTGCACTTGGCCTGCTTTGATTTAAAACATTCCTGAATCTTATTTCCCATAGCCCATGACAAAAAATAGGATGTACAGGGAGATCCATACTGAAACTCCCCGTACTAAAGTTGGGAAGGATATACATGGATTTAAGATTCAGTGAGATTCAGTGTTAACATTTCTTCCAGAGTAAAATGGAACATTTTATTTCACAGAATCATGAGAAAGTAAACAACAAAATATATGATTTGTCATAAATGTCTCTGTTGGCCCTCTGATCTGGGATGAACATGCTATGTGGGTTATGTGCTCCTGGAGTGCAAGGGCATGCCATAGGTTGCATTTCTGCTGTGGGACCACTATAAGGCATGGCACACAGTGGGCATGCAAGAAATGCTCGTTAAGTAAATACCTGCATAACAAAGTGAGTTAGTATTAAACCCCAAATGCCTTTAGGCAATGGTTATAGGAAAGAGAAGTAAAAAAGTAAGAAGTGAAAAAAAAACCCTCCATTCAATTCAGTTTCTCCAAGATAAGTGGACAAGTGATCTTCAGTAGAAGATGAACCTGAGGTTCCAGATTCTTCCAAATTCATTCCACTTACAATTTTTGAGGTAAAAAGCTTCTTTTAAAAACAAAGTATAACACTGTGAAAACACTAAATGTTTGATGTGGAAGCCTTTTCAACATCAGTAAAAAGAACAAAATCTTTTAGTATTTCAAAAACAGGGAAATGGTTTTAGATTTCCTTGAACATTTTAGAATTTAAAAGAATTGCCCATACATGAATAAAATCAGATTTTCATCAAAAGGCTTTTAAGCAAAACTTCACACTTTTCTCCATAAAACAAAACAAATATTTTTCAGAGTAATATTCTCTTACACAAAAGATTTTCACAAATCATTAGAGTGTTCCATGTCAGGAAAATAAAATTCAAAATTATTCAGTAAAGTATTTTTCTTTCATTTTTTATTGCTACTATGAATAAGAAAGCATTAAAGAGGATGAATGACTACAGATGAAAGTTAGCCTGCCAAACATAAAGAAAAAAAATTCTTTTAATGTTTTGGTCACGAACTCTGACAATGATAAACCACTTTTCAACAGCTGCAGACAGCTGTTAAAGTCTGGAGCCTAAAACGCTTAATTGGGGAAGTGTGTTAAAAGTTAAAGGGCCAGAGTCCTTCTAGGTTATGTGAAGACTGTCTTTGACAGACTATAATATTGATTTCCAAGGTTACAGAAAGAACATTTTTTCTCTACATTCATTAAACTAAAAATTTTAGTTTGCCAAATGTAAAGTATGATAGATATAGATATATAGATATAGAAATATTAATATCCAGAAATTGACATAGATACAGACTGAAAATAAGAGGCAGTGAACAATATAAGACGACACTCAAACTCACATTTGGTGATGAGATCAAGATTACTTGTACTCTTTTATTTCAGATGTTTGAACTGGCAACTCCTAGTCACTTAATGTGGGCATTATTAGAATTAATAAATTTGCTCAGGTTTAACTATTTAGTGATGATTGCCAACCCTACTCAAATTAGCAAAGTAGAAAATTTAAACATTTTGAATACTTTTTGTGTGTGTTCCTTGGTTTTTATTTTGACAATGTTTGGGCAGTGAGATACCTCAGTTAGTTTAGAGATTTCTTCACTTCAAATCTGTCTTCATTAGGATATTTCAAACCCATTTGCAGACATAATATTTTTTCAAGACTCACAATTGCTGAAATAGCATCCTTTCAAAGTAGCCTTTGTTGATTGCACGTGGCTTTTATTTCCAAAGTGTATTCTGAAGTAAAATACATATATACATATTTATATAAATATATATTATATTTATATAAATATATTTTATTATATAAATATTTATATAAATGTATTTATATAAATATATTTTATTATATAATATATTTTATTACATAAATATTTATATAAATATATATTTATAAAATATATTTTATTATATAAATATTTATATAAACATATATTTATATAAATATATTTTATTATATATTTATATAAATATATGTTTATATAAATATATTTTATTACATAATTATTCATATAAATATATATTTATATAAATATATCTTATAATATATATTTATATAAATATATTTTATTATAATATATATTTATATAAATATATTTTATTATAATATATATTTATATAAATATATTTTATTATAATATATATTTATATAAATATATTTTATTATAATATATATTTATATAAATATATTTTATTATATAAATATTTATATAAATATATTTTATTATATAAATATTTATATAATGTATTATATTTATATAAATATTTATATAATGTATTATATTATATAAATATTTATATAATGTATTATATTATATTATATAAATATTTATATAAATGTATTATATTATATTGTATAAATAAATATAAATATTACATTTATATAAATATGAGATATTTATATCATATTTATACAAATGTGATATATATATACAAATGTGTTATATTTATATAAATATTTATATAATATATATTTACATATAAATATATATATTCTGCTAACCTCTGAAATAGTTGATCTGATGGTTTTACTTTATTTTTGCCATGGGTACCAAGTGTGTAAAGTTAAACATCATATATCTGTTTGAAGAGGGACATTTCCCATTGAGTAACTGTCGGTAGGTCATTTCTCCTCTGTAAAACTCCTGACATTCAGGAAAGGGAGTAGTTCTGTTTCACACTCCGTAGCAAAGGTGATCTCTGGGAATTGTTTGCTGAGTAATTTGTTGTTACACAATACATCATTTTTATTGGTAATAAGGCAGATGTCACCAACAGCGCAGTTTGTCCAAGGCTAGCTCTGAAATTTCCTTTAAGACATTGTGCTCCCAATCAGGCAGAAAATTGTCGTCAGCTATGGCAGATTGAAAGATCACATTGCAGTGTCCAAGGACTGTTTATGACTTTACCAGCTATACACAGAGTGGGTGGTGAAGATTGGCCTTGAATAAGAGTATTTGTTCCAGTTATGATGAATCTGGAAACATGATTCCTCTTTGTAGTGTATAAAATTTTGGCAGAAATGTATCATAAAAATATGTTGTGTAAAGTTTGTATTTTGTGAAACAGATGGATTGATATCAGGGATAGAAAAATAAAAAAGACACCCACACATCAGTAAAGGTCTTTATATAAATTTTCTATTTGAAGCAATTCTTTGTATTGCTCTAAAAGATTCCAGGATGAATGACTGTAAATTAAATCTCTTCATTGTTAATTTTAATTAGGTTTGCGCATTTTGCTCATGAAATCCCATGGGCCATTCTCTTTTTTTTTTTTTTTTGAGACAGCATCTTACTCTGTCACCCAGGCTGGAGTGCAACTTCCGCCTTCCGGGTTCAAGCGATTCTCCTGCCTCAGCATCCCCAGTAGCTGGGATTACAGGCACCTGCCACCATGCTCGGCTAATTTTCTTTTTTTTTTATTATACTTTAAGTTTTAGGGTACATGTGCACAATGTGCAGGTTAGTTACATATGTATACATGTGCCATGCTGGTGTGCTGCACCCATTAACTCATCATTTAGCATTAGGTATATCTCCTAATGCTATCCGTCCCCCCTCCCCCTACCCCACAACAGGCCCCAGAGTGTGATGTTCCCCTTCCTGTGTCCATGTGTTCTCATTGTTCAGTTCCCACCTGCGAGTGAGAACATGCGATGTTTGGTTTTTTGTCCTTGCGATACTGAGAATGATGATTTCCAATTTCATCCATGTCCCTACAAAGGACATGAACTCATCATTTTTTATGGCTGCATAGTATTCCATGGTGCATATGTGCCACATTTTCTTAATCCAGTCTATCATTGTTGGACATCTGGGTTGGATCCAACTCTTTGCTATTGTGAATAGTGCCGCAATAAACATACGTGTGCATGTGTCTTTATAGCAGCATGATTTATAGTCCTTTGGATATATGCCCAGTAATGGGATGGCTGGGTCAAATGGTATTTCCAGTTTTAGATCCCTGAGGAATCGCCACACTGACTTCCACAATGGTTGAACTAGTTTACAGTCTCACCAACAGTGTAAAAGTGTTCCTATTTCTCTACATCCTCTGCAGCACCTGTTGTTTCCTGACTTTTTAATGATTGCCATTCTAACTGGTGTGAGATGGTATCTCATTGTGGTTTTGATTTGCATTTCTCTGATGGCCAGTGATGATGAGCATTTTTTCATGTGTCTTTTGGCTGCATAAATGTCTTCTTTTGAGAGGTGTCTGTTCATATCCTTCACCCACTTTTTGATGGGGTTGTTTGTTTTTTTCTTGTAAATTTGTTTGAGTTCATTGCAGATTCTGGATATTAGCCCTTTGTCAGATGAGTAGATTGCAAAAATTTTCTCCCATTCTGTAGGTTGCCTGTTCACTTTGATGGTAGTTTCTTTTGCTGTGCAGAAGCTCTTTAGTTTAATTAGATCCCATTTGTCAATTTTGGCTTTTGTTGCCATTGTTTTTGGGGTTTTAGTCATGAAGTCCTTGCCCATGCCTATGTCCTGAATGGTATTGCTTAGGTTTGTTTCTAGGGCTTTTATGGTTTTAGGTCTAACATTTAAGTCTTTAATCCATCTTGAATTAATTTTTGTATAAGGTGTAAGGAAGGGATCCAGTTTCAGCTTTCTACATATGGCTAGCCAGTATTCCCAGCACCATTTATTAAATAGGGAATCCTTTCCCCATTGCTTGTTTTTCTCAGGTTTGTCAAAGATCAGATAGTTGTAGATAGGCATTATTTCTGAGGGCTCTGTTCTGTTCCATTGATCTATATCTCTGTTTTGGTACCAGTACCATGCTGTTTTGGTTACTGTAGCCTTGTAGTATAGTTTGAAGTCAGGTAGCGTGATGCCTCCAGCTTTGTTCTTTTGGCTTAGGATTCACTTGGTGATGCGGGCTCTTTTTTGGTTCCATATGAACTTTAAAGTAGTTTTTTCCAATTCTGTGAAGAAAGTCATTGGTAGCTTGATGGGGATGGCATTGATTCTATAAATTACCTTGGGCAGTATGGCCATTTTCATGATGTTGATTCTTCCTCCCCAGGAGCATGGAATGTTCTTCCATTTGTTTGTATCCTCTTTTATTTCATTGAGCAGTGGTTTGTAGTTCTCCTTGAAGAGGTCCTTCATGTCCCTTGTAAGTTGGATTCCTAGGTATTTTATTCTCTTTGAAGTAATTGTGAATGGGAGTTCACTCATGATTTGGCTCTCTGTTTGTCTGTTGTTGGTGTATAAGAATGCTTGTGATTTTTGTACATTGATTTTGTATCCTGAGACTTTGCCGAAGTTGCTTATCAGCTTAAGGAGATTTTGGGCTGAGACAATGGGGTTTTCTAGATATACAATCATGTCGTCTGAAAACAGGGACAATTTGACTTCCTCTTTTCCTAATTGAATACCCTTTATTTCCTTCTCCAGCCTAATTGCCCTGGCCAGAACTTCCAACACTATGTTGAATAGGAGTGGTGAGAGAGGGCATCCCTGTCTTGTGCCAGTTTTCAAAGGGAATGCTTCCAGTTTTTGACCATTCAGTATGATATTAGCTGTGGGTTTGTCATAGATAGCTCTTATTATTTTGAGATACGTCCCATCAATACCTAATTTATTGAGAGTTTTTAGCATGAAGGGTTGTTGAATTTTGTCAAAGGCCTTTTCTGCATCTATTGAGATAATCATGTGGTTTTTGTCTTTGGTTCTGTTTATATGCTGGATTACATTCATTGATTTCCGTATATTGAACCAGTCTTGCATCCCAGGGATGAAGGCCACTTTATCATGGTGGATAAGCTTTTTGATGTGCTGCTGGATTTGGTTTACCAGTATTTTATTGAGGATTTTTGTATCAATGTTCATCAAGGATATTGGTCTAAAATTCTCTTTTTTGGTTGTGTCTCTGCCAGGCTTTGGTATCAGAATGATGCTGGCCTCATAAAATGAGTTAGGGAGGATTCCCTCTTTTTCTATTGATTGGAATAGTTTCAGAAGGAATGGTACCAGTTCCTCCTTGTACCTCTGGTAGAATTTGGCTGTGAATCCATCTGGTCCTGGACTCTTTTTGGTTGGTAAGCTATTGATTATTGCCACAATTTCAGATCCTGTTATTGGTCTATTCAGAGATTCAAGTTCTTCCTGGTTTAGTCTTGGGAGAGCGTATGTGTTTATTTGCGTAGAGGTGTTTGTAGTATTCTCTGATGGTAGTTTGTATTTCTGTGGGATCAGTGGTGATGTCCCCTTTATCATTTTTTATTGCGTCTATTTGATTCTTCTCTCTTTTCTTCTTTATTAGTCTTGCTAGTGGTCTATCAATTTTGTTGATCCTTTCAAAAAACCAGCTCCTGGACTCATTAATTTTTTGAAGGGTTTTTTGTGTCCCTATTTCCTTCAGTTCTGCTCTGATTTTAGTTGTTTCTTGCCTTCTGCTAGCTTTTGAATGTGTTTGCTCTTGCTTTTCGAGTTCTTTTAATTGTGATGTTAGGTTGTCCATTTTAGATCTTTCCTGCTTTCTCTTGTGGGCATTTAGTGCTATAAATTTCCCTCTACACACTGCGTTGAATGTGTCCCAGAGATTCTGGTATGTTGTGTCTTTGTTCTCGTTGGTTTCAAAGAACATCTTTATTTCTGCCTTCATTTTGTTATCTACCCAGTAGTCATTCAGGAGCAGGGTGTTCAGTTTCCATGTAGTTGAGTGGTTTTGAGTGAGTTTCTTAATCCTGAGTTCTAGTTTGATTGCACTGTGGTCTGAGAGACAGTTTGTTATAATTTCTGTTCTTTTACATTTGCTGAGGAGAGCTTTACTTCCAAGTATGTGGTCAATTTTGGAATAGGTGTGGTGTGGTGCTGAAAGAAATGTATATTCTGTTGATTTGGGGTGGAGAGTTCTGTAGATGTCTATTAGGTCCGCTTGGTGCAGAGCTGAGTTCAATTCCTGGGTATCCTTGTTAACTTTCTGTCTTGTTGATCTGTCTAATGTTGACAGTGGGGTGTTACAGTTTCCCATTATTATTGTGTGGGAGTCTAAGTCTCTTTGTGGGTCACTCGGGACTTGCTTTATGAATCTGGGTGCTCCTGTATTGGGTGCATATATATTTAGGGTAGTTAGCTCTTCTTGTTGAATTGATCCCTTTACCATTATGTAATGGCCTTCTTTGTCTCTTTTGATCTTTGTTGATTTAAAGTCTGTTTTATCAGAGACTAGGATCGCAACCCCTGCCTTTTTTTGTTTTCCATTTGCTTGGTAGATCTTCCTCCATCCTTTTATTTTGAGCCTATGTGTGTCTCTGCACGTGAGATGGGTTTCCTGAATACAGCACACTGATGGGTCTTGACTCTTTATCCAATTTGCCAGTCTGTGTCTTTTAATTGGAGCATTTAGTCCATTTACATTTAAAGTTAATATTGTTATGTTTGAATTTAATCCTGTCATTATGATGTTAGCTGGTTATTTTGCTCGTTAGTTGATGCAGTTTCTTCCTAGTCTCGATGGTCTTTACATTTTGGCATGATTTTGCAGTGGCTTGTACCGGTTGTTCCTTTCCATGTTTAGTGTTTCCTTCAGGAGCTCTTTTAGGGCAGGCCTGGTGGTGACAAAATCTCTCAGCATTTGCTTGTCTGTAAAGGATTTTATTTCTCCTTCACTTATGAAGCTTAGTTTGGCTGGATATGAAATTCTGTGTTGAAAATTCTTTTCTTTAAGAATGTTGAATATTGGCCCCCACTCTCTTCTGGCTTGTAGGGTTTCTGCCGAGAGATCCACTGTTAGTCTGATGGGCTTCCCTTTGTGGGTAACCCGGCCTTTCTCTCTGGCTGCCCTTAACATTTTTTCCTTCATTTCAACTTTGGTGAATCTGACAATTATGTGTCTTGGAGTTGCTCTTCTCGAGGAGTATCTTTGTGGCGTTCTCTGTATTTCCTGAATGTGAATGTTGGCCTGCCTTGCTAGATTGGGGAAGTTCTCCTGGATAATATCCTGCAGAGTGTTTTCCAACTTGGTTCCATTCTCCCCATCCCTTTCAGGTACACCAATCAGAGGCAGATTTGGTCTTTTCACATAGTCCC
The DNA here is from genome assembly GCF_000001405.40 of Homo sapiens. Taxonomy (NCBI): domain Eukaryota; kingdom Metazoa; phylum Chordata; class Mammalia; order Primates; family Hominidae; genus Homo; species Homo sapiens. The sequence goes on from NC_000008.11 coordinate 71,746,151, forward strand.
ATATTTCTTGGAGGCTTTGTTCATTTCTTTTTATTCTTTTTTCTCTAAACTTCCCTTCTCGCTTCATTTCATTCATTTCATCTTCCATCACTGATACCCTTTCTTCCAGTTGATCGCATTGGCTCCTGAGGCTTCTGCATTCTTCACGTAGTTCTCGAGCCTTGGCTTTCAGCTCCATCAGCTACTTTAAGCACTTCTCTGTATTGGTTATTCTAGTTATACATTCATCTAAATTTTTTTCAAAGTTTTCAACTTCTTTGCCTTTGGTTTGAATTTCCGCCTGTAGCTCGGAGTAGTTTGATCGTCTGAAGCCTTCTTCTCTCAACTCGTCAAAGTCATTCTCTGTCCAGCTTTGTTCCATTGCTGGTGAGGTAGAGATGGGGTTTTATCATCTTGGCCAGGCTGGTCTTGGACTCCTGACCTCAGGTGATCCACCTGCCTCAGCCTCCCAAAGTGCTGGGATTACAGACTTGAGCCACTGCGCCTGTCCAAGGTATCATGATTTCTACTGTAGCACTTTAAAAAAGCTCAAGCCCACTTCAAATTTGGGATAATATTGTATCAATATTCTGCACTAAATTTTAAACTTTACTTTTCCATAAATTTGTAAGGAACTTATGCCAATACTCAAATAACTAATTGTAGGAGAGTTGGATTATAAATTTAATGTATTGGAATCAACCTAAATGCCCATCAATGGTAGAATGGATAAAGAAAATATGGTACATATACACCATGGAATACTATGTAGCCATAAAAAAGACTGAGATAATGTCCTTTACAGGAACATGGATGGAGTTGGAGGCCATTATCCTTAGCAAACTAATGCAGGAACAGAACACCAAATAGCACATGTTCTCACTTATAAGTGGGAGCTAAATGATGCGAACACATGGACACATAGAGAGGAACAACACACACTGGGGCCTATTGGAGGGTAGAGGGTGGGAGGAAGGAGAGGATCAGAAAAAATAACTAGTGGGTATTAGGCTTAATAACTGGGTGATGAAATAATCTGTATAACAAATTCTCATGACACAAGTTTATTTATATAAGAAACTTGCATATATATCCCTGAACTTAAAAGTTAAACTTTAAAAAATAATGAATGCATTTTATGTATTATCACAAGTGTGGTAAGATGGCCCATGTCTACCATTGTGCCAAACCATACATTCTCTTGTTGCTTCATTATTTACAGTGTGTTGATGACTATGCATTTGCAAAGCCGACACTAACTATTGTAAAGACATATACCCTAATACTGCAGTGACTTAATAAAATAAAACTTTGCTTTCTCTCACACCACAGTTCATTGTGGTTGTTCCTGGTCAAGAGTTTCTACCCCAAGTAGTGATTCAGGGACCCAGGCTTCTTCAGTCCTGCAGTTCCACTATCCTCAATATGTGGCTCCCAAAGTAGCCCAGTGAATGAAATACACTAAGGAAAGTAGAGAAGGGAGGTGTTTGGGACACACATCCCATTTGCCCACATGCCATTGGTTAGAACTCAATCACACAGTCTTACCTATATGAAAAATATGCTGAAAAATGTACTGATTGTATACCCACTTGTCAGCAGCTCCATACTATGAAAGCAGACAGGAAATTTCAGTGGATAGCTAGCCATCTCTGCCAGAGCAGAAAGATTTTGGGTTCTCACCCTCTCTCTCTTTCAACACCCGACACTTGTTTACTTGTTATAGGGATCACAAAATGAGGCAAGACTTTTGATAAAAATAAATGAAAAGAGCAAATAAGAAAACTTTTATTTTGTGGAACTTGCTTGACGTTTTGAATTAAGCAGAGTTCTTTGACTGGTTTAGCTTTTAAGATAGTCAGCTTGTTAATGGCTAAGAATTTAAGGATTGAAAATGAATGTAAGAAAATATTTATACCTATATCCATTTTCCCTCCACCCTCCCCAATCACCAACCAGGCTGCAAGCTCATAGAGTGAGGCACATTATTCTTCTTAGTGTTCAAAATGTCTAGCACATGGTATCTGCCAAATAATTTTTGAATGTTTGCCTAAGTGCACACGTGGAAGAAGGAATTGTGGGAGTGAGTACACAAAGAAACTTAGCCTTGTTTCCTGATGGAGACTTTTTCTAAGAATTGGTCGCAAATGAATTAGTTAAAATATTTCTTAATCTGATTTTGTTAAAAAGAAAAAAAGTAGGGTACCGGTAAAAATTTAAATTAAAAAATAAACTTTTGGCCAACCATTGTGACTCATGCCCCTAATTCCAGCATTTTGGGAGGTTGAAGCTGGAAGATCACTTGGGGCCAAGAGTTTGAGATTAGCCTGGCCAACGTAGCAAAACCCCGTCTCTACTAAAAATACAAAAAAGTAGTGGGGTGTAGTGGCACATGTCTATAGTCCCAGCTACTCGGGAGGCTGAGGCAAGAGAATCGCTTGAGCCTGGGAGGCAGATTACAGTGAGCTGAGGTCACACCAGTGCACTTAAGCCTGAGCAACAGAGTGAGACTCTGTCTCAAAAAATAAATAAACCTTTAAAAGATACGTAGGTGCTAGAAGTGAAGCTTCCAGAAACAAGAAGTAATGAAAGCAAAAAAATTCATTTTCATCATGCAGATTACTAACGCTTATCAAGTTAAAAAATAAGGTATGGCAAAGATTTTGCAAAGGCATTTTTAAGTGGTGAACATCAAAAGAGCAATAACTGCAACACTTAGGATGTATGAAAAAATATTTTTTAGAAAACAAACATTTCTACAGCAACAACACAGACAATCCAAGAAACTGAAATGCAAATATGTATGCCGAGGCGGGAGAAAGTTGTCATTGATTCCTCAAGGATGAGTCTAAAGATCTAGCTAAGATGTGTAAGAGTAAAGCTACAGAAAATGGAACGTAATGTTGTGTAGAGGGGAAAAAAAGGACAAATAATAGTGTTTTTATGTATTTACATAGAAAAAGGAATAAATATCTTTTAAACAAAAAATTTACCTTAAAATACAAATTAAAGACAATGCTTTTTAAATAAGAAGGAAAATACTTTGTGTAGGAAATCACTTTATACAATCTAGGTTAAAAATAATTCACCAATGTCTTTGAAAAGGCACTGGCTAGAGACAGGAAAGAACCAGCATTGTGCATAGTTTAGAAAAAAAGTGAAAAATCTTACCTTTTATTACTAGGTTAATAGGAAAAAGAATCAAAACAAAATCCATTTGCACTCACAGACATTAAGGGTCTACAATAACCAAGAACAAATTCTGTCAGACTGTGCAAATATCTGCCTAAGAAAAAAACAAAGCCAGTGCATGACTAAGAGAAGGATTTCGCAGCTGCTTTACTCAGCATGTCATTAGCAAACTCAGAAAAGTATCTGAGACCACTTACCTTAAGTATTTTCACACCTATAGCTTTGCTTTTTGAGAAAATGAGTGGCAGCAAATCAGTATCAATCTTAGAAACATCACAGTTGATGTTTTGCAGGTTGGTCCTGCAAAACTCATACTATTTTCAAATGATCTTCCATGCTACTTTTATAGAGAAACCACAGATGAGTCTCACTTGATTTAGCAGCTATCCTGCCACCACTCCTTCATAGCACTTATCTTGATTGTAATTTAAATCGCTGTTGGATGTGTTGATGTGTTTAATATCTATCTGCCCCACTAGACTCCTGTCTCGTTTATTGCTATATTTCCAGTACCAAACATGGTCTCTGGCATATAATAGACTCCCAGTAAGAGCTTCTTAAGTGGAGGAATGATCTGAGGGCTGAAGAATGTTCTACCCTTCACTTCGTTAACCCCTTCTCATCTCTCAGATATTGACTTAACGGTGGCTTTCTCAGGGAAGCTTTCCTTGCTCCTCTCGACTAGGCCAAATCTACTTGAGAAATGGTCCCTTAGCCCTGTATTCTTTCACTGCTCTGGTCAAAGTTGCAATTTGACATTTATGTAATTATTTGATTATCTCTTTCTTCAATAATCTATAAGCTTTATGAGGGTAATTTATTTTATTCATAGAACCTAGCATAGTAATCAGCCTATAGTTGGCTTTTAATTAATGTAATTCTTCAGCATATAAGTGGTTCAAATAAAAGAATGAAGGAACAAAAAAATATAAGAATGAATGAAGAGATGAGATATATATATGAAGTTTGCCATTGAACATATCCTGACTCGGGATAGTTTTTATATATATATATATATATGCTTAAAGAAAATACAAATTGAAAGTAACCTTTTAAAATTGGCATGGTAATGGCAACAAATTATAATAACATAAAGGTAAAATATAAGATACACAATACATTGATGAGAATAATATGCATTCTATACATATTTCCTAGATATAAGTGAAGTCATTTTGCTGAACAGATTAACAACAGTTAAAGCCCAATACTGAGATCCAAATATTATGTTGGAAGAATAAGTTGAGCACTGCGTTGAATGCCTACTCAGAGAGAAAGATGTTCATATCTGGCTGAACAATTGCAAATAGCTAAAGAAAACTTGAAGCCAATTCTAGGGAATATCAATCAGAAGAATGAATGAGGGCTTGAAAATTAAGCATTAAGAAAGATGTGAAATGAACTAGTGTAATTGAACTTCAAGAACAGGAGAAAGAAGCAGCACCCTCACGTAAAATTTTTTACAGTGAGACTTTAGAGCTATTTTCCAACTCCCCTATTGCCAGAGCAATAAAAATGAACAAAATACTGCAGGTGGGACTTCTGTTAGAAGCATGGATAAGTGTTTGAGGTTGAGCTATTCAGACCTTGAACTAACTTATTAAGGACACTGTGTTTCTCTGAAAAATCCATAGGGACAGGTCTATCCTTAACGGGATAAAATGATTTAGAAGTCATGAGGGCAGGTCCAGGACAAAGACTTTGTGATCTCTCCAGTGCCCTCAACCTCTGCACTGAATAATAATGGGGGTTGGATAATAAAAGAGGTTTTTCATATTCCTTCATTATAGGTCTGCTCTGCATTCACCCACATGATCTCCTTACTTCATTTGTTAAACACCTTCTGGAGTTTGTAACTAAAGGAGAAATCATAGCATATTTATCCAGAATATAAATGATAATGCAGGATTATCAGTTCCTACAGCATCCAATGGGGATTATTTTAGATTTGGGGTGGGGGATTATAAATTGAGAATTGAAGGAAAAATCAGAAACGGACTAAAATTGGTACCAAGGTCATGAAAAGGAATGTTTTCAAATGTTGAATATCTGTTGATTTAATCTACTGAGGACCAAGTGTCTGAGTATTAAGAAAGCTAGAGCTTTTTTGTCCTGAAATTTTCAGATATCATGGGTGGCCTTTATCATGATGAAATATAGAATTTCTACATGATAAGCTAGTTCACTTTATTTATTCCTTCAGCATTAATTGAATATGAACTGAGCCCTTATGTGCAAAGTGATAGTGGTACACTCTATGAAACAAGAACTTTCAAACAGGAAATCTTCCCCAGTGAGGTTTCTAAACTAACCTTTCTTTGATCCAATGTATCAGAGACTAGTTTAGCAAACCAAAACTATCTGTGTTTATTCTATCCTAATGTAACTAAACTCATTTATTTATAGGTTCGTTCAACCAACACATATTTATATCTCCTATAATAAATATTTGTTAGTTGAATGAACCTGTAAATAAATAAGTTTATTCACATCTATATTTACATATATTTACATCTATAAACAAATGAGCTTATTTACATCTCTTGTCTCAAAGAGCTTTTGGTTTAGTAGGACAGAAAATCAGTACACACCAATATCTAAATCAATATCTGAAGTATCGGGTCACTTAATTTCAGTGCCTGAGACTAATATTTACTTTAGGTTGGCTCTGAACACCCATTCCCAACCCATTTCTCCTTTGTTTTTCTAATCTATCTTAGAAAGTAGAAAACCAAATAATTGATTTTACAGCCACCATTGCAGTTAGGGGTGGCAATAAGACTTTTCCAAAGAGGCAGTCTTCTGAGAGAGATTCTGTAAAAGATTTTGCTTTCCAGAGTAGAGCAGGAGTAAAGTGCAGTCTTTTGTTGTCCTTCCTTTACCTTCCTTGTCTGGGATGTAACATGATACCTGGAAATGCAGCAGCCATCTTGTGTTGACATTGTTACATGCAGCCAAATGCATTGCTAACTGGCATAGTATTAAATCACTCCAGTACACATTAAGCTACTATAGTGATTCAAGGAGAAAAAGGAGTAACCAGCAAAGCCTTCATGGGGTGTCTTAGTCTGTTCGTGCTGCTATAACAGAATAGCTGAGACTGAGTAATTTGTAAGTGATAGAAACATATTTTATCATAGTTGTGCAGGCTGGGAAGTCCAAGATCAAAGCACTGGCAGGTTCAGTGCCCGGTAAAGAGCCGTTTCTTATTTATGGTACCTTGTTATTGCATCCTCACATGTGGGAAGGTGAAAGAGAAAGCGTCCTCACATGTGGGAAGGTAAAAGAGAAAGAGTGAGGCAACTCTCTGAAGCTTCTTTTATGCTGTGAATTCATTCATAAGGGCATAGGCCTCATGGCTTAATCACTTCCCAAAAGGTCTTACCTCTTAATACTGTAATATTAGGGATTATATTTCAACATGTGAATTTTAGGTGTTACACAACATTCAAACATTAGCATGGGGGAAGTGGCATTTGTTTATAGAACTTGAAGACTCATTTTTTCTATTAGGCTGTAAGCTCTTTGAGAGAGGCAAATGTATGTTATTTATCTTTGTATGTGTGTGACAAAAAGTTGCAAAAGAGTTTAGCATATAGGAGGTTCTTATAAATGTTTGTTAGATAAATATAACAGACATCATGATACCCCTCCATGCACACCTCAATGGATCAAGGTTAGATTACCATCTGGGGACATGCCTTTTGCACAGCCCAAGTGGGTAAGACTTCTCCCAATTAGAGTAACATACAACTATTTTAAGGCCACCAAGCAATTGATGAACCACATAAAATATATCAATATTTCAAATCAATATAAATTATATATTATTTTCTTCTAAGTTTTTCCAGTTTTATAGTTGTAGGAATTGGTGCACAGTGGCTCAAAATAAACAAATTGATAGGTTACTAGGAATTCAGTCAACTAATTTTGCCTTGATTTGCTCTGATATAACATGAAATATGCCTGAGCATTTATTGAGTCTCTATTGTGTTTTAGACACTGCTAGGTGCTGGGAATTTAAAGATTAATTGTCCCAACTCTTCAGGAACTCACTGTTCATTGGCAAAAGAAGCAAGTGAATAGAGAAGATATCATAGTTTCTATGATATGAGCTTGTTCCGATATAACAAAGCCATGGAGGAGGAATTCCAGCAAAAGCTTTATAAAAGTTTGTGCCATGAACTGACAGTGAGGTCATTAAAATGGAGTTTGCAATTTAACTCACTAGTTTTTGGCAAATAAAATATCCTTCATACTTTATTAACTAATAATATCATCCCAAATTGCCTTTTATTATGAATAATAACTTTGAATTGTTTTCTATTAACAGGACATCTGTGCCCTAAGTGGAATGGTAGAGACCATTAAAAAATTGTCTTGAAAACATACAGCTGATATTTTAGCACCGTGCATTGTAAGTACGGGTCAATCTTGGGGTCAACAGGAATTTATTTTTAGAATGTAAAAATCACCCTTATTATAAAGGGGTCTTAGAAAACATCCAGCCCTAGGGCCTGTAGCATGGCTCCCAAGGATACGATTGAAATAAGATTCTGGTTTAGTCGTTTTAAGAAACAATATTTTATTCAGGTGATCTATAAATAAAAAGTATACTTGCATATTTTTCTTCTTAAGTAAAATGTAAATATATTAAAATAATAAAATTGTTTATTTCATACTCTACTGAAGGAAAGAGATGATGAGAAGAACTTAGAAGTAAATGAACTCTTCATTTGATTTTAGCCACCCCCTAATTATTCCTAAAGTGGTTCCTACAAATAGCACAGCTCTGTTTTGAGATCCTGGGAAGCACAAGGCTCTTTGCTTCAAGTCCTTTGACGTCCGTCCCCACCTCCCACTTCTTGACCAACCCCAAGTACTTTTTCATTCAACACCCCTAACAGCAAATGAGTTTCTTTTGTCTGACATCGTCTAGACGAATACTGGGGGCAGGGAGAATTCCAGATTGCTGTTTTGAGTGTGATAATTGAGGCTGTATTAACTTACTACATACCAGTTCTTACTAAAGAGTTTAAAATTGCTAATGTAAATCCACTTATTTCAATGAAACTTTAGCGCTTAGTTGTCCATTATCTAATGGTGCCTGAACATTATGAATATTTTTTAGCAGAAATAATCTCCTGTGTGGCTTGTGATGAATATCTTGCTGTTTAAGTCTGTTCTTTCACAAAGCCCTAAAAATACATGATACACTTCTGCTATTGGGGTTGACTTGAAAGAGAAAGCCTCATATTCCTGAATTTTAACTAAAATGTGGGCTTTGTTTTCACACTTCTGGCAGAGTTTTTCAGCTTCAGCAAGGATTTAATAGTATTTTTATTCACAGGGAGTACTAAGGATTCCTTGGGGCTCAATTACGGGTGGACATAATAGATGACCTCGTAAACTTGCTGGCATTCTGAATCTACTCCTGGGAATTGTCAACTGGATAATGAAAAAATATGTTCAGGGGTTCAGATGTGATTGTTTTCTGTGCACACACACACATGTATGTTGCTATTTGTGTGTGTTGGGGTGTGTATGTGTAGGTGTTACTATATGCAGGTGTGTGTATTAATGTATATTGGGGTGTGTATGTGTTAGTGTATGTCAGTGTGTTGGCACATGTGTTACTGTATGTGTATTAGTGTGGGTATTAGTGTGTTAGTATATGTGTGTTGATGTGGATGTAAGTGTATGTGCTGGCGCATGTATGTTAGTATATGTATGTATATTAGTGTGTGTTGTGTGTTAGTGTATGTGTTAGTATGCATATATGTTAGTGTATATGTTAGTGTATGTTAGTATGTGTTGGTATATGTATGTATATTAAAGTGTGTTAGTATATATGTGTGTGTTGGTGTGTCTGTGTGCTGGTATATGCGTTGGTGTGTGTGTGTTAGTGTATATGTTGGTGTGTGTTGGTGTGTGTTTGATATATGTATGTATATTTGTGTTTGTTGATATATGTGTATTGGTGTGTCTCTGTGTTAGTGTATGTGTTGGTGTATGTGTGTGGGTATATGTATGTATATTAGTGTGTGTGTTGTGTGTGTGTTGTGTGTGTGTGTGTGTGTGTGTTGCAAAAACAGGGGCCAGGATAAACTGTGAAACTTGATGGTCATGTTCTTTATTTTTATTTTTTTCATAAAAATGCCAGCTGGACATGTTCACTGAAGCTCTGGGTAAAGAAGTTGGAAGGAAAGCCATGAATTGAGAGAAAGTGGGAGCTACAGTGAAGAGAGAGAGCATGACCTAAGTAGGAAGGGAAGGGAGAGAGGAAAAAGAAAGAAACCACGGAAGGATGGAAAGGGAGAAACCTCATCTGGGCCAATTGGGGTCTGGCTTCTTCAGGGGAGCTACTTAACCATAGAGCACGTGACGAAAAACGATTGAAAGATCAGGTTCAATCACATGGGCTGAAGTCCATCTCACCTCCAGTTCTGTCTTGCTCTGCTTTTGAGGATTGTTAATGGTCAGCCTGATGAAGGGCAGCGGGTAGAACCAGAGCGCTGAATGCTTCTGAGCTGCATGCTGGCTCCTGAGCATTGACAACATTCTCCTGCCCATGCAGCATCAGCCCCAGAAAGAGCTGAGAGAGCTGCCCTGAGGATTCATTCTGTGTGTGTTGGAGGAGTGGGGGTGGGGGTGGAGGTGATTACAGGGAACAACAGAGAAAAAGAGAAGTATAGTTTATAATTTCCCCTTACATTGAATGGCTTTGTAGCTGCTGAATTGTGCTACCTGTTTTCATACTGAGATTTATCTAAATGTATTTTAATGGCATAGGTACTAGTAAAAAATTTTAGTCAAATAATGTGTCTACATAAAAAGTCTGTAAAAAGCCTTGCCTTGCAAAATAAACTGTTAATTGCATTTAAAGATAATAAGGGTTAAAAAAATAAGGGGCATGTTTACAGGGATAAATGTTCATTGTGAACAAGAAAATGTGGTTTCAACTAAAGTAAGGTAATTAACAACAACACAAAAACGCCAAAGGATTTGGAGAACCGAAACAAAAACAAAACGCCTCAGAAGGGTGATGCACCTTCCGACTCTCCCTTCCTCGTGCTCAGCCCCCACGTCAATCACCTCCTCTCAGCGGTCACTAACCTGGCTATTTGTCTGTTTCCACACTACTGCATCACAAAACATCATGCCCACTTGCCTGGAAAAGATAATATCTCACACATATGGGGCCTGCCTTTGATCTCTGTGGTCGAGCTGGAGGTCAGAGGCCTGCCTTCTTCAGGCCCTTACTTCAAATGATTCCTTTCATTTACTGAGAAACCAAACGTTAGAAGGGCAAAGGCAGAAAAAATAAAGCCGTGATTTAATAGCAATTTATGTGTTTGGCCTATTTCGGGTTGGGTTTTATTCTCTTTGGGTCACATCTAATCCTCATTCCTCACTGTTCCCCTGTCCTCCTCCCCCATCATTTGTTTGTTCTGTGGTCTGCAGACAAATTGGCACTCCAAGGATGCTCTCCCCTGGAACCAATCTTCTGCCATTTTGTCTTTCCTAAAGATAGCATTCAGAAACTGAATTATTTGTCTCTCACTGACAACATATCTAAATCAAAAGGCACAATTATAGAGGGGAGTCTTGTATATTTAATGTTTTAAACTGTGCATATAAGTGGCTTTCTTAAATTCACCTGACTCCTTGAGGGAATGTTCTATTTGAACACAAATAGGGAAAGAAAGTAGATACGGAGAAAGTTCGACCCAAAATTGAAGTCGAACTTAGATATGGAAAACATTTGATAATATTTTCTCTTTCCTGAATCTTTAAAATAAAAATGATAATATCTAAAGGTGCTTCAGATTTTTAAAGTCTGAATTTCAATGTAAGATAAAATGACTTATTTTACAGCTATTTTGCAAGGTTATTAATAACCACCATAACATTGTTCTTCACTTGTATAATAACATGGAATGTTCATATGTGTTGAGGGTATCCATGCACCCAGCATTGTGGAGGGTGCTTAGTCTGTGTTCATTTCAATTTATCCTCCAAGAAGCCTCTTAGCTCAATATTATTCCTCTTATAGAAATGACAAACAGTTAATTAATTAGAGTTACACACAAAAAAATGTAAACCTGGTTTGATTCCCATGGAATTGACAATTCCCTGAGGGAAATTGACTAGAATGGATGAGTTTTACTAAAAGAATTCGAAAATACTGTACTAGGCTTTCACAGTGGAAGGACTGGAAAGCTCAGTCCAGTGCTGCAATGCTTTTATCATGGTAACTCTCTGCTTTCACTGCTAATAATGGAGGCAGCATTGATAAGAATGCCGGAGTCAAAGAGAAGTGGAATCCCAGTGTTGATCTGAGCCATATGCTATGGGTGGGATACAGAACTCTGGGCCCCAGTTTCTCGACAATGTGGATATGAAGAGAGTACTTACCTCACAGGGCTGTTCTGAGGACTAAATGAGACGACACATGTGATACTCTTAGTCTAGTGCTTTCCATATGCCAATATGTGTGTGGGTTCTATATGATCATATATATTCTTTATACCTATAGCCCAACATTTATTTTATATTTCCTCTCTCCCTCTCTCTCTCTCTGTATGTATACACACATATATACATACACGCACAGATCTCTCTCTATATATAGATCCCTTTCTCTATATATATATACACACATGTATATATCTCTCTATATCTATATTTCTGTATATCTCAATATCTATATTTCTCTATATATCTATATGGGATAGATATAGGTATATAAATATCGATGCTTATATGTAATAAGATAAACTTGGAGACGGACTCTTTTGCCACTCCAGTAGATAGAACTGTTGGGTACAGGCTGGGACTCATGGAGACACAGCAGCCACGCAATATAATAATCAAGATTTTTGCGCCTCAAGAAGATAAAGGGGAAAAATTAGATTACTGACCACTATGAGTGGTTAGCTTATGAAGACTTAGAAAAGAAGCACATAGGAACAAAGTTTCTATATATTGCATTGCCTAAGTATACAAATCAAAAACAGAGAAGTCAGTTAATCCAGTCTGAGAAGGTTTATATACTCAGCAGGAGGGCAAAGGCACTGTCCTGGAGATGCTGACTGGGACACAGGAAATCCACTGAGGACAAAGACATACTCAACTTTCTGTCAATAAAACAGGCAGGGGTATGGCAGTTAAGAGCCTGGACTTTGGAGCCAGGCAAGCTTGGTGTAAATATAGTAGTTTCCCCTTATCTGAGGTCCAAAATGGGGGAGTAGAGTACAATAAAATATTTAGAGAGAGAGAGGGAGATCACATTCACATAACTTTTATCACTGTATATTGTTATAATTGTTCTATTTCATTATTAATGTTGCTAATATCTTACAGTGACTAATTATAAATTAAACCTTATTATGGGCACACATATGTGTTAATTTGTTCTCACACTGATAATAAAGACATACCCGAGACTGGGTAATTTATAAAGTAAAGAAGTTTAATGGACTCACAGTTCCACTTGGCTGGGGAGGCCTCAACAATCATGGCAGAAGACAAGGGAGAAGCAAATGTGTGCCTTACATGGCAGCAGGTAAGAGAGAGCATGTGCAGGGGAACTCTCATTTATAAAACCATCAGATATGCTGAGACTTATTCACTACCACAAGAACAGTATGGGAATGACCTGCCCTCATGATTCAATTATCTCCCACCAGGACCCTTCCACAACACATGGGAATTATAGGAGCTACAATTCAAGATGAGATTTTGGTGGGGACACAGCCAAACCATATCAGTATGTATAAGAAAAAACAGTGTATATAGGCTTCAGTAATATCCATGGTTTTAGGCCGCTGCTGGGGGTCCTGGAACATATCTTCCATGGATAAGGGGTAACTACTGTACTAGCTCTGTCACTTACTAGATGTGGAACTATGAGCAATTTCATCAACCTCTCAGTACCTCCATTTCCCCAACAGATTCCTCAATACATCTTGAAGTGAGGATGAAATGAGTTAATATAAACGAAGCACCTGCAGCACTGCCTGGCACAAGACCAGCACTCAATGGTCATTTGCTGTATAGAGATCAGATACTAGACAGGGTCCTTTGAGTGGATTCATCTCAGTGTCTAGAGAAGAGTATGCTTTTCAAAGCTTTCTCTCCAGGCTGTCAGAATCTACTGTACACTATATTAACAAGAAAAGCCCAGAATTGGGAGGGGGCTACATGAGCTTTCCAGAGTTTTCTAGTGTCTGACTTACTCGTTGCTGGGTTCTGAGATGGGTAATCACTCCTTGTGCCAGCCAGGGTCCCATTTGCTGCTTCTGCTCAGACCAGAGTCTCCTGAGTAAAAACCTAGGAATGAATCATCTAGGAATGGCCTAAAATCTGAGGATGAAAGAGTCCGGGGAATTGTCCGACTAAGGGTGTGGTAGGATTACAGATGTTCAGGAAGCAGAGTTGATTGGGAGTCAATGTCTGTTTTTTATTGGAATATTCCATGAAGGTTTAAGATTTAGAAGAATTTTGAAGGATGAATGGCAACTCAAGGCTAATATAAAGACAGAAAATGAGTTTCAGTCACAAGATGACCACTGAGCAAGGAAAACAAAGAATACCATTTGTTAGCACTGTACAAGGTTTACAGGTTCGTGTCGCAGTAGCTATATTCAACTGGCAGATTTGTGGTTGAAAAGCCTTTATGAGTATAGAGTTTTGGGTTAACTTCTCCCTTCATCTTGAAAGGAGTGACTCCCATGTGTTAACACCTTGGAGGAGTGGGTAATTACAAGAATAGCCTCAGTTTCTCCTAGAATTAGAGGGAAGAAGTAACTACAAAGGAGATGTAGACAGAAGCTCCTTGACTTATGAAGGAGTGACATCCCAAGAAACTCATTTGAAAATAAGATGAATCAAATGCATTTCGTGCTGGCAACACAGCAGACAGTTATTGATGTACAATGGTTGACTTTTGATTTTTCAACTTTATGATGGTGTAGAAAGCAATATACATTCAGCAGAGACTGTAACCCCATCACATGTTGTAAGAAACTCCTTGACTTAAGATGGGGTTAAAGTTCTGATAAGCTCATCAGAAAGTGGAAAAATAAGTCAAACCATCCTAAGTCAGGAATTGGGTGTATATTAGGAAAACATGTTACTTATTCATTGGAATCAGAGGAACAGTGTTGAGGCCACAGACAGGGAAAGCAGTTCCTTTCCAGATCTTGGTTGTACCAGCTGAACTCTGTTTCTTAGGTGTGCATTCCAAAGTTGGAAATGCTGCAAAAAGGGATTAGGTTCGCAGCACCTGTGATAGCCTAAGCTCTCGCTGACCTTGGAACACAAGAAGATAAGCTTCCCGGTAAGGAATTCTTACTTTTGACTTGCTTGAATTGAGCCCAATGCTGCTTTCTCTCACTTTTCAATTACCAGTGAGCCATCTTTCTCATTTGTTTTTAAACTAACATTTCTGTGGCCTTACCCAGAACCCTGTGCGATTCATTCAGGCTCACTAATCTCCCCACATACTAGTTTGAGGTCCTCTTTCCCACCTGCTAGTCGTTAAAACAATTACATGGTTAGGAGCTCACAAACAAAGCAATTAATAATGTACCTGGGTCATATTACCTCCCATTCCCGTATGCAGAGCAATGAATTATGTCCTTGTCTCATTTAGGAGCTGTGTCTCTGGAATAATGGCACACACACACACACACACACACACACACACACACACACACAGTGGAAAAGGGGGTGGGGGATTTTTTTGACTTCTCTTGTCTAGACACCTAAGTCTCATAACCCCTCACCTGACAATATGCTCTTGGGCCAGTTTGTCTGACATTAACATTTACTTTTAAAATCCTGTGCTTGTTTGTTTTTTCTCCATTGTGTGTAAGTTCCTTTAGTTCATTAATTCATTATTTAGCACATACTTTCTGAGTAGCTACCATTCCTGGTGCTGGGGGTACAGCAGTAAGTAGACAAAGTTCTTGCCTTCCTGGAGCTAATGATCTCCTTCCTGGCTATGTGGTCTGGTTACATCAGTACTTTGCAAGTCAGATGAAAAGTTTTTCAAGGGTGAATAGGATACTTTTTAGTCTTTTTGGTAATAGTATGAATTATGATAGCAGTTATCGTTTGTGCCATGCTTCATAAGTTGTAAAGCGTTCTGGTCCTGCCATTTGATTTTGTTACTCCCGGAGGCACCGTCTGCTGGGGCTGGTGTTTTGTGACAAACCACATTGTATCTTCTATTCCTCAGAATCCTCAGACTGTTCTGTGGCACTACAGACAGACAGTGTAACACTTTCAATTCACTATTTGAAGACTTTTTTAAAAACATTGCTTATAATAAAAGAAATGCTGGGATAACACGTTAAAATGTATACAGCAGAGGATAAACATCAATTCAGAAAACATGTAAAGGTAACATTTGGGGCTGGGGGAGTGGAGATGGACGTTAAGCCCCTTTGCACAAGAGGAATCATGGTATCCATGACTTCTGCATGGTGGGAGCTGCCTTTTCAGTCCGATTTCAACTTGGAAGTTTATCTTATTGCTCCCTCTTCACATTGAAGCCAGCATGGTTTAGAACAGAAGTTTCTGGAAAGTAAAGGCATAGACTGCAGTAATTTCATGCTCAGGGTTGGGGTCCAGCCTCAGCTGAGGTCCAAGGGGAGTGGGTGGACATGGGGCAGGCAGCTGGAAGAACACTCGAGAGACAGCAGGTAAATGAGACATACCTCTATTCAGCAGCTCCTTCACAGGGTCAGTGTTAGGTTTATACACTACACAAACAATAGTGGCTGAGAGCCAGGTGGTGAGATTCTCTATGTTATGTCTACATGGTTAAGATTATAGAAGACATGGGACCATGTGCTCATGCCCCCAATCCTGCTGAGTCATCTAGGTGTTTACCTCGGCCTATGCCTGCTGCCCTATGTCTGCTTGGTGGCAGCACAGCCATTTTCCTTACAAGTAAATAAAAACAGCACCACCAGCACAGAGTATTTTGAGGAACCTGGGCTATGGCAACAACCCTTTTTAAATATAGCTAATGAATTCATTCCATTTAGCAAACATTCACCAGGCACCTTCCCTTTGAGGGGCTTTGTGCCAGGTGCTCTATGAGGGATGGGTCAGGGTAGTATGTATTTTAAGGAGTATAAGTGTCTTTGAATTTAAAGAGTAAACTTGGGATATGTGTAGATACAAAATTGAGAATTATCGTGCAGTAGTTACACAGGCCCTAAAGAAGCAATAACTTCAATGTGTCCTGAAGTGACCAAGAACAGTTCATTCCTGTTCATTCAGTTAATAGACATGTTGAGCACTAATGAAAATAGTTTCCATCCCCAGCCAACATTAGAATCACTTG
This sequence comes from Homo sapiens, assembly GCF_000001405.40. NCBI lineage: Eukaryota > Metazoa > Chordata > Mammalia > Primates > Hominidae > Homo > Homo sapiens. The sequence goes on from NC_000008.11 coordinate 71,762,685, forward strand.
GAAAGATTTTATACTCAATGTCACCACTCTAGATCAAGTAAATCAGAATCTTGATGGTGGAGTACATGTACTGGTATTGCGATAAAGGCCCCCAGGTGATTTTAATGTATAGTTAAGGCTTGAGTACCATGGCCTAGTATATTGGCTCTCAAACCTGGCTGTACATTAGAATCACCTGGAGAGCTTTAACAATGTACTAACCCTGGGTCCCAACACATGCCAATTAAATCTGACTCATGAAGAGAAGGACTTAGGTATCAGTACTTAAAAATGTCCCCAGGTGATTCTAACGTTCAGCCAACAGTGTGAACCACTGGCCAGTGCTAGGCACTCCCATTAGATACTTGTAAACGGTAGTGAACAAATCTGACATAATCCCTGTCCTCACAAAATATAAAATTTAATGAGACAGGCAAAGAACAGGCTACAAACAAATAAATTATGAGAATCTGTGACAAGTGGGATGACGAAAACTAAAAGGTGACAATAATTGAAAAATAATGATGGGGTATGAGGTGACGATGAATTTTAGACAGAATGATCAGAGAGGTGACACTTAATCTAGGAATTGAAGGAAGACAAAGAGCTAGTCTTTGGAATAGGGGAAGAAAGGTGAGAAGGAGATGGAATAAATATTTCTAAGTAATTTGAACAGCACATGCAAAGTGGGGTGAGACAGAGCTAGATATATTTGAGGAAGGCTTCTGTCTGGCAAGTAATAAGTGATATGAGATGACCTGGAGAAATTGGGCAGGGACCCCATCATGTGCAACCTTATAGATCATGTTAAATAACTTGCATTTCATTTAAGCTTAATGAGAATCTATTAAAAGTTTTTAAGCAGTGATGTGAGATGCTTTTATTTAGATTTTTAAAAGATCAGGTAAGAGAGGAGATGGCCTGAGAGGAGACTGATACAGTGGAGATAGGAAGGATGCTTCCCATTGTATGTTAATGATATACAGAGGTCCCCCAGAATTGTTATTTAAGACAAGTATTTAATTTTCTTTTATATAATGAGCATTTCAGGGCTGAAATGCTGGCTTTTGCAGCTCCCACCTCTACCTTCCCCAAGAGTGCCTACATCCTCAAAATAATCTCATGATTGCAAAACAGCTTGTGTGGCCCTAGCTGTTCTGCTTTTGCTCTGAGCGGGAAGAAAGAAGTAGATAAAAGAACCCCCCAAAATCTAGCCACCTTTTGGAGATCTTTCTTACTGGAGATCTTACTTACTTGCTGGAAGCCACACTCAGTTCTTCTGCTTACCTTCTATTTGCAAGGAATCTTGCTACCTCAATCTGCAAAAGTGGCTGAAAAACGTGCCTTTTCATCTGAGTACATTGCCGCCCCCAACCAAATCTAAATTTTGTTGTAAAGAGGATGGAAAAATGATATTGGGTAGGCACTACTGGGTTTGAGATATAATAGGAAGTAAAATTTTGCCGAATTGGAATTCTTGCTGAATTGAACCTTGCTGAATTGTAGTGGAGAATTGAGGAAAAGCAAGCAAACAAGATGGGAGCCACAGGGGATTGGAAAAGACCATGAAACACTAGGTTGAGAAATCAGAAGTCCACTGGGGTAATGTGGAGTTTAAAATATCCATGAGGCTTTGTTAAGCAAGCATGGGGGCAATAATAATTAAAAACCCACAACAACCTGAATCCCGAGAAATGGTACGGGCTGAAGACATAAATTTGGAATTGATCAGCAGTTCCTAACAGATTGCTAGGTGCAATCTCATTCCACCTAGCACTTCAATTTGTGAAGTACTGGGGAGAAGGTATTTAGAAGTAACTGAAAGTCGTTGAAGACTAATATCTGAAAAGCACCAATAATTAAGGGTTGGGCAGATGAGATGGAGCCAGCACAGGAAACTGAAAAGAGTCCAGTGATTTAGACAGAAAACCAAGAAGGTAAATTCCAGCAGCCTAGAGCAGAGAATATTTCAAGAAGATTTGAGGTCACCTTGTTTAAAGTTTTTGAGAGGTTGAGAAAGTTGAAGATAAAGATGTATCTATTGGATTTGGCAAATGGGGTCACTGATGACCTTGAGTTTCAGCCAACTGATAGGTTGGAAACCAACTGTAGTGAGCGGAAGAGTGAATGGAAGATGAGGAAGTGCACATAGCATATGTAAGACTCCTCTTAAAAGATGCTTGATTTTGGACAGACGCAGAGTGATAGAGTAACTGCTGGAAAAAGGACTGGGATTTAAAGGGATTATGTGTGTGGTTTTTCAGTTGAAAGGTACTAAAGAATCTTTGTATACTGAGAGAAATCATCCAATAAAGAAGGAATGGTGATGAAGGAGGGAGGAGGAAAATCAAAATGGCTGCATCTTCAAGAAACCTAGAGGGGGTGGGAGCCAGGGCAACATGGATGGCTTGGCTTGTGATAGGAGCATCCTCATCCTTTGTCATGTAACCCAGTGTAGGAATGGCATTCTGGAGCTTAGGTTTAGTCATTCTCCAGGACTGATCTTCATGTTTTCCTTTCTACCTCATTATGAATTTCAGTCTGAGACAATGATTGCAGTTAATATCATGGTACCTGTTGTGGGCAGACCAGGCTAGCAATATTTCCTGTAAAAGGTAAGGTATACTCTGCAAGTATACAAGGTATACATTTTAGGTACAAATTTTAAAACTTTTGCAATAGCACACATTGAATACAATATTATTCCTCTCTTCCCTTCCTTCCTCTCTCCTTCCTGCCCCCCCTTTAAGATTTTTGTTACAGAACGTATGTACATGGGTGCTTAGCTTGGCTGGAAATGGGACATTGTGTTTAAATCCTCATTTACTTTCAAAATTGGCATATGGTTGGGTAACCAACTGTCTTAGTCCATTTTGCATTACTATAAAGGAATACTCGAGGCTGTGTAATTTATAAATAAAAGAGGATAATTTGACTCTACATGCTTCTATAGGCTGTACAAGAAGCATGGGCCCAGCATCTGCTTCTGGTGAGACCCTCAGGAAGCAAACAATCATGGTGGAAGGGGAAAGGGAGCTGGTGTGTCACATGGTGAGAGTGGGAGCAAGAGAGGGAGGAAGGTGCCAGACTCTTTTTAACATTGAGATCTCACAACAACTAATATAAAGTGAGAACTTACCATTACCATGAGGACTGTGCCAGGCCATTCATGAGGGATGGGGCCCCATGACCCAAACACCTCCTGCCATGCCCCACCTCCAACATTGCAGATCAAGTTTCAAGGTAAGATTTGGAGGGGACATACATTCAAACTATATTACCAACCATCCTGGTTTACCCAGCACTGAAGAATTTCCTGGGATGCAGAACTTTCAGTGCTAAACCAGGCAAGTCCTGAGTAAACCTGAAAGGTTGGCCACCCTAAGTATAGGTTACAAGTATAATAGTAGTTTAAAAGATCTTTGGATTGGCCGGGCGCGGTGGCTCACGCTTGTAATCCCAGCACTTTGGGAGGCTGAGGCAGGTGGATCACAAGGTCAGGAGATCGAGACCATCCTGGCTAACACGGTGAAACCCCATCTCTACTAAAAAAATACAAAAAATTAGCTGGGCATGTTGGCGGGTGCTTGTAGTCCCAGCTACTCGGGAGGCTGAGGCAGGAGAATGGTGTGAACCTGGGAGGTGGAGCTTGCAGTGAGCCGAGATGGCACCACAGCACTTCAGCCTGGGCCACAGAGCAAGACTCCATCTCAAAAAAAAAAACAAAAAACAAAAAACAAACAAACAAAAAAACTTTGGACTTAAGGTAAATCTATTGAAACAAATTATTATTTCTTCTCACTACTCAATCAGGCTTAAAATAAAAGAATACCTTGGTAAAGGTAAAACAAGTATAATCCAACTATAGCAGAGTCTTCTGGAAATGGGTTAGCATTGCATAGAGCTCAAAAGCCCAGCTTTGGAGTCAGAAAAACCTACATGTGAATTCCTGGCACTATTGCTGTATAAGCTTAGATACTCAACGAGTCTCTAAAAGCTTCAGTTTCCTCAGTTAATCTCAGTTCTGATAACTGTACCATGGTTGTGCAAGGTGCTAATCTTGTATCTTTTTTCTAAGTCTAAAATTATTTCAAAATAAAAGTTTTTAAAAATCTCTAATGGTAAACATAAAATCATAAGGTAACAACCAGTACCATTTTGATCTCCTAAAATGTTAGGAGATTCTGGTGATATTTTATAATTACTGTATTTATGCTGAAGCTATTAAAATGAGAGAGATGCAAGCATTGAAACATCAAAATACAGGATAAAAATCAGCATCAGATGTGTGTGTATTTCTATTCAGTTCCACCTCAGAGTTGAGATTTTTTTTTAAAGCATTAAATTAATTCTGTACCACCAAAATGTACAGGTATCTGAAAACAGATAGTGAAGAGTTGCTTTGTAATATTTATCTCTGTTGAAGTTGAGCTTTCACAATGTGGTTTAGTTTCAGAGCCTAATGAATAGAAATCATTTTCTTTTGTTCTTCCAAATACCTGAAAATAAGGTGAACAAGCCTCAGTAAACTTTGCCATTACATTATGTGGAAGCCACACATATTCAAGAAAATTGTTTTCAACTATCAATTTATATGAAGATTGATAAAGCAATGGGAAACATCCAAGTGAGAGTTTGTAGGAAATGCCCAAACTGGCCAAATAAATTATTTCAGTACCTATGTGCTTGTTACCTTTCTATCACTTTTATTAAATAGTTGTATTTAATTTTAAAATTTTATTAAAATGTTAAAAAGTACAGAGTTTAATCATTTACTTAAAGTCTTGTATTTTATAATATGAATCAGCACAAATATACAAGTTTCAGAAATAACTCTCACTGCCATAGTGACCTGCCTATTTTACATTTGGGAAGCAGTATCAGCTGATAAGCAAAAAAAAAAAAAAAAAAAAAGTGACTGATGAGTGTTTGCATTTTTTCTCTCCAAAATAAATGTCTATAACACAAATGATTATTTTCCGTTAGTATAAATACAGTACCAAAATATTTTTAGAAACTGATAAAAATAGGAGATTATAACTCTTTACTCTAAATTTTCCTAAAATTCTGCCACCCTACAAATGGCATTTACATTTTTTTTTTTTTTTGACAAGCAAGTGCATCTATCTCAACAATAAAAGGACCTAGACTTTTCCTGGTGATATTTTTCCCATGCTAACTGGCATTGAAAAAGTAAAATTGCTTAATGTTAATCAGCCTAATCTGAAGGAGAGGAAGTTTACTCCCCATTTCTCAACAGATTCTCTTTAATTTGGAAGTAACACTGACAGGTGGCCTCAACACCCAGGGCATTACAGACCACCTTGAAGGTCTCAGCGGTAGTAGCCTTTGAAGTCAAAATAATCAACAAGTCATTTGATATCCGATCACACGGAAGGGCCCCCAGAGAAGGCCATCTCTCAGGTAGACTGATTGTCTATCAAATAGGGCTAACTCGATACAGTTTGCTGAACAAATTCATAGACTTTAATGGAACTATAAACTGGAGAGAAATGTCCATTACAAACTGATTTTCAGTGCTCTTTCTATTAAAATGTTAATATGTTTTTTTAAGACTAGATAAGCATCTAGAAAAAAAGATTCATTACTAATAATGAAAGGAAGAAAGATTAGTTTGTATCTTATGGACAGATATCCCCCCACCATTTTTGTGAATGGAAAATTATTTTATCAAATATTTTGGGTCAAAGGATATCTCAAGTCACATATAGTGCAAAAAAAAAAATAAATTTTTTTTCCAGAATAAATGAAGAAGATAGAGAAAAAAATCTGCATTCTTTGGAGGGAATTGATGTTTTTCTATTAGTACAAAGTTAAATTTTCTGGGCATTAGATGTTCTCTACTCTCTGAAAATGGTTGTTAAGGTTTCCATTTACCAAACCTGATTCCAGTTGCATTTATTGAGTTCTTAGTTTGGTTCTGCACTCAGTTAAGCAGGTAAATACATGTTTTAATTTATGTAACTAATCTGTACTATTCAAATGAGGAGTGGTTTATAGCTGCATTGTATGCTCAGGAAAGGATCCAAGACCACATACATGTATATCTGAGACATTCATATTGTCAACATTCATATCAATTCAACATAATACAACAGTTTCTGAGTCTCTCCTATGTTTCCCACATTGAACCAAGTGCTATGAAGGGAATTCCATGGAGCAATGGCTTCCTGAATAGTATTTATAAATATCATGGGCATGACTCCCCAAAGTGAATGATACATTCAACATCTTTATATGGCCACAGGTTCCATATAATTTTCCAGTTCCAGAATTGGAACTACAGGTCCTGTTACAGTTCCAGAATTAGGACTCCATTTCCAGTGCCAGTGCCAGAATTGGAACTCCAATTAAAGTTTCAATTCCAGAATTGGAAATCCAGTTCCAGTGCCAGTTCCAGATTTGGAACTCCAATTCCACTCCAGTTCCAGAATTGAAACTCCAGTTTCAGGTCCAGGTCCAAAATTGGAACTCCAGGTCCAGGTTTAGTTCCAGAATTGGAACTCCAGTTCCAGGTTCAATTCCAGAATTGGAACTTTAGTACCATTGTCAGTTCCATAATTAGAACTGCATTTCCAGTTCCAGTTCCAGAATTGGAACTCCAGTTCCTGTTCCAGTTCCAGAATTGGAACTCCAGTTCCTGTTCCAGAATTGGAACTCCAGTTCCTGTTCCAGTTCCAGAATTGGAGCTCCAGTCTGTTCCAGTTCCAGTTCCAGAATTGGAACTTAAGTTTCTGTTCCAGTTCCAGAATCGGAACTCCAGTTCCTGTTCGAGTTCCAGAATTGGAACTACGGTTCCTGTTTCTGTTCAGAATTGGGACTCCAGTCTGTTCCAGTTCCAAAATTGGATCTCCAGTTCCTGTTTGAGTTCCAGAATTGGAACTACAGTTCCTGTTTCTGTTCAGAATTGGGACTCCAGTCTGTTCCAGTTCCAGTTCGAGTTCCAGAATTGGAACTACAGTTCCTGTTTCTGTTCAGAATTGGGACTCCAGTTACTTTTCAAGATCCAGAATAGCAACTCCAGTTCCTGTTCCAGAATTCTAACTCCAGTCTGTTTCAGTTCCAGAATTGGAACTCCAATTCCAGGTTCAATTCCAGAATTGGAACATTAGTTCCATTGTCACTTCCATAATTATAACTGTGTTTCCATTGCCAGTCGCAGAATTGGAACTCCAGTTCATGTTCCAGTACCAGAATTATAACTCCAGTTCCTTTTCCAGTTCCAGAATTGGAGCTCCAGTCTGTTTCAGTTAAAGAATTGAAACTCTAGTTATAGTTTCAGTTCCAGAATTGGAACTTTAGTTTCTGTTCCAGTTCCATAATTGGAACTCCAGCTCCTGTTTGAGTTCCAGAATTGGAACTCCAGTTCTTTTTTCTGTTCCAGAATTGGAACCCCGGTTCCAGTTCCAGAATTAGAACTCCAGTTTGTTCCAGTTCTAGAATTGGAACTTTAGTTTCTGTTCCAGTTCCAGAATTGGAATTCCAGTTTCAGGTCCAGTTCCAGAAATGGAACTCTAGTTCATGTTCCAGTGGAGTTCCAGAATCGGAACTCCACTTCCTGTTTTAGTTCCAGAATTGGAACTGAAGTTCCAGTGTCAGTTCCAGAATAGGGTCTCCACTTCCAGTGCCAGTTCCAGAATTGGAACTCCAGTGCTAGTTCCAGTTTCAGAATTGGAACTCCAGTTACAGGCCCAGTTCTAAAATTGGAACTCCAGTTCCTGTTCCAGTTACAGAATTGAAACTCCAGTTGCAGTTCCAGGTCCAGAATTGGAACGCCAGTTTCTGTTCCAGGTCCTGGACTGAAACTCCATTTCCAGTTTCAGGACCAAAATTGGAACTCCAGTTCCAGTGCCAGGTTTAGAATTGGAATTCCAGTTCCAGTGCCAGTTCCAGAATTGGATTTCCAGTTCTAGTTCCAGGTCCAGAGTTGGAATTCCACTTCCAATTCCAGGTCCAGAGTTGGAACTCCAGTTTCAATTCTATTTCTAGAATTTGAACTCCAGTTTCTTTTCCAGATCCAGAATTGGAACTTCAGTACCACTGCCAGTTCCCAAATTGGATCTCCAGTTTTTGTTTCAGTTCCAGAATTGGAACTCCTTTTCCTGTTCCATTTCCAGAATTGGAACTCCTGTTCCATTTCTAAAGTTGGAACTCCAATCTGTTCCAGTTCCAGAATAGGAACTCCAGTTCCAGTTCCAGTTGCCAAATTGGAATTCCAAAGCTAGTTCCAGTTCCAGAATTGGAACTCCAGACCTAGGTTCTGGAGTCAGACCATAATTCTAATTCCACTTCTGCCGCTTGCTGATTGGCCTTTGCTGATTATTTAAATGTTCTGATCTCAGTTTCCTCATCAGTACAATATGGGCAATAAGACACCTACAACATCCTCTGATGTTATCATTAAGATGAAGGAGATAATATATGTAAAGTACTTAGCATATATAGCTTGATACAAAATCAATGTTCAGTATCTTGTAGCTTCTATTTATATTCAGAAATGTTGTTCAAGCCTTCCTGAAAGCTTCTTGGCAAAGCATATATTCTTTTTCAAGGTACTGACTTGTAATTGTTGTTATTTTCATTGTTTAGCTGTTAAGCCACTATTACCTTTGACTTTCTCCCAATACATCCCCAACTTCTGGAACTCAATAAAAGTATTTGAGTGGATGAATCTAGATCATTCAGAATTTTCTTTAAGAGAGTAGGAGAAAATATTTGTAAAGTCTGCCTTAAATACTAGACTGCAGAGGTTGTAGACAAAGATTTTTAATCTATGTAAAACGAGCAAAATTGTGGTTTAGGAAAGGTGTCTGAGAATAACATTCTAAGTACATTGACAGGAAACACAGAAGCCAATGACAAAAGCTGTTAAAATAATCCAGGTGTTAACTGGAGGTAAGGGGGTAGGCCTCAGAGATAGTGCAGTAAACTAGATATACAGTTTTAAGAAATGAGCCTCAGGATATACAAACGAGATATATAGTTTGAAGAAATGAACCCAGAAAGTAGTACTATTTAGAATAGCACCAGGAAATATGAAATATTTAGTGGAAAAATCTAGCAAAATATGTACAGGATCTGCATGCTGAAAACTACGGATGATAGAAATCAGAGAAATCTAAAACAAATGGAGCAATTTATAATGTTCATTTTTTGGAAAGCTCAATATTATTAACATGTAAATTTTCCCAAAACTTGTCTATACATTCAATGCACTCCCAAACAATATCCCAGCAGGTTTTTTTTTGCAGATATCAACAAAGTTAATTTAAAAGCTTTTTTATTGAAAAGCAAAAGCAAAAAAAACAAAACCTTGATGTTGATGATTAATAGCAACACTTCCTCACTTGCTCTCTTCTTTCTCACTATCTGACAAGTATACACTTACTGTCTGTCCTTTCCACCCCACCACTATAAGTAAGTTCTATAAGAGCAGGAGTTTTGTTTTGCTCTTGCTGAAGTCCCAATGAGTGTAAAATAACAGTCATTGGACACTTGGACACGTGGCAGGATGAGAGAAGGTGAGGGTTGAGAATTATTTGATGGGTACATTGAACACTCTACAGGTGATGGTTACACCAATAGCCCAGACTTAATCACTACACACTATGCTTGTATCCCTTAAATTTATAGAATAACCAAAACAATCTGAAAAAGAAAAACAATCTTGGAGGACTAGTGGATTTCAAGAATTACGTGTAAAGCTGCAATAATCAAGGCAGGTGGTATTAGCAAAAGATAGACATATAGATTAGTGCCATAAAAAGAAGAGCCCACAAATAGACAGATATAAATGGATTTTTGGCAAAGGTACAAAGGCAATTCAGTGGGGGAAAAAAATCACCTTTTCTACAAAAGGTGCTGGGACAATTGGATCTCCACATGTGAATAATATAATCCTTAACCCGAACCATGCATGTACAGAAAAGTTAATTCAAATGGATTACAGACTTAAATATGAAGCCCCAAACTATAAAACTTCTAGATTAAAACATAGGGGAAAACATTTGTGACCTCAGGCAAAGATTTCTTATATTTCTTATATATGATAATTCTTACATATGACAAATCATAATCTACACAAGAGAAAAATGGATAAGACAGGCTTCATCAAAATTAAAAACTTCTTTAAAAAATACCCTTAAGAGGAAAAAAAGCCATTCACTGGGAGAAAATATTTACAAATCATATGTGCAACAAAGAACTTTATCCAGTGTATATAAATGATGCAGGATTTTCTTCTGGGTCACTTTGCAACCCAGGGACCTCTGGCCGGCAGTGCCCCACTGGTCCTCACTCTGCCACACAACATGCTGCAGGAGACAGCCCTCTCACTTGGCCAGCCCAAGCCAAGTCTGGCTTCTTCACCAATTCCCAAGTTCTTGTCCTACATCCAAGAATGAGGATGTACTGACAATCAAAGAGTAAACAAGGTGGGGAGTTTTGTTGAGTGATGAAACCGCTTTTAGTGGAGAGGGGAAGAGGGGACATCGGGGTGGTCCCCCTTCCTGAAGGCAGGAAAGTCCCCCTAATATGGCTGAGTCTGGGGCTTTTATGGGCTCAGAATGGGGGAGGGGCAGGCTGTAGGTAGTACTGGAAAAGGCAACATTCAATTGGTTAAACGGCATTATTCAGAAAGAATCAATGGGGAAAAGGTGGGCAAACAGGAACAGAAGTTCTCACTCTGGGTCGTCGGTTTCATCTGGGACCAGTAGTCCAGTCTTTCAGGCTTCAAGCTGTTTTTGGCTTGAAAGTGGGATTTCACTGGGGACCCACCCCTATCTGCCTAGGCATTCAGCTGCCTTCTGTCACTATCATATAGTGTTCTCAAAATGCAACAATAAGAAAACAAACAACCCAATTTTCAAAAAAAAAAAAAGAGCAAAGATTTGAACTGACATTTTGCTAAAGAAGATAAGCACATGAAAAGATGCTTTTAGAGAAATGCAGATTTAAACCACCATGGGATACCATTACAAATCTGTTAAAATGACTAAAATGAAAAAGACTGACAATACGAAGTGCTAAAGCAGATGTGGTGTAAATAGAACTCTTACAAATTGCAGGTGAGTATTCAAAATGGTACAGCCATTTCTGAAGACAGTTTGGCAATTTCTATAAAGTTAAACATAGCCTTACCATGTATCATACACAAGAGAAATGAAAACTTATGTATATACAAAAACCTTGTATGCAGAGTTTTGTAGAGTCTTTATTCAGAATCACACATGCACAAACTGAAAATACCCCAAAAGTGCTTCAACTGGTGATAGAAAAACAATGCAAATGCATAGGATGGAGTGCTATCCAGCAATAGAAAGGAAAAAAAAAATGGATATATTAATCAACGTAGATGGCATGAATGTAGTATGCTAAGTGAAAGAAATCAGACTTAAAGGCTAATACTGGATGATTCTGTTTATATGACATTCTGGAAAATGCAAATTACAGGAACAGCAAATAGATGAGTGTTTGCCAGTGGACTGGGGTGGATGAAGGGCAGCATGAGGAAATTTGGGGAGGTGAAAGAATGTTTCTGTATCGTGATTTTAGAGGTTGTTACACAACTGTAAGCCTAAATTATATATCTAAATGTATCACGTATAGGCCAAAAAGAATTAACCTTACTGCACACATATTTTTTAAAGTGAGTAGAGTAAAAGTAAAACAGCAAAAAAGAATCAAGCGTTGTTTTTTTTTTTGTTTTTTGTTTTTTGTTTTAGCTTGTGTGGTCACAAAGAAAAAGAACTATGGCAAAAATTAAGGAAGACATCAGAAAAGAAAAAAGAAAACCAAAAATATGTAAAGTCCTGGAAGAGAAAGGAAGAAACTTTCTAGAAGCAGATGATGGCAAGCATGTTTAAATGTCAAAGAAAGTTGTCGACTTTAGAAAGAGCTGTTTCAGCAAAAGGGTCACCCCGTCTAACATTTTATTATTTCTTAGGTAAACAATGCATTAATCTGACATCTAAATAACCACTCTTGTAAGAAGTCTGGTAATGATAAGAAAAGACAAATGTAGGTGCTAGATGGGACTTTCGGTTTAAGAGGCAGATTTTTCAAGATGGAGATGGAGTTAAGAATGTAGGATACAGGAAGAGCAAGGGATTCATAGCCGAGGGAGAATGAAGACGTTAGAGAAGGGAGCAATGGGAGTGACAGCATGGCCTCTTTGGAAGTGAGAAGAGATGGAGATTAGCCTGTAAGGAAGGGAAGGGACCTTTTTTCCCTTGAGTTAGGGAGAAAGGCCAGGGATAAGACAATGAGACCGAAATAGGAAGGGGCAAAGGACTGTAACGGGCTGAGGTTATCCCAGGATGGCCTGTGAACTCCATTCCTTCTTCTCTTTAATGGTGATGAGTCTTAAGACATTGTAGAAGATTTTCAGACCGCTTTTTCCTTCCTGTGGTAATTTCAAAATGGCTGATGGGAGCTCTTTTTTTTGTTAACTGTTGATGCTGCTCTTTGACAAGCTTAACCTGACTCAGTAGTGTATACAGGAAGGTGTTAACCTAGCGCCCCCTTGTGGGCTGAGGGAAGAATGGGGCTCTGTAATATTTGCAAAGGCAATACTCTAGAATTCACGAGGCTTTACAAGACGGTTGAAAAATTACCTATCAGGTACAATGTTCACGTTTTGGGTAATGGGTACACTAGAAGCCCAGTTCCTACCAGTATGCAATATGTCCATGTAACAAGCATGCATTTTTAAAAATAATTGTATGGAGGTGCTATTATATTTTCTGAGCCTTCTTCTCCCCAAAGTAACCAAGGTTTAGTCAAGTGTCACCTTGAATAAATATTCAGGGATAATGTGCCAGCAGAAATGTTAATAATGGGTAAAAATAACGTTTGAATGAATTCTACTTCCAGATGTGTTCAAGTATATTTGTAGCTTTCATTCAGACAAGGCTTTTGTATATATAACTTTTGGCACTGAAAAAAAAGGAAACGGGAAAAAATAGTTCTGAGATTGTTCTGATTATTCCTAAGCTGTTACTTAATGAATGTCATTCATAAATCTATTTGTAAGACTATTGACCACTGACAGTGAAGCTATAAAAAACCAATTTGCAACGGTGTTTGGAATAGGAGGCTTGGGATATGGATGTTAAACATCAGAAAATTCAAAGCAATTTTTCCATGAAAAGGCCTAAGAATAAATGAAATTTGACGTATGTCATACGATGTTTGCCAATGAAATAAAAATCCTACAGAGACACACATAGTGCTTTAATTGCAAAAATAACACCTGCCCTAAGGAGAAATACAGCGAAAAGCCTCATGATTCCCATTACCTCTAATTGGAATCAAACAGCAAAATCCCTGACCTCCAGAGTAGGTATTCATTTCACAGCTGACATTTGATTTTTCTCAACTGATATTTCAAAATTATCATAAAGGAAGAAAGATGTTTTAGAGCCCTGCTTAATTCAATGTTCTAGGCTTGATTTGTGAGACTACATTCAGAAGTCAAGTGAAACCCTTCTCTACACCCCTTTAGAGCCATATGGCAAGATGAAGATAGACTCAGGTCATGGTGGTTTTTCCTTCTAAGCCATTCTGTTCATGGGAAAGTGCTGTGGCAAAGCAGAAAAAAGTGTGAATTTCCACACTCATGACCAATACATAAATAAATAACTGTATGGTTTCCATCCTTAAATGGAAACAAAATGGCTTCATCTTCAACTTGCAATAATTTTGTCCATACCATCAGAGCTATTCTCAGAGGCTGAGCACTTCTAGATCTAGAAATAATGCAGCCCAAGCAAGCAGCAGTATGCGTCCAGTTGTCTATACTCAGGCTGACTATAAAGACTGATCACCTGAAAGGTAAAATTTATAAGTTTCAAAGCTACCACAGTATTTATTTCTTGAATCTGCCAGTTGAATATTAATAAATCTACTGAGAAGTGCTGCTATGGGGAATTCCTTCCCTGGCTGTTTGAAGAGTGAAAACTAATTACAGTTACATGGCTGATGGCTAAAATCTTACTTGATGACTGTGCCGAGTCTATACAACAGCAAACACCTGAAAGAAAACCAAAAATGGCAATAAATTGTCCTAGATATTTGACCTATCCAATATTGAAAAACATGAAAATGCACAAAACTATAGACACTAGAACTTCCCTGTAACATTATTTTCAGGATCCATTGGAATTTCCTATGGGGAAATTATAATGAGGATTATTTCAGATAAAACCAGCTGGAAGAATGAAATCACTCCTGAGAATACTGGTGATATTGGAAATAGAAAGGAATAGATAGGAATAGAAATTTAGAAATCAACTTTAGGGAGGAACTGTGTAATCAAATCAATTTCCCTAATTTTGGAACACAGAGAAGGACCAGCAAAAGGTAAAGCTGGGTGCCTGATAGATGCTAGTGATTAACAGCGCAACTTCCTCACACATCCACCAGCACTCTCTTCTTTCTCACTCTTTGGCATTTTTATACTTATTTAGTGTCTGTTCTTTTCACCCCACTACTATAAGTAAGCTCTATAGGGGCAGGTGTTTTGTTTTGCTCTTGGGGAAGTCCCAGTGCCTAGACAATTGCTTGTAATGCAGTAGATGCTCCCAGGAAAACACATATAGCTGGTGAATTGGGACAGAGAAAAGAGACAAGACATAAAGTGCAGAACAGTAGTCATTGGAGACTTGGAAGGTGGGAGGATGGGAGGGGGTGAGGGTTGAAAACTTAATGGGTATGATGTACACTATGTGGATGATGATTACACTAAAAGCCCAAACTTGACCACTACACAATATAGCCATGTAACAAAATTGCACTTGTGCCCCTTAAGTTTATACAAATGAAAATTTTAAAAATTTAAAAATTATATGAGAACTAGGAGAAAAACTATAAGAAGAGTCATAAGCAGGTGGCTCATTGCTGACAGGTGAGGCTAAAAAGTAAAAAAGCAAAAAATTTAGGAAGGGACCATAGATTAGAATAATAAATTAGAAAGAGGTTTAGCGGAGTCAGGAGCTAGGCAGGCTATGTCATGACTGGCATAGCAAGCCACCTACTGAAAAGTGTCCCTCTAAGTGGGCTTCCATAGCACCCATGAGTCCCCCTTGAGTTAAGGCAAAACATTTGTTAATTTGCAATTTTAAGAAGCAGGAGGCCTAACAGAATATTAGAAGCCATTAACATGGATTTGTTTTTCAGATTGCCACCTTTCTCCTTCAAGTGCTTTTAAAATTAGCAACATAAATGTGTGTGATGTGACACATGACAAAATGTCTTACCAATTATTTTGAACAGTTGCTAAAATTAAGATTGATTATAGAGATCAGAATTGAGATGTACTTGGAGTACACAAGGAAATATCTTTTTATATTGAATTTCCTAACTTTCCAAAGTTCAGCATTAACGTAAAACTTTGACATTAGTGAGCATTCACACAGGTCAGAAAAATTGACCCTAGAGGCTAATATTGTGCAGGGTAAGCAACTTGAGATATAAATGTGTTCTGGATACCCTACATACAACCTGCCACCTAATATTTCTCAATTATAATTACTATTCAAGGGCAACAAGCCAGAGGGAATGCCTACACTGGAATTCCACAGGGATCTGACATGGGCTTGGGACAATTTAACTTCTTAATTAATGACTCATGAAAACCAATACAAAATATTGTCATTAAGTATACATATGACCCAAATTAGGTCACCATGGTGCTAGACAGGACCAAATTAAAAATAGGAAAGCAACCTTGTTAAACTGTCAAATAGAAGATGAGGGTATGTGTAAACAAGATGGAGCTGACAGGATTAAAAGTTCTCACAATTTGACAAGAACCGAAACAAAAGAGAGGAATGAGGAAGGGGTAGGAGAGCAGATAGGAGGATCCCTTCAGCACAAACTGGACAGAAAAGATCTGAAGGTCATAATGATTTTCATGTTAGTCAGTAATGTGTAAAGTATCTTACATATGTAAATACTTATCGCAGTGCTTTATATGAAGTTAAGTGCTTTTTTCAAATGGTAGCTATTAGCATTAATACATGAATAGGGATATAGCAGGGCAAATGTGAGCTATATTCTCAGTTTGTTAAATTCATGCTGTCTAAGATTGAAGTCAACCAGCCATAACAAGCTACCTTTACCACTCAAGCCCACCACATTGGATCTCCTGGAGTGAGGCCATCTTTTCACAGATAGATTTTCTCATGGTTCCTGCTTCCCCTGGGAAATTGTGACCACTGGTCTTGAGAATTCTCTCCTAATATCCAACCTCACAATCATTTGAGTAAAAACTTAGTAAGAAGGAGGCAGCCCGTGGGGAAAGGTAGCCCTTAGCCATCTGGAGAACTAAATTCTCGATACAGTTGCTTTGCTGGAAGAACCTGAAATCAATGGACACCCTTTGCACCTGGAACAATTATTCTGCTACTTACCAAAGCACATTTAATCATATCTCCACTCCAACAGCATCCCCAACAGCCCCTACCTAGTCATTGTTGCCTCTCACTTGTCATCGCTAATAAGAGACAAGAGCTCACTGGCCATGGAGAAAGTGAATTGGGACACAGGTGCCTAGAACACACACACAGGTCATTGGAGTCCTGACTGCAACTCCAATATGTGGTGGGAAACTTGGAAAGTGCTCAAAAACAGTGGGGTTTCTTTTTAATGGTATGATTATGGGCTTGGGAACTTGATCTGGAGAGAAAAAGAAAAATGAACTGTATATATTAAATGAACAGAAGAGAATCCTGTCTAGGGACTTGATTATGGGGATTCTGGTAGTGATGGTTAGCTGCTGTTCTCTGTGCACTTGAGAATGTTTCAGGAGTCTTGCTATGCAGCACAATGGGTTCAAGTTAGACATTAAAATCTTCCTGAAATGAACCATTTCCTGCAATAATGCACTTTGCTGTAAATTTTTCAGAGAAAACATACAGCATTTTGGAAAGCATTTATTCAGTTACATCAAAGATATGTGAAGTTATGCAAATTTTGAACTATCATCAATTGAGAACTTCTCAGGCAGCACATGTACATTTAAGGGTGGAAGGATAGTCTTCAAGAAAAGCTCAAGTATCCAGGATCTTCCGGTCAGCTGGTCTTGACTCTAGTCTTGTTTTCTTCATACTCCAGATTTTTCTCCTGAGCTCAGGAGCCATATTTAAAATAAGATTATAATTAAAGTTGAAGAAAACTTTTAGAGTGAAAGGAACGGGCCCTGGAAATTGTTGAGTAGAGATAGGGATGTGTCCTTCTTACATTGACTCAATCTAGAAAGGAAGAAAGGGGCATGGGATTTTCAGAGTCAGGCAAATCTCACTTTGAATCTCAGATTAGTGAGTTAACTAGCTCTGGGACTGTGAATTAATTCACCTTTCTGAGCTTAACATTTTTCTCATGCTTGAAATGGGAATAATAATGATATTTACTTTACAGTGATCTTGCTAGGATTAGGTGATATAAGTAAAACTCCTGGAATGTAGTTGGTACTCAAATTGTAGTCATTATTACATCCATCCTCTCCCATTCTTCATCCTGAGATACATGATACTGTATTGCGTTGTGATATTGTATATATTGTGATGTTTACCTTGATATGGCCCAAAGGAAATATTTTTTGGTGTTTACTTATAGGGTTGCCAGAAAGTATACAGGAAGCCTGCTAAATTTGAATTTCAGATAAGCAAGGAATTCTTTTTTAGCATAGGAATGTCCCAAATATTGCATGGGATGTATTTGCACATTTAAAAAGTTATTTATCCAAAAATTTAAATTTCAGATCAAATTTAAGTGGGTTTCCAGCATTTTTATTTGCTAAGTCTGGCAAGGCTGCCTACTCAGCATCTATTCCTTACTTACCCTTTTCTAACAACACGTCAGTTTTTATTCTGGTAATGAACCCTCTGCTGCAACAGTTGACTCTACCTGGCCCTCAAGTGGACTATGCCAGGCCCCTAGATAGTTTAAGCCCATCAGCACATTTCATCCCCTGGAAGAAGTGATTGGTTGTTTGGTGAAAATGCAACCTAAGTCAAAGCGAATCTCAGGACTCTTGTTAGGAACACAGAACTAGAAATGCTAGCTCTCCCTTGGCTGTAGACAAGAAATAGGGAGCCCCTGAAATTGCTGGTAATTATTTGGCTGCTATGAGGGAATCTGACCCATAGAAGATACAAAGCCAAAATTATTGCCGGGGAACAGCCCATTTCTGGAGCTAGGAGTGGGATCAGTTTCCTTGGAAGTACATTGCTGTGTGGGGAAAGGATGAACACTTGAACAAGACCTTTTTTAAATCTTTCTTCTTTTTTTTAGGGAAGGAAGAAGGAATGAATAATTAATCCACCAAAAGGTGAAACATGGAACTAAAAAAAAAATGTGTCCTTTTATCAGTTCTATTACTTGGCTGCAAGTAATAGAAAAACCTAACCCAGACAGATGTAAACAATAAAGGGAATTAGTAGGTGGCTATAACATATTTCAACCTAAATAACAACAGAGAGAGGCTCTCTAAAAGAGAAAGATACTTATTTGGGAATAGAGCATTGGGAATACACATGTCACAGTAAACTATGTACATACTCAGGGAGATAAAGATTTTTAAGGGAAATAAATGAGGAAGATGTCATAATTGTTCTGAAATAATTATCCTTGGCTACCAAAGTCAGTAATAAGTGTGATGCCAGTCTGAGATTGGACAGGCAGTTGCTGGGCAGTTGTCGTTGCCGAAGTATTTTTTGTCTAAGACTGTGTGTCCTTTGGGCAAGGTTGTGTTTTTTGTGGAATTATTTTGTGATAGTTTTTGTTATCAGGCATACAAGCATGAGAAACCTCTTTTCACGGCCTCCTCCCCCACTCTATTTGTCACGCTTTTTATTTGCTTGTTTTCTTTTAACATTAGTGACTGCTTTGATTTTGACAATTTTCACACATAAAATCCCAAAAGTAGATGAGCCTCAAGTTTGTCTACACGGTCCTCTTTAGGGAAGTTGTTTATTTAAAAGTAAAATATGGCAACACAGAGAATGAGGGAGAGTTGTTTTTTTCTTTTCTTTTTCTTTTTTTTTTTAGCTTAGCCACTGATTCTGTTTTTATGATTCTGTAATTCTATGATGATCTGGCAAACTTAAAATGCAGCTGTATTCATCAGTTTTCCAAATTATTATTTATGTGGCTTTATACAGAGTCCAGAGCCAAATTTTAGAATTTTAGTAACATTTGTTTGAATCGCAGTCTTATCTGCTTAGAAATGGAAGCTTCATATTTTTTTGTACGTATCCTAGAATTGCTTCTGCCAGTTCAAGATTTCTTAAGTTTATACTTATCAGGTTCATTTCTGGATGCCTTGTGTCTTTGCAAATTGTAATTTTTTCATTTTCAGTAAAACTAATATGACAATTAAAAAGTCTGATATATAGCAGTCCTTGCTGTCTGAATTTAGATCTTAGATTTTTTTAAGATAACATTTTTTCCACACCTGATTTTAACAATATATATAATGATAATTGCTATAAAGTAAAAGGTATGTGATAAGAAATCTTCTTCCACTTCAGCAAACATGTTTTGAGCACCATTATGTCTAACGTTAGGATAGATATTCTTACCTCCATGAGCCACTAATATGCATACTATAGAAGATATTTGAATCATGAGTCTGAGCACTGGAAACATTCAAACTGTAGAATTGCTCAGAAATAATTTTTAGGTGACTATCACTTTTTAAATTGCATATTGACATATTTGAAAATAACAAAGGTGTATTTCAGCGGGCAGAGATGACAGCTCAGAGCTGCCCTGTGGCCTAATCAAAGCCAAGGTTGCAATCAGAATAAGAAAATCACCTGGTTAGACTTGCAGGTACCATATTTACTGCCTTAGTTTTTAACCAGTACATGTTTCAAAAGACAGCAACTGTCTTGAAGTGCTGCTTTCCAATTGCACGAATGTGTATTAGATAAATCATTGATTAATTAGCATAATGGAAAGAAATACTTGCAGAACACATCTAGTGAAACAGAGCAAGTCTTTTCCTTTTTTGCTGGGCTCTACTGGAATTCTACCTTAGCTTCAGAAATAGTGTTGTTTTGGGCAAAGACAGATTTCAGACCATCCCAGTAAAATATCTTCTACTGTAAATAGCATTTGTTAATGATATGAATAAGAACAGAACAGCTAGTATTTACTGAGCTGTTGCATCAGGAGTGTTTCGCACTCATTTTCTCTTTTTGTCTTCAGTGGACAACTCTGTCCTAATTTTGTGGGGGAGTGTTTTGCTGAATCCAAAGCAATGAGGGGCCACTTGGACAGTATCGCTATAAAGCAGAGCCAGCACAAGGACACAAATTCTTCTGGGTGTTGCTGGGGCTCATAAGCAGTAAGATACACCATTCAATATTGGAGTGTTGTGAAGCAGACAATATTGTTCCCATTTTGTAGATGGGAAAACTGTGACTAGGAAGCTAGTCACCTGCCAGACTCACCTAGCTGATAAATGGAAAGCCTCAGTTAAATTCAGACTTCTCACCAAAGAGCTTTATTGCTCTTTGTACTTCATGTCTGCTATAGTTCCATTCAACTACTTTACCAATTTGTATTTGTTTATCATAAAAAGTTTAGAAATATAGATGGTATCTGTCTTGACAAGAAGAAGCTTTCAACGATATAGAAGATGACCAACTAAGGAAGTTTTGTGGTGAGATTGATTTGAGGATATAAATTTTTAAGAGAATATTAAGCTTCAAAAACAGCTTATTTTCATCAGCATAAGCAAAGGTAGCTGAATCCAAGCAATACTGTTCTAAACCCATATGTTTCTTAAACATGTAAGAAAGATAAAAACACACAAATGACATTAGCTTTAAGAGGTATGTTTTTCTCATCAAGCTTTCAACTAATATATATAAACTCTATTATTAGCATTGCTAAGAAATTGTTTTTGTGTAATTCAAACTTCATTGTAAACTTCCTTTCAGGGTCTGGCTTAAACTCACAAAGCAACAAACTTCAAATTAAGACCTCCCTTTTCAAACTGTCCTTTTGTTCCACAGAGCAGGCACTAGCCCTCCACGTTAGAGAAATCAGTATCTCAACAGAAGGCTACTGCTTGAAGCAGAACAACCTTTAACATATGGAAAGATTCTCCACCAAATTGTTGGACATTTGTAGTTCTACTCCTTATCAGCTTTACCTGTATAATCTCCATCAAGATGGGTCTGTTTCACAGGCAGGCATTGTGAAGAATATAGCATATTCTAAAGGTCAGGTTGTCCATTCCACTCTCTAGTCTGTTGCTCTCATAAAAATGACCATATGGGCCGGGCGCGGTGGCTCACGCCTGTAATCCCAGCACTTTGGGAGGCCGAGGCGGGCGGATCACGAGGTCAGGAGATCGAGACCATCCCGGCTAAAATGGTGAAACCCCGTCTCTACTAAAAATACAAAAAATTAGCCGGGCATAGTGGCGGGCGCCTGTAGTCCCAGCTACTTGGGAGGCTGAGGCAGGAGAATGGCGTGAACCCGGGAGGCGGAGCTTGCAGTGAGCCGAGATCCCGCCACTGCACTCCAGCCTGGGCGACAGAGCGAGACTCCGTCTCAAAAAAAAAAAAAAAAAAAAAATGACCATATGTAGTTCAGTGGAGCTTGTCATCTTGACTCTGTGGGGCGGGTTCTGGGGCCTGTTCTCCCTAACTCTATGGAACTAAATATTTATGTGTGTGGACTTTTGACATTTTTCCACACGTCACCTTGGAAAATGTCACTTGCCCTTTTAGGCCTCAGTCTTCTCATCAATAAAATAAAATCATTGAACTAGATTGGCAGCTCTCAAAGCATTGTCTGGAAAGTCTGGGAGTTCGTGAGAATCTTTCAGAAAGTCTGTGAGGTCAGAACTATTTTCTTTTTTTTTTTATTATTATTATACTTTAAGTTTTAGGGTCCATGTGCACATTGTGCAGGTTAGTTACATATGTATACATGTGCCATGCTGCTGCGCTGCACCCACTAACTCATCATCTAGCATTAGGTATATCTCCCAATGCTATCCCTCCCCCGTCCCCCGACCCCACAACAGTCCCCAGAGTGTAATGTTCCCCTTCCTGTGTCCATGTGATCTCATTGTTCAATTCCCGCCTATGAGTGAGAATATGCGGTGTTTGGTTTTTTGTTCTTGCGATAGTTTACTGAGAATGATGATTTCCAATTTCATCCATGTCCCTACAAAGGACATGAGCTCATCATTTCTTATGGCTGCATAGTATTCCATGGTGTATATGTGCCACATTTTCTTAATCCAGTCTATCACTGTTGGACATTTGGGTTGGTTCCAAGTCTTTGCTATTGTGAATAATGCTGCAATAAACATACGTGCACATGTGTCTTTATAGCAGCATGATTTATAGTCCTTTGGGTATATACCCAGTAATGGGATGGCTGGGTCAAATGGTATTTCTAGTTCTAGATCCCTGAGGAATCACCACACTGACTTCCACAATGGTTGAACTAGTTTACAGTCCCACCAACAGTGTAAAAGTGTTCCTATTTCTCCACAACCTCTGCAGCACCTGTTGTTTCCTGACTTTTTAATGATTGCCATTATAACTGGTGTGAGATGGTATCTCATTGTGGTTTTGATTTGCATTTCTCTGATGGCCAGTGATGATGAACATTTTTTCATGTGTTTTTTGGCTGCATAAATGTCTTCTTTTGAGAAGTGTCTGTTCATGTCCTTCGCCCACTTTTTGATGGGGTTGTTTGTTTTTTTCTTGTAAATTTGTTTGAGTTCATTATAGATTCTGGATATTAGCCCTTTGTCAGATGAGTAGGTTGCGAAAATTTTCTCCCATTTTGTAGGTTGCCTGTTCACTCTGATGGTAGTTTCTTTTGCTGTGCAGAAGCTCTTCAGTTTAATAAAATCCCATTTGTCAATTTTGGCTTTTGTTGCCATTGCTTTTGGTGTTTTAGACATGAAGTCCTTGCCCATGCCTATGTCCTGAATGGTAATGCCTAGGTTTTCTTCTAGGGTTTTTATGGTTTTAGGTCGAACGTTTAAGTCTTTAATCCATCTTGAATTGATTTTTGTATAAGGTGTAAGGAAGGGATCCAGTTTCAGCTTTCTACATATGGCTAGCCAGTTTTCCCAGCACCATTTATTAAATAGGGAATCCTTTCCCCATTGCTTGTTTTTCTCAGGTTTGTCAAAGATCAGATAGTTGTAGATATGCAGCGTTATTTCTGAGGGCTCTGTTCTGTTCCATTGATCTATATCTCTGTTTTGGTACCAGTACCATGCTGTTTTGGTTACTGTAGCCTTATAGTATAGTTTGAAGTCAGGTAGCGTGATGCCTCCAGCTTTGTTCTTTTGGCTTAGGATTGACTTGGCAATGCAGGCTCTTTTTTGGTTCCATGTGAACTTTAAAGTAGTTTTTTCCAATTCTGTGAAGAAAGTCATTGGTAGCTTGATGGGGATGGCATTGAATCTATAAATTACCTTGGGCAGTATGGCCATTTTCACGATATTGATTCTTCCTACCCATGAGCATGGAATGTTCTTCCATTTGTTTGTATCCTCTTTTATGTCCTTGAGCAGTGGATTGTAGTTCTCCTTGAAGAGGTCCTTCACATCCTTTGTAAGTTGGATTCCTAGGTATTTTATTCTCTGTGAAGCAATTGTGAATGGGAGTTCACTCATGATTTGGCTCTCTGTTTGTCTGTTGTTGGTGTATAAGAATGCTTGTGATTTTTGCACATTGATTGTGTATTCTGAGACTTTGCTGAAGTTGCTTATCAGCTTAAGGAGATTTTGGGCTGAGACAATGGGCAGAACTATTTTCATGATGATACTTAAGGTACTGCTTTTTCAGCCCCATGCTTTCACCAGTGTACAGTGAAGCTTTCCAGAAGCTACATAATATATGATGATGTCATCACTCTGAATATATGCTTAAATATTCTAATGTTTTAAAATTATTTTTAGTTTTAATTTCCAATACTATAGATCTCAATAGATATAACCCACATAAAATCTAATGGGATTCTCAATGATTTTGAAGAGTGGAAACCATCCTGAGGCCAAAAAACTTTGAGAACTGCTGGGCTAAATCACCTCTGTCTCAGTGGTACATAACTGCTGGTACTGGGGTTAAAATGCACACTTTTTTTGAAATGATGATGAGAGTAGATATTAGATACTTAATTTTTTTAAAAAATTCCTAATTGGTAAGATAAAATATTGTGATCTTTTGTTCCTTCATTAAAAAATAGTTACACTGCCAATCTATATATAGACAGGCCCATGAACTCTTCTTGTAACCTCCTATTATTCAGACAGGGAAAAACATTGGTTTTTGATAGAGATTGTTATCACCCAAATGAGTGTCAGATGGTGTTTTATTTAACTGTCTCTTTGTGCCCTTGTAACTTTTATATGGAAAATGTATTTGATTGGTAACCTAATTAATAAGAAGACACTTTAATACTACCCTAATGTCAAGTTCTACCTTGTTTTGTCTTTGTCTGGGCTTTCCAAAGTTTCTCACAATTGATTTTGAGTCACACTCTGAGACTAACGCCAAAAGTTCAGTCCTCAAACATCATTTTAAGGTATCAGAAATAAAAATTGCTGGGTGCGGTGGCTCACAACTGTAACCTCAACAGTTTGAGAGGCTGAGACAGGAAGATTGCTTGAGACCAGGAGTTTGAGACCAGCCTGGGCAACATAGCAAGACCCTGTCTCTAATATATATATAAAATTAGCTGGGCATGGTGGTGCATGCCTGTAGTCCCAGATACTCAGGAGGCTGAGGATCACTTGAGCCCCAAAGGTCAAGGCTGCAGAGAGCTGTAATCATGCCACTGCACTCCCTTCTGGGCAACAGACTGAGACCCTGTCAAAAGAAAAGAGGAAGGAAAGAAGGAAGGAAGGAAAGAAGGAAGGAAAAAAGAAAAAGAAGAGAGAAAGAAAGAAAGAGAGAAGAAATTTAAAAAAGGAAAGGAAAGGAAAACAAAGGAAAAGAGAATTAATATATGTGAACTTTTCCAGTAGTTGCTCAAAAAATGACTGCTGCCAAACTCTGAGGGGAAAATTCCCGACTCGATCAATAGCTCTCTTTGGAACACTATGTCTTTGACAGATTACTTCTGGTTATAAGATGAAAATTTGATTTTTAGTTTTGAATAGGAATTTTTATGCTTAATTAAAGAAAACTGCAACTCAAGATTGTATCAGTGAATATTTCCTTTCCCTAATCAATTATATGGTAAAATAAGATTATCATGTTCATGTAATCTATATAAAGTTCATACCATTAAATGATGGGTCAGCTAATTAATTATTTCCAAAGCACTTTGGTAGTGCTGAAGAATGCTTTTTTTTTTGTCCTCATAGAGTCCTTCTTTAATTTGATTTCCAATATGTAGTGCTTTTCTCCAGATTTTTAAAAGTACTTCTTTTTATTCTTCCCCATTACATCATCCTTTTTCCTCCTTGTTGGACTGAGTGACAAAGGGCCTTGAATTCATGATGAAAGAAGATGTAATTGAGCCTAGTGAACTAACCACAGGAAAATGTGAGTTCAAACTCTGGCACAGTCTCCTCTTCATTATCAAATCTTGAAGTTTCATAATTGAGACAATGTATATTGTTATAATACTTCATGGATATGTTGTAAAGATTACTGAGTAATGTTTCGTTTGGCATCACTAATCTGAAGATGTAGAAAGAGATAAATGCTTTTCCAAATGCATTCCACTTGAGTGAGGGCGGAAGTTCTGGGAAGCAACTCTGTCCCAAAATGCTAATCAAGTCAATGGCAGTAGAAACAAGGTGTTAGAAGCATGCCTTTTTCACTTGTAGGAAGTTGTAATTAGCCTAATTTCTTTTGGAAGGATTCTGAGAGACCTGTGTATAGCCTGGGAAGTAGAACCTGTTCTTCTTGCTGTGAAATTGACTTCATTCTGGTATTAGTTTCAAAGGTAGGTGAAAGCAGTCAGAAGCAGGTCTTAGATCTAAATATCCACACTGCTCTATTACACTGACTGTCTTTTTATTCACTCTCTGGGAAAGGACTAGCCAATGGTTTTTAGTGCAGAATCCCTTTGATCACTGCAGAGTCCTATTATGCTTCCATGGAAGAGCCTTCACAATGATGACATCTCAGTCTACAGCAGGGCAAGACTTCTCACCCTCAGCACTCTTGACATTAGGGGTTGAATAATTCTTTGACTGGGGATAAGAGGCTGGCCTGTGCATTGTAGAATGTGTAATAGCAAGCCTGGTCTCCACCCATTAGACGTCAGTAGTAGTCCCACTGCACAGTGGCAACAATCAAAAATGTCTCTAGACATTGCCAAATAATCATTGAAGGCAAAAGAAATACTAATCTATAGGGTCACAAAATATAGGAATTAAAAGAAACTTCACATGTAGTTCTGTTTTTTCTAAGTTGTAGCTTCTTGACCACTCATGGTATACTTGATGATTTTAGGGAAGAGGCAGCATTAAATGACATTGAATTACATAGTAGAAAGTAATTATCTTTTCAATTTTCTTTCAGGTGTTCTCTTTAATCAAGAAGAAAGTCTCTGTTTACTACTAGAACATCTTTAACACCTCCCAATATTTGCATATGATAGAAACCAGAAGAAGTAAAACCTCAGGTACATAGCAGACAACATTATCTAGCTATTATTTAATAACGTGGTTTTATTTTTATGGTATTTATTTTCATAAGTGGCATTGGTTCTTCATTTGCCCTATGGATAAAAGTTTCTTTTCGAATTAATGTATTTGGTAATTACATTGGAAAATATTTAGCAATAATTCTAATCCTGCCAAAAGTCAAGATAATGTTTACCCCAACGAAATAATGACTGTGAGGGGCCTGAGGGGGATCATCTGGGGTGTTGGTAATGTTCTGCTTCTTGGTCTGGTGGCATGAGGATGTTCAGTTTGTAAAAGCTTATCCAGCATATAGTCATGAGTTGTACACCTTCCTGTATATAAGGTATACTTCAATTACATTTCAAAATTTAAATTACAAAAATAAAACAGTAGGTGGAAATAAAAATGTGAAGCAATATTAAATAAATACTTATGCAGGTGGTATGTCAAATCAAAATAACCCCACAATTGTAAGTGGTTTGTAAAAGACTGAAGTCAGGGAAACCCTGATTTTGTACAATTCCTTTACGTTAAAGATGGCACCCGGGACCAGGGAATGCAGGAGTTACTTGATCAGAGACCATAGGCAATGAGTAGCTAGTGGCTCTGTGACTATAACCAAAGCTTCAACTCCCAGTCCAGTGCCTTTTCTGATGACATATGCCCTGTGCCAGGTTTCATACCCACTGGTTTCAACCCTCACTTTCTGGCATCCTCGTATTTCTGCCTCCCTACTCAGCCATCTGCCACGGTCATACCAGCACCTTCGATTTGACAGGTCTGAAACTTATTAATATAAAGTACTTCACCTTTTTGCTCAGTGTCTCCAGAGCATTTGGGTAGCCATGAATTGGTAACAGGAACTTGACCTTCTGTCTCTGGCTGGAGCAGTCCCCTATTCATTTTCTATTGGTTGAAAATGAACTGCAAAGCAAACTCAGAGATCTCACAACCACACTTATTTTCACGATTATAGTAATTGAAACCACACTGATTATTTCTGCAACATGCCATTATTTTCTAATCATTTCAAAGCATTTCCAGGTATTATTGTTTAACTTGAAAGCAAAATGCATAACACTGCTTTTGAAAGAGGAAAGAGGAGGCTGGGCACGGTGGCTCACGCCTGTAATCCCAGCACTTTGGGAGGCCAAGGTGGGCGGATCACAAGGTCAGGAGATGGAGACCATCCTGGCTAACACAGTGAAACCCCATCTCTACTAAAACCACAAAAAATTAGCGGGGTGTGGTGGCAGGTGCCTGTAGTCCCAGCTACTCAGGAGGCTGAGGCAGGAGAATCGCTTGAACCCAGGAGGCAGAGGTTGCCGTGAGCCAATATCGCACCACTGCACTCCAGCCTGGGCAACAGAGCAAGACTCCATCTCAAAAAAAAAAAAAAAAAAAAAAAAGGGAAAGAAAGGGGAAAGCGGGGAAGAGTAAAACCATCCTCTTCTTTCTTGGAAAAAGGATCACCTCAAAAAGACCCTCAACAGGTCTATATTGGATAGCTGTTTTCCACCATTGTAGTTTGGGGTGGACTCTTCACCTTATAAGAATGCCACCTGAGTTCAGAGTTGCTGTGGTGAAGACGAAAGGGGGCTAGGTTTGGTGTGATATGCCTTCAGGAAAGTCTCTCATCTCCCTTTAGGTTCTTCATCTATGAAATGGGGACAAGAAACCTCCTACTTATCCTATAGGGCTGTCATAGTGAACCCAGTGAGATAAAGTATGTGACAATGTCCTGTAAAATGTGCAATAAGGCTTATTGGGGGTTATTGTTGATAAGCAGCTCAAATATTTTGCCTCCCCTAGTGGACATTTTATGTGGCATATCTTAATATTAAATTAAAATTAAAATATTAAATTAAATTAAACTTAAAATGGCAAGGCTAGTTTGCCCCCATAACATATCTTAATGTAGATACATAAAACATGTTACAACATGTTACATTTATAATGATCTCGGGCTTGAAGTTTTGTAAGAAGTTTTGCAAGAAGTTTTGCATTTTCTTACAATGAGAAATTTAGACTTTGACAAGCTTACAATTACTCTTTCACCAGAATGATGTTTCTTCTAGATGGAAACACTTTGCTGCAGTTTTTTCCATGATAAGCAGTGCTGCATTCTGGGAATCCAGCCAGCTCCAATGGGGAACTGGGCAATATGGAAATTTCAGTGAGCACAATACACAAAGTGATTCTATATTGGTATTAGATATGCAGATGATGCACTAAATGGGCTTATGTTTCTTCTCAAATACTTGTAATCTCTTTGCGTACTAAACAAAAGTGGGAATAATATTGATCTTTGGCTTCTATTGCATTGAGATTTGAATTCTTAAAGTGATTTGTGAGCCTAACTGGTATTTTTTTTTAATTTCACAGATCACAATTCTGTTAACAGCAAAGGCTTAATCATTGCCTTTTCAATGTGTTTGGGTACAATAAAAGACCCTTGCTTTTTACCAATGTGTGACAGTGCATCAACCTGAAAGAACAGGAAAAGCTGCTGCGATGAGAAACTCGACATCCAAGGTATGCACCATTTGCAAGTTTACACGTTGTTGGATTTCAAATGGCAGGAGAGGAAGCCCTGTGGGCTGGAAGTTGACATGTCATTCTGTAGCCCTTAGCCTGACCTTTAAACATCTGCTCACACGCAAAAGACACTGTGCTCCAAATTATTATTTTACCTCCAGGCTGGTAACAGTATCATCTTCCTGAATGACACCTTCACCACATCCACTCTTGTCAGGAAGGAAGCCTTTTTAATTCTCCAAAGCTCAAAGCCCACAATGTTCTACACAGTGACCTTGAGGGACTGATCACCCCTTGGTACTTGCCAACTACAGATTAATTTCTATTGTTTAGTCCAGAGAAAACTGTCAAGGAACTATGGATTCATGTAAGTCTCCCTGATGGGCTAAGTCACTTTAAATTTATTTGCAGATGAATTTGTTTATGATTAATGTTTTGATGAGAATTACAGAACACATGAAGCTATTTAAAATTCTATTAGAAAACTTGTGCAGAACATCAGTAGAGATGAATATATTTGCCTCCATGTAATAACTGCAAAATTGTTAAAAGAAAAAATAGAGGTTAAACTGTTCTATTTTGTTGACTAAACCAAGAGAAACAGAGCCAAAGACTGAATTTGAGGACTGGCCTCAAATAGTTTCCTGAAATGAAAATTGGGATGAGAGAAGCAGTCCAAATGCGATGAGAACCAACTTTTATTTAAATAAAGCTGTTAGAAGCTGGGAGAGAGTACTTTTCCTTACCTTGTTTTTCATTTTAAAATTACTCTTTCTCACTCAGATTGTGTCAGAAATTGACTAGAGATTATTGAAAAAACTTGTCATGTGGACTATCTAAGACATTCTCCCTCCCAGCAACAAGAACAAAAATACACCAGAGGTCCATCAAAGATCAGGAACAGAGTTACTGGGAGATACATTTGGAGATGCTTTTTTCTTTTTCTTTTTCTTTTTCTTTTCTTTCTTTCTTCTTTCTTTCTCTTTCTTTCTTTCTTTTTTTTTTTTCTTTACGGTTGTGTGTCTTGGCACTGAATTGGAATCAAAGAAGGTATCTGGGCATGTAACACTTAGGCATTCAGGGGTATGTGTGTATATGTGTTTTAATTGAGGCAAAATTCACATAATTAGCCATTTTAAAGTGCAGAAATCAGTGTTTTGTAAATATATTGAAAGGTGTGCAACCATCACCTCTATCTAGCTCTAAAGCATCATCATCCCCACTGGAAACTTCATGTCCATTAGCAGTCATTCTACATTGCCCCCTTCCTCCAGCCCTTGGCAACCACTAATCCACTTGTGTCTATGGGTTTGTGTATTCTGGATATTTTAAACAAAAGGAGTCACACAATATATGCTCTTTTGTGCCAGTTTTCCACTTAGCATATTTTCAAGGTTCATCTATGTTACAGCATGTATCAGTACTTCATTCTTTCTTATGATGGAATAACACTCCATTGTAGGGATACACCTCATTTTGTTTATCGATTCATCATTCATCCACTGATGGACATTTAAGTTGTTACCACCTTTCTGCTATGGTGAATAATGCTGCTATGGGCATGTGTATATAGGTGTTTGAATATTGGCGTCCACATTCAAATTTGAATACCTGTTTATCCCTAGGAGTGGAAGTACTGGGTCATCTGATAATCCTGTGTTTAACTTTTTGAGGAACCGCCATACCGTTTTCCACAGCATGTGCTCCTTTACTTGTATGCGTGTATTCCATCTCTTCTAACAACACTCCAGCAAAATAGGCCTACTGCAGGTAAACCTTTAGGTGGCCTGATCTTGAATCTTTTCAGAGTGGAGTAGATTCAATGGCAATTATCTCTTACATTTGGAAAACGTTTCTGGGGGCCTGCGGGTATGGGAATTTGCTTAGTCTGTTTTGTGAATCAATCCAAACTCCAAGTCTGTCTCCACAGGGGAGGACAGATGCCATTATTTGGGAAATGTTAAATCCAGTAAAAATTTACTATGGTGTGGCCTTTTAAGACCTAGATCAGAAGTTGGAAATCTTTCCTTCCTTCAAATTTGTGTAGAGCATCAGGGAGACTTTTAAGTTACAAGCACTAAGCTCCTTAGACTGTTGAAGTCCTTCAGACTTTTGTTTTCTTGTGGTTTCCCAGGTTACATTGAGTCTTCTTACTCAACTCCATTTATCCAGGAACTGGGCTCCTGACTCTTGAGAGATGGAGAGAAGTGTGCTGGTGGGCCTGCAAAAGAAGATAAGTGGGGGCAGAGGAAATGGCCATGGAAAAGCACAGATATCATGAAGAGTTAGTGAGGGGATGGGCTCCTCTGTGGACTATGAATAAAGTGTTTACAACACTCTATGGCAAGTGGAACAAATCAGACTGCTGAAAGTCAGTAAGGAGTCTCTTGGAATCCCATATGAGACAGAGATTGCCTCTCTTAAAGTTTATCAGTTTTATTTTTGAATTGCTTTTATCCAAAACTAGAAAGAAAACTCCTTTACCCTGTCAAAAAACCAACAGACATGTCTGAACCCTACAAAATTGCCCAATCCATACACAGATACATAGAAATATGAGGTTTTGATAATTTGGAAAATCATCCAAACCATTGTTTAAATTTTAATACCTTACTTGTTTTCACTTAGCCTTTCCTGGAGGTTTCTAAGCTCTCCAAAATTAATAAATAAGAGAAGTAACTTAGCCATTTCTGTGAGTTGCTTATGTTAGAAAGACATCTCCAAACTATAGTCTTTCAAGCACTCCTTTCCTTTGCAGATGGCTATTGATATAAATATTTCTCTAATTCCCTGAGCGTTCAAATGGGCTGGAGTTTCATGTTAAATCTGGACTTAAGAGAGAGTTCGGTCTCTCTGACTTCATATTATGGTGACTTTTCCATCTCTGCTCATTTATCAGGGAGATAACTGTCTGTTGGAATGGCTTTCTTGATCCTTGAACTATTAGTGGGATAGACTCTTATCTGATGGCTTCAAGAAGGGCCTGGTTTGCTTGTGGTGGCCAAAAAGGCCTTAATTGATACTGCAAATAGTTAATTTATGACCCCAGGTTAAACTGGAAACCTGATTTCTTGACTAGCATATTTAAGAGCTATTTCTTTTTTTTCTCTTTGTCAATAGATCATATTTAGTTATGCTGATCTGTTCTATTCATCCACTTTACCTTTGTGTAATAAAGTCTTTGAAAGTATTGCCTTTATATTTTCTCCTATTATTGAATAATATTACCCATGAGATCAGAAAATATTAACAGTACCTCAAAGGTCATTTGTTTTTCCTGTCATCTAAAAACGGAAGAGTACATATTTAAAAATTGTGCTTCCAGGGATTGGAATAGTCATGGATGTTAGGAGAAAGATTGAAAAGGGGCAAATCTGCTCCCAGGTCTTCTGGGAAAGCCAATGTCATGACTGTGTATTATTCTGATAGGTGCAAGGTTGAGCCAGGGCAGGAGCCAAGATTGAAGATAAACTCTAGCTGGGATGTGGGTCACAAAATAGCCACTGCTGAGCTCCCTGGAAGGAATGTAGTTGACTCAGTTATGGGACAGTCTGGACTCCTTTCTCAGCTGTTTTCAAGATGCAGTGTGAGATGACATAAGGCGAAGTGTTGAGAACCCCAGTCTAGGGTCATATCCTGTGTTTAAAAATGTAGTTAAGAGGTTGGGGGCATGAATAGAGAAACTACCACTCAGAGGAGAGTGTACATAACCAGATGCACCATCCTTGGGCTCCTTTTACACCCTGCCAAGCTAGGTCCTCATGTTTATCCTGATTTGGATGTCAGACAGTCTCCTTTTATTTTCAGGGGGTCATAGATTCAGTTTTGCTTTCCATGCTTTTTCCTGAAAGTGTGCCACAGTGTTACTATACCTTTCCCCAAAGTGAGTCAGATGTGCTGACCATCAGAATACCAAAGTGGTGGTTCCCATAGCAGCCAGAACCACATGGAAGCAAACAATAAAATACCAACACTGTTCTCAAACCCAGTGGAGAACCACGGTCCCTAGAGTGAATTGAGGGTGTATTCAAAACACTGTGCCTTTCTAAGTTGACATTTCTTTTCCAAACTGAAAGAGTTGTACCTCCTTCTCTGAAGGCATCTTCACTAAGTGAATATTAGAGCCACACAGATTTTCCATGAAAGGACACTCTTAAGTTTCCTCTTGCATGCTCGATTATGGCTAGGATGACGTTATATGGTGGACTCACATATAAGACCCTTTTGTGGACTTTCAAAGTAAAGCCAGATGTTAGCTGCTGCTTCCACAGAGACTAAATGAGGTTTCAGGTAAATCAGATATATGCATGATTATAAAATTGCATGGTCCATTTCATTGAAATCTGCACTGGTGCAGAACATGATCTCCACGGCACAACCTTAAAATATTGAGCTGAACATTTACCTGGAAATATTTTAAACTTACATAGAATCATATTTGGGTGAAATAATTATAAGGACTCACCAGTTTTAGAATATTTACCTTTGGAACAAGGAGAAAGAAGAAGCACATGTTCTTACCAATAGAACCAAAAATTATCTTTTTGATTCTGTGTAAATAAAACCCAGAAGACATTAACAACATGGTAGGAAACAAGTAGGAAAATTTCCGAACAGATACATTTGCATGCACACTAGGGAGACAGCATAGCTTAGGAGTGAAGAGTATAAACTCTGGGGACAGGCAGATATGGCAGTGGTGCCACTTTGACAAGCTTGTTACTTTAACATCTCAAAGCCTGGACTACCTTCCTTTAAGAGGGCCATTGTACTGATAACATGAGTTCCCAGTTGATGAACGTTTACTGTGAGAGAGGCACTATATAAAACAGTTTACATTCATTACCTCATTTAATCCTCAAAACCACTTTATAAAGTAGTACTATTATTATCCAATTATGATTTAGGGAACTGTGGTAGAGATTGCTTAAGTTGTGCAAGAACCTCACAGTTGACCTGTAGATCAAGCAGTTACTAAGCGTCGGATATATATTAGAACTTAATAAATAATACCTCTCATGAGATTGGATGTTTTGTATAATGTGTGTCATTACCAGAGGCCAGGAAGGGTAGTGGGGAGAAAGGATGAAGATAGGTTGCTTAATGGGTACAAATATACAGTTTGATAGAAGAAATGAGACCTAATGTTTGATAGATCAGTAGGGTGACTATAGTTTACAATATTCTATAGTATATTTCAAAATAGCTAGAAGAGAATAATTCAAATGTGTTTAGTATAAAGAAAAATATTAAAGATAATACAATTTGATTTTTATAAATTATATGAATGTATTAAAACAGCACATGTACCCCACAAATATGTTCATCTATTAAGTATATATTTTAATAATACATAAATACAACTGTCTTTTATTTTGAGATGGAGTTTTACAAACTTTTTTTCTCATTTTCACATCTCAATGTTAAGTCCCGGAAATTGATATTCTCCCCAACAAGAAACAAGCAGTAGGTCCTCAAAATAGAGTTATTCTGTGCTAATTTTTCTCTACCTAGAGTTATCATTAGATATCAAGGAAGAGTTTTATATTTACAAAGTTGATTTATGCAGCTCTAAAATTGCTTGTCTCACCTCCAAACTTTTTATACTTTTTTTTTGCTGTTTTTGCGAAGGCATTTCACCATTGGCTTATAAAGACTTAGTCTCTCATCTGTCATGGAGAAAGTATAGAGCAAAATTTCTTTGGGGAGAATTTCTTCCAGTGAAAAAGAAAGCCTAAAAATGAATCTGAACTATTCAAACATCCATGAATATTTTAAAAGAAAATATTAGGATCCTGTATTTATTCACACATGAAGATACACACATTTTCCTGAAAGTCAGACAAGAGCCTCAATTCTGACAGTTTCTGCAGAGATGAAAAAAAATAAATGCATATAAAGTCATGATACAGTGAACACTCTAATAAGCCTTATTGTTTCATGCCAGATAAAATAAAAGTGAGTTGATTGGGAAAGAATTCTTATGAACGCCAGCATCATCAAGAAATAGGTTAAAAGATCTTGTAGTGAAATGAGAGCCAAAACAGATAATCACAGACTTACATAAATAATAATCTGTCCTTTATATTGTGGTTGTGGCCCATAAATCTTGATCCATTTTTCTGGCAACGGGGCTGAATGTGCTCTGACCCCTCACAGTCTTGCCTGGACCACCTTGTGATGAGGGTTGGGAATTCATGGACAATGGGTGGAGTTTGAATGAAATCCAGAACATGAATCAGGGGCACAACTTGCTGGTTCAAATCATGTCCTAGCCATGGTGCCATGAGTCTCTAACAAAATGAGTTACTGCAGGAAACTGACAGCTCCCATGCAACTTTATTTCCAGAGTTTCAAAGGATATTTCATTTACCTTTATTGAACTTATTCTTCTAAAACGATTGCTCCTGTTAGGGCCGACATTCAACAAATATGTGCTGAGACACCAGTGTTTCTTCTGAATATGGGGTCTGTGCATTACAGGCCAGTAAATACTTTCAATCCCACCCATAGTGATTGCATAGTGCAGAGTAACCCAATAGCTCACTATGTCTATCAAAAGCCTGAAAGTATATTACATTTTGGAAAGGTCTATGCATAATCAGATATTCAGAATTTAATGTCAAAAACTGGTTTTGCTGTGTCCACTTAGAGATGAGATTTTTAATTTTTTGCTTTACAGACAAATCTCCAGAATTTCAAGTTGAGTATTGGTAAATGATTCTTACATGAAGGCACAGGCTTCCATTGTCAAAGAAATGGTTTAAATCTTCTATGACTATAGGATCTACCTGCCTAAGCCAATCCCTGTGTTTTGGGAGAATCTAGGCTTCCTAAAAGTTTTCAAGCATACATTTAGACATCATAGTTTTGAAAAGCTTCCAATACATTTGCCAAGTGCCCCCCTCAATATTTGAATACATTTAAGGGAAATCTAATCCATATGTTTCTGACTCATTTACATTTGAATCATAAGTATATTATTTTCTAAGGGTCATTTAATGTCCAACAGCTTTTGTGACATGCGTTATATATATATATATATATTTATTTAGATCTTTCCTCAAATATACAAAATAGGTACAATTCTAGTTCAGTTTTTCTGTTTTTTAGTTCATCCTAAATTTGGCCAAGAGTGTTCCCTACATATTCCCTATTTGTTATGTTAACTTCAGAAGCATGCCAACTTTTCATTCTTTTACTATATAATTATTAACTTTAGTGCCATTGTGGTTCCTCTTAATTCATTCCACACGTTGCGTATCCTCTGGAGACCTTTATTTTTCAAGTATCTTTAAGCTTAGGTCATTTGGGGCTTAAGGAGTAAAAGAAATGGGGTGGGGGCAATTCTGCTTTTTTTGGAATGTGAATAACTTTTCAGCAAATAATTTTTTAAAAGGCATATGTACTGTGTGATCCATATCCAGCTCTGAATTCTTTTATCTTCATTTTGAAAACAAATAAATAAAATTCCAGACAGCACAATCATTCTAGGAAAATTCTTCAAGGAGGCCAACCGACATTAATGCAGTCCTTGAATTTAAGGTGATTTGAATAGGAATCCGCCGTTTCCAAGGTGCTCATGTATAAAGACGATTGAAAGACTGGAAACTCGGAAACACTAGTATTACACATTGCTGTACACCTGCCAAAAGCTTGTATTTTTTTAGCAAATATTATTTTTTCACTTTCTCCAAAAAGTTCATCTTGTTTAATGCATTTCAGCAATGACCATAGATATGCTTTTATTTCTCTCTGAAAATATTTCTATTAATTGCTTCCACGTGTTGGCATTCACACTGATGTAAAGTTGTCTTTGCTATGATGCACTCAGTTGTTTACATTGACATGAAATTTTAAATACCCTATTTTTTCCTTACATTTATTTAAGAGCTTCATACAGTTGATATAGTAAAATTGCCATCAGATTTATAGATCTATCTTGAGAGATAAAATGGAGCCCAAGAACCTTCAGAAAAATAATTATTGTTGGCCCCATGAGATATTTCATGCATCTGTATATTACCTGGCAAACACTCTTTCAATGCATATTTAGCATGGGGTATAATTAACATGTGGGAAGAATACCTAGGCTCCATTAAACTATTTAACTCAATATTTTAAAAATAATTTTCCTATTCCTAAAGCATCTATAATTATTCAAATATATCCATGAGGGTTTATTTTGGTTAAGAGGCATTCAAAGTTTATTACAGGATAAAATAACTGAGACTATGTCTACATAATAGACTCATTGTAGTTTTATGTGTGAGTTTGCAGTAACTTGTGGTAGACAAAATGAATGGCATGATCAAAGAAATGGTTGGTGTATGTGGCCTTGTCTTTGCAACTAAATGGTTTGTTTGTCCCACCCCAGGAGCCATTTCATCAGCCCATGCAGTTGACTGATGGCATCTCGGGACTTTCCTTCCTAGTCTTCTCATGCTGGATTCTGTTCCACTCACTTTCTTACCACTCGTTCCAGTGTTATCTCTCACCCTCTCTGTTGCATTAAGACAACCAACTCCCTTTCATAGTTCCCACCAACATATACAAGGACATTGGCTTGTGTATATCTTTGTACTCATAAAGAAATGTGGGCCAATATTTGAAAGAAATCATAGCAATTGAGAAGAAATTTGCTTTATTTTCCATAAATGATCCCATTTGGAGAACATAGGAAACATTCAGCAATCAATAAAATCCTATGATTATAATGTTTTGAATACCTAAGTATGCTTTGGAGAATAAACTTCTCAGCTCGAATCTGCACTGTGTAATTCACTTCTATGGGTTGAGTGCTTCAAGGAGACACACACAAAAGGTTTGTCTACCTTTAATAGCTGTAGTGCTTAAATGTGAATGACACATCAAAGAAACAAACACTAAAATGAGCAGTGCTGGTAATTGCTAATTCTATATTTAAATCCATGTTTTAAAATCCTGCTCTTGTCTTAGAGATGAAAATTGCTGCTTTGATTCCTACTTCAAGTCAGGGAAATAAAATGAACATTTTGGTAGCATTGGATAGTGCAGAGAAAATCTCCAAGCAGAAGCCAACTAACTCCCATGGAGTTAACACTCCAAATAGCTGTTTCTTAAGGGCCATGGTTAAATGTTCAGTGTTTATGTCCTGGAATCCTGACTCTGCCATTGCCTGGTACACAGTCTTGAGGATGTCACTTGGATACCAAAGAACCATGAAAAAGTAATATGTTGATCTGCAAAGTGTAAATAAATAAGAAAACGTGATTGAAATTTTCTTTAACATATCTGAAGAAAAATAAAAGCAAAGGGAATATTGAAATGAAATGAATGTGTTTATAGAAAGAAGTATTTATGGTATCAGATAATATTGTTTAAAAGTAGGAAAAGTCTTAGAAATGACACCCAATCCCCCCCAAAGTCAGATAAACTAATTTATTTTTTGCTAATGTGAAAGTGCCTACTGATGTACACCTCTCCCACATAAAGTAAATTTTTGATGAGCAATTGCTAGATATTGACCAAGAGTCAAATCTTATGAAATAGGAAGTTCAGGGACCATAGCCTTGTCCTCAGGGATGTGAGTGCTCCAGGATAACAGGCATCAGCCCACATCAGAGACCACCTCATGAACACCTGCCCCAGGACATGTGATTACATGATTTGTCTAATACACCTCCCTAAAGTTTCTGATGTTGACACTAGTGGACTTAACAAACATTCCTTCTAGCATTGTTTCAATATAGCAACAAATAGAGTTAGAGTACCTGGAACATAATGAATCCAAGAATGGGGGAGCAATTCAAGGTCATGGGAAAAAATAGATTTAGAGGCAAAAGGCTCCAGGTTGCTCCTTACTGCATAACCTTGGATTAGTTATTGTAATTCACTGGGCTTTGAATTCCTTAGTTTTAAAATGGGAATGATATTATTCCCCATGGGAGGATTAAAGTTCTCTGTGTACTAATAAAGCATCATACAGTTGTCAAGCACTGATATTTATTTGCTTAACATTTTTTGTGAGATCTGTTATAAACCAAGCAAAGCATTATTGAGATGCTGTCTCAGCAATGAATAAAATCTGTAGTTCCCAAAACTCAAAGAACTTAAAGGCAGTATAGTGAAGATTATAAGCGAGCAAATAGGCAATTTCAATAGAATAGGCTATGAAAGATACACAAAGTTATTAGCTAATACACTTAGGGCTGGAACTGCCTTTATTTAGAAAAAACACCTTAAGGATGAGGAGAGAAAAAAGTAATGAGCTAGCAGGAGCCTATTCCTTGAACACGTATTTAAATGAGAGCCTACTATATTCTAGACCCTCCTAACCCTTGGGACCTATCAGTAAACAAATCCCAACATCTTGTTGCCATGGAGCTTACAATCTAGTGAAGGGAGACAGATGACCATAGACAATAATTTAGAGGGCGAAAATCCTGGAAGTGTACATATGTGTGTGTGTTCATTAAGGATGGTTAGTGTAGGACTCACTGAAAAGGATACATTTGAGGAAAGCCATGCAGGATGTGAGGAAATTAGTTATACAGCAATTTTACAAATAGTGTTTCAGGAAGAGGCACCAACCAGCCCAAACATCTAAAGTGGATGCAAGCCTTCACCTCTTAGAATAGCAGGGAGACAAGTATCTGGAGTAGAGGGAGTAATGTAGGGAGGTGTGGAAGGTGAGGCCTGAGAGGTGATAACTCCCTGTGCTCAGAACTCACCAGCCTGTAAGGATTTGACTTCTATGCTGAGTGAGACACAGAGTTTTGAGTAGATGGAATCACGACTGTGTTTGAAAAGGATCACTCTGACTAACAAGACATCCTTTTAAAATAAAAGGAAAAAAGAAACTGGGATTTCAACGGGGAAAGGAAGACAATGAGGAAGAGGCAATGAGAGAAAGCAGTCCGACTCCATGAAAGGAGACTGGAGCCTTCCCAGAGAAAAGTGAGACATTTCCTGCAAGGGTTGGAGGCCAAAGGACTTTTAGTCCGGGGATGTTTAATCATTGGATTTACAAATTGCTTCTGTTACTATGAGATAACCCTCTAACACCTCTGTAAATTCTTCATAAATTCAAATACTCTCATGTACCCTTCTATGTGGGGAATAAAGAATTATGCCACATCCCATGGTTTCCCACTCCCCTAGTGCCCATGCAAGTGAGAGGCATCTGCCATAGGAAAGAGTGGTCCAGGGTTGCAGGAAATAGTGACCAGAAGTGGAGCTAAAAGTGAAGCAGAGAAGTCGCTGTAGAGAGAGGTGGCCAGAGAATGAGGGGAGGTGGCCCTCTGACAGGTATTACAGTAACTACAACTGATGGAGCCTCAAGGTGCCAAGGGAGTGCCATATAGGAGAACCTACTGTGGTCAGGAAAGGCATGTGTTAGGAAGTGACTTCTCAGTGAATACTTAAGAATAGGTAGGCTAGGGGGTGGAGTGAGAGACTGCAGGTTGCAGCCGGGAGGGCCAGCCTGTGCTTGAGCCCAGGCATGGTTGCCAACCCCATGGTCAGAAGATCCATGATAGTTTATGGTCTGGCTGGAGAGCAGAGAGTGAGGGGAAGTAGCAGGAGAGATAAACTGGGGCCAGATAGAGATGAATGCTTTAAGCCAAGCATGGTTTTGAATGTGGCCATGACTTTTTTTTAGCTCATCAGCTATCGTTAGTGTTAGTGTATTTTATGCGTGGCCCAAGGCAATTATTCTTCTCCCAATGTGGCCCAGGGAAGCCAAAAGATTGAGCATCCCTGCTTTAAGCCATGCTCTGTTTGTACTTTATCCTCATGGCCAAACTGAGACATTGACATGTTTAAGCAGGGGGTTGACAATCCTTTAGAAAGCTCACTTGGGCTAAAAACAGTTTGTTATTGAAGTTTGAGGTCAATAGAAGCTCTATGGACCTTAGGAGGCAGCTCAGCATTATTCCACTAGACTCATGGGGGAGGCCACCACTGAACAAACGCCTACATTTTTAAGGTACTTCTGATTCTTATAACCGTTAAATAAAATAGAACACGAAAAATGGCATTGCATGAGTTATTTTAATTGCAAAATGATTTGGGAAACTAATGAGTCCTTCCTCAATGCAGAGTCTTCTATGGTTAAAGAATTTTTTTTTTAACCACTTGATTAATCGTTAATACTACTATTTATATCTACTCAATTTCAAGAACAATGTATGCTAAGTGATAATAAATATAAATGATTCCATATTCTTCCAGGTCATCTTTAGGGGTGAGCCAAATT
This sequence comes from Homo sapiens, assembly GCF_000001405.40. NCBI lineage: Eukaryota > Metazoa > Chordata > Mammalia > Primates > Hominidae > Homo > Homo sapiens. The sequence goes on from NC_000008.11 coordinate 71,804,096, forward strand.
AATCAAATTCTCATTATGCTTTTCAGACATCTTAATAACATAGTGACTCTGAATAAATAACTTGTCATTAACTGACACATTTCTTCCTACTTCAAACAAAATATTGTATTGAGTGGCCATCCTTTAAAATCAATTCAAAACCCACTCCTGGACCACTCAGCATCCTTAGAACCTATCTGGCCTTCTGATGCTTCTTTAGCTGTGGCATCTGGCGGGGCTGTTGGAGAGCCATGTTGTGGCGGCCAGAAGGGGAAGGGACAGAAGAGAGAAACAACTTGAGGTATGGACTGAGAAAAGAAAGATCGAATGACAAAGGAAATATGTTAACCTGCAAAGGGGATTTTGCTCAGGGTAGAGATAATTAAATTTGGCCCCAGCTGGGAAGAAGAGTTGTTCTGTGATTGTTATTCCATCAGATTGTGAAGTTACTCTTCTCTGGAGGTACATTTATGTTCCATTGGAAAAAATATATATTTATTCCACTAACCATTCCACAGGACATGACTAATAAATAATAAATGGAAACAATAACTCCATTTGGTGCAATTTATTTCAGTGGGTCAAAGCACAGTTTTATTGCCTGCTGTTGAGAACACTGTGTTTGGAGTGTGTTCCTGTGCCTATTCATCAGGAGACAGGTACTGATATTGGCGGAAGAAGGGGACCAACAGGAACTAATCAATTCCACCCGCCGCGGTTTCTCCTGAGCTCTGTGGCTGCCAACGCACAGGCCGTGCTCAACATTCTGAAAGCCGAGGAAACCACAAGCCAACAAAGCCTCCTTTGCTCTTGCAGTTACACATCCTATAGGAGGACGGATTTCCTGGGGTTGGGGCACACCGCGACATTTACTGGTGAGAAGGAGCCGGGGGTGGCGCGGGCCTTGGTGAAGGCCTGGCATTGCTGATGGCTGAGCTAACTCCCTGGCGTCGCATTACTTGGAAAACAACCCTTCATTTTTCACTCCCCTGAAAATCGAGGGTGGTAATTCTTGGGCTCATTACCCTTGTGTGTAAAATATAGGAATGTGAGAATGTGCTGGAATAGGTTTCAAAGCCGTCGGACTTTCTGGTCTTGGTATCTGCTTGGGTGCCTGGCTGTGCCCTTAGAAAACCATTGCCTCATGTGCTCTGTGGGCATTGCGCTGGATAAGCACTGTGCTGCCTAGACTTGGGCAGACTTGGAGTGGCCAGATTGTAATACCGTCTGTCATCAAAACTGCTTACATAGAAGTATTTCTAGGCTAATTTTTGTTCAATTAAAAAGATTACAAAAGATATGTACATATAAATATATATCTGTACATATAATAATAAATTTTTTCTATAATGTTCATAGAGGAAACTGGAAATCTACATAGCAGCAAGGTTAGAAATAGTGACTTCTGAGTAGTGGGATTTGGGTTAGCTGTACTTTCTACTGTTGTAAGAATATGGACTCTGGGTTTGAGTTCAACCTCCATCACTTACTAAATAGCTGGCTGATTTTCGCTGTTGTTGAATTTCTCTAAATTTCAGCTTCTCCCTTTGTACAAATGAATAAATAAAAAGTATCCACTATTAAATGATGCTAGATGAGGTTAGATGTATTAAAAGCTTAGTTCAGAGCAAGCACCCAATAAATGTTAGCTGTTGCTTATATTGTGCTATTATATTGATGCTGTTGTTGTTATCGATGCAATACATTTAGTGGATGAAATGAATAGAGTCATTTCCTTGGACCTGTGATTACCTGCTTACATGTGTCCTTCTTACACCCTGTGAGCCAGAGTTATCCCAGTAGCATTTCCCAATAAGGGTGGGATGAATTTGTTCCAACCCCACCAACATCATTCACCAAACAGGCTGGGTCCATACTTTAAGACAATCATATCTTCTTGTTTTTGCTTTAAGTAAAAAGAAAATAATCTTGAGATCCTGGTGACTGGGCTGCTCACCAGGATCCTTTGAGTTCTCTTAAATTAGTAGGATTGTATTGAATGCCATAGGCAACTTAATAGGGAGTCTCAGCAGAGAATTCCAGAGTGAACGTTTCACTCTTATAATCAAGTCCTACATCTTTGTGAAACAGGAAGAAATAATCTCTAGCGCAAGAGTCTTGTAGTCTGAAAAACTCTGAAAAAAAAAAAAAAAAACAGGTGAGAATTGCACACTTGGAAAAGATGTTTAGTTAGAATACTGGAAATCCCCATACTTTCACATGCATCAAAGCTGAGGCATTTAGGAAACGTTGTTAAAGATTTGGATTGGTCTCTAGGTATTTTGAGTTTCTTCACAAGGTTCAAGGTATTTTACTTGAATCTCTTCTCTATAAAACCTTGTGTGGAAACATCTACCAATTGATAAGATTTCAGAAACCTCAAAAAGTCACGTCTTCGAAAAAATGGTTACCCCACTCATCTGCCAAGATGTTGCCCTCCCCAACTCCAGCTGGTCTTAGATTCCCCAAGAGGAATCATTTTCCTGGACTAGCCACTGTCTCTAGAAAACTGACATTTCTTCTGGAGAGAGTTAGGGTTCTAGCTTGAGGGCACTCTCACCTGGCTCTCTTTCCACTGGAATTCTGAAGTGGATAAATTCTGAAGTGAAGCTATCCTATCTCCATAACCCTTTGCAGTTTCCAAAACAATTCTAGTGATTTGACCTCTGCACATGTTGGAAGATGCAGAGAGTGAGGATATCATTGAAGCCAAAGCTGGTTAGACTTAGTGAGGGCAAGAAAAGAGAGTAAGCTCCAAGAGACTGGGCTTTAGACACTGGGAATATACAGGATGAGGGAAATGATAGTGAGGTAGAGGATAAAGCATGCCAAATATCACTGTGGGGTGATCTCCCCAAGGGAGTGGGGAGAACCAAAGCCTGTCCAAGATTACTTTTGTATTTTTGTCTCAAGTCAAATCTGCCTTATTAATAGGTTAGTTCAGGGAACCTCAGAGACCAGCCTGTCCAAGGTTCTCCGTGGGTTGTGTGTATCACAAAAGGCCTCACATGTTTCCCAGCATATTTCTAGGTATGCTGACGAGCTATCAGAGTGGGGCCCAGAAGTCTACCTTGTAAACAACATTGTAAACTTCTGATGCAGGTTGTCTGTGAAAAGCACTTTGAAAAATTCATCTATTCTAACCATCTCGTTATGAATGAAGAGACAGAAGCCCACAGAGATCACATGGCTTACTCTGGACAACATTGATAATCTGGTAGCAGAATGATCTGGAACCTAGGTATTTCTTACTGAAAATAGAGATCATTGCTGGAACTAGGTATTGCCTGCTGTGTACCATAGACTTTTCTAATTTCATGCCTCTATAAAAGTAATGGTGTCCATCATTAGAATGTGTGGTCTCTGTCTGCCACTGTGAGAGTAACGGGAATCCCTTGTATGTTTAATGACAAGCCAGAGATCTATGTCCAACAAAATATGGCAGAAATGAGATTCATGGACAAAGATTGGAACTGTGGCTATAGACTGTATTTGGAGATTCCTTCAGCTTTAACCCTGCAAACTCAATGCTACATAAACAGAAGGCCCAGCTCCAGAATGGTCCGGATCTTAATCTCATTCCTGAACAAGGTAAGAGAGGAGAAATAACAGCCCATTTGCACAACTGAAAGAGCAAGGGTCCATAGAGGCCTCTTGTCCCATGTCCTCTTCTCCTGGGATAAGCATCTCTACCCTGGAGGTGGCCAGAGAATCCTGTTCCAGTGGAACCTGCTGTGACAGGATCACTCCCCACGGCCGCCATCTGGTGCAGCAGCCTCACCGTCAGCTTCTCTCTAGGATGGACGTTTAGGTGAGATGACCCTGCAGGTCTTCCATTTAAAAACAAATTATGGTGTAAAACACTGTAGTCTTCAAACAAGACCATCAGGACATGACTTGAATCCTCCCAAATATTTCACCACTACTGGAAGCTTCACAGCCAGGAGTGGCTTCCCCTCAGGCTGTCAGTGCCTTGACTGGGCTCCGCCAATGCCATCACATCACAGCCTGAGTGATTCTGAGGGAAATGACCTTGAAGTCCATGGTGCTGCTCAAAGACCCATGGTGGCGGGGTCAGGCTTGCTCTTTGAAAGGTCTTCTGAAGGTACAGTGGGCAACTCATGGAGTCCTGAGATCCTGAGTTCCCAAATGAGAACATCATAGTCCGTGTCTGTGGACACATTTGACTCAATCCTCAAGGCCTTCAGTTTGCACAGACTAGGTGAATTTTGTGAATTTGTTGTGTGTGGTAAGAATCTTCGTTCTTGACCTCTAGGGCTTTCTTGAGGGAAAACCTACATTGATGAATGTAAAAATTCAAGAGTGCTATAATAAAACAAATGTGATTTTAAAAATACTTTATGGGGAGAAATACTCTAATTACAAATCAAATGGCTAAATAAAGTAGTCCAACACGAAGCATTTCTGTCTCTTTTGCCCTCTCTCACACACATACATACACACAGTTTTAGCACAGCATCAGAAGTAAAACATAACTTAGCATCTCTTTGCCGTACAGGTCTATAGACTTAACTCCTAGGCCACAGTCTTGTTTTCTTCCTTTCTTTGCTCCTCATTATAAAAATGTTTTAGAATATTCAGAGACTGATTTGCTCAGTTAGAGAGATTTCATCACAAAGGAAGAATATTTGGGTACCCAAAATCAGGGAGGGCGGCAAAGTTCCCATTCCTCTGTTCTTTCATTCACGTGTTCGTGTGTTCTTTGATTCTTCCACATGTGTTCATTCACCTACTATCTGAGGTTTAAATGCCGAATTCCATTCTACAATTATCTCATCTTTCACCCTTAAATTGTCCTCTTTTCTGACATTGGCATTCTCTATTAACGGCATTAGTGTCTTTCACTTTTCCTGTTTCCTCATTAGCCACACCTTCCCACCACGACTGTATCCTTGCAAATCTAAGTAGTGATTAAATTATACACCCAACCACCCCTAAGCAGGGATCTTGGACTTCCCTTCGAATTCTCCATATAAGGCTGGCACCTGGTCAGAGCAGGTGTTTCATAAAGGTGGAATGAATGAATGATTCATTATCTAACTTCTCTCACATCTTTACCCTCTTTCTACCACCAGTGTCTTCATTCATGTCTGTCACACCTTCATATAGACCACTGAGGTTACCCACTGACACAGTCCCCCATCCCTACTTTCTTTCCACCGCCAGTTCATTCCATACACTGCCCTTTAAAGCATTGGTCTCATCTTGTCTTGTCCCATTGTTCTCGTTACTCCTCATAAAGCCCAAAGTCCTAAACTTGGTATTCAAAACCCTTCACAATTTAGCCCTTCATCTCTTCAGTCCTTTCTCCTGCCACATCGCATCCTAAAACTGTTCTATCCAGTCCAGATGACAAACATGACCTTGCCAGTGTTTGAACCCTTCTCTCTGTCTAGAATGTTTCTCCTCAAACCCTCATTCCCACCCCATCTCATCCTATCCAAATTCCACACGCCTTTGAAGGCTAGTTTGTACAGACTCTTAATTAGTATTTTTCTCTGTCCTCTCAGAGTTAATTTTACTTACAGCACTCATCACCACATGCTTTCTTACATTCTGATTATTTGTTATCATATCATATTCTTCTCTACCAGGTGATAATCTCATTATGGGGAAAATTTGTTTCTCATTCGTCTTTCTCCTCCAATGGTTAACAAATGCCTTATACATTTTAGGCACCCAATAAATGATTCTGATGGAATTTAATTGTACAGAGAAATATAGCCCTTACTCATAAAAGAACTGGGGGGGGAATACATGGAAGAACATGATATAGTTAAAGCCGTCAGCTTTTGGCCATAGAGATATTTTACTACCAACCAGAAAAGGAAGGCAGGTTTATACCATCTGCCATCAATGTCTGTTTCAGTGACATTGAAGTATAGGATTGTATATAGATGAAGTATACTGACATCTAAAGTATAGGATTCTCTGATTCAATATCTCTAGATCAATATGGGTATTAACAATAAAATTTAGCATTTTAATTGACAGTGAACTTAGAGATTTCCTCTGCTTCCCTCATTTCAACCACGAAGAAGCTGAAGGAAGCCAAGGCATTCCTATTACCCCGGTACATTCATAAGATGCCAGATACTGTGATCAATGCTTTATAGTGATTCACCTGGAATCCTTATCACCCTAGGAAGTGGGCAAGGTTGTTAATCCACATTCCATATGTGGGAAATCTGAGAGCTGCAGAGGTTTAGCAACTTCTCCAAGGTACATAAAGCAAGGAGCAGACAGAATCGAGGTTAAAAATGTATCTTGTCTGATTCAACAATGTTCTTTGTTATGCAGTTAAAGCAATGTTTTCAAGACCTTTCAACGAGTTAGCAGCAAAAGATGACAGCCGCAAACTTTTGATATCTAGTTTGTGCCTCTTTCATTTACCACTTTCAATCAGATTTTGCTAGTAAATAAGGCAAGTTTTCCAGTGCTTAGAAAATGCAAATTAAAATCTAATACAATTTGCTTTCATATCTGCAAGTGATAGGTACTCTTCTTTATCTGTTTTAATTTCTTTTGTGTTTTTTACATGTTTGATGTTTTTTATAATTTAAAAAAGTCTATGGCAAAAAATAAAATAAGTAGAATTTATTATTTTTGATAGAATCATTCTCCAGGGGAATGACCATGTCAAAAGTTCCATAGCAGGCTTTATTTTATCAAAGATAATCTTTTTCAAGATTATTTTCTACCAAGACTTATCTAACAACACGATTTTAAATTTAGATGAGTTTTCAGAAAAATGTAACAAAAAGAAGGGGGTGGAAATTCACGTATTTTCTGGATCGGTGGGGTTGCCAGGGGGGTGGGGCGGGGGAGTAGTTTTATTGCTTTCACAGGCATAGGCTGCCCTCTGCTGTCAGAAATAAGCTCTTACAACTCTTTGTCGGTTTCAAAAACACAACTCTTGTATCAGATGTGCCCCCAAAAAACAAGATTGTGAGGATTTAAGTACAGCATTTACTCATTACGTGCTAAGGTTATTGCCTTAGATCTGAAAGGCAGAATCTGGAGATTCATATTGGTGGGTTAAGGTAATAAGATGACTTTCATGTGTCTTAAAAACAACCCTTTTAAATAGTGACTCCTTGACAGCCCAAATCTCATTTAATGAGAGGTCAGAGCCACCAGCCAGAGCGTTTCTTGTACTCTCCTCTCAGAAGAAAGCGCCAAAATATGACCCAAGTTCCCATGGCAGGACTGTTGTCTGGCTTAAATGACATACATGTAAAGAACCCAAGCACAAGACCAGGCACGTGGTCGTTGCTCAGCAAATAGAAGTTATCATCTTAATCTTCATCATAATTGCATCAAAAGGAAAGTAATAAGAACATCTTCTGGGAGTGTCTTGGAAAGCACAGGCAGGCTGATTGCCACCCTACCACCATTTAGGCCTGCGGTTGGGTAGAATGAGTATTTCATCATTTGAGTCTGATAAAATGACCCTAAAGTACCATACAATTCACTTGTGCTCCTTGCATGGAATTCACAAGGCTAGCCTTCCACTTTTCAGAAAGTTTTCATAAGGGCTAAACAACATATACTTAATGTAAAAAAAATGTTGGATATATCCTAATTTAAGTTGAAAATTCAACAAGAAAAACCCCATTTTCATTTATTCACTCTTTTATATTTTTCAGTGATTTCCTCTTACATCTTCCAGCCAAAATGGATTCTAGTACTGATAAACAACAGTAGCCAACAGCCTGCCCCTTTTTTCATGCCAACACTGCAAGAACATCAAAGAGATTCATATTCCTTATGGGAGGTCACTTTGTACTAGGAATAAATATTATATTGCACTCACAGGATTATTTTTTGGCCTCCCAAATTGGTATTTCATTTACAAGTCATTTAAAATCCAAAGCTATTGGCATGAGGGAGTGACAACAGTAGAAACACTGCAAGTGTTAAGATCTTTGTGGATTTCATTAAAAAAAAAAAATCTGAGTGGTTCAGCCAGAACAACTTTCACTGGGCTCACTGCCACATCCTTTTCCAAAGGCAACTCAGGAAAGTGGCACAGTGCATCAAATGTCATTCTTGTTTTGCTTGCTGAGGTTTAAATTTTTCTTGTGTTTTGGGTGTAAGAAATCAACTGGAGAAAGATCATACAATTAATACAGGAAAGAATACAATGAATTGATATATTTAGCAGAATGATCATTTAGCCTTCAGCCTTCTCCTTTCTCTCACCATGGAAAATATTTTATCCTTTGGCAAACAGTCAAAGCGTGTTGCCATAGGGTGCTTTCCTTTTGGAAAATAACAATCTTTGTGGTTTTATAAATCTTCTTTGTTAACCTAAAATTATTTCCATCAATTTTTTTGAAGTGTAGCAGATACTATTGCAACTTTATCCATTCCATGACCTCCAGGGACTTGCTAGGAAAGAGACTTCTCAGCGAGGACCACAGGACTCACGAGGTCCTGCTGCAGGCTCCCTCTCCATTTTTTCCACACTCTTCCCCCAAACTGCCAACCCCTGAGCACAACACAATCATCCACTTCAATCCTTCTGCCTTTGCAGAAGCTATTGCTTTTGTCTAGAATGCCTCTCACTTCCCATTTTGTTTGCCTGTCAAACGTATAATTATTTACATCTTGTATCAAATCTTTTGATGCTTTGGGACATCTTCCTTATCATCGCAGAATTTGTTTTCCATGATAAAATGTACCTCCATTATAGGACTTATAATAAAAGGCAACTATTTCTTGACATAATGACCATAACAGCTAACGTTGTTGACTTTGGATACCATGATAGGAACTCTGTGATATATCTCATAAGCATTATTTCCAATCCCCCCATTCATAAGTGTGAAATTGTATAGATGTGGAAACTGAGGGTTAGAGGAGTTACATGGTTTGCCTGTGATTACGCAGCTTGTGTGTTTGGGTTGCAGATGTCAACCCATTTCCTTTCCTTCTCTAAGCCATGCTGTTTGTTATCACTTTACATTGCCCTTCCGTTCACCATCCTCACTGGGTGACAGCTCCTTTATGTCGGGCACACGTTCTATTCCTTTTGATATTTCTCATGTTAAGCATAGTACCTTATATCTAATTGCTGGGTCAAGATGCATGCTGAATGAATAAATAAAATGAGTGGCTCATTGCAAAACCTTTTTGAAGTGCAGATTGAATTTGGTTGATTTTTGCTTTAAAGGGTTGAGAAACACAGTCCACAGGAGGAGTCAACACGAATGACTCTAGGTCCAACCCCATAGCCTCGCCTCCCCTTTCCTTTCCTGCATTCACCTCGTCCCTGAACTTGGGATCACAGAGCTGATGAAAGTTCACGTCCTTAGAACTACCAAAGTAGCTGCCCTGATTGCATGGAATGTTCTCACACTTCTCTCACTTTACTCACGAAGCCCTTTTTCTTTCATGCCGGGTGTGAAATCCATACTCCCCAACAATGCTTCCCAGGACTAATGAGACAAGGGGTAAAGGAGAAATGCTAAAAGCTATAAAGTTCCAGCCTTTGAGGGGGAGCAGCAGCATGAGTGACTGGGAGTGCAGGCTCTGGAGTGAAACACTGAGCTCAGGCAAAGGTGCTGCCACTGACTTGCTGCTGTGTCATTTGGGGCAAGTGACTGAAGGTCTCTAAGCAGCAATCTTTTCAAGTGTACCCATCCCATAGGGTTGTTCTGAGAGCTCATGCCTCTAGGCTTAGGGTCTGGTACAATATAACACTCAAGGAATATTAGCTAGTACTATTAATAAGACAGAAAATAGGAAGACAAGTAGTCAAACAGAAAGGGAGGAGAAGAGTGACTTTTAAAATCTGTCTCAGGTTTCAAGCCCCCAACTTACAGTGATCTTATGAAGAAACATACCTTCGGAGTTTTGTGCATGGATACAGCCATGTCTATGAGCCTTTCTTTGAAAACTCATTGAAATTTGGGATCAGGAAGCAAAAACTATAGTCCTTCATCTATTAAACCAGGTAAAAACATACACCCTGTGATTTTTAAGGGATTTAAGGGCAACTATTCAGGTAAAACCAGCCATTTCTTGTTTTATGGAAATGGCTCATAAACACTTGGGCCATAGTCTTTGAACTGAAGCATGTCAGATATCCAGTGATTAATGTTCATAGAAATTATTAATTGCAAGACAGAGGCACTTAACAAATATTGAGTCTGAAGAATATTACTGATGATTTCTTCAGCGGTGCAAAGAGTGAGTGGGACGAGGAGAGGGCACAGCAAGCCACGGACCCATGAAGAGATAAGTGTGAAGATAAGATTGGCCAGTTTCCTTCATTGCCAATTCTTCTTTTCCTCATGACTGATATACTTCTTTACCCATTTGGCTAGATTTCCCAATAACTTCTTTGATAAGCAAATATGACATTTTCTCTTCCTTAGTGCCCCTCTGAACTAAGAGCTATGCACAAAAGCAAGGTTCTTTGGGGAGAAATCCTCTGGAGAAGGCAGTGAAGTGAAGTAGTCAAAGCATGAACATGAAGTAAGGTAGCCTGGGTTTAAATCTCAACTCTAGCACTCAGCAGTTCCAGGCTCTTGGGCCTTTTTTTTTTTTTTTCTTTTTTTTTGACAGAGTCTCGTTCTGTCACCCAGGCTGGATTGCAGTGGCGCAATCTCAGCTCACTGCAACCTCTGCCTCTCGGGTTCAAGCAATCCTCCTGCCTCAGACTTCTAAGTAAGTAACTGAGATTACAGGCGTGCCACCAGGACTGGCTAATTTTTTTGTTTGTTTGTTTGTTTTTGAGACGGAGTCTCGCTCTGTCACCCAGGCTCAAGTGCAGTGGCGCGATCTCGGCTCACTGCAAGCTCCGCCTCCCGGGTTCGCGCCATTCTCCTGTCTCAGCCTCACGAGGACCTGGGACTACAGGCGCCTGCCACCATGCCTGGCTAATTTTTTATATTTTTAGTAGAGACGGGGTTTCACCATGTTGGGCAGGTTTGTCTTGAACTTCTGACCTCAAGTGATCCACCCGCCTCGGCCTCCCAAAGTGCTGGGATTACAGACGTGAGCCACCACGCCCAGCCCTTGGCATTTAATTTAACTTCCCAGAATCTTGTTTTATTTCATTGTGAAATGTGGATAAATATTTTTCACCCCAGAAAGTTATTGTAAGAATTCAATGAAAATAACCTATGAAACAACTTCAGCATGGTTCTAGCATTCAGTAATTACTATTCTTAATTGTTATTTACCTGCTTGTATATATATTAAAACCAAGTACTTGATTCTAATTATTATTTTCATTATTTTAACTATTATGATTTTCATAATTATATATGTATGTATATTTTTAACAAAAGATTTTTAATTAACCAAAGTTACACTTGTGGATGATTCTCAATGCTCCATGATAATACACTTATTTTTAAATTTATTCTTTTCTTCTTCAGAAAGAATCAGGTAGGAGCAAACAGAATGTTGCAAATCCTGATTATGCAGAGAATTAATCACATATCATGTAAACTCTAGTCATCGTGAACTCTGCCCTCCAAAAGAAGGAACAGGTAAGGATGATCTCACCTGTGGATAATGCATCTCTTTTAAATGCTCAACAGAATGAGCAAGTCCTTCCACAGTCCATCTTTTCCTAAAACAATTTAGCCACTCTAGGGATCATTAAAGCCGCACCAACATCCTTCCAATTTGGCAATAACCAATGGGAAAATCCACCTAGTTATTCTCAGGGAGCAAACCAGTTGACCAAGTTAGAGCTGGGTCTGACTTGTCCAATGAGCAATTCACTCTTCAGCAATTCCTTTTGAAGAGAGAAAGTTATTGTGTGGAATTGCTAGAGTTGTTGTGATACACTGTGTCTCTGCCCTTTTGAAAGTAGAAGCACTGCAGGTCACTCACAAGCCACTGGGCAAATACCCAATGGCCCTTGAGAGTTATTCAGTGCCCTTGACTAGAAGAGTTGGCATTGGCTTCTGGGTATTAATCTTAGGTAAGGAGGAAAGGTATTGAGAAAATGAGAATAAAATGAAGGAAGCTTGAATTTAGCATATCTGCCTTTATAAGAATTGCTGTACATGTTTGTCTTAGCTCAGGTTGTTATAACGAAATACCACAGATTGGGTGTCTAAAACAACAGACATCTGGAGACTTGACAGTCTGAGATCAAGCATGGTCAGGTTCTAGTAAGGGCTCTCTTTCTAGTTTTCTCACACGACAGAGAGAGAGAAGGGCATAGAAGAGAAGACAGAGAGAGAGAGAGCTGTCATGTTCCTCCTTCTAAGAGCATTAAGTTCATAATGATGGCTCCACCCTCATGACCTAATCACCTCCCAAAGGCCTTAGCTCAAAATACCATCACATTGGGGATTAGGGCTTCAATATACAAATTTTGGGTGGGTAAAAGCATTTAGTCTATAGTAATATTACCCTTCCTTCCTCACTCTTCCCTAACCAGAGTGAACACTCCTGAGGACAGAGAGCATATCTGGTGCTAAGCACCTCAGAAGCAGGTGCTCAATACGTGTTCATTTAATTGTTGACTTGATTTACTACGGCACCAAAATACAACTTTTAGAGAGGACACAGGCACCTGTTTCTGCTCAGCCTTCAGAGGGGATTTTCTTTGTGAAAGTCTGCTTCTCCCAACTGAAGTCAGGAAAAAGGCATGTGAGCATTTTGTGAGATAAGAATCCATCCCAAGGAGAATGTCTCAACTGCACATAGAGTGTTTACTGGGGATAAATGAAACAAGAAAAAGAAAAGACAAATTAATGATATCTGTCTACAAAATTCACTACCAAATGATCACTTTCAACTTTTGTTCTAGAAGCACAGTATATAATATTTATGAATGGAAAATCTTTATGAAATATACGTCAATAAAGGAAAGCTTTCTTTCCCTTTTCCATATACCCCACAATTTTCCCCAATAACACAGAAGAAGTAAGCAGTGATTAAGTTGGTGCAGTTCTCATGCCCCATCAGAATTCACAGATAGAGAGCGTTGTTGCATGTTCAGTGCCAAAACTGATGTTAAGCTTGAAAGTGACATTAATGATTCTATAAGTTAACACATTCCCCCCAAGTAGAAAAAGCCAGCAGGAGAAGAGGTAGTGAATTCCAAACTTCTTTAATTTTAAATTTGCCATTCAGCTTAAAAACCAAAAATATTAATAGTAACTTTAGTGTTCTTTGTGTTTCTGTCCTGAATTGCACCCATTTCTTGCCACCAACCTGAATTTGGTGCTCTATTCCTATGCACTTTTTTTCCACTTTTGCTACATATGAGTGTATCTCCAAGCAACATATGGCATTTCTTTGCCTGTGTTTAAATTCTCTATACATAGCATTATTATGTTGTATGTTTCTGAAACTTATTCCTTGCTGCATAACAATAAAAATATATTTGCTTACAGTAAAATTACAAATTTCTGTTCCTCAAAGAATACCATTCAAAAAGGTGATGAATTGATAGAAGGGGAAAGAACAGGCATCAGAAGAGGGGAAGATATTTGTAAAACTCATACCTAATAAACGTTCCCCATCCAGAAACCAAACTCACAATTTACATCAGGTGAAAACTTGACTCTGTGGTATTCACTTCTCAGGCCTCTGTACATATGCAGCCTAGGATGTTCCTAGTGATAATGTCATTCATGCTAGACCCACAAAACTTTTACTGTCACAATACAACTGCTCAGTAACAAGGACAGATCAGAAATTGAAATTGAGTTCCGATAGCTTGTTTGGAGACCACACAGAAAATTTATTTTCTGTGTCAAAAAATCCAACTTCACCAACCCTAGGGAGATTCAACAAGCTAGATGCAACAGAAGAAAAGAAAAAGAAACTGTGAGGTGGGGTGAGTAACTGGTGGTGACTGATGGGCTTTAAAACTAAGACTACATAGCCAAGCCCCAGAATCCTTGGTAACCATGTAACTCGAGGCAATAGGATGGCCTATTGTGGTAGGTGGAATGGGGGCCCCCAAGAAATGTTACATCCTACTCCCTGGACCTTGTACATGTGAACTTGTTTGGTAAAAAAAGTCTTCTTTGCTGATATAATTAAATTATGGATATCAAGATGAGATCATCCTAGATTATCCAGGTGGGCCTTAAATCTGATGACAAGTGTCTTACAAAAGACAGCAGCCACGTGGAGATGGAGGCAGAGAGTGGAATTGTGCAGCCAGAAGCCAGGGAATGCTTGGGGCCACCAAAAGCTGAAAGAAACAGAAGGCCCCTCCTCAAGAGCTGTCAGGAGAAGCTCGGCCCTGCTGACATTTGATTTCAGATTCTAGCCTCTAGGACTATGAGAGAGAAATAAATTTCTGTTATTTTAAGCCACCGAGTTTATAATAATTTGTAACAGTCCTAGGAAACAAATACACCTTTATTCCATCAGAGAGGCAAAGTATTTTTGTTGTCTAGGATTTCTTTTGATGAGGCAATTTCCAGTGTTTAAAATAAGCCGAGCTCCTCTGTTCTCTGTCAAATACCCAAACTGCTGCTGAACTATGGAAATCTTCTTCAAGGCACATTTTCCTTCAGCCTCCCAAACAGGGAAGCAAATTTGAGAAATTAATAGAACTTCACACCCAGTGGGTAGATATCCCAAAGTTAATTTAATTGGGGCCCACGACGAAAGAAATTTAAAGGCCATTTTAATTTTGCTAGTTTAACATGAACATATGTGCAAAGCTACAAAATTGAGATAAGATGCAACAACGGTACGAGGAGAGATTAAAGAGATTGACAGTGAAATGTGTGAAGAACAATTAAATTAAGTCAATAAAAATGGAAAATAATGTGCTTGTCAACCCAAAAATCCTGGGCTGCATTAGTAAGAATGTAATAAACAGAGCAAAGGAGGCAGTAGGCAGGGTCTGTTGTACCTGATGCTGTTGCTCCTTGAGAATGGCATCTGCAAATTTGAGCACATCCAAGGGAGGGCAACTAGGACTCTAGAGAGTGAGTGTAATGATGAATAAAGATCAGATGAAAGACTTGATGGTTCTCAGCTTGGAAAATATCCGTAGGATGAATGTGATGGTGTCTTCATGCCTTCAAATGATCATCATAGGGATTACATTGGGCTCTGGCAAGGAATGCTGAGCCTGCAAAAGGGACTAACTAGAAGTGGCCAGGGCAGGAGGAAGAAATCAAGAAGGTGCCATCAGGCAAGCCAAGGGACAGTTCCAAGCCTGGGCCTGGCAGTGTGAGTGGAGAAAACACCCATAGCAACCTGTGAACTGGCAGTCCCCACAGCAGTACAAACTGAGATGCAAGGAGGGAGAAACAGGGTTTTTGTAGAAAGGGAGAAATCCTTGAAGACCCACATTTACACTCTGTGCTTTGTCTCATATCAATACAGTCTTAATTTTAGCTAATGACCAGTCAACTGGAAAATAACCCAATGCACCTGGCTTGTGCCATCACTCAGTGGTTTCTAAATGTTCACCTCCTGCCGCCCACCTGTGATGGCCATTAGGGAGAAAAACTGAAGCCACAATAGTCATCACATCGCCCCTACATTTTTTCCTGAATGTTAGAATGCACTTTATTTTTTGAAATTATGATGATAGTAGTTTGAAACTAATTATTTTAAATGTCTAATTTGGCAAAACAAAAATAATTGAAATCACCAATATCATTTGTAATATTTTTGGAATTTTCTTCTGGGAAATCAAAAAGTCTGGAAACCATGGCTCCAGATTACACCAAAAGGAAACATAAGATTAAAACTGTATTCAAAAACAAAAACCTCAAAATTCTTGTCAAAGAGCCCTTTTCCTAAGAAATAAGCAAGGAAGAAAACATGGGGTCTGGGCTGTTTAGATGTTACTTATAGTTTGAAAACTTCCAAAAATTCATGTGCACATTTTTGTTAATATAGGATTCAGAGTTGTGTGTCTGTGTACCTATGTATGTATGTATATAGCTGATGGTGGGACAATGAAGCAATTAAAATCTGTACATCGTAATAACAACCATAGTATTATACAAACAGTTTCCCCAAATTACTACAGTTCTTTCTCATGGACACACCTACATTCCTGTGATAACACTATGGCCACAAGAGGGCAATATACATTCAGGTTACTAATGCCTGTCAAGAGTTTTGCCTCAAATCAGATTAAGTCAACTAGTCTTTGCTGTTCTTTGCTCCAAGGGCAAGAAAACATGTTAAAAATATTGTCTTTGTGAGGGGTGGAGCCAAGATGGCCGAATAGGAACAGCTCCAGTCTACAGCTCCCAGCATGAGAGACACAGAAGACGGGTGATTTCTGCATTTCCAACTGAGGTACTGGGTTCATCTCACTGGGGAGTGTTGGAGAGTGGGTGCAGGACAGTGGGTGCAGTGCACCGAGCATGAGCCAAAGCAGAGAGAAGCATCACCTCACCCGGGAAGCACAATGGGTTAAGGAATTCCCTTTCCTACTCAAAGAAAGGGGTGACAGAGGGCACCTGGAAAATTGGGTCACTCCCACCCTAATACTGCGCTTTTCCAATGGTCTTAGCAAACGGCACACCAGGAGATTATATCCTGCACCTGGCTCAGAGGGTCCTACACCCACAGAGCCTCTCTGATTGCTGGCACAGCAGTCTGAGATCAAACTACAAGGCGTCAGCGAGGCTGGAGGAGGGGCGCCCACCATTGCCGAGGCTTGAGTAGGTAAACAAAGCGGCTGGGAAGCTCGAACTGGGTGGAGCCCACCGCAGCTCAAGGAGGCCTGCTTGCCTCTCTAGACTCCACCTTTGGGGGCAGGGCATAACCATACAAAAGGCAGCAGAATCCTCTGCAGACTTAAATGTCCCTGTCTGACAGCTTTGAAGAGAGTAGTGGTTATCCCAGCACACAGCTGGAGATCTGAGAGTGGACAGACTGCCTCCTCAAGTGGGTCCCTGACCCCCGAGTAGCCTAACTGGGAGGCACCCCCCAGTAGGGGCTGACTGACACCTCACATGGCCAGGTACTCCTCTGAGACAAAACTTCCAGAGGAAAGATTAGGCAGCAACATTTGCTGTTCACCAATATCCCCTGTTCTGCAGCCTCTGCTGCTGATACCCAGGCAAACAGGGTCTGGAGTGGACCTCCAGCAAATACCAACAGACCTGCAGCTGAGGGTCCTGACTGTTAGAAGGAAAACTAGCAAGCAGAAAGGACATCCACACCAAAACCCCATCTGTACATCACCATCATCAAAGACCAAAGGTAGATAAAAACCACAAAGATGGGGAAAAAACAGAGCAGAAAAACTGGAAACTCTAAAATTCAGAGCACCTCCTCTCCTCCAAAGGAACACAGCTCCTCACCAGCAACAGAACAAAGCTGGATGGAGAATGACTTTAATGAGTTGAGAGAAGAAGGCTTCAGACGATCAAACTACTCCAAGCTAAAGGAGGATGTTCGAACCCATGGCAAAGAAGTTAAAAACCTTGAAAAAAATTAGACGAATGGCTAACTAGAATAACCAATGCAGAGAATTCCTTAAAGGACCTGATGGAGCTGAAAACCAAGGCACGAGAACTACGTGACGAATGCACAAGCCTCAGTAGCCAATTCGATCAACTCGAAGAAAGGGTATCAGTGATGGAAGATCAAATGAATGACATGAAACGAGAAGAGAACTTTAGAGAAAAAAGAATAAAAAGAAACGAAAAAAGCCTCCAAGAAATATGGGACTATGTGAAAAGACCAAATCTACGTCTGATTGGTGTACCTGAAAGTGATGAGGAGAATGGAACCAAGTTGGAAAACACTCTGCAGGATATTACCCAGGAGAACTTCCCCAATCTAGCAAGGCAGGCCAACATTCAAATTCAGGAAATACAGAGAACGCCACAAAGATACTCCTTGAGAAGAGCAACTCCAAGACACATAATTGTCAAATTCACCAAAGTTGAAATGAAGAAAAAATTATTAAGGGCAGCCAGAGAGAAAGGTTGGGTTACCCACAAAGGGAAGCCCATCAGACTAACAGCGGATCTCTCGGCAGAAACTCTACAAGCCAGAAGAGAGTAGGGGCCAATATTCAACATTCTTAAAGAAAAGAATTTTCAACCCAGAATTTCATAACCAGCCAAACTAAGCTTCATAAGTGAAGGAGAAATAAAATCCTTTACAGACAAGCAAATGCTGAGAGATTTTGTCACCACCAGGCCTGCCCTACAAGAGCTCCTGAAGGAAGCACTAAACATGGAAAGGAACAACCGGTACCAGCCGCTGCAAAAACATGCCAAATTGTAAAGGCCATTGAGGCTAGGAAGAAACTGCATCAACTAACGAACAAACTAACCAGCTAACATCATAATGACAGGATCAAATTCACACATAACAACATTAACCTTGAATGTAAATGGGCTAAATGCTCCAATTAAAAGACACAGACTGGCAAATTGGGTAAAGAGTCAAGACCCATCAGTGGGCTGTATTCAGGAAACCCATGCCATGTGCAGAGACACAAATAGGCTCAAAATAAAGGGATGGAGGAAGATCTACCAAGAAATGGAAAACAAAAAAAGGCAGGGGTTGCAATCCTAGTCTGTGATAAAACAGACTTTAAACCAACAAAGATCAAAAGAGACAAAGAAGGCCATTACATAATGGTAAAGGGATCAATTCAACAAGAAGAGCTAACTATCCTAAATACATATGCGCCCAATACAGGAGCACCCAGATTCATAAAGCAAGTCCTTATAGAACTACAAAGAGACTTAGACTCCCACACAATAATAATGGGAGACTTTAACACCCCACTGTCAACATTAGACAGATCAACGACACAGAAAGTTAACAAGGATATCCAGGAATTGAACTCAGCTGCACCAAGTGGACCTAATAGACATCTACAGAACTCTCCACCCCAAATCAACAGAATATACATTCTTCTCAAAACCACACCACACCTATTCCAAAATTGTCCACAGAGTTGGAAGTAAAGCACTCCTCAGCAAATGTAAAAGAACAGAAATTATAACAAACTGTTTCACAGACCGCAGTGCAGTCAAACTAGAACTCAGTATTCAGAAACTCACTCAAAACCGCTCAACTACATGAAACTGAACAACCTGCTCCTGAATGACTACTGGGTACATAACAAAATGAAGGCAGAAATAAAGATGTTCTTTGAAATCAACGAGAACAAAGACACAACATACCAGAGTCTTTGGGACACATTTAAAGCAGTGTGTAGAGGGAAATTTATAGCTCTAAATGCCCACAAGAGAAAGCAGGAAAGATCTAAAATTGACACCCTAACATCACAATTAAAAGAACTAGAGAAGCAAGAGCAAACACATTCAAAAGCTAGCAGAAGGCAAGAAATAACTAAGATCAGAGCAGAACTGAAGGAAATAGACACACAAAAAACCCTTCAAAAAATCAGTGAACCCTGGAGCTGGTTTTTTGAAAAGATCAACAAAATTGATAGACCGCTAGCAAGGCTAATAAAGAAGAAAAGAGAGAAGAATCAAATAGATGCAATAAAAAATGATAAAGGGGATATGACCACCGATCCCACAGAAATACAAACTACCATCAGAGAATACTATAAACACCTCTATGCAAATAAACTAGAAAATCTAGAAGAAATGGATAAATTCCTCGACACATACACCCTCCCAAGACTAAACCAGGAAGAAGTTGAATCTCTGAATAGACCAATAACAGACTCTGAAAATGAGGCAATCATTAATAGCTTACCAACCAAAAAAAGTCCAGGACCAGATGGATTCACAGCCGAATTCTACCAGAGGTACAAGGAGGAGCTGGTACCATTTCTTCTGAAACTATTCCAATCAATAGAAAAAGAGGGAATCCTCCCTAACTCATTTTATGAGGCCAGCATGATCCTGATACCAAAGCCTGGCAGAGACACAACCAAAAAAGAGAATTTTAGACCAATATCCCTGATGAGCATCGATGCAAAAATCCTCAATAAAATACTGGCAAACCAAATCCAGCGGCACATCAAAAAGCTTATCCACCATGATCAAGTGGGCTTCATCCCTGGGATGCAAGGCTGGTTCAACCTACGCAAATCAGTAAATGTAATCCAGCCTATAAACAGAACCAACGTCAAAAACCACATGATTATCTCAATAGATGCAGAAAAGGCCTTTGACAAAATTCAACAACACTTCATGGTACAAACTCTCAATAAATTAGGTATTGATAGGATGTATCTCAAAATAATAAGAGCTATCTATGACAAACCCACAGCCAATATCATACTGAATGGGCAAAAACTGGAAGCATTCCCTTTGAAAACTGGCACAAGAAAGGGATGCCCTCTCTCACCACTCCTATTCAACATAGTGTTGGAAGTTCTGGCCAGGGCAATCAGGCAGAAGAAGGAAATAAAGGGTATTCAATTAGGAAAAGTGGAAGTCAAATTGTCCCTATTTGCAGATGACATGATTGTATATCTAGAAAACCCTATCGTCTCAGCCCAAAATCTCCTTAAGCTGATAGGCAACTTCAGCAAAGTCTCAGGATACAAAATCAATGTGCAAAAATCACAAGCATTCTTATACACCAATAACAGACAAACAGAGAGCCAAATCATGAGTGAACTCCCATTCACAATTGCTTCAAAGAGAATAAAATACCTAGGAATCCAACTTACAAGGGATGTGAAGGACCTCTTCAAGGAGAACTACAAATAACTGCTCAATGAAATAAAAGAGGATACAAACAAATGGAATAACGTTCCATGCTCATGGGTAGGAAGAATCAATATCGTGAAAATGGCCATACTGCCCAAGGTAATTTATAGATTCAATGCCATCCCCATCAAGCTACCAATGACTTTCTTCACAGAAATGGAAAAAACTACCTTAAAGTTCATATGGAACCAAAAAAGAGCCCGCATTGCCAAGTCAATCCTAAGCCAAAAGAACAAAGCTGGAGGCATCATGCTACCTGACTTCAAACTATATTACAAGGCTACAGTAACCAAAACAGCATGGTACTGGTACCAAAACAGAGATATAGACCAATGGAACAGAACAGAGCCCTCAGAAATAATGCCGCATATCTACAACCATCTGATCTTTGACAACCCTGACAAAAACAAGCAATGGGGAAAGGATTCCCTATTTAATAAATGGTGCTGGGAAAACTGGCTAGCCATATGTAGAAAGCTGAAACTGGATCCCTTCCTTACACCTTATACAAAAATTAATTCAAGATGGATTAAAGACTTAAATGTTAGACCTAAAACCATAAAAACCCTAGAAACAAACCTAGGCAATACCATTCAGGACATAGGCATGGGCGAGGACTTCATGACTAAAATGCCAAAAGCAATGGCAACAAAAGCCAAAATTCACAAATGGGATCTAATTAAACTAAAGAGCTTCTGCACAGCAAAAGAAACTACCATCAGAGTGAACAGGCAACCTACAGAACGGGAGAAAATTTTTGCAATCTACTCATCTGACAAAGGTCTATTATCCAGAATCCACAATGAACTCAAACACATTTACAAGAAAAAAACAAACAACCCCATCAAAAAGTGGGTGAAGGATATGAACAGACACTTCTCAAAAGAAGACATTTATGCAGCCAAAAGACACATGAAAAAATGCTCATCATCACTGGCCATCAGAGAAATGCACATCAAAACCACAATGAGATACCATCTCACACCAGTTAGAATGGCGATCATTAAAAAGTCAGGAAACAACAGGTGCTGGAGAGGATGTGGAGAAATAGGAACACTTTTACACTGTTGGTGAGACTGTAAACTAGTTCAACCATTGTGGAAATCAGTGTGGCGATTCCTCAGGGATCTAGAAGTAGAAATACCATTTGACCCAGCCATCCATTATTGGGCGTATACCCAAAGGATTATAAATCATGCTGCTATAAAGACACATGCACACGTATGTTTATTGTGGCACTATTCACAATAGCAAAGACTTGGAACCAACCCAATGTCCAACAATGTTATACTGGATTAAGAAAATGTGGCACATATACACCATGGAATACTATGCAGCCATAAAAAAGGATGAGTTCATGTCCTTTGTAGGGACATGGATGAAGCTGCAAACCATCATTCTCAGCAAACTGTCTCAAGGAGAAAAAACCAAACACCACATGTTCTCACTCATAGATGGGAACTGAACAATGAGAACACATGGACACAGGTAGGGGAGCGTCACACACTGAGGCCTGTTGTGGGGTGGGAGGAGGGGGGAGGGATAGCATTAGGAGATATACCTAATGTTAAATGACGAGTTAATGGGTGCAGCACACCAACATGGCACATGTATACATATGTAACAAACCTGCACGTTGTGCACATGTACCCTAAAACTTAAAGTATAATTTAAAAAATATATTGTCTTTGTTTGTGTTTCCATCAATAATAGCATAATTTGGCTTGAGTGAAGAGTGAAGGTGGAGAAGGTGAGCAGAGCACGATACTGTTTTGCCTATTCTCATCTTAAAACACAGATTTGAATCATTACACGTGTGAAATGCAGGCTTTCCATGGGAAGAAGTAGAATGGTTCTTGTATTTCTGGAAAGACACAGCAAGTGAATCTGCTACTTTATAGCTTTTTTTTTTTTTTTTTTTTTTGAGACCGAGTCTCACCCTATCGTCCAGGCTGGAGAACAATGGGGCGATCTTGGCTCACTGCAAGCCCCTCCACCCAGGTTCAAACGATTCTCCTGCCTCAGCCTCTCGAGTGGCTGGGATTCAGGCACCCACCACCAGGCTCCACTCATTTTTGTATTTTTAGTAGAAATGTGGTTTCACCATATTGGCCAGGCTGGCCTCGAACTCCTGACCTCGTGATCCACCTGCCTCGGCCTCCCAAAGTGCTGGGATTACAAGCGTGAGCCACTGTGCCTGGCCTATATCTATCCTTAAACAAAGACAAGGCCTGGGTTTAACACTTGCATGAAATGGAGAGAATTATAATAATCTTCCTTATTTATCTCGCAGAGGACTTGTGAAGCTCAGATGAGATGCTCATCTCAAGCTCTTCGTTGAAGTAACCACCACTTCCAAAATCCCCTCAGAACTATAACACTGCCTGCAAATATAACGGATCCACAAGGCAACAGAGAGCTACACCTTTGGATCTCACAAATACAGTAGTGGGGAACCACCCAGAGCTGTCTTCTGGAAGAGCTGTGATGACAGTAGCGCTGTTGCAGTTACTACAAGGGACCTGAGAAGCCACAGATGGCCCACAGGCAGAAGTGGTGGCCGTGCAGGGGATGCCCCTGACACAGTGACACATGTGCAGAAATCCAGCTTATCGGCCCTCTTGGATTCCCTCTTGCACAGTATTTGCTCTAGAAAGACTCCTGCCACCAGCTGCTTTCTTGAAGGTTGTAGGGGAAAAGGTTCCCTGGACCCCCCCTACACACCATCACCATTGGTACAGGGGGATTGCTGACACCTCCCCAAGGATGTCCTGAAGCTGTGACCAGGTTCCATAGGGAGTCTGCACTCATGGCTTTCCTTCAGGCTGTTTCCTAAGGAATCTGGAATAAGTCAGAGCATTTTGATGTTAAGGAACATGAGGTCTTTGAGAAGGCGTACAACCCCGATCCTTGTATTCATGACCAGTGACCTAAACCACTCTGGCTTGAGGAAAGGACAGAAAGTAACCTCAGGGTTCATCTCTGCTCCCTAGTCGGGTGCCGTGCCTCACGCCTGCAATCCCAGCACTTTGGGAGGCCGAGGAAGGCAAATCACTTGAGTCCAGGAGTTTGAGACCAGCCTGAGCAATATAGTGAGAAGCTTGTCTCTACAAAAAATAAAAATAAACAACTAGCGTGGTGGCTCATGCCTGTTGTCCCAGCTACTCAGGAGGCTGAGGTGGGAGGATCGCTGGAGCCCAGGAAGTCAAGGATGCAGTGAGCCATAATAGTGCCACTGTACTCCAGCCTGGGCAACATAGGCTTAACCCTGTCTTAACAAAAAAAAAAAAAAAAAAAAAAAAAAAAAAAAAAAAAAAATCTGCAGCCTGAGGGTTTGCTGCAACTTATATATTTACCACGAGATGGCGCGCTAATGACGTCTTTTTATTACTGGGACCGGCTGCGTGGCGCTCAATTATTTTTCCTATTGAATCCTGTGGAAAGTGCTGGAGCTGCAGAGAGGTCCCCAAACAGCAGAAACAATGAGCGTGTAAGTACTTAATATAGTGGGGAAATACCCATTGACATATATTTACCGCCCTTGAATTTGGGTTTCAAAGGACTCATTTTTTTGAACTTGGTTACATCATGAAATTCACCTAACATAAAAATTAGCTCTTAAACACAGCTGATGTCAATGGGTAACTTTTCCCGGGGAAGCAGATGCTGCCCGGGTTGTGTGCAGAGCGCCATCCTGGAGGAGCCGGGCTGCAGGGAGCTCCTTGAGGAGCCACATCCAGACCTCTAGCACTGAGTTATCTTTGCCTCCGCTTACCTTCTTGTATCTGCAACAAACCTTTTTAACGTATTCACTCTTGCTTTTCTCAGTTTTTGATAATCAGCCACCTTGCTGTAGTAAAGGATCACACTGTGGAATGCTAAAAAAAAATTGCCATTTTAAAGTAGACAATTTACTGGCATTTAGCATATTCCCAATGTCACGAAATCACCATTTCTATAAGTTTCAAAATATTGTCACCATTCCAAACTAAAACCCCTTAGCTATTAAACAGTTTCTATGTTCCCTCCTTGAACTGGCAACAACTAATCTGTTTTTGTCCCAAAGGATTGATCTATTCTGAATATTTTATATAAATGGAATCATACAATGTGTGACCTTGTGTGTCTACCTGCTTTCACTTAGCATAATATTTTCAAGGTTCATCCATGTTGTAGCACGTGTCAGTGTTTCCTTCCTTTTTATGGTGAGAACTTCCAGTGCAGTGTTGAATAGTCATGGTGAAAACAGGCATCCTTGTCTTGTTCCTGACCTTATGGGGGAAAGCTTTCAGTCTTTCATATTGGGTTTGATGTTAGCATAAAGGCGTCTTATGGTGCTGGGGAAGTTGCCTTCTCCTGGTTTTCTGTTTTGTTTTGTTTTGTTTTTTATCGTGAAAGAGTGTGGGATTTTGTTAAATGCTTTTCTATGTCGATGAAGATGATTGTGTGAGTTTTCCCCTTCATTCTATAATGTGTATTACATTGACTGATTTTCTTATGCCACACCATTCTTGCATTTTGGGGCATATAGTACTTTTAATAACTTTTCTTTAAAAATGAAGATGTGTGTAAAGTATTGCACAAATATAGATGAGGTAGAATTAATTCTGCAGGTTAAGGCAGAGGGAGTGGGAAGGGTTTAGGGGAGGAAGACAAAGAGAAGTCAGCCAGTAAAAGACAGACCAGAAATGACCTTAAATGACAAGGGGATTTTTTTTTAAAAAGCCAAACTTTCAAGCAGCATCTTTCTCTAATCCAAGACAGATGAGAAGCCAGTTTCCAAAAATCCAGTTTCATTTTCCTTATCTTTAAAATGATTAGATTATTTTGATTTTTATTGTCATTGCTATAATTATAGTTTCTTATCCTGTTTATTTCATAAAATTTTCCTAGGTATTGCATAATTTGGGGCCATAATTTTACATTGTTGCACAACAGTCCCGGTTAGGTAATTACAGTAACCATATAGTCTTTGTTTTTTATTATCTTTAGAATGCCATGATAAACCAAAGTAGATTACTTATGAGATACCTTCTAGCTCTAAAGTTTTGTGGCTTTATGATTCTACGAAATCTGTACCACAGATTCTTCCCTAACTGCGCAAATTCTACATCACAAATCCTAGACGGTTAGAAAACCTCTCTCTGGCAATTTCATTAAATCTACTGTACTTCTTATATGTTTCAATTCACACATGTTTTCTCTTTTTCTGTCTTTGGTGAAGATGGAAAAAAGTGGATCACTTGTTGTTGGTGGGAAATTGTTTGTTCCTATAACTCACTTAAGCAAGTATCTATTAAGGTCAAACAAAAATGATCAGCTCTTCTAGGCAGACTGGGGCTTCTCCTCGGTCATGGCATTTCTTGGCTCCCCTACCTCAGTTTCTCCCAGGAGCAGTTCTTTGTTCATCTTCAGATTGGCCACTCCCTGCCTCCACTGCTGGGCTCTCCAGGAGTATGTAATTTTGTGAGCTAAAAATCCTAAGTGAGAATAGATCTATTTTCTTTTTAGTTCAGCACATATAAATTGGGTGTTTTTCAAATCATCTTCATTATAAAATAAAGAGGAAAGCAAACCCAAAAAGAAACAAATATGTTTATAGACAAGTGCCACTCCCTGGGTTGCATTGGTGGGCACCGCCAAGGAAGCAGACAGCCTTGACTCCTTTCTGCGCTTTCGTCCCGTGTCAAGCCCTCGGAAGGAGGTATAGCTCTATGGCTCATCCGTTGTTCCGAGTTAACTCCTAAAGTTCAGTTAGTCTCATCGGTGGGCACCATCTTCCCACCAGCTTCCTTTCACCCCAGCAGACAACTTTTGGGGAGGCTCAGGGAATGGTTTTGGGTTCAGATTCTTAGCTAGAGAGAAATAGATTTAAACTCTGATTCCACCAGTTATTCCCTGTGTGGCCCTTGGAAGGTTATTGAAGCTTTGAGAGCCTGTTTTCCCACCCATAAATCAAGACTATCACAGGCCTATTCATGGGCCTGATCAGAGGCATTAAAGGGCTGATATCTGTAAAGCGTATAGCATGGTGCTTAGCGTGTTTACAGTATGAATTTGCCTCTTCCAATTTTAAAGCTTTACATTTTAAAGTACTTTACTGAACTCAGTCAATACTCTTCTTTTTCTGTCTGAGGGCTCCCTAGCACCATCAGATTATGTACAGCAGAAATAGTAGTGTCAAATGGTAGTGACTAATTAGACATACTTTCTTAGTTGTCTGTGATGACTACATATCTCGGGTGGTTCCAGGGTATGGACTTTCCCAAATCAAATCACCCTCGTTTTACAAGTGAGAAGGAATTTAAACTAAAGAGTAGCAATAACTATTTTCTATCAAGAGAAATTTATTAAATATTTATTGATCATCTGCTTTGTACCAGACAGATGGAGGTTGTAATTTCATAAGACACAAAATGAAAAATGATGATTCCTGCTCTGAAGATATT
Source organism: Homo sapiens (assembly GCF_000001405.40). Classification (NCBI taxonomy): domain Eukaryota; kingdom Metazoa; phylum Chordata; class Mammalia; order Primates; family Hominidae; genus Homo; species Homo sapiens. The sequence goes on from NC_000008.11 coordinate 71,831,175, forward strand.
TAGAATCCAATGAAAGAAAAAAGGCATGCTCACATGCGATCAAGGCAAGGGCCCTGTTTCCAAGCTTTGTGTCTCTGAGCTGCACAAACCCCTTCTCTCTTTAAGCTTTCAGTTATGATTTTACCCCCTCTGAAAGAATCTAAGTCCCCAGAGTAAGACCAAATTTGATAAGAATCTGTATGGGCCAATGGATGGTAGAGTTCCCAAATGAATGGCAAAGTTTCTCAATTCTGTACTGTTTCAAACTTGCCCTTTTAAATTTTAGTGATAAATCATGACTCATGATGACTTTGCTATTCACTGTCTGGCCCGAATTAGAAACCTTGTAGTCATTGTGGCTTTTACCCTGGCTTTCATCACACACATCCAGTCTATAACCCAGTTAATTTGATTCTAGCAGTCAAAAGTCTCTTGGCTCTATCCCTGGTATTCCCACCACCATCGTCTCAGCCTAGGCCTCAGTTTCTTTTGCCTGGACTGTCCAACTTGTGCTCTGTTCAATCTATTCTGCACATTGCCAGACAAAGTAGCTTTCTATGAGTCTGTGCTCAGGTGAATCACATATCGGGATATGGGACAGGTTTAAAGGTCCGAGTATAGAAACAACAACAGTATATTTTGAGAAGTCTTGGAGAAAGGTGAAAATTGTCACAGGGAGATGTCCTAACCTAAAAAGGGAAAACTCACTAGATTCTTGAAACGATAGGTCAAATTTCAGCATCTCCTAGGTTGTCAGGAGTTTGAAGAAAACCAGTAGTTGTTTATATATTATACTTTTTCCTGAAGATTCTTTTATTTGGATCTGATGTTTTTCCACTATAATTTTTACTCTGGAGCAAACCAAACTCAATCATAGAATCTTTTTAAAAGGTCTGAACAGATCTTGTGTTTGGGTTTTTTTTTCAGACAGTCTCTTTCTGTCGCCCAGGCTGGAGTGCAGTGGCACGATCTCGTCTCACTGCAAGCTCCGCCTCCTGGGTTCACGCCGTTCTCCTGCCTCAGTCTCCCGAGTAGCTGGGACTACAGGTGCCCGCCACCATGCCTGGCTAATTTTTGTGTATTTTTAGTAGAGACGGAGTTTCACCGTGTTAGCCAGGATGGTTTCGATCTCCTGACCTCATGATCCACCCACCTCGGCCTCCCAAAGTGCTGGGATTACAGGCTTGAGCCACCGTGCCTGGCCAGGTTTTTAAACACTAATGAAAGTTTGTTTTGAGACTAGAACAGTTTTAAGTACCATCATTTCTGTGCTTATTTGGTTTCCATATAATGTGGAGAAGTTGTTTTCTACCTTTGTAAGATTAAATACTTATCACAGAAATGAAGAGTCTGTGGCAAAGTTTATCATCAACAGTGAAATCACGTAGAGATATTACAGATCTTCTGCAGAACAAGTCAAAAGACACCTGAATGGCTTGAGTTTCATCTGTTAGGTTGGTGCAAAAGTAATTGAGGTTTTTGCCATTGAAAGTAATGGCAAAAACCTCAGTAACTTTTGCACCAAACTCATAAAACATTTAAGTGTAGGTTGACTTTGTTCATTTTCTCAAGCTTTCAGCCTCCCCGTATTGTGATGTACTAGCAATAAAGGGAGACATAATCAGTGCTATTCTGAAGACCCACAGTAAGCAGGGCATTCATTTAAAACTATGGTGCAGTTAAGGCCCCATCCAGCCCAGACCCCTCATTTTAGGTGAGAAATCATAGTTGGAAGAGGGAGAGACTGCCCAAGGCCACCCAACAAGTCAGGCTCTGAGAACGCCCCACTTGCAACCCCACGCGGGCTCCGGGGCACTTGGCCAGTGTGCATGGAAAACAGCTGCAGAGAAATAGCTGTCATGGTGCCAAATTCTTATCTGCTGGTGTCCTTCAGATTGGGTGGGCTGGATGCCAAGGGGAAACTCAGAGTCTGTGAATTCTAATCCTGGACCTGCTAGTAAACAGTTCTGGTCATAGGGTCTTAAATTTCCCTCCCTTTGTCACAGGCTGTTGTTAGTCTAGCAACCAGGGGATAATTCCCTGAAGTGACTGAGCAGAGCTTCTGGGATCCACCCCAGGAGACCTGAAAAGCAGAGGAGCATCCTGAGAGTCCATCTGAGTCAGTGCCTATTGTTGGTGTTGCTTTAACCCTGATATGTTATAGTGGCCATACCATCAATCTACACACTTTTCTATCCAGCTCTCCTGACCATGCAAATGTACTTTACTCTCTATTCCCTCACCCCCAGCATGAGCCAGAAGTGTTGCTTCTCATGCAAATCAATACCTTGAGATTTTCAAAATTCTGAAGAGGCCAACCTTTTCAGAGGAGAACTGAAACAGAATCAGTTAAAGGCTCATATCTTTCAGCTTTAAGGGAAAATGAGTGACTCTGAATGGTCAGGGATAGGCCCCTCAGCACCTGCTTAAAGTTTGTCAAGAGAACATGGAGATCATCTCAGTGCGATGATAATGGTGACAACAATACTAATAGACTAGCATTTGCTAAGCACTTACTATGTGCCAGGCACTGTGCTAAGTATTTCACTTCCAATATTGCATTTAATCTTCCCAACAAAGCCATCAGGTAGCTTCTATTATATCATCATTCTACAAATGAGAACACTGAGGCTCAGGGATTTGAAGTCCCTTGTAAGAGTCCATGTTCTTAACCACCATCCTAGATGATAATCCCCATCACTGGTTAGTGATGGCAGCCTGCTGTCATTTATATTCTTCTGGTATGCCCTCCTGCTGCCTTGCCTAGCCTCCTCCAATAGTCACCTCCCTTGTCGGCTCTCTGGGAAGACCCCCATGACAGCCTGGGGCTGGGGTTTGTGCCTTTCCTCTCACAGCGCCACCTTCTGTCATAGCCCTTGGCACACTGCACTTCAATTGTTGGGCCATTTGTCCTTTTCCTCCTTTAGAGCTCTTTGAGAAGAGGCAACTCTCTGATTCATTCTGGTCTATCCAGCACTGTCCTGGGTAATAGCAGATGATCAAAAAATGTTTCTTGAATAAATGGCTGATGTGAAAAATTTACTTGACAGTATGTTTTGGTTATCTATTGCTGAGTATCAAAGAACTCCAAATTTAGTTGCTTAAAATAACAACTATATTTTCATTTTTCATGACTCTGTAGGTCAGGAATTAGGACAGGACCTAGCGGGAATGGTGCACCTCTGCTATCTGTCCTGTAAGGCTTCTTCTCATTCCACTAGGATGATTTCACAGCTGGCTGGAATGGCACCCCTGGGGTCCTGGGGTCCTAAGATTGCATGTCTGGGGTCTGAGTCTGCACTGTCAGCTGGGCTCCTTGGTTCTCTCAGTGTGGTCTTAGGGCATCTCTCTCTCAGGTGGTTTCGCCATTTGGTGCCCTCAGGGACTTGGTTGGACTTCTCACATGGACGCATAAGGATCCCAATAAGTAAATGAGGAAGCTGCTAGCCCTTACTGCTTAGGCCAGAACTGGCAGAGTCACTTCTGCCTCCTTTCTATTGGTTAAAGCAAGTAACTGGGCCACCCCTACACAGGGCCTGGAGACTAGGGGGTCTGGTTCACTGGGGACCATTCTTGTGACTAGGCACCCCATAGTTTAATAGAGCCATCTTTGTCCCTCTCCAAGTCTCCAAAGAAATGTTAGTCAAAGGAAGACTGATCCCGAGAAGGTGGATAGCTTAGCCTATTTCATCACCACAACTTGAGGGAAAACCTATAATGAAAATAAATAAATGTTAGAGATACCCAGAGAGTCTGTGCATGTAAACAGCTGGTAATACAGTGCCTTGTCAGAAACATCTACGATGCTTGACTCAAGAGCATAGCATTTAGCCTGTGCCAGCAGCGCACCTCTGGCAATGCAAAGATTTGAACTGTGTTATAACTCTGGTCTTTCCCATCACTCACAGACCCGTCCTCTTTTTATATTTTGTTTACCCACCTTTTCCTCTCAGGCTCCTAAGGCCTTTGTTTCCACATTTTAGAGCATTGCCATTTATGGTATAGGTGCTCCTTAGCTGGATTTTGTATGAGGAGTCTGTGTTAGTTTGTTTGCATCGCTATAAAGAAATACCCAAGACTGGGTAACTTTTAAAGAAAAGAGGTTTATTTTGGCTCACAGTTCCGCAAGCTTTGCAGGAAGAGTGGTGCCGGCATCTGCTTCTGATGAGGGCCTTAGGAAGCCTACAATCGTGGTAAAAGGCAAAGGGGGAGCAGGCGTATCACATGGCTAGAGAGGGAGCAAGAGAGAGGAGGTGCTAGGCTCCTTTAAACAGCCAGCTCCTGTGTGTACTAAGTGAGGACTCACTCGTTACCAAGGAGATGGTGCTAAGCCCCTTGTGAGGGATATGCCCCCATGATCCAATATCTCCTGCCAGGCCCTACCTCCAACATTGGGGATCACATTTCAATGTGAGATTTGGAGGGGACAAAGATCCAAACCATATCAGAGTCCTTGTCACTTTTGCACAAGGGACCCTCCTTTCCCCCTCCCTAGCTCTTGGAACAGTTTCTTTAAAGATTGTTCAAATCCCTTGGCCTTCATGTCCTGGACTTTTTAAATTTTATGGTATCCTTTCTTTACATTGGAAGAAGTTTGCTTCAAAAATATTTGATGATTCCCTCGTTTTTTTTTTATTGTTGTTTGTTTTTGTTTCTTTTGTACTTAAATTGCATGCCAAGGCATTTAGTTGTTTTAGTGGCTTACCTTAGAGAAATTAATCTATATTATCATGAGCAAATATATTTGTCGGCCATTTGGCAGACCTATAGATAAAATCGTCTTTATTGAGAATCAATGAAAATGATTCCCAAGTTTCTTGAAATAAATTTCTTTATTAGGATTATATAATGTTATGATTCTAACATAATTCTCAGAGAATAATAATATATGTGCAAAAGAAATGGGATTTTAGAGACCTGGGTTTTGGGCATCACTTTTCCTTTCATCTGAATTCCAGGTCCAGCCCTGAGGTTACAAAGACTCAAAATTCAAGGGCCTAAATAGGAGACAGGAGAGATGGGTACTAGGAAGAAAGAGTAGGAGGTGGTAAAGAAAGCCTTCTGAGTGCAGACTACAGGAGACCAGCTCAGGCATTTGGCCCTACTGATTTGCCTGGCTGGACTACAGAGGTGTTCATGAAGAAAGCCTAGCCCAGTTAAGTCATTATCCTAACCTCTCTAGTCAGTCTTTCTGATGAAATATTTACTCCCATATCCAACCTATACATGATCCACAGGCTTCTGTCCTACTGAGACTGCTGCAAAATCAAGAAAACACTACTAACTCTTATCAATGAAAAGAGCCTTAAGAATTATCTAGGCCAGTGGTTCTCAAACTTTTTGATCTCTGGTCTCTTCATACTTTCATTAAAAAGTTATTAAAAGTTATTAAAAACTCTTAAAAGCTTTTGCTTATGTAGCTGGCTTGTATCTGTTGACATTCACTGGAGCAGAAATCAAAACCAGTGAGACCCAGTCTCTTAAATAAACTAATTAATTAAAATAAAAAGAAATCAAAACCAAACAAAAATATTTATTTATTAATAAATTTTAAAATAATAAGCTAATTACATGTGAATGTAAATAACATTTTTAATAAAAAATAACTATGTTTCTAAAACATTTTGATGGGAAGGGTGGCATAATTTGATATTTTTGCAAATAAATCTCTTTAACGTCTCACTTTATAGAAGACAGCTGCATTCTCATATTGGCTTTCTGCTTCAATCTGTTGTGATATGTTATTTTGGTTGAAAGTCCAGCCTCACAAACACATGTAATTATAAGGAGAAAGAAGTAAGGCATGTAATTGTAGTTTAAATATGTATGTAAAATATTGTATGTATGTAAATGTGTATGTAAAAATATTTTAATGGATATTGCAAGTAATTGTGAACATTCTTTGATATGACACCAAAACTCCACAAGTGTAGTTCCTGAAATGTTGGTTGTAACATTTCATGAAATCCAAAATTAGCTAAACAAACTTGTGGTACTCTGTAACATCAAAATTCATCAGTGTGGCTTGTTTCACTTAACATAATTTCCTTCATTTCTATCCATGTTGTTGCAAATGACAGAATTTCACTCTTTTTTATGGCTGAATAATATTCCATTGTGTATATGTACCACTTTTTTGAATCCATTATTCTCACCAATATGTAGGAATTAAAAAATGTGAGCTCACAGATATAGAGAGTAGAATATCAGTTACCAGAGGCTGGGAAAGGTAGTGAGGAGGGAGGATAAAGAGGGCATGGTTAATGCAAATAACAATACAGTTAGATAAGGAGTAAGATCTAGTGTTCAGTTGCACAATAGGGTGACTATAGTTAAAAATAATCTTTTGTATATTTCAAAATAACTAAAATGATGGAATTGGAATGTTCCTAACACAAAGAAACAATAAATGTTTGAGGTGATGAATACCCCAATCACCCTGATTTGATCATTACACATTGTATGCTTGTATAAAAATATCACATGTACCCCATAAGTCATACAGCTATTATGTATCCATAATAATTGAAGATAAAAAATTAAAACAAATTCATTGTTTTATCTTGTACCCTGAAATGAGTTTAAAATCTCATGCATAATTTTTGATGCTGAGTGTTATGGGAAGAAGCTTAATGAAAATTTCTCCTTAGTAACAAGAAAGAGGTCAATATACAAAAGTAGCATAAAAGAGCAAGGTGATAAAATGGCAAAAGGGACTGATGAGATAAATTTTCAGAGGATCAAGGACATAAACTATTATAAGCAAAAGAGAAAGAAAATCAAGCCTTTTTTTTTTTAAATTCTCATCTATGGAGCATTTCCCAAGTGCTTAATGAGACGATTTCATGTAATCCACTCTTAAAGTGTTGTGTGAGGTTGAATGAATGATTCCTGACTTACAGAAGAGGTAAGGTACATTATGCAGCGCCAGGAAATGTGGGACTGGAACCCACTACATCTGACCCAGCCATCTGTGAATTTTTTTTTAAATGAGTTTTTACAAATTCCAAACGTAATATGCAAATTTTTTCAACAAACAAAAGTAAAAGATAAAAGCTTCTTGTTCTTCCTCCCCTCCCGTTCCACTGCTAAAAGTTAGTAATAGTCCATACAGACAGCATATTTTCACCAAATGAAAGCCCCAGCTTTTATTTGCTCCACGATCCTCCTTACCATAAGCCATAAAGAATCTCAAGGCTGATCCAGAACTATCTTGGTGATAGCAGAACCAACAAGAGAGAAGGCTGCTAAATGCTACACGAGTTTACATGATTACATGTGGATTTCTGACTGTGGCTACTTTCTGGACCTTTTTAGAGCCCTGGGTTTGAAGGATTTCTCTGGATCAACTTTCACTGTTGTGGGAGAAAGACGAAAAATAACACAAAACGTGAACACAACAGTGAAAGGGATGAATGGAGAGTGGTGAGTGCACTGATGCAAACACCCTGGGTGCCCACAAATGAGTATGCAGAGTTCACACTGAAAGGAGATATGGCCACGTGATCAGTTACGAAGGGAGCCAATCTGGTGGACTTTCCCACAAGTTGGAAGCTTGGTAGTGAGAAGTGAATTATCAATTTACCTTGTTTCTCCTTTCCAAATGTGACTCTGAGTTACTGTTTTAATTTTTAATATTTTTTCAGAAGTATCAACCAAATTATCTACCAAATATCTATTAAAATAGAATGTGTTCATTTAGTTGTTTGTTTGTGTGTGTGTGTTTTACAGACAAGAGATGTTTCTTTATTTTTTTAACTTCTAGGCATTTATTATCAGGGAAAAATCTGTGACTGTGAAAGTCTTTTGTGAATTTTAAGGGTCATTGTTGCTATCTGTTGAAGGAGCTGCCAAACTAAAGTGAAATTATAAGTTGAAGCCCAGTGCAAAAGAATACGCACAACATAAATTCAACTCCACAACCAAGAGAAACGCCTGAATGTTTCAAAATTACAGTGCTGAAAGCGTTTCTTTTCAGATATTCATCTTAGGAAGAGTCTGTGGAAGGGGATTTTTGTTCTCTTTGGTTGAGTCAGCATCACTAATAATAATGCTTTGGTCCCTCAAAAAGCCCCCTGAAGAGTATTATTCAATTTACTCATTTTGTTTGTTATTTAGCACATTGTACATTGTATTTCTTAGACTTCTTTCTCTCATCTTTTCTCTCATAGCAGTACAATCAAATCGAAGTAATCCTAAGCACATACTTCATTTTTTTCTCTTAAGCCCCGCTCCCCACCCCACTTCCTGCCCACTTCTCCAACCCCAACTCCCATTTCTCAAACTCAAATCACTAAAGGAAAATGATGAGAGAGAGAGAGAGATTTGGTGATGCCTGTCTACCACTTAGAACACACTCTAGTAATGGTAGATAAAGAAAAGGCTGGTTTAAGATGTTTAAGGCCTGTCCCAACAGCAACACATGCACAGAAGCTTGCATAATTTACATGGACTCATTGGGGCTTACTAGAAAGTGGCCTCTTTCTTTTTCTTCTTCTTTTCTTAAATAACGTAATGCCTGGCATTGGATTTTTTACAGAAACTGTGGAGCAGAGCATTCTTGAGAAAGTTTTTTTTTCTTCATAAACTATAGGACTATAAAGTGGTCATTAAAATGAATTTCCAGGGTGCAGTGCAACACTCCCTGTACATGTGAGTCAGTGACAAGCATCACCTTAATTGGGGGTTAGAGACAGAAAATCTGTGAGTTTACTCCTGAGTTGGCCAGAAGGAATATAATTATAGAAACACATATTTTAAATATTATTCTTTCACTTGTGGAAATTTGCCCAAATATTTCCTTGTTTATTCAAATGCTTGTTCTTATTTGTATTCACTACAAATATAGCTATTCTTTCTGTTTTTCTGTATTTCTGTTTGTCCACTCTTGTGGGACATTTCTCTTTCACGGTTGTAATCCAGGCATCTCAAAACAAGATCCAACCTTAAAGACTGGACTCTGCGAATGTCACACCTGTTTAAAGTATCCCCCTTTGCGGAAGTGGTTCCCTCTGCCTCTGGATTTCCTTTAGTGACCAGCATTTAGTGCACTGCTCATTGCATATTAAATGATTTGTTTAAATACATTATCATATTTATTCCTAAGGCAATATTCCAGGTAGGCACTGTGATGACCCCCATTCTACGGAAGAGGAAACTGAGGCTCAGAGGTGTTCATAATGTAACTTGCACATGCTCACTAATCCTGTGGCAAAGCTTGAATTTCAAGCTGGGTTCTTTAGACACTCAGGTTCCCTTTAACCTACTTACACTGAGCTGCCTCCTTTCCTTGAAAAGAGCCTAATTTGCTGGACTTTTTGGAAGTCACCTTGACTAAGATCTGGCCTTCAGCAGACACTCTTCCTCAAGAAGCTTTCTACCCAGGACTCACCGCTGAAGTGCTTGGTAGGGTTTCCTGCCACAGGTTACTTCAGGTTCCCTCTTGTCAGAAAGCCCCTAATGCCACAGACACCACTGATGTTAGACTGGATCCCCAGGGCGGGTTCCGTCCCAGGTTATGAATAAAAGCCCAAGACAATCTTGTCAGAAAGCAGTTCTTTAGCATTTTGGTTGGTTTAACTCAAAACAGGAAGTCACTCTCCCCACCCCAACCCCCCTTACCTCCTAACTAAAATCCAGCTGTATTTTTCTCTCAGGGTCAGGAAAACTGCCTTTCAATTGCACAAAATGGACAGAACCCCAAGTTGGGCAGTTGTTTGTGTAGTTTTATCCTTTACACTTTTCTAAATGTTCTACAAAGAGAACGTTGCTTTTAAAAGAACCAGCCGTTTTAAAAATTGTATTATAGGGTTTCCAAGTTGTTACCTTCTACAAAAATTGCAGTACAAGTGGAAGAAAATAACACGGAAAATGAGTGTACGTTTAAAAAGATATATAAACATTTGATAAAAGAAAAGCACCGTTGAAATACAAATTGGCTTCTTATATTAGGGTTTTATTCTGCCAGTTACACTGGAGACTTGTGGGTGGGCCTTAGGGTTTTTTTTTGAACTACTTGCAATGGTAAGGATTGGAGTGTGCTTTTAGCTGGAGTAGCTGCTGTGTGTGTTGTGTGTGTGTGTGTGTGTGTGTATGAGAGACGTGCACCTATGTTAGCCTGAGGAGTGTATGTCTGTCAGGACAGCAGGGGCCTCAAGACTCAGGACTTTTATTAGGCCTCCAGTTATGGCCTTCCAGGAAGCCCGGCGCGGAGAAGCAGCAGAATCATAGAGATTAATAAAGAATGACGTTTGGAAATGGAGTGATCCAAAAGTGATCGCCACCATTCCTCCCGCAATGACCCACCGCCCTGACCAGAGGAGATCAGCCCTTAAAAGTTAACTTCTACAGCCAAACCCTCTTAGTAAAGGGCAACAAAGACCACATCCTGACACCTCCAAGGGGCACACGGTTTTTACAGCGCGTTTTATTATTCATAAAAAAATAAATTTATTTACATATGTTATTTCCTGTGGTAGTGCAGCCTCGGGGCAAGGGCGCGTTCCCTATCGCAGGATCACTTGCTATGGTAAGCCGCCCACCCTGCGCGCTCCTCCGCGCGGGGAAGAACCTGCGCGGCAGGACGTGGTGTTGGAGTTGGGGCGCCCGGAGCGTGGAGTGGGGAGACCTGATGCAGAGAGTCTGGAGTCGGAGCTGGGGGTGCTGCAGGTAGGAGCAGGAGCGGGGCGGAGAGGGAGGCCCGAAGAAGACCCCACACAGGTTGGCGCAGCGGGGCTTGGGGAGGCTTCAGCCCAGAAGTGGAGAGGGTTGACAGACGCCTGCCTGATTAGAAAAAGCCGGGAGCTTGGGAAGGAGACGGGATTGAAGAAGCCACCCGGCAGGGAGGCCGAACGGCCCAGAGCTCTCCGGGTAAAACCCGCCTGCGGTGATCTGGGAAGTGTGTCTCCACCTAGCCCTGCGAGCAGCGGCCTTCCTCCCGCCCGTTAGAAGGGCGCTGTGCTGGAGTACGAACCCGGCCCAGAGAAGCCACTCGCCCTTCTTTGTCACTTAAAACCCTGTCCCGACGCGGATCTCACGTCTAGACCTCTGTCTTTAAAGCGGATGTAGAGCGCGTTCTAACCGTTCCCTAACCATTGTGTCACCGCGAAAGGCCGGGGCTGTGTGGAACCGTCCCGCACGTGTGCGATGAATCTGGCTCCGCTGAGAACGGATCCGTGGGCTGTCTGGCGCGGGCTGGGGCAGCAGCCGAGAGTTAGTCTACAGAGCTAGGGCCCGAGGGTGGACCTGCGTCCGCGTCTCGTCACGAAAGGAAGCTCTTTTTGGAGAGGCAAAACGTGGTCGCCCAGATCCGGCGCAGCTGTAGCCGTGGGCGCTGTGCAGTGACAGCCACACCCGCCACCTGTCACGATCACAGTTCCAGGGAAAGGGGAAGGGTCAAGGAGAATCCAGCGGAAACTTCTTCCCATCTCACGAGCTCTCCCTTCTCTCCGTGGCCCCCAAACACTCGCATTTAACGAATAATCCCATCAAGTGAGTTCCAGTCCGATTTAAGCGGTGGTTCCACATAGTCTGTTGGCTGCGGAAACTTCTTTGGTGTCAGAGTCCGGTCTTCCCGAGACCACGAATGGCCATGTCTGTAAATCAAAAAGAACGTGAGATATTAGAGAGAAACGATTGTCTCAAACCGAAACAGCTCTCCTACGCGAACCCCAGATATTCCTGACTTGGAGTAGCTAAGATTTTATCAGCATTCTGGGAATTTGCATGTCCTCTCTCTGAACTAAGATTTTCATTTTACTGGAGGTTGATAATCCGAGACTTGCCATATCCGTTCACGCTTCTTCCTGGACTTTGCCCGCAGGATAATTTGGTGAAACTCATCTGACTTTGAGGTTCTGTCGTTTAGTTCCCTTCCCCAACACACACACACACACACGCACACACACACACACACACACACACACACACAGTCATCCACTCCAAGCTCCAAGTAGGAACTGGGCTTGGACAGGATTTTTCCCAAGCCGGGAGAGCTGGCAGATCAGAGAGGGACTTTCCAGATAAATCCCATCTGGGGAAACGTTACTATCTTCCACAAGCAATTTTTCTAAAAATGCAAATGCTCTTTTATAGAGCTCGGCCTTCCCTCCTTTAAGAAAGGGCTTGCCGATTCAAACCTGCCCGACTCAGCTGGATTAAGTTGGGCAAGGGAGATTTGCCGTCAGTCTGCAACCTGGTGGCAGATGGAGATGGAACCAAGATTTACCCTGGAAGTAGGATATTAGTCAATGGCTGTCACTGGGGTACAATGTTCAGAACGATGCAAACAGACACGGAGGGTTGATTCTTCTTCAGGGAAATGGCTGGCCACTCCCTTGATTTGGGAGAAACTAAACTGGCCTTCTCGTTCCCAGTCCCAGAACCTCCACCCCTTTCGAATTCTTCCCAACGGGCTGACCCTGCCCGGCGCCCAGGAGCGCCCTGGGTATCTCCTGGCTGCTCTCCCGAATCCTTGCGCGCCGCGCCCCTACCAGGTTCACTGGGTGCACGTAGCCGTTCTCATAGCGGTCCTCCTGCAACAGCTGCCGCAGGTGAGCGATGTAACTGGAAGCCAGCCGGAGCGTGTCCAGCTTGGAGAGCTTAGTGTCGGGGGGCACCCAGGGCAGGCTGGTCTTGAGCCTGGAGAAGGCTTTGCTCAGCACGCGCATCCGGGCACGCTCACGGGCGTTGGCCGCGTTCCGCTGCGACTGCTTGCACTCTGCGGCTGAGCCCTTGGCCGGGAGGGGCTTCTTGCCACCACCGCCCGCGCTACCACCTGCGCCGCCGCCCCCAGCCACACGGGGCCGCTTCCTCTTGCAGCCTTCCGCGCTGCCGGCTGTGCCCAGAGCGCAGCGCTCCTCCTCGCCGTCGGGGTCCTCCTCCTCTGCCGACGAGTTGTCACTGGGCGAGGCGTAGCTGCGCTCTACGCCGCGGAGGGGCGGCCTCTTGGAGGCGGGGACCGGGTACTCCCGCTGCAGCCCCCGAAGCTCCATCTCCTCCGGATCACTCACCGAGCCCGTGGACATCCCGTTGTCCCCCTTGCCCACACGCGTCCTCTTTCCTCCCCCCTGGCCAGTCTCGCTGTCTCCGCCTTCCGCTCCCTGGCGGAGGCGGAGGCCAGAGAGCGCTCCAAGGAAGACTAAAAACCCAGGCCGGGAAGCGCGGGGTGAGAAAGCGAGGTGGGTGGCGAGAGCGTGAGCGCCCCTCTGCTGACCCCGGGGAGCGTGGACTACGAGTTGGCGCCCAAGTCCAGAATCCGCGCGCACCGCGGTAAGCTGCGCCTTTTGAAAAGGCTATCTGTACTCCTTGGAACAAACCACCCCGGGCAAAGAAGAGGGGGTTGTAAAGGGGGCCAAGAGGTGGGGCAGGGGCGTGGAAGGGGTGGGGACCGCTTTTCTGCATGCCGAAGAGCGGTTGGTGGAGGCGGGGGAAGGGGACGTCTCTGCAGAGCCGAGATTTGGGCTCTGAAGCCCGACGGCCCTTCAACATGTCTGCGCAGGATAAGTGAGCTTTCGGGGAGTGAAGGGGCACATCTTGTTCCTACCGACGGTGCTTCTACCCCCAGGTAATCTTAGCAGTGGCAAAGATTACCAGACACTTAGAAACGACGGGATTCCGACCTCTGCTTGCCTGCCAGTCTTTCCAGTAGAACTCAGTTTTCAAGTTAACCATTCATGATGTATGATTGTCTACCCAAGCCTTGCTGGACAAGAGAAAAAGCAGAACAGGCAAACAACATCCAACAATGCACAAGTTACCTCTCATTTTCCTCCTCCTTTTCTTATAATATACCTTCATGGTTTACAAAAATGGTTACAATGGTTCGTTGCCTTTTCAAATAACATCTGTAACTTAATGATATTATCTCCAATTTGCAGAACTTGAAGCTGAGCCGCCTAGATAGACGTTAAGTAAAAGACCCAAACTTATTAGGCTAAGTAGAAAAAAAGATTCAAAATCCGCGTTTTGAAATTCTGGCCCGTCGGTATTCTAGTCAGCTCCGTGCCTCCGGGTCACACATCACTGGATGTTGTAGCTGGTATTTTCCACTATCTTGAGAGTTCCATGCGTGATGTGATTTTGTTTTAATACCACAATGCGTGTGTTGGAGGATCCGGCCCTAAAGCTTTGCATTATAATGTAGGGAATCCTTGCTATTGTATTTAATAGATTGTGTATTGAAGAGCGAGCTCCTGGAAGCAGAATGCTAAGTTAGCACAATCGTCCATTCAAAGTAAAAACGACAAAGGAGCACCCTGAATGATCATGTTCCATTCCAAACAAGACTAAAACATCCTGCTCTTCCACACAAGAAAACACAACAATTTTGCAGTCTCATTATTTCCTAACTCGAAGGTCATCGCAGTTCCTGGTCAGGGGATAAGTACGTCTGTGGATACGGGCCCCAGTGGTCAGAGACTGAGTGCCCGCTGTGTGCCCGTCACTGTACTCGCGGCTTGTGAGCAGCTCACTGAGTAATAAAACCCGTATGAGTTTGGCATATGGTTACCCCATTTTACAATGATGAAACTGAGTCGTCACACAGGCTTAGGTGTTCACTTGTTCTTTTCCTGAAAGTCCACAGGCTCCCAAGCTGAGCAAGGTGCAAGGGGACCTATGTGGAGTCAGTCCAGGACAGAGCTGGCAGAGATAGCTGGGCCAGCCTGGCTCCCGCCAGTTCGTACAGCAGAACAAATGCGTCCAGCTCGATGGCTGAAGTGCTGCAACAGGTGGCTGGCAGAGGCTGACTTCATCACTCAGGCATCATTCCACCTTAGTCTCCCAGGCCACGCTACCCTTAGCAGGGGCGTTTTGGGGCCGGGGGAATGTTTCACATAACCCCTCCGGCTCACCCACATTTGCAAAGGTTTTCTCCCTGTACAAGTTGTCTTTTGGTTGGGGGCAGGGGGTGGGCTGGTTCTGGGACAATGTGAATAAAAAGATCATTTGCCCTCAGCTCTCTCTAGGGTAGGGAAATGCAGGGAATATTTGACAGAGTGTAGAAATCTTTCCTGGAGCGTTTGAACTTGAACTTGACTCTAGGATCGCCTTGCCAGGTGAAGGAGAGGAGAGCGACAAAGAGGGGCAAAGAGATGGACCGAGGAGAGCCAGGCTAGCTCTCTGCAACGACTATTGATGACTTGAAGCTATCAGTATAAATATATAGTCTCACACATTAGGGGCAGGCGAATAGGTTTTTAAAATCTGAATTGTTTATACAGGTGCAGAACAAAGTCTTTCTTTAGAAAAGATTAATGGTGAGGAGAGCGCTAGATTTCTCTAAACAGTCACAAAAACTATACCCAGCCTCAACGCTGAGGAGGTCATGGCCAGTTTCTTTATTTCTTGAAGAAATGGTCTGACCCCACCAGTTCGGGCTTATTTTTCACAGCACTCGCCTTTCCCTCCCTGTCTTCTTTCTCTGTCTTCCCCTCCCTCCCTACTTCCCTCCCTTTCTCTTCTACTCCATCTCCTCACCCTCCCTCTGTTCGCTTTCAAGAAAGTCAG
Organism: Homo sapiens; assembly: GCF_000001405.40. Lineage (NCBI taxonomy): Eukaryota > Metazoa > Chordata > Mammalia > Primates > Hominidae > Homo > Homo sapiens. The sequence continues at coordinate 71,846,661 of NC_000008.11, forward strand.
CTATTTTATTTTGTTTGTTTCATCATCTTTCATTTAACCTCCATTTCTTTCATTTTTGTGAAATTAAGTTATATTTTCACTTGTAACTCTGTTTTCAAGTTGCAGACTGGTAATGAAGGTTAGGAAATGTACCTTATATGCATTTTTTATAAGCATATAACTGCAGTTTGCTTTAACATGTTTGTAATATCTGGCATTTGGTCACCTCCTTCCACTTTCAAAGTGCTATTACTTTTTCTTCTCCTTGGATGATTACAACAGCTTCTCGAGCTGAACAGTGTAAGTATAACTCTCTCTTTTGAAAGCCCAGTGTTTTTCATGGTTTTGACAAGTGACATACTGAAATGAATAATACAGCCTTTATTTTTATCTTATAAACACACTGAAATCAATTCCTATTTGCTTATGCTTTACAAACTCTTAGATGTGAAACAGGTATAGACTGTTTGTGTGTACATCAATGGTCTTGAAATTCTTTAGTGACATTTAAAAAATATTCAATGGGGTGAGTAGGGCTTAAGTTGCATTATAAAACAAAATATTTAATAATTCTTTTAATATTACCTTTAATATTTCTTCATCCTGGCTTCCGTGCTTGCTGGATATATGACTTCTGGAATTTGCATTTTTTGAGCCCTAGTTTTCTAATCTATAAAATGGATTATCTCTCTGAGCGGAAGAGAAAGTATATGAGCAGTTGGCTAGGTCAGAGCCTGGTACATGGGAGAAGATCAGTAAATGCTAGTTAGTATTATGAATTGCCTTGCCCAATATCACACAGCTAGTAAAAGTTAGGGCAATGACCTGACCCAAGTTTTGTACTCCAGGGCCTATTCTGGGTTTCAGATAGTACCAGGGTCTTTCATTTGCTTTGACTACAGGCTGCTAGGGTCTGAAGTACATGGTCTCATCACATGACATTTTTCACAGGTCCCATGAGGGACTTCACTGAGGGAAAAATGGATGGGACGTCGTTAGAAATTTTCTTTTCGTCCCCCAAATTCTCTCACCCTAAAATTGCAGTGCTTTTCCAAGCCTTACTTTCCCTACTGGCATAAAGGATTAAGCCAGAAATCCTGCTGGTGGTGTGGTGTAGGTCAAAGGAGCATGCCCAGGTGGAACACAGATCAGTGCCTAACAGATTGAAACATTTAACAATGCAGGCTTGGTTTGTTTTTTAAAAAGGGAGCCATGAGATGGGATGATAATTACACATCATAGAAAAAAGGCCATTTGTTGCCACTTCCTTCCTCCAACAGCATATTAAGTAATGGGTGAGAAACTCTAGAACTGGGTAGGTCATGTGGACTTAGGACTCAGGAAGAGCAAAGGCTTCCTCTGTCCTCTGTGAAGGCCATGCCAAAACTATGTAGTGAGTAGGTACTTAAGAAACAGCAGTGGGACCAACCCACAGCCTCCTGTTGCCTGGAGGAATTGCCATACCTTCGGCCAATTGCCTATACTTTTGATCTAGGAAAATGAATAATCTAGATCAGCACTGGCCAATATGGAAGCCATTAGCCACATTAGGCTATTGAGCACTTGAAATGTGGCTATTCAGGTACTATAGTGTAAAATGCATAACCAGTATTGAAAACTTACTATGAATAAAAGAATATAAAAGCTCTCATTAATATTTTAAAATATAAATTTATGTCAATCTGTGAGGACATTTTGGATCTATTAGGTTAAATGAAATATATTACAAAAATTAATTTCACCATTTAAAATTATTATCATATGGTTACTAAAAATGTAGAATTAAATATACCGGTCCCATTATATTTCTATTGGACAACTCAGGGATTAATCTCATGGATTAACTATACCCCTATGGACTGAGTATCTACTGTTGGTTGTGGCAAGGTGTTGGTGAGACCCACTCTCACCCACTGGGAGGGCACATTCTTGTGGAAATAAGCTTCTCTGTATTATCCAGACTGCGTCTTACCACGTGTATTCAACCTCCTGTCTATAACACACCCCACCAGACACACACACGTGCTGGGAAAATGAACGCTCCTCCTCAGTGGTGTGTTAGTCACATGGAATGCTAGTCCCAGTGTGTGTTGGCCACGTGGCATGCTAGTCACATGGGGAGCCAGTCAGGTGGGGACAGGTCACGTGTAAGACCCAGGGTTAGGTCTGGATAACCCAAGGCCTGTCCCTTGTCTGCACAAAGCCTTGGGCTCTGCTCCAGGCTCAGGGCAGCCTCTGTCCTGGTGTTGTGCAGGATGCCACCACTCTTCAGACCAGGAAAGGAAGAAAACTCCCTTCACCCGGGCTCTACCAGCCATCAGGTTGGGCATCCATGGAAATAGTCAAAGCCTACATGTGGAGTCCTTTGTCATCCACAACACAAACAGGCCTCTGCTGCTGGTTTATTTATCTAAGGATTGCAGCAAGATTTTTTACCCTTCCCTCCGAAAGTCATGAGGCCTTAGCATGGAGAAGCCAGTGCCTGGATGGTTTGTGGAGGTTGAAGGTGGAAAAGCCAGGCTTAACAAATAAACAATGAAAAATGGGGCTGGGGGTAGGCTGGGGAGAGGGAAAGCGATAAGACTCAGCCTTTCAGGAGAAAAGAAAAACGCCCTCATTGATTGTCTTGACAACAAAAACTGTAGGCAGCTTCTGCAGGAAATTTTTTTTAAACAATATCTCTAGATTTTAGGGAGCAGGTGCTGAGGCTTAACTGTCCTGGGAACCCCAAGTTCCAACTGGAATGCTGTGTGTTTCCTGTAAATGACTTTGATTACTCAATTGGCCTAGTATAGAAGCCCAGCTTTCAGAAAGTGAAGGTGCTGTAGTGAAGTCTTCTGTAGGAGGCCTGTTTACATAATCCGTGGCCCTCCATGATGTTGGAGAATCCTGAAGGATGTTGGAGAATACTAACCCAGTCCTAGTCTGGGTTAGGAGTGTGGCTTGTAGGTCTGAAAATAATCTTATTTTGTAAACCCCTGGAACAGCCTTTCACTCTTATGCAGAAGCTAAGAAAGTTCTGTCTCAGGGGATTTTCTCCTTTTAAGTACTTGTGGTTTTATTGGCAATACCTGGAAATGTGAAAATACTCTGGTACCAAAACAGCCCTTGAAATTGTAGCACACAGCTCTGGTCTCCAGTGTGTGGTCCCAAGCCTACCTTGGTTTAATTGTGGAGTTAACCCGGGAGAGAAATATCATCCTGCCATGTGGCATGTACTGAAAAGAGCCCCTTTTGCTGTGGACATGAGGAGATCTCTGCATTTATCAGCTGAGAGGCCTCAGGCCACATACTTATACTCTTGTAGCTTGTTTCTCTGTGTATAACCCATGAAAGTTGCCAGAGTTAAATGAGATTGCCAGCATGCAGGCTCCTGTGGAAACTGTGGAGCATTGTAGAAGGTCAGTTATTACATTATTATGCCCATTCTCTCTCCTGTAGGAGCTCATGTTTTCCCTGTTCCCTCTCCCAGTAGCGGGCCTTGCTCAAAGTGCAACCCCCAGCCATGGCTCATCCCCTATAGAACACCAGCTAAATGCCTCCTGGTGCCAGAAGGAAGTTCTCATGTAATAGATACTTCCTGGTGTCACAGAACAAGGATTCTGTCCTCTTTGTCAACCAGTCCCTTAACCGACTCATCTATAAAAGAAGGGCCTAACTTATTTACGTATGACCTTTGTTTCCCTAGTCCCAAGCCCCTCTGACCTCCAATTCTAAAGTGAGCTCTAACAGATGATCAAAACAGGGAGGTATTTTAGGAAATATGCCCACTTCTCATAGTACTTTTTCCCCCTTTGGCTCATTTGTGCTACTCTGTCCAGTTAGCAGAAACAAACAAATAAACAAAAATAACCCAACTACATTCCTCTTCAGGTTTCAGTTTTAAAGGAGGAACCCTTGAGGATATTGGAAACAGAACTACTTAAGGTATTCTCATGCTTTGTTTCATCACTCCGTTCCTATTTCTTCTTACATTGCCACCTTTAAGCAACTTCCTCTAGGAAAGGGACCAACAAAATTAAAATAAGTAAGAGGAAAACAAAAAGATTAAATGGTAAACTTAATGAAGGCGGAGGCTGTGTCTTGTTCATAGGGATATCCCTAGTGTCTAGCAACTCATGAAAGGTACTACCTAAATATTTGATGGGCCAGGCCCAGTAGCTCATGCCTGTAATCCCAGCACTCTGGGATGACAAAGCAGGAGAATTGCTTAAGCCCAGGAGTTCAAGACCAGAGTGGGATATATAGTGAGGCCCCATTGCTACAAAAAATTTTTTAAACGTAGCCAGGCATGGGAGCACCACACGTAGCCCGAGCTACTCGGGAGACTGAGGTGTGAGTATTGCTTGAGTCTGGGAGGTCGAGACTGCAGTGAGCCATGATTGTAACACTGTACTACGTGCTGGTGACAGGGCGAGATACTCTCTCAAATTATTTTTTTTCCATTTAACAAAAATAAATATTTGATGATTGAAAACTCTCACCAACACATGAACACAAGCCCATCTGCACTCATAATTAACAGGAGACAGGTACTCAACCCATCATTTGTCCTTTATTTAACCAACTCAGTGTATTACTATGTGTTCTACCCACTGATAGCAGTTATAAGGACTCTTTTACATTTCTTATTAACTGAATGGACTTCTAAGGAATATTTCCTCTTATCAAATGGAGTATATATCTTTCTATTTATTATACACTGTGCTTGCCACAACGCCCAGAGGAAGTCTAAATAACTCAACAATTATATTTATTATAAACATCCCAGTAACATTCTTTTCTCTATATGAAAATGAAATAGTGCTTTTAGTACCATTTGCTACCATTTTTTTTCCTGATTGAAAAAATTCAGAATCTTCATAAAATTTCAGGGGATCACACACTTACAAAGCTTAGATTAAGGAGAGCAAAGGGCCAAGTTGTGGAGCCCTTAAAAGTGGTTAATGGTTTTAATAATTTAATGGTTAAGCAGAGAAGGGGAATTCAGAGAAAAAAGGCAGTAATCAGAGAGGCAAGAGGAAAACCAAGAGAGTAGTGTTACTGAAAGCAAGGGAGTCATTTCAGAAAGTCATGGGTGGGGACTTTCAGTTGAGATGGTCTGGTAAGACCACATTTTGAAGCGTCGCCTGTGCTCCAAACACATAGCAGTGAGAGCTAAAATGTGAAAAGAGAAAAACTAAAAATATTCAGCCATGTCCAAAAGCAAGGAAAATATCTCTTTAGACGAGGAGTGGACCAGAAAATGAATGTTAAGTAGGGATGAAACTCCTGCCAGGTCCAGGAGTTGAGTTTCTTTGCAGATGGGGAACAAAGTGGTCTCATAAATGGAGGGAGGCTGACTTGGATAACTGCTGAAATTAGGATGTGGGAGAGGGTAAGGAAGCAAAGGGAGTAAACCCAGCCTGGCCAGGATATTGGCTCCATGACTGGGTCAGTTCTGATTCATTTTTTATCTTCATGATATGTCACATATTCCTGCCTGTTTGCATGCCTGGTAACTTTTGGCTGGATGCCAGACACCATGAATTTTGCCCTTTGGGTACTGGGAATTTTTTGTATTCCACCAAATATTATTGATCTTTGTTCTCAGATGCAGTTGAGTTACTTGGAAATAATGATTTCTTTGGGTCTTTAAGATGTGTAGAAGGAACCAGAGCAGTGTTCCTTCTAGAGCTAATTGTCCCCCATTGCTGAGGCAAGACTCTTATAAGCACTCAACCTAATGCACTGGGAACATGAAATTTTCCAGTCTGGCTAGAACAGATATTATTCCTGGCTCTGTGTGAGTAGCTGGCTGTGTTCCCTTTCATCCTTTTTGGTGGTTCTTCCTTCAGCCTCTGGTAGTTTCCTCACATGCTCGTGATGATTGGCTGAATACTCCAAGGGCACCCTCTGCAGATCCCCAGGTTCTTTCTCTGTGCACCTCTCTTCCCTCTGCTACCCTGCCGGGTGAATTCTAGCTACTTTGGTCTGCCCAGCCTCTCAGGTCTGTCTTCTCAACTCAGGGAGTGTGTTTGGCTCTCCTGGGTCCCCTTGTCCTGCTCCACAGCGTGGAAACTCTGTCACGGCACCGGCTGGGACAGTTGTAGGGCTTCCTTTGTTTGTTTCCCATCTCTCAGGGTTCATTGTCCTTCATTACCTCCTGTAGAATGTTTTAAGAACCATGGTTTGATACATTTTGTCTGTTTTAGGGAAGTTTCAGGTAGAAAGTTAAGTCTTATCCCTGTTACGCAATCTTAGCCCCAGGTGGAAGCCTTTGGAATGGCACCTTTATAGGAAACGTATTTTATTTTATTTTTGTTTTGTTTTTAAGAGTGATACCTGCTTGAGCATGCTTGTATTTTGAGAGGAAGATACTGGAGAAAAGAAAGAGATTAAAGATATTAAAAATATGGGGAGGGGATTAAAGATATTAACATATGGGAAAAATATATTAAAAATATGGAAATAGTGATGGAGCAAATCCCACAGGAAATGGAGGCTGATGAGTTAGCCTTGAAGAAGAGGATGTACATATCTTTTTGCCTGAAATACTGTAGGATGTCTCTGTAGATCAGTAGAGATTTGTAATGGGAAGTTAAAGAAGTTAGTCCCTGATGGTCTCTGTTTTCTCAGTGGAATATGAATTAAAGTTGTCTACATAGAATAGGTGGGTAGACATGAGTTACTAGAATCAACAGAAATGGGAAATGTGGGGAATAACCATTCTGGAGAATATAAAAAGAGTCTAAGTAGGGGTAAGGAAATGTATTTCAAAACAGTGTTAAGGGCTTTGATGACATTGACTGATGAGCACTTATACCCATTAACAAATGTGAAGTTATCTAGCACAGTGATTCACATGGAGTGGTTTTCAGCTAGAAATAGCTGAATCTTAACAAATTAACCTGTTTATATTTTCAATAGCAAGAACTTGCAAGAATGAACTATTTATGGGACCATTAAGTTTTGATGAGGTAGAGATGCAATTTAGGAACTTGGAGTTCAGGGGAAATACTCTTGGAGATTTAGATGAAGATTCTACAGTTGGGGACCCATGGTATGCAGGAGGGAGGCAAAATGAAGCCATACTTTTAACTCTTTGGGGTAGGTGGAGAGGGAAGGATTTGCAAAGTTGCAGTATCACTATATTGCAGAAATGTTGGGGGTGCCACTGACAGAATATAATATGGAGTGATCTATATATTTCTCAGATCTTTCAGTTGTGCGTTATCTATGTAAAATGGACTTAACGACAAAATACATGAATGCATGCATACACACAGACATACATGCAAACTATTTTTCAAAACTTAGGCTCTCTGGAGATATTAGCAGATTTCTTTCAACATATTCCATAGGCATTTGGAACACAGCAAATTTAGGGTATTTTAAATCAATAATAAACTTATGATTTCTTCATTTTTGCTATAGGGAACTCATTAACATGTAGTTTAACAGGGAGAAAAAGCAGAGTATGTCAGATTGCACCCCCATACCCTTATATTCTCATTTTAAACATTAATATCCCCCATATTTTACAGATAAAGATATTGGAGTTAAGAGAGATGAAGTTCCTTGCTGAAGAATACAAAGATAATTGAAGAGGAACTCAGATGTCTAGAATGAGAGTCTAGTGCTCTTGTTGCTATATCATGTCCATTATGGTTAATTTTATGTCTCACCTTGGCTAGGCCATTGTACCCAGATAGTTGCACAAACAGTATTCTAGATTTTTCTGTGGAGTTTTTTTTTTTTTTTGTATGAGATATAAATTTAAATCACTAGACTTGGAGTAAAGAAGATTGCCTGCCGTAATATGAGTGGGTCTCATCCAATCAGATGAAGGCCGTAATAGAAAATGACTCACCTTCTAGGAAGAAGAGGGCATTTTGCCAGCAGACTGCTTTCAGACTAGAACGCAGCTCTTCTCTGGTCTCCATCCTGCCAGGCTACCCTCCAGAGTTTAGACTTGCCATCTTCCACAATCGTGTGAGCCAATTCCTTAAAATAAGTCTCTCTCTGTCCTCTCCTCTCTGACACACACACACACACACACACACCCCTTATTCATTGTGTTTCTCTAGAGTATCCTTACTAATACAATGTTCTTGGACAATGCATGTGAAATACTAGAGAATTTAATAAGCAGGCTAAGCTACAATGCCAGGCACTCTGTGCTTAACTCCAGAGTATTTAAAGTGATAGTAAATCTTCTAGTTCTTGATATTTAGCATTCGTTTTAGAAGTCATAGAAAAATAAGCTTGACCAGGGAGGAAAATGTTACAAGTAACTTTTATACTTACTTGTGACACAAAACACATTAACTTTTTATATTTAATTCTAATGTTTATACTACTTGGTTGAAAAATACTAATTTTAATTATAGTATTTTTGCTTTGATAATCATTGAACCTTTCTTTTAATTGAAATATAATTCTCATACCACAAAGTTCATACTTTAAAGATGTGCAGTTAAGTGATTTCTAAGTATATTCAAAAAGGTTGTGCAACCATCACCACTCTGTAATTCCTAAACATTTGTATCATCCCCAAACAAAACCCCATAACCATTAGCAGTCATTTCCCGTTTCTCCCTCTTCCAGATCCCCTGGCAACCACTAGTTTATCTGTCTTTGTAGATTCATCTGTTCTGGACATACTACATATATAATAATATTCCATTGAAAAACTTTCTATATAATAAGCCACAGACTTTTAATGCCTTGTTTCTTTTACTAAGCATAATGTTTTTTAAGGTTCATTCATATTTTAGCTTGCTTTTGTATTTCAATTTTATGTGACTGAATTAATATTTCATTATATATAATTATATATAACATACATATAATGATATATATATATACACACACCAAATTGTAATTATTTATTTATCAATTTATGGGCACCTGGGATATGTCCAATCTTTGGCTATTATGAATAATGCTGCTATGAATATTCATGTACAAGTTTATTGTGAACATATGTTTTCAACTGTCTTGGGTATATACCTAATAGTGGAAATGCTGGGTCGTATAGTAACTCTATGGTTAACTATTTGATAATCTATCAGACTATTTTCCAAAGTGGCTATACCATTTTACATTCTCAGCAGCAATGTAGTCTCTCCACATCCTTACCAATACTTGTTATTGTTCTTTGTTTTGATTATAATCATCGTACTGGGTGTGAAAGTTATATCTTATAGTGGTTTTGATTTGCATTTCCCTAACAGCTAATGAAGTTCAGCATCTTTCAATGTACTTGTTGTATATTTATCTATCTTCTTTGCAGAAAAGTCTATTTAGATATTTTTCATTTTTAAATTAAATTTTTTGTCCTGTTGTTGTTGAGTTATAAATGTCATTTATTATTTGTTGAATGTTTCCTCCAAATTGTATATGTCACAAACTTAATCCACAATGTGGCAGTATTGAAAGGGCCTTTAAGAGGTAATTGGATCTTGAAAGCACAGCTTTCATGAATGGATTAATCTATTCATGGATTAATAGATGAATGGGATAATGGGTTAATGGGCATGGAACTGGTGGCTTTGTAAGAAGAGGAAGAGAGACCTGAGCAAGGTTCAGCCCCATCACTATGTGATTCCAGGCCTCAAGATTCTTCAGAGTTCCCATTAGCAAGAAGGCTCTCACCAGATGTGGCCCCTTGACTCTGGACATCTCAGCCTTCATAACTATAAGAAATAAATTCCTTTTCTTCACAAATTACCCAGTTTCAGGTATTCTGTAATGAGCAGCAGAAAATGCACTAAAATACTCCCTCAGTTTTTGTTAATATAAGGATGTCTTAATTTCTTACTTAATTTTGAAGGATAGTGTGCTGAAATAGGATTATTGGTTGAAAATTTTTTTCTCTCAGCACTTTGAATATATTGCCCCACTGCCTTCTGGCCTTTAAAGTTTCTGATGGGAAATATGCAGGTGGTTTTATTGAGGATCCTTTGTAAATGATGAGATCCTTCTGTCTTGCTGCTTTCAGGATTCTCTCGTCTTTCTCTCAAAAGTTGTATTATTATGTGTCTTGGTGTGGATCTCTTTTAGTTCATCTTACTTGGAGTTTGTTGAGTTTTTTAGATGTTTGTATTCATTTATTTCATCCCATATGGGAACTTTTCAGCCATTATTTCTATAAATATTCTCTCTTTCCCATTCTCCATTCTCCTTATAGAAATCCCAGAATACATGTATTCTGTTTGATGTTGTCCCCCAGATCCCTTAGGCTCTGCTCACTTTTCTTTAAGCATTCTTTTTTCTTTTTCTTTTTAAGAGACAGTTTCACTCCGCCTCCTAGGCTGGAGTGCTGTGGCATGATTATACCTTACAACAGCCTCAAACTCCTGGGATCAAGCAGTTCTCCCACTTCAGCCTCCCTAGTAGCTAGGACTACAGGCATGTGCCACCATGTTCAGCTAATTTTTAAAATTATCTATAGAGGTAGGGTCTCACTAAGCTGCTCAGGCTGATCTCAAACTCCTGATCTCAAGGGCTCTTCCTGTTTTGAAGTGCTGGGATTACAGACATGAGCCACTGTGCCCTGTTTAAACTTTTTTTCTTTTGTTCCTCAGATGAAGTTGATTTCCATTGTCCTATCTTCACTGATTTTTTTTTCTGCCTGCTCAAATCTGCCTTTGAATCCCTCTAGTGAATTTTTTTTTTTTACTTTAGTTATTATACCTTTTAGCTCCAGAATTTCTCTTTGTTTTCTTTTTAGGTTTTCTATCTCATTGTTGGTATTGCGATTTCCCCATAAGAAATGTATTACTTGTATTACTTAGGTTTTTTGTTTGCCATGTTTTCATTTTCTTCCATAAAGGTATTTTCTAATTTTCTTTGTGATTTCTTTACTGACCCATGGGTTTTTAAATGATTGTGTTGTTTAATTTCCATAAATTTGTGAATTCCCCAAATGTATTTCTCTTACTGGATAAGTATTTTGTATTATTTCAGTCCTTTTAAATTTACTGAGATTTGTTTTATGGCCTAGAATAGGGCCTATCCTAGGGAATGTTCTGTGTATACTTGAGAAAAATGTATATCCTACTGCTGTGGGGTAGAGTGTTCCTCCAATGCCTGAAAGGTCTGCTTAATTTATGGCTTCCACTGTGATTGTAAGCTGTCAGTTTTCAAGGCTACTATGGAGCTGGAAGAGAAGAAGGGAATGGGAGTAGGACAAGTTAAAACACAGCAAAGCTTACTGTTCTTACTGATATTCAGCTGTTTTTCTTCAAAAAAAAAATACCCAGATTGCTGCAGAACTTTGGCTAATTTCTAGCATTCTGAAAATGTTGATTCTGATAATTTTGTGAGTTTTCTCATTGCTTTCATGGGGAAGATTATTTTCGCAAGTCTGTCATTTTTGCGGACATCACCTTGTCTTCCACTGAATCTTGATGTATATTTTATATATCATGAGGTCCAATTAAAAGAGCAGTAAATTAAGTACCAGTTCTCTACGTGTAGGAAGGAGAATGTTAAGAAGTTTCACATATGTTAAGAAGCTCCATATTTAGTCTTTTCTGAAGTTTCCAATTTTCACTGGCACAAGAATGAGGCAGAGCAGAGGAACCACTGGGATTCAGCAAGATTAGCTTCACATTGCTTGTCTACCACATTCTCCTATGTAAACCACACTCCTGTGCATTTATATTCTTGTCTCTCCATCTTCCTCAATAGCTTGTTTCTGACTAGTCTTTCCATGACAGAGGCTGAGTCATTCCCTTGAGAGAATCTGGCCTAAGAACAGCTGTGTCTGAAAGGCTTTCCTTCTGTATGCAAAAGGAAAAGCTAATTAGAGGGAGGGGTGGGTTTAACTGTTTGTATCTAGGATGATGACAGGTTGATATCTTCTAATCCTTTTGTAAAACAGTTTTTAGATCAATAAAAATAAATAGAATGTATTTAGTTTCTTTATTCTTATCCTTTTAGTACTTTCACATAAAAAACACAAGCCTCCCACTACGACCAAGTAGAAGTAGTCAATTAGCATATATTCTGTCAATGAATTCTGTGATGAACCCAGTTAATTTAACTCTTTAAGCAAGGACATAGTGAGTACCTAGTATGGACTAGGCATATGATTAAATTTCTGCTGCCATTCTCCCAGAATTTCAGAACTCTCCCATTCCTCCTATATCCTGCTTGTGAACCGACTATAGAATTAGCTTTATTTTTACTGTCCCTTACTTCATTCATAAACACAGGACAAAGTGATCCAGATGTCATACAAAAATCAATATTGTTTCTCTCTCCCCTTCTTTCAAACTCTCACTCTCTTTTTCTCTCTTTCACACACAGTGAAATGAAAAAACTACCTAAAAATAAGAAATGTTAGGTGAAGATAGTTTTTTTTTAGCTCACACCACTTCCTAGTCTTAGATAGGGCAACTAGAGAATGGCCATCTGTTATTTCTTTCTCTTCTTCATTGGCCTTGCTCACCATACAGAGACATGTTCCAACACTACTTTGAGATATTAAGATTGTGGGGAAATTTTCCTTTTGAAAGAGTTTACCTCTATATCAAATATGTGCAAGATATAATTTTCAAAATTATTTTATCAATTTACTTTGTAGAGTTCAGAATATCCTGGTTTAGTATTGGATTGCCAAGATTGATATCCAAGGTTTGCCTATTTACTTATTTCATCTTTGTATATAAGCCAAAATATTCTATATGCAGCTTGATACTCCCAGTTATGTGGGGGAGGGTGGGAACACTGACAGCTGCCCAGAACTGCTGCAGGGGTGGACGACTGGATGCAGGTGCACAGACTATCTCAATTTGACAGGCTTTAAGGCTTACATTATCTCTAGTGATATCCAATATCCTGTACAATGAGGTCCATAAAAACAACAGAAGCAACACAGTTATACATATTCACCAGAGCATATACCACCACAATATTTACTCAGAGCTACACAAAGATAATGTGTAATTTTTGTGATCATTAAGTTTACAGTGTCACAGCAGGTTAGAAATTAAATCATGCATCTGACATTACGATACTTTGTTAACTGCGGTTTTCTTTTTTGTCTATACTCTGTATACTACATAAAGATTAGAAGTCTTAAGTTTTCACAACAATTTCTTGCCAGAGGAGTGCAAATAAGTGCTGGAGGAATTATTTCTCTGGTTATATTTTGAAGCTGTAGAATGTTAGTGTGTCTCTCATTTTGAGATTCTATTCTCAGTGTATGCTGATCTAGTCCTGTTCTGCAACTAACTAGATCATGGACAAGTCTCTTGACCTCTGTATCTCTATTTCCTTGAATTTAATTGAATTAGTATTTCCTGCCCTGGAAGTTATCACAAGGTGGTTTTGAGAATGAAGTGATAAGAATGCATGTGAAAGTAATTTGGAAATGACTATTAGAGGTAGATAAGAGTGAAAACTTACCTCTCCTCCTTGCTAGGTTCTAACCTACAGAGAGAAGTACTAGTCAAATGGGGGCTCAAATTATCATCTTTTTAGGCAAAGAAGTAGTCAATAGAATTCAGGGATCCGAGAAAAGTAGATTAGAGAATGTGACTTAGATCTAAGTCCAAAAGTAGGTCCCCTTCCCCCTAGTCCAGAGAAAAACCTCTGTATTTTCAAAGTAAGTCAAGGGTTCTGTGCAGCCTTCCAGTCCACCTATGGCAAGTTCAAGGACTGCTTCTGAAAGGCAGGAGGAACTGGAATGCAGAGAGAACAGCATACCTCCCCACTGAGCTGAGCAAGCCCTCCCAAGGTGGGTTAGTACTCAGAGACATGAAATGCAAAGGTGTGCACCAGGGAAGGAGAGGGATCTTACTGCATGAGCACAAGACCATCAAAAAGAATTATATTTTGTGCTACCAGTGAGCAGTACCCTGTAATCCCATCAAGTAGGGAAATAGGCTCTAGTGGAAGTGAAGCTCTTACCAAACAGATTAGCACCTCCCTTTCTTGTGAGGAGGAACAAGCAGAAGAAAGAGACTGGAGTGATGACTTCATTGCTTTCTGGAAGAGATTGGGAGCTTCCCCCTCTATGTATGAATGTGTGAAGAAGAGCAAGAGTCCTCCTCCCACACAACCATTGGAATGAGGTATGCAAATAAGTATGCAAATAGGGTTTGCTTTATAGGGTTTGTCTCAGTGAAAAGTCCAAAGAAATTGGTTATAGAAGGTGCCTTAAAGGTCACTTAAATATTCCCCTCATTTTATAGTAAGAAGGGGCCAAGGGCAGGTTGGTCACTAGCTCAGAAATTGACTAATTCTCAGAAAGAGGAATTGGTTCAGAAAATAGAACCCACACCAGGTGGGTAGGACTTTGGTGGGGGCCCTGGGCTGCCAGAAAGCAGCATAAGAACACTGGGTCCTCTGGGGACCCAAGGGAGTTTGCTCTTAAACAGGGGAGGGGAGAGCAGAATGGATGTAGAGGAGAGGAAGATTATAAATTTGTTTAATGTAATTTCCTATAAATATTAAATTACACCACTGATTTAGATAATCAAGATAATATCAGGTCATAAGCATGGTTTATGTTGTATAAATAAGGAATATGTATTTCTTTCTTCCTCCCCTTTGAAGGCTTGTTTTCTTCTTTGTAGCATTTACCCTCCACTTATTACGATGGGAACAGTACTAGGCTTCCATCTGGGAGCAGCCACTCTCATTCCACGTGGCAAAAGTGGGGCTGGCCCTCTCCCAAGGCTGTTGGGAAGTCTGCTGACTAAGACCTGGCCATTCAGAACACTTCATTTCTCTGACCACAGGAACTGGTTTAGGGAAGGTCATGTGATCCAACCCAAGAAAAGGACACCCTTTTACTGGTCCTCTTGGAAATGAAAATTCCTTTTGCTGAAGAGTTTATAGCTGAGATGCTGTGATATAAACTTAGAGCTGAAGTTGGCCATCTTGCCACAGTGAGGAGGGAGTTGAGTTGAGAATAAGGCTGGCCCAGAGTAAAGCAAAGCTGAACGATGGAAAGAACGTTATTTCTTGTGATGTTTTTGAGCATCTTAATCAGGCTTGTGCAAAGTCAGCATCCCACTACAATTTTCAGTTACATCAGCCTTACAATTCTATACTCTCCTCTGATTTTGTTTACAGCTGTTTAAATAATATTTCCGTAAGTCAAATTCAAAATAACCTTGACTCTTTCTCTTTAGAAACTCTCAAACATGTTACCTGTGAGTAACATTTCCCTTTTCTCCTCTATTTCTGCTTTTTATTCACCTAAATATATTCTAACCTGAATAATAAAGCAGAAATTTATATCCATTTATCAAAGATTAGGAGGAACAAGTAAAAGAAGAGAAACTAGAGTGATGACTTCACTACTTTCCAGAGCAAGGAAGACATTGAAAGCTTCTCCAAGTAGGCTGTTCTATTTTTCACCATTTTTTTTTTTTTTTTGCCCAAGACCCTTTTTAAGCTCATAGTGTAGAAATATCGCAGTAGGAAGATATTTTGCAGTTATTTATTGCTGTGTTACTACTCTGTAACTTCGTGGCTTACAGCAGCAATCATTCTGTCATATATAATCATGTTGTCTGTCATGACTTTGACCAGGAACCAGCTGGATAGCTTTTCTTTTCCACATGGCCCCAACTGGGGTCACCTGGAGACATTCACCTGATTACTGGCCTTGTCTGGACAGTCTAAAATGGCTTATGCATGGCCTCTTGGAGGGGATGGCTGGAAGGCTGGGTTGCACCGGGGCCACTTCCCATTTAGTCTCAGAGCTTCTTCACATGTTCTTTCTTGGTGGATCAGGGCTTCATGAGTGAGTATTGCACGACGTCTTAAATGTAAGCTGTAAGACTTCTTGTTATCTAGACTCAGAAGTCCCAGGATGTCATATATACCTCATACTATCAGTCAAGCAAGTTACTAATGCCAATCCAGAGTCAAAGGGTAAAAGAATTAGACAGTTCAACTCCATCTTTCAATGAGAGGAGCAGCAAGCAAGATTTGCAGCCATCTTTAATCTACCCCTAGGTGATATAGTACAGTTGAAAGAGGCTGAACTCTGGGGTTAGACAAACCTGTCTAAGAAGGGCTTCATTACTCCTCGCTGTGATTTCTTAGCCTCAATTTGTAAAATAGGGGGCAATAAAACCTCTCTCATAAAGTTTTGAGAATCAAGTGAAATAATTTGTGTTAAGTGCCCTAGGATAGTGCCTGGCACATAGCAGTCACTCAGTAAATTATAGTTTGATCTCTTTAGAGAGATTCACCTTTTGAATACAGCATATAAGTTCCCTTTCTATCAAGAGTAGAGTCCCTCTCAATTGTAATATGTTATTAAATGTGCTGAGATTTTGTATCCATCTGTTAATTCTCACTGTGTGGAGGCATTTTGGGTGGTCAAAAGCTATTAATGAATTCTAGCTGCCTTTTCTTGGTTCCAGAGATAACATTATTGCTGTTAATAATTTTCAGACTGTTGCAGATAGTATGAATCTGTCTGGGGATGGAGTCATTTGTTTTGTAAAGAAATAGTTTCATCAAAAGTTAATAAATTCAGCATCTTTCTGCAAGACTGCTGTTTTCTTTCAGCATGGGGATTTTGCAGTTCACTATTGCTTTTGCCACAGACTAGGCACATCAGAGCTGGGTACATTTCAACCATGGGCTCTCACTGAAGAGTGAGAAGATCCAGTTGAGTGCTCAACAATGCATCTGTGTTGAAATCTCATCAATTACATCTGGAATCCTTAGTCAGCCTCAGAATTTTCTTGGTATTGACATCTGTTCAAAGAGGTTGTTCTATATTTGTAAAGTCCCTTCCTCTTGAGCCACAACCCACCCCCTCCCTTTATGTCATTCTAATAATAATAAATTGGCAGTACATGCTGGCTATTTGGGATGGAAATAAATTTTATGTTTCTAGCATAATGGGAAAAAAGAAGAGACATACATAATACTCATACTTGGAATTACTAGGCTCTGGAAACCATTATTGCTATATCCACAGCCAAGTCTGTGGGTTTACACTTGGCATATGAATTCCTAAGTGTTACTGCTGAAAGTTATGTTCAGGGGGTGTTAATAAATTATGAGTTTTCTGTAGTGTAAGGCTTAATGTTTTGTTCAGTGTTTTGCATAAAATTGCTGAAAAGTATCATGATTAGTATATGGGTCTTGTCATCATTTTTCAGTTGTTTGAAAAACTTAGTGCCTTTTAAATGTTCCCACTTAAAGTTTTGTAAAATAGTCATCCTTTTATTCTCTTTGCTTGTTCCTTAAGATATTTGTGTTTCTACTTCTTTAAGTCATCTCATGTTGCAATATTGAGGCAATCTGGAATGTGGGTTTCCAAACTGTGCCTTGAGCAGCCAGCCAGCTGGGAGCCCTGCACAGATATCATGCTTCACTGCTGTGGGAAAACTGAAACCCTTCTCAACACTAATGACCTCTATGGTTCATAAATTCAAAGAAAAGAGATAGAAATTCTAATTGTAGCTATTGAAATCTCACTTTCTATTCTTTTAAAGATGTTTCAACTCAAGTGTTTAGATGAAACAAGAGAAAGGATGATAAATTATTATTTTAAAAATTGATGGTAGCACCAGTTAGATCCATAACAGATTAAACAAGGTATTACATATATCATCTATCTTACTTCAAAATTTAATCTTAATTTAGGTAAGAATATAGCTTTAAGAAGGCATATTTTGGATGGGAAATAACATTCATTTGCCTACTGATATGTCCACATAATATTTCTGATAATGCATGTATCAGACTAAATTTCTAGGAAGGAAAAAAAACAGATTGAATTTTACCTCATGAAATGCCTCACAGTACCTGTCAAGCCATCTGAACTGTGTTTACTCCATTGATTTATAGATATAGTAAGACCTCTTCTCTTACATGGAAATGTTCATGAAATAATAATTGTACAGTGCTTTAAATCGCTTCAAAATATACACATTGCTCCCCAAATTCAAATATATGTACTAATTAAGTCTCATATAATACATACGATAATTTCCCTTCATAATTACTTCAAAGCAACACAATTTTTGAATATATATGAGTCCTATTAACTGAAATATTTCCCTCACTTCCACTTTATCAACTTTCTAACTTTCCATTTATTTTCTCTGTTTGGATACATTTCATCACACAGACATAATAAGTAGTTACACACTAATGGAAAAACAGTCACATTGAACCAAATAAAGCAAGTGAAGGAAAGAATTAGCTAAGAAAATTTGTGGTGTTTTATGGGTGAGATGGCGTATACAATATCTAACATCGTGCCTCACATTATCATAACTCACAGCCTTCTTGCTTTCTTAATGAGTGACAATAGCAAATCTGGAAAACATCTGCCTTGAAAAAGAACACTAAGTGCTCTCAACTTAAAAAAAAATGTTTTTCGGCTATTACTCTATATAAGCCATGCGTATCATATTGTGGTATGAGATGTCTTAGTTGCAAGAAATCAATATTCTCATGTTTGATTTCAAATTGTATAGAACAGGATCCCAGCATAATTCAAGTCATTGTGAAGCCACAGTTGGAAAAAAAGAACATGATTTACTATTAGCAAATCTTCAACAGTGCTGCCCAATTTCCCACAATGATTATGATTTGGTGAAGGAAGTTTAGCAAGCTATTGCATTTTTTTGTGCAATCTAAAAAGAAAATATGCAACATAAAAAGAAAAACTGCATGAATTGCATGAACAAAATATGCACTCATGGGCATAGCTGACCTTTTCAATTGGCAGACATGTTTTGGCTACACAATTCAATATATATTCCTTAAATCTCATTACCACTGCAATGGCAGCTGTAGTTACAATAAGTTTATCAACATTCCTGCCTGTGTTTCTATCATGAACAAGTATAGTCTCCTTTTTCCCTCACTATCAATAGATAAGTGTTTGTAAGATGAAAGCATGACACTTCTAGAAGAAGGAAGAAGAACAAATTCCAGTATCAACTTATGCATTGCATTGATCTACCGAATTTTTCCAAGTGGGTCTGAAAGTTAAAAATAGCTGTTCATTTTTATTTCTCCTTAAAGTGGGAGGTGAGATCACAGTAGAGAAACTGCTTTTCACTTCAAATACATGCTGTCATTGTATTAGTACTATTTTTAATTTCTAAACTGTTACAAAAACATGGGGTTTGGCAAACTGTTAATAATTTATTTCCTGGATTGTAAGATGAATTTGATCATGGAAAAGAATTTGTTTCTGGTCTATCTCAGATATTTGTCATCATCTTTTTGTTTTTTATTTTCTCATTGCAGTCGTGATGCATTATTATAACAAAGTGTGAAAATTTTCATTCAAGAGTGACTTTATCCAAGACATTATCTCATAGAACAGCTGGTATCCTTGTTTGGATTGACCCTGAACCATAGAAAAGTTCGCCTTTGTTATAATGAGAGCAGCATCTGAATTATTTATTTTAGCCATTTAGTTCTTCATCTATTGTTATGTTTGATAAAATAATTCACATAAGCTGACGATAGAGTTTTTCCATATACCGGGTATTAAATTACACATTCAGTTTAACCTCAAATGCTCTTTAACTATCCAAAATGCTTTGAAATCATGCTGGTCATAATTTTATTTACATATCTTTTTTTAGATAATTCTGTTTAGCTCAAAGCATAAATAGATTTAAAATTTTAATCTTATTAGTTCCAGAAGATAATCCTAGGGGTGTATAAAGAAGACTGAGCCAAGTTTAATGGTAGCTTTTGAATATTTTAGACTGAACAGAATCATATACTGTTTACAGTTGCAGTTTGCATGCAGGTGCATTGTGGGAAAGTAACCCATCAGTGAAAGTCACACGTGTTCTTTGGTTCAAGTTTTTTAGTCACATAGTAAGAAATTAACAATGCTGTATTTGTTTTCTTTTTAATATTTCTCATATTTCTTACTCTCATTCTGTAGGAATGCATTCTAATCCAAGGACACATTCTCATACATTCATTAATCCTTGTGCTCCAAAATGATTCACATGAAAACTCAAAATCAGATGGTTTCATGTGTTCCAACTTAGCTTTTGCTAAAACAGGCGTCATCCTTGGACTTGTCATCTGCTGAGGTATTGAATTCCCTATTTCACTCAATTACATGATCTTAAGAATGTGGCCATTTGCCATATCTGTCTCAACTTTGAACACATGTTTTTGCATCTAACTATTCAGCTTCAGGAATCCCTCAATAATAAATGACCTGCAGGAGGAAAGAGTAAATCATTTAAAGAGCTACCTAAATAATACATTAAAATATTGTTTATGTTTAACAATAAAGCATTATAATACAATCTTCCTGCTAAGAACAAGTTTTAACTCTCTAAAGCATGCTACTGCAGTATCTGAGTTACAAATTAATTGTTTAAATAGCAGATTTTTTTATAAGAAGAATTTTTATTTCTTTAAGTTTTAATCAGGGTGATATTTTTATAGAAAATAGTTGTCATATTCTAATTTAAAACAGGATCCTGATGTGGAATATTATAATTGCATAAAATTTATTGCCATGTGTATATATTGTATTACTTAGTTTTCTTCTTAAAATGAAGTATACAATATGTTTGTTTCAGATATTTATAATTAAATGATAAAATCAAATTAAACACATCCTTGTCTCCTCTGATAAACTTAAAAGTGACTGAGGGCACAGAATGTGTCCTATTCATTCCTCAGATGCAGAAATGACTAGGACAGGGTTTGGCATATAGTACATGCTCATTAAGTGTTACTGAATTGATTTGAATATTTTGTCAGATGTAAAATATCTATTTTATTTGTGATCATACAACTTTAGACTAAAGGATAAAATGTAAGACTTTAAGATTGTACCAGGTGTGTGCGGTGGCTCACGCCTGTAATCCCAGCACTTTGGGAGGTCAAGGTGGGTGGATCACCTGAGGTCTGAAGTTCGAGACCAGCCTGACCAATATGGTGAAACCCCTTTTTTACTAAAAATATGAAATTAGCTGGGTGTGGTGGCATGTGCCTGTGGTCCCAGCTACTTCGGAGGCTAAGGCAGGAGAGTCAATTGAACCCCAGAGGTGGAGGTTGCCATGAGCCGAGATCATGCCACTCCACTCCGGCCTGGGTGACAGAGTGAGACTCTCTCAAAATAAAAAAAAAAAAAAATTGTAGGCCCTTTAACCCCTTTACATTTATTCACTCCTTTATGAGAAATATTATGTAGGATGGGTCAAATTGCCTCTTTGTAGAAAAAGATTTCTGATTTCAGCTTGGAGATTAAGAGAGCTGGAACTACCATTCCTCCAACCTAAAAACAAGAAAAACAAAAGCTGTCAGGTTAGAAATTAATCAATTTTCTTGAACCCATGAGATAACTGAGCTTGCACGGTAAAACCTACCCTGAAATCTGGGAAGAGACAAGTGTCTGCCAATAAGTTGCCAATTCGAATAATCTAGTAAGAAGATCAGCTAGAAATATTTAATGAACTGCTAAAACCTGAGTATAATTGTGAAGTCTCTGGGGGCTGGGTGTGTGTGTGGGGGGTCACATCATCTTGCAGGATATTCCTGTACAACTCAATCAGGCATTCATGAGGAAGACTGGGAAGAAGCCTAAGAAAACTTGCCCTGTGACACTGGCTGGAGCAGGGGATCTAGAAGCCATAGCAGTAATACTGCCAGACTCATCTGTATCATCTCAAAGGAAAAAAAGCCTTACTGTGCAGGGAGAAGTGAACAAAACTGTAGACTGAGGACTCTGGGGAAAGGGGAGAAGACGTGCTTGTCCTAGTATTGCCTCTGGCGAAGGAGCAGGGATGTTTGTTAATGTCACAGCCCCAAGACTGAGGTTCTCAATGCCCATCTAAAGCTGAGGCCTAATAAGGATATCAGAGAATACCTCCTCCCCTTACCCCCCTGACCTCCATCATCCTACCAAGTGTCAGATAAAATTAAGAGTGGAATACGGCTGGGATAACTGCAAGAGACCAATTCTCTATTGCATAAAGGAAAAACTTAAGCCAAATGGGGAGACCCAAAACCAACAAGGAAGTGATCTTTAAACCCAGCCTTACTTCTGATTAGATTAACATGAACCCCTACACTACAGGCCTAACAGAAGGAAAAGTGTGCTCTTCTCTAAGAATAAACAAATTTTTGCCTTAGTCAGATCAGGCTGCTAAAACAAAATACCATAGACTGGATGGCTTAAATAACAGATATTGATTTCTCACAGTTCTGGAGGCTGGAAGTCTGGGATCAGGGTGCCAGCATAGTTGGATTCTCATTGAGGGTCTTTCCAGCTTGTGGATGGGTCTCTTCTTCCTGTATCCTCACATGGTGGGGCAGGGGGAGTGGAGAGGAGAGAGAGAGGGAGAGAGAGAGATATGGTATCTTCTAAGGGCACTAATCTCATCACGAGTACTCTACTCTCATGTCTTCCTTTAAACCTAATTACCTCCCAAAGTTCCACCTCCTAATACTATCACATTGTGGGTTAGAGTTTCAAAATATGAATTTTGGGGGAGTACATAGTACATAACAATATGTATATCAATATCTGTCACCTTGCATATGTCCAACCATCAACAAAAGCTTTATGAAGCATACAAAAAGGCAAAAAAGTAGTCTAACTTGATAAAGGAGTCAACAGAGCCAGACAAAGACATTACATAGATGTTCGAACAATCAGATGGGGAATTTAAAACAACTATAGTTACCATGTTAAAGTAATTTTTAAAAATTTACTTTTCTTTTAAAATATTTTATTAATTACATAACATAATAGGGGTAACATGAGTAAAAGCATAAACATACAAATTGCAAAGATATATTTTGGTGTCATAATTTTATATAATGCAATAAATAAGAATACTCTTTAATGTGGTACCTTGATTGATCATAAAGTTTTCCTGGCTCATTTTTCTGCAAAATCACATCCACAGTTCATTTTCTGCAAAAGTCAAAAAGGTCATCAAAATTTTTACCTTTAGGAACTTCATTTTCAATCAAGATACTTGAAGAGACATCAGACTTTTTTTCTAATTGCGAATCCTGCTGTACCTTAAAGAAACTTGATATATAATATTTGTACATATTTATGGGGTACATGTGATGCTTTGTTACATGCGTAGAATGTTTCATGGTCAAGTCAGGGTATTTTGGATATCCATCACTTTGAGCATGTATTATTTGTTGGGAACACTTTAAGTCCTCTCTTTTAGTGATTTTGAAATATGCAATACATCGTTGTTAACTGTAGTCACTATACTCTGCTATCAAACATTAGAACTTGTTCCTTCCAACTGTATGTTTGTACCCATTAACCAACCTTTCTTCATGCCCTTCCCCAAACCCCATCTGCACATTTCCCAGCCTCTGGTGCTATCATTCTACTCTCTGCCTTTATGAGATGATATTCATCTTTCTGTGCCTCACTTATTTCACAATGACCTCTAGCTCTATCCATATTTTTGCAAATGACAGTATTTCATTATGTTTCATTATGTTTTATGGCTCAGTAATAGTTGTGTATATATACCACATTTTCTTTATCCTTTTACCTGTTGATGGACACTTAGGTTGATTCCATATCTTTGCTATTGTGCATAGTGCTGCAGTAAATGGGGGTACAGGTATTCCTTTAATATACTGATTTTTTTTTTTTTTTTTGAGACGGAGTCTCACTCTGTTGCCCAGGCTGGAGTGCAGTGGCGCGATCTCGGCTCACTGCAACCTCCACCTCCCGGGGTCACGCCATTCTCCTCCCTCAGCCTCCGGAGTAGCTGGGGACTACAGGCGCCCGCCACCATGCCTGGCTAATTTTTTGCATTTTTTTTTTTTAGTAGAGATGGGGTTTCACCGTGTTAGCCAGGATGGTCTCAATCTCCTGACCTTGTGATCCGCCTGCCTCGGCCTCCAAAAGTGCTGGGATTACAGGCATGAGCCACCTTGCCTGGTCCACTGATTTTCTTTTCTTTGGATAAATATGAAAGAAAAGGATATTAGTGTGGATTGCTGGATCGTATGATAGTTCTGTTTTTAATTTTTTGAGAAATCTCCATACTGTTTTCCATACTGGCTATACTAATTTACATTCCTACCAACAGCGTATAAGAATTCCCCTTTCTCCACCTCCCTGTCCACATCTGTTATTTTTTGTCTTTTTGGTAATAGCCATTCTAACTGGGGAGAGATAATATCTTACTGTGGTTTTGATCTGCATTTCCCTGATGATTAGTGATGTGGAGCATTTTTTTATATGCCTGTTGGCCAGTTAGTTGTATGTCTTCGTTTGAGAAATGTCTAATAAGATCCTTTGCCCAGTTATTAAGGGATTTTTTTTTTTTTCAGCTGAGTTGTTTAAGTTCCTTGTATATTCTGTATATTAGTCCTTTATTGGTTGAATAGTTTAAAAATATTTTCTCCCACTCTACAAGTTGTCTTTTCATTCTGTTGATTTTTATTTATTTATTTATTTTTTGCTGTGCAAAAGCTTTTTAGTTCAATTTGTCTGTTTGTCTATTTTTTGTTTTGTTGCCTGTGCTCATAGCAAAAACTTTGAACCATAAAGTCTTTGCCTAGATCAAGGTCTTGGCAAGTGTTTTTCCTATGTTTTCTTCTAGTAGTTTTATAATTTTGGGTATTATGTTTAAGCCTTTAGTCCATCTTGAGTTGATGTTTTTATATGATGAGAGATAGGAATCCAGTTTTATTCTTATGCATTTGGATAAGAACAATTTATTGAAGTTTATGTTCTTTTCCCAATGTATGTTCTTGGTGGCTTTGTCAAAAATTGGTTGGCTATAAATATGTGGATTAATTTCTAGATTCTTTATTCTTTTCCATTAGAATGTGTCTGATTCTATACTAATGTTATGCTGTTTTGATTACTATAACCTTGTAATATAATTTGAAGGCAGGTAATGTGATGCCCCCAGCTTT
The DNA here is from genome assembly GCF_000001405.40 of Homo sapiens. Lineage (NCBI taxonomy): Eukaryota > Metazoa > Chordata > Mammalia > Primates > Hominidae > Homo > Homo sapiens. The sequence goes on from NC_000008.11 coordinate 71,871,522, forward strand.
ATTCTTTTTGTTTTACGTTGCTTTGGCTATTGAGGCTCTTTTTTTTGATTCTATGCAAATTCGAGGATTGTTTTTTCCTATTTCTGTGAAAAATGTCATTGATATTTTGATAGGGATTGAATTGAATCTGTAGATTGCTTTGTGTAGTATGATCATTTTAACAGTATTAATTCTTCCAATCCATGCGTATGGGATGTCTGTCAATCTTTCTGTGTAATCTTCAATTTTTTCCATCAATGCTTTATAGTTTTCCTTATAGAAGTCTTTCACCTACTCGATTAACTTTATTCCTAAGTATTTTTTGTTGTTGTTCTTATTGTAAATGGGATTACCTTCTTGATTTCTTTTTCATTGTTGTATGGAAATACTACCGATTTTTGTACTCTTCAACTTCACTGAATTTGTTTATCAGATCTAAGCATTTTTTTGGTGGAGTCTTTAGGTTTTGTAAATATAAGATCACATTATCTGCATACAAGGCTAACTTCATTTCATCTTTTCTAATTCGGATGCCTTTAATTCTTTCTTTGGCCTGGCTCCTCTGGGTAGGACTTAACAGTATTATGTTGAATAGGAGTGATGAAATTGGGCTTCCTTGTCTCATTGCAGTTCATAGAGGAAAGGCTTTCTGCTTTTCCTCACTTAGTATGATATTTGCTGTGGGTTTTGTCATATATGGCCTTTGTTATGTTGAGGTATGTTCCTTCTATGCCTCATTTGTTGGATTTTTATTACGAAGGTTGAATTTCATCAAATGCTTTTTCTGATCTGTTGAGATGTGATATACTTTTTGTCCTTCATTTAGTTGATGTGATGTATCATGTTTATTGATTTGCATATATTAAACTATCCTTGTATTCCTGGAATAAAACCCACTTGATTATGGTGTATCAACTTTTTGATGTGCTCTCAGTTATGGTTTGCTAGTATTTTGTCAAGGATTTTTATGTCCATGTTCAGCAGGGATATTAACCTGTAGTTTTCTTTTTTCCTTGTGTCCTTGTCTGGTTCTGGTATTAGAGTAATACTGGCCTTATAGAATGAGCTAGAGAGAATTCCCTCCTCTTCAATTTTTTAGAATAATTTGAGGAGAATTGGTGTTAGTTTTTTATAAGTTTTGTAGAATTCAACAGTGAAACCAAGTAGTCCTCTGGGATGTACTTTTTCTTAGAAATTTTTATAATTGATTCAATTTTGCTATTCATTATTGACTTGTTTGGGTTTTCTATTTCTTCCTGATTCAGCATTGGTACATTGCATGTGTCTAGGAATTTATCCACTTCCTCCAGGTTTTCTAGTTTTTATAGCATATAGTTGTTTATAATAGTTTCTGATGATCTTTTCTATTTATGTGATATCAGTTGTAATGTCTCTCATTTCTGATTTCATTTGGTTTTCTCCCTTTTTTTCTTGATTAGTCTAGCTGGTGATTTATTGAATTTGTCTATCTTTTCAAAAAACAACTTTTCGTTTTATAGATTCTTTGCAATTTTTGGAAATATATTTCTTTAGCTCTCCAATGATCTTTTTTATTTCTTTCCTTCTAATTTTGGGTTTGGTTTGTTTTGGATTTTTTCCAGCTTTTTGAGACACATTGTTAGGTTGTTTATTGGAAATATTTTTAGTTTTCAATGTAGACGTTTATTGCTATAAACTTTTCTGTTAGCACTGCTTTTGCTAATTGCATAGGTTTGTGTTTGTTGTGTTAACAATTTTAATTTGTTTCAAGTTTTTCTATTTCTTCTTAATTTCTTCATTGACCCAGTGACTGTTGTTTAATTTCTCGGTATTCGTACAGGTTCCAAAGTTTCTCTTGTATTGATTTCTAGTTTTATTCCATTGTGATCTAAAAGCATTTTATTCCATTGTGATCTAAAAACATTGTCGAGACTGGTTTTGTGTTTAAACATATGCTCTATCTTGGAGAATATTCTATTTGCTGATGAGAAGAATGTGTATTTTGCTGTTGGATAAAATGTTTTGTAAATTTCTGTTAGGTTTGTTTGGGGGTGTAAAGTGCAGTTTAAATCTAATGTTTCTGCATTGATTTTCTGTGTAGATGGTCTATCTAATGCTGAAGTGGGGTGTTAAAGTGCCCAACTATTTTGTTGGAGTCTATCTCTCCTTTTAGGTCTAATAATATTTAGATATTTAAGTGCTTCAGTGTTGAGTACATATATATTTAGAATTGTTATATCTTCCTGCTAAACTGAAGCCTTAATCCTTATATAGTGCCCTTCTTTGTCTCATTTAACTGTTTTTGACTTAAATTCTGTTTTATGTGATGTAAGTAGAGCTACTCCTACTCACTTTTTGTTTCCATTTGTATGGAATATCTTGTCTCATTCCTTTCCTTTTGGTCTGTGTATGTATTTACAGGTGAGGTGAGTTTGTTGTAAGCAGCAAATAGTTGGGTCATTTTAAAAAATCCATTCAGATAGTCTGTATCTTTTTTAATGGTCAGTACAGATGTAATTTTTATTTTTTTCAAATATTTTTGATTCATAGTTGGTAGAATCCACAGATATGGAACCTACAGATAGGAGGACAGACTGTAGATAATATAAACTTTAGTATCCAAACCAGACAAGAAACAGTGTAGAAAATATGGAGCTACCTCATTTATGCATATAGATGTTAGAATCCCATCATTAGTACATATCTGAATGTATGAATTTCATAAGCATAAGTGAAAAGCTAACTCAGAAATTTTATACAACATGATATAATTTTTGAAGGCTTAAAACACAAAAGTAAACATTTTGCTTGGAAATGCATGCATTCATTCATGAAAACATTTAGAATTATGGACACCTCTCAGGAAGGGAGGGAAATGCAATATTTGAGGACACATGGCAGAGATTCTTTTCTTATACCATTCTCTGTCTTTAGCCGGATAGTGACTGTTTGAAATTATTTTTTTGTAGCTTCAAATACTTTTAGAGTTAGAAAGAACCTTTGAAATAAGCCTGTTTTCTAAATTTCACTCATGAATAAACCAGGCTCAGAATTTCTAAATTCATTACATATGGTTGTACAAAATTATCCAAGCTTCTTGCTATTTTTTTAAAATTTTATTTTAATTTCAGGGGTATATGTACAAGTTTGTTATTTTGGTAATATGATTTGGCTCTTAGTCTCCACCCAGATCTCACATCGAATTGTAATCTCCATGTATTGAAGGAAGGTTCTGGTGGGAGGTGATTAAATTATGGGAGCAGACTTCCCCCTTGCTGTTCTTGTGATGGAGTTCTCATGAGATCTAGTTGTTTGAAAGTGTGTAGCACTTCCCCCCTTCTCTCTTTCTTCCTTCTGCTTCCACCATGCAAGTTGTGTGGGCTTTTACTTCCTCTTCTGTCATAATTGTAAGTTTCCTGAGACCTCCCCAGCCATGCCTCACGTACAGCCCTCAAAACTGTCAATTAAACTTCTTTTATTTATAATTTACCCAGTCTCAGGTAGTTCTTTATAGTAGTGTGAGAATGGCCTAATACAATTGGTAAACTCATGTATGGGGCTTTGTTTTTACAGAATATTTTGTCACCCAACTATTAAGCCTAGTATCCATTACTTATTTTTTCTGATCCTCTCCCTTCTTCCACCCTCCATCCTCCAGCACCCATATCTGTTGTTCAACTGTACATGTCCATGTGTTCTCATTATTTAGTTCCCACATATAAGTGAGAATATGCAGTATCTGGTTTTCTATTCCTGCATTAGTTTGCTAAGAATAATGGCCTACTGCTCCATCCATGTTCCTGTAAAGGATACAATCTCATTCTTGTGTATGGCTGTGTAGTATTCCATGGTGTATATGTACCACATTTTCTTTATCTGGTCTATTGTTGATGGATATTTAAGTTGACTCCATGTCTTTGCTATTGTGAATAATGCTGCAATAAGCACACATACATGAATTTTTATGATAGAATAATTTATATTCCTTTGGGTATGTAACCAGTAACAAGACTGCTGGCTTAAATAGTAGTTTGGTTTTTAGGTCTTTGAGAAATCACCACACTGTTTTCCACAACAGTTGAACTAATTTACACTTACACCAACAACGTATAAGTGTTCCTTTTTTTCTGCAACCTCACCAGCACCTGTTAGTTTTTTACTTTTTCACAGTAGCCATTCTGACTGGTGTGAGATGTTATCTTATTGTGGTTTTGATTTGCATTTCTCTAATGATCAGTGATGTTGAACTTTATTTTCATAAGCTTGTTGGCTGCATGTCTGTCTTCTTTTGAAAAGTGTCACTTCTTGAAGAGGTCCTTCACATCCCTTGTAAATTGTATTTCTAGGTATCTTATTCTCTTTGTAGCAATTGTGAATGGGAGTTCACTCATGATTTGGCTCTCTGTCTATTATTGGTGTATAGGAATGCTGGTGATTTTTGCACACTGATTTTGTATCCTGAGACTTTGCTGAAGTTGCTTATCAGCTTAAGGAGATTTTGGGCTGAGACGATGGGGTTTTCTAAGTATACAATCACGCCACCTGCAAACAGAGACAATTTGGCTTCCTCTCTTCCTATTTGAATACGCTTTATTTCTTTCTCTTGCCTGGTTGCCCTGGCCAGAACTTCCAATACTATGCTGAATAGGAGTGGTGAGAGAAGGCATACTTGTCTTGTGCCTGTTTTCAAAGGGAATACTTCCAGCTTTTGCCCATTCAGTATGATATTGGCTGTGGGTTTGTCATAAATAGCTCTTATTATTTTGAGATATGTTCCATTAATACTTAGTTTATTGAGAGATTTAGCATGAAGGGATGTGGAATTTTATTGAAGGCCTTTTCTGCATCTATTGAGATAATCATGTGGTTTTTGTCATTGCTTCTGTTTATGTGATGGATTATGTTTATTGATTTGCGTATGTTGAACCAGTCTTGCATCCCAGGGGTGAAGCCGACTTGATCGTAGTGGATAAGCTTTTGAGGTGCTGCTGGATTCAGTTTGCCAGTATTTTATTGAGGAGTTTCACATCAATGTTCATCAGGGATATTGGCCTGAAATTTTCTTTTTTTGTTGTGTCTCTGCCAGGTTTTGGTATCAGGATGATGCTGGCCTTATAAAATGAGTTAGGGAGGAGTCCCTCTTTTTCTACTGTTTGGAATAGTTTCAGAAGGAATGGTAGCAGCTCCTCTTTGTACCTCTGGTAGAATTCAGCTGTGAATCTGTCTGGTCCTGGGCTTTTTTTGGTTGGTAGGCTACTAATTACTGCCTCAATTTTAGAACTTTTTATTGGTCTATTCAGGGATTCTACTTCTTCCTGGTTTAGCCTTAGGAGGGTGTATGTGTCCAGGAATTCATCCATTTCTTCTAGATTTTCTAGTTTATTTGCATAGAGGTGTTTATAGTATCCTCTGATGGTAGTTTGTATTTCTGTGGGATCAGTAGTGATATCCCCTTTATCATTTTTTATTGTGTCTATTTGATTCTTCTCTCTTTTCTTCCTCATTTGTCTGGCTAGTGGTCTATGTATTTTGTTAATCTTTTCAAAAAACCAGCTCCTGTCTTCATTGATTTTTTGAAGGTTTTTTCTTGTCTCTATCTCCTTCAGTTCTTCTCTGATCTTAGTTATTTCTTGTCTTTGGCTAGCTTATGAATTTGTTTGCTCTTGCTTCTCTAGTTCTTCTAATTGTGATGTTAGGGTGTCAATTTTAGATCTTTCTCACTTTCTCCTGTGGGCATTTAGTGCTATAAATTTCCCTCTACACACTGCTTTATCTGTGTCCCAGAGGTGCTGGCACATTATGTCTTTGTTCTCATTGGTTTCAAAGAACTTATTTATTTCTGCCTTAATTTTGTTATTTACTCATTAGCTATTCAGCGGCAGGTTGTTCGTTTCCATGTAGTTTTGCAGTTTTGAGTGAGTTTCTTAATCCTGAGTTCTAATTTGATTGCACTGTGGTCTGAGAGACTGATTTTTATGATTTCTGTTCTTTTGCATTTTCTGAGGAGTGTTTTACTTCCAATCATTTGGGCAATTTTAGAATAAGTGTGATGTGGTGCTGAGAAGAATGTATATTCTGTTAATTTGGGGTGGAGAGTTCTGTAGATGTCTATTAGGTCCGCTTGGTCCAGAGCTGAATTCAAGTCCTGAATATCCTCGTTAATTTTCTGTCTTGTTGATCTAATATTGACATTGGGGTGTTAAAGTCTCCATCTATTATTGCATGGGAGTCTAAATCTCTTTGTAGGTCTCTAAGAACTTGCTTTATGAATGTGGGTGCTCCTGTATTGGGTGCATATATATTTAGGAGAGTTGGCTCTTCATGTTGCATTGATCCCTTTACCATTATGTAATGCCATTCTTTGTCTTTTTTGAACTTTGTTGGTTTAAAGTCTGTTTTATCAGAGACTAGGATTGCAACCCATCCTTTTTTTTCCCTTTTCATTTGCTTGGTAAATATTCCTCCATCCCTTTATTTTGAGCCTATGTGTGTCTTTGCACTCATGAGATTGGTCTCCTGAATACAGCACAACAATGGGTCTTGACTCTTTATCCAATTTGCCAGTCTGTGTCATTTAATTGGGGCATTTAGCCCCTGTATATTTAAGGTTAATATTGTAATGTGTGAATTTGATCCTGTTACTATGATGCTAGCTGGTTATTTTGCCTGTTAGTTGATGCAGTTTCTTCATAGTGTCAATGGTCTTTACAATTTGGTATGTTTTTGCAGTGGCTAGCACTGGTTTTTCCTTTCCATATTTAGTGCTTCCTTCAGGAGCTCTTGTAAGGCAGGCCTGGTGGTGACAAAATCTCTCAGCATTTGCTTATCTTTAAAAAATTTTATTTATCCTTCACTTATGAAGCTTAGTTTGGCTGGATATGAAATTTTGGGTTGAACATTTTTTTCTTTAAGAATGTTGAATATTGACCCCCCACTCTCTTCTGGCTTGTAGGGTTTCTGCCAAGAGATCCACTGTTAGTCAGATGGGCTTCCCTTTGTGGGTAACCTGACCTTTCTCTCTGGCTGCCCTTAACATTTTTTCCTTCATTTCAACCTTGATGAATCTGATGACTATGTGTCTTGGGGTTGCTCTTCTCAAGGAGTGTCTGTGTGGTGTTCTCTGTGTTTCCTGAATTTGAATGTTGGCCTGTCTTGCTAGACCACTGCTCAAGGAAATAAGAAAGACACAAACAAATGGAAAAACAGTCCATTCTCAGAGATAGGAAGAATTAATATCGTGAAAATGGCCATACTGACCAAAGGAATTTACAGATTCAATGCTATCCCTGTCAAGCTATCATTGACTCCCTTCACAGAATTAGAACAAAACTCCTTTAAGTCTCACATGGAACCAAAAAAGAGCCCATATAGTCAAAACAAACCTAACCAAAAAGAACAAAGCTGGAGGCATCTGGATACCTGACTTCAAACCGTATTACAAGGCTACAGTAACCAAAACAGCATGGTACTAGTACCAAAACAGATATATAGACCAATGGAACAGAATAGAGGCCTCAGAAATAATGTCACACATCTACAACCATCTGCTTTTTGACAAACCTGACAAAAACAAGCAATGGGGAAAGGATTCCCTATTTAATAACTGGTGTTGGGAAAACTGGCTAGCCATATGTAGAAAGCTGAAACTGGATCCCTTCCTTACACCTTACACAAAAATTAATTCAAGATGGAGAAAAGACTTAAATGTAAGACCTAAGACCATAAAAACCCTAGAAGAAAACTTAGGCAATACTATGCAGGCCATAGGCATGGGCAAATACTTTATGATGAAAACACCAAAAGCAATGGCAACATAAGCCAAAGTTGGTAAATGGGATCTAATTAAACTAAAGAGCTTCTGTTCAGCAAAAGAAACTGTCATCAGAGTGAACATGCAACCTACAGAATGGGAGAAAATTTTTGCAATCTATGCATCTGACAAAGGGCTAATATCCAGAATTTACAAGGAAATTAAACAAATTTACAAGAAAAAACAAACAACCCCAACAAAAAATGGGTGATGGATAAGAACAGACACTTCTCAAAAGAAGACATTTATGCAGCCAACAAACATGAAAAAAAGCTCATCATCACTGGTCATTAGAGAAATGCAAATAAAAACCACAACGCAATACCATCTCATGCCATTTAGAATGGCAATCATTAAAAAGTCAGGAAACAACAGATGCTGGAGAGGATGTGGAGAAGTAGGGACATTTTTACAATGTTGATGGGACTGTAAATTAGTTCAACCATTGTGGAAGACAGTGTGGCGATTCCTCAAGGATCTAGAATGAGAAATACCATTTGACCTAGCAATCCCATTACTGGGTATATACCCAGAGGATTATAAATCATTCTACTATAAAGACACATGCACATGTATGTTTATTGCAGCACTGTTCACAATAACAAAGACTTGGAACAGACCCAAATGCCCATCAATGATAAACTGGATAAAGAAAATGTGGCACATATACATCATGGAATACTATGCAGCCATAAAAAAGGATAAGTTCATGTCCTTTGCAGGGACATAGACGAAGTTGGAAACCATCATTCTCGGCAAACTAAAACAGGAACAGAAACCAAACACCACGTGTTCTCCCTCATATGTGGGAGTTGAACAATGAGAACACATGGAAACAGGGAGGGGAACATTACACACTGGGGCCTGTTAGGGGGTGGTGGCTAGGGGAGAGATAGCATTAGGAGAAATACCTAATGTAGATGACGGGTTGATGGGTGCAGCATGTGCACCATGGCACGTGTATACCTATGTAACAACCTCATTTTGTAGGTTGTCTGTTTATTGATTTTTTTTTTCTGTGCAGAAGCTCATTAACATAATTAGATCCTGTTTGTCAATTTTGGTTTTGTTGCAATTGCTTTTGGTGTTTTTGTCATGAAATCTTTGCATTTTCCTATGTCTTGAAAGGTATTATCCAGTTGTCTTCCAGTTTTTTTATAGTTTTGAGTTTTAAATTTAAGTCTTTGATTCTTCTTGAGTTGATTTTTTTGTATATGGTATAAGCAATGGGTCATTTCAATCTTCGATGTATGTCTAGCCAGTTATCCAAGCACCGTTTATTGAACAGGGATTCCTTTCCTTATTGCTTGTTTTTGTCATCTTTTTCAAAGATCAGATGGTTATAAGTATATGGCATTATTTCTGGGCTCTCTATTCTGTTCCTTTGGTCTATGTGTCTGTTTTTGTACCAGTACCATGCTGGCAGTAAAGATTGAAGTTGGTTAACATGATGCCTGTAGCTTTAATTTATTCATTTATTTTTCCCTTAGGATTGCCTTGGCTCTTTCTTGGTTCCATATGAATTTTAAAATAGTTCTTTTTTCTAGTTATGTGAAAAATGTCATTGGTAATTTGAAAGAAATAGCACTGAATCTATGCATTTTTTGGGCAGTATAGCCATTTTAGCGACATTTATTCTTCCTATCCATGAGCATGGAATATTCTTCCATTTGTGTGTGTCATCTCTGATTTCTTTGAGCAGCGTTTTGTAGTTCTCATAGTAGAGATTTTTCACCTCCCTGGTTAGCTTTATTTTTAGGTATCTTATTCTTTTTTTGTTTTTAATTTTGTGGGTACATAGTAGTTGTATAAATTTATGAAATACATGAAAGGTTTTGATACAGGCATGCAATGTGAGATAAGCACATCATGGAGAATGGGGTATCCATCTCCTCAAGGATTTATCTTTTGAGTTACAAACAATTCAATTACATTCTTTAAGTTTTTTAAAATATACGATTAAGTTATTATTGACTATAGTCACCCTATTGTCCTATCAATAATAGGCCTTATTCATACTTTCTATTTTGTTTGCACATATTAACCACCCCCATATCTCCCCCAGCTCCCCTTAATATAATTATCTCAAGTTCCTTCCATGTTGTTGCAAATGATTGGATCTCATTTTTTTATGGCTGAATATCTACCATATTTTCTTTATCCATTCATCTGTTGATAGACACTTAGGTTGCTTCCAAATCTTAGCTATTGTAAACAATGCTGCTACAAACATAGGAGTGCTGATATCTCTTTGATACACTAATTTTTTTTCTTCTGGTTATATACCCAGCAGTGGGATTGCAGGATCATGTGGTAGCTCAGTTTTTAGATTTCTGAGGAACCTACAAACTGTTTTCCATACGGGTTTTACTAATTTACATTCCCATCAAAAGTGTACAAAGGTTCCCTTTTCTCCACACCCTCACCAGTATTTGTATTGCCTGTCTTTTGAAGATAAGCCATTTTAACTGGGGTGAGATGATATCTCATTGTAGTTTTGATTTTCATTTCTCTGTTGATCAGTGATGTTGAGTACCTTTTCATATGCCTGTTTGCCATTAGTGTGCCTTCTTTTGAGAAATGTCTATTCAAACATTTTGCCCATTTTTGGATTGGATTATTAGATTTTGTCCTATAGAGTTGTATGAGCTCCTTATATACTGTGTTTATTCATCCCTTGTCAGAGGGGTAGTTTTCTCCCATTCTGTGGGTTGTCTCTTTGCTTCATTGATGTATCTTTTGCTGTGTGAAATTTTAACTTGATGTGACCCCATTTTTCCATTTTTGCTTTGGTTGCTTGTGCTTGTGGGGTATTGGTCAAGAAATATTTGCCTAGACCAATGTTCTAAAGATTTTCCCAAAGTTTTCTTGTAGTAGCTTCATTGGTTGAGGTCTTAAATTTAAATATTTAATCCATCATGATTTCTTTTTTTGAAAAAAATTATTTCAATAGTTTTTGAGGTACACGTGGTTTTTGATTACATGGATAAGTTCTTTAGTGGTGATGTCGGAGATTTTGGTTCACCTGTCGCCCAAGCAATGTACACTGAACCCAGTATGTTGTCTTTTATCCCTCATCCCTGCCATCCTTCCTCCCAAGGCCCCAAAGTCTATTATCTTATTCTTATGTCTTTGCATCCTCATAGCTTAGCTCCCACTTATAAATGAAAACGTACGATATTATAATATAATATAATATATTTATATGTTATATATAATATATTTATATATTATATATATTTATTATATATAAATATAATATATATATTATATATAAATATATATTATATTTATATATAATAAATATATATAATATATAAATATAATATATTTATATATTATATATATTTATTATATATAAATATATTATATATATTTATATATAATATATATCACCATATATGTATATGTATGTGTATGTGTATATATGTATATATATATGTGTGTCTGTGTGTCTGTGTGTGTGTGTGTGTGTGTGTGTGTGTGTATATATATATATATATATATATATATATATATAGTGAGAGATAGGGTTCCAGTTTCATTATTCTGCACATGAATGTCCAGTTTTTCCAGCACCATTTATTGAAGAGACTATCTTTTCCCCAGTGTATGTTCTTGGCACTTTCATTGAAAATGAGTTTCTTGTAGGTGTGTGTATTTGTTTCTGGGTTCTCTATTCTGTTCCATTGATTCCATCTGTCTGTTTTTATGCCAGTACCATGCTGTTTAGGTTACCATAGTTACTATAGTTCTGTAGTATAATTTGAAGTCAGGTAATGTGATTCCTCCAGTTTTGTTCCTTTTGCTGAGGATAGCTTTGGTTAGTATGAGTCTTTTGGGGTTCCATATAAATTTTAGTGTTTTGTTTTGTTTCTGTGAAAAATATCATTGATGTTTTGATAGAGATTACATAGAATCCCTATCAAATTGTTTTGGATTGCTTTGGGTAGTATGGATGTTTTAACAATATTGATTCTTCCAATCCATGAGAATGAAATATTTTTCCATTTTTGGGTGTCCTCTTCCATTTCTTTCATAAGTGTTTTATAGTTTTCATTATGGAGATCTTTCACTTCTTTGGTTAATTCCTAGGTATTTAATTTTATGTGTGTTATTCTAATGGGATTACTTTTTTGTTTCTTTCTCACATTGTTCATGGTTGTTTTATAGAAATGCTAATGATTTTTGTATGTTGATTTTGTATCTTGCAACTTTACTAAATTTGTTTATCAGTTCTAGCACTTTTCTTGTGGAGTGTTTAGGTTTTTCCAAATATAAGATCATATCATCTGCAAACAAGTATAATTTGACTTCTTCCTTTATAATTTGGATCCCCTTTATATCTTTCTCTTTTCTGATTGCTCTATCTAGGACTTCCAGTACTGTGCTGAATAACAGTGGTGATAGTGGGCATCCTATCCTTGTCATGTTCCAGATCTTAGAGGAAAGGCCTTCAATTTTCCCTCATTCAGTATGATACTAGCTGTGGTTCCGTTGTATATGGCTTTTATTATGTTGAGGTACATTCTTTCTATACCCCATTTTTTTATGATTTGTATCATGAAGGGATGTTGAATTTTTCAGCATCAATTGAAATGGTCACATGGTGTTTATCCTTCATTCTCTTGATACGATGTATCACGTTGGTTGATTTGCATATGTTGAATTATCCTTGCATCCCAGCAATAAATCCCACTTGGTCATGGTGAATGATCTTTCTAATGTATTGTTGAATTTGGTTTGCTAGTATTTGGTCGAGGATTTTTGCATCAATAGTCATCAGACATATTGGCCTGTAATTTTTTTTTTTTTGATGTGTCTTTGTCTGGGTTTGGTATCAGGGTAATACTCGCCTCATAGAAGAAGTTTGGAAGTATTTCCTTCTCCTCTATTTTTTTGAATAGTTTGAGCAGAATTGATACTAGTTCTTCTTTAAATGTTTCATAGAATTTGGCAGTGAAGCCATTAGGTTCCAGGTTTTTCTTTACTGGGAGACTTTTTATTATGGCTTCAATCTCATTACTTGGTATTGGTCTCTTCAGATTTTGGATTTCTCCTGGTTCTATCTTGGTAGGCTGTATGTACCTAGGAATTTGTTCATTTCTTCTAGATTTTCCAATTTATTGTATATAGTTACTCATAGTAGCCACTAATTATCCTTTGAATTTCTGAAGTATCAGTTGTAATGTCTCCTTTTTCATTTTTTATTTTGTTTATTTGGAGATTCTCTTTTTTTTCTTAGTCTGGCTAAAGGTTTGTCAATTTTGTTTAACTTTTCAAAAAGCCAACTTTTTGTTTCATTATCTTTTGAGTTGTTTTTTACATTCGATTTCATTTGTTTATGTTCTGATCTTTATTATTTATTTTCTTCTACTAGTTTTGTGTTTGATTTGCTTTTATTTTTCTAGTTCTTTAAGGAGCATTGTTGCATTTTTTATTTGAAGTTTTTTTTTCCTTTTTTTGATGTAGGCACCTATAGCTATAAATTTTCCTCTGAGTACTGCTTTTGCTGTATCCCATAGATTTTGGTATGTTGTATTTCCTTTATCATTTGTTTCAATAATTTTTTCCATTTCTTTTTAACTTTTTCATTGACCCACTGGTCATTCAGAAACATATTGTCTAATTTCCATTAAAGTTTGTATAGTTTCCAAAGTTCCTCTTGTTATTAATTTCTAGTTTATTCAGTTGTGGTCAGAAAAGATGCTTGATATTATTTCATTTTTTTGAAAGCTTTAAGACTTGTTTTGTCACCTAACATATGGTGTATTCTTAAGAATAATCCCTGTGCTGAGGAAGAGAAAGTGTATTCTGAGGCCCTTGGATGAAATGATCTGTAAATATTGATTAGATCCATTTGGTCTTTAGTGCAGATTAAGTCTGATGTTTATTTGTTGATTTTCTATCTGGAAGATCTTTCCAGTGATGAAAGTAGGGTGCTGAAATCTCAGCTATTATTGTAATGGGGCCTGTCTCTCTCTTTAGCTCTCATAATATTTCCTCTATTTATCTGGGTGCTCCATTGTTGGGTGCATATATATTTATAATTGTTATATCCTCTTGCTGAATTGATATCTTTGTCATTATATAGTGACTTTCTTTGTCTCTTCTTATAGTTTTTTTCTTGAAATTTATTTTGTCTGATACAAGTATAATGACTCCTTCTCTTTTTTGGTTTTCATTGTCATGGAATATCTTTTTCCATCCCTTTATTTTCAGTCTATGAGTGTTCTAATAGGTAAACTATGTTTCTTCTAGGCAACAGAAAAGCAGGTCAATAGGTGTTTTTTATCCATTCAGCCAGTCTATGTCTATTGATTACACAGTTTAGTCTATGTCAATGTTACATTTACAGTCAATGTTATTATTGATAAGTAAAGACTTACTGGTGACATTTTGTTATTTGTTTTCTGGTTGTATTGTGACCCTCTCTTCTGTGTGACTCTCTTTCCTATTTTCCTCTAGTAATGGTGACTTTCTCTAGTGACATGGTTTAGGTACTTTCTTTTTAATTTTTGTATATCCATTGTATGTTTTTGGTTTTAGGTTTCCATGAAACTTGCAAATACTATCTTATAACCCATTATTTAAATCTGATAACAACTTAACACAATTTGCTTAAACAAATAAGCAAAAAGAAAACTAATAAAAACTCTATGCCTTAACTTCATTCCTCCACTTTTTAACTTTTTTTGTTTCTATTTGTATCTTATTGTATTGAATATCATATTAGTCAGTTCTCATGCTGCTGATAAAGACATACCTGAGACTTGGTAATTTATAAAGAAAAAGAGGTTTAATGGATTCACAGTTCCATGTGGCTGGGGAGGCCTCACAATCATGGCAGAAGGTGAAAGGCACATCTTACGGCAGCAGACAAGAGAGGAAATGAGAGCCAAGCAAAAGGGGCTCCCCTCTTAGAAAATCATCAGACCTTACGAGACTTATTTACTACCACAAGAACATTATGGAGGAAACAGCCACCATGATTCAGTTATCTTTCACCAGGTCCCTCCTACAACATGTGGTGATTATGGGAGCTACAATTCAAGATGAGATTTAGGTGGGGACACAGCCAAATCATATCAAGTATGTCCTGAAAGGTGGTTGTCGTTATTATTTTTGATTGGTTCATTGTTTGGTCTTTCTACTTAGGATAGGAGTAGTTTACACACCATAGTTACAGTGTTAAAATATTGTGTTTTTCTGTGTACTTACTATTACCGGTGAGTTTTGTAGATTCACGTGATTAGTTATTGCTCATTAATATTCTTTTCTTTTTGATTGAAGTACTTCCTTTAGCATTTCTTGTAAGACAGGTGTGGTATTGATGAAATCCCTCAGCTTTTGTTTATCTTGGAAAGTCTGTATTTGTTTTTTATGTTTGAAGAATATTTTAACTAGATACACTGTTCTAGGGTAAAAGTAATTTTCCTTCAGCACTTTAAATATGTCATACCACTCTCTCCTGGCCTATAAGGTTGAAAAGTCTGCTGCCAGATGCATTGGAATTCCATTTTATGTTATTTGTTTCTTTTCTCTTATTGAGAAAAGGATCCTGTCTTTATCCTTAGCTGTTAGGAGTTTGATTATTAAATGTAGGAGGTAGTCTCCTTTCAGTTAAATCTGCTTGGTGTTCTATAACCTTCTTGTACTTGGATATTAATATTGTTTTGTAGTTTTGGTTTGCTCCCTGTTACTATCCCTTTGATTAAACTCTTTACCCCTATCTTTTTCTCTACCCTCTCTTTAAGGCCAATAACTCTTACATCTGCCCTTTTGAGGCTGTTTTCTAGATCCTGTAGACATCCCTCATTTTTTAAAAAAATTTTGTCTCCTCTGACTGTGTATTTTCAAATAACCTGTCTTCAAGCTCACTAATTCTTTCTTCTGCTTCATTAATTCTGCTATTAAAGGACTTTGAGGCATTCTTCAGTATGCCAGTTGCATTTTTAAGTTCCAGAATTTCTGCTCAATTCTTTTTAATTATTTCAATCTCTTTGAGAAATTTATCTGATAGAAGTCTCAATTCCTTCTCTGTGTTATCTTGAATTTATTTGTTTCCTCAATACGGCTATTCTGAATTCCCTCTCTGTAAGCTCACATGTCTCTTTTTCTCCTGGATTGGTCCCTGGTAGCTTATTTAGCTCATTTGTTGAGGTCATGTTTTCCTGGATGGTGTTGGTGCTGGTAGATGTTTTTCAGTGTCTGGCATTGAAGGGTTAGGTATTTATTGTAGTCTTTACTGTGTGGGCTTATTTGTAGCTGTCCCTCTTAGGAAGGCTTTCCAGGTATTTGAAAAGACTTGGGTTTTCTGATCTAAGCTGTTTCTGCTTTAGGGACACTAGAAGCCCAGTAATACTGGTTTTTGCAGACTCATAGAGGTACTACCTTGATGGTTTTGGACAAGATATGAGAGAATTCTCTGGATTACCAGATACAGACTCTTGTTCTCTTCCCTTACTTTCTCCAAAACATATAGAGTCTCTCTTTTCTAAGACACCTAAAGCTGGGGATGGTGTGACACAAGCACCCCTGTGGCCACCACAACTATGACTGTGCTGGGCCAAACCTGAAGGCAGCAGAGTGCTGGGTCTTACCCAAAGCATGCTGTAATCACTCCCTGGCTACTGCCTATGTTTGCTCAAAGCCTGGGGCTCTACAATCAACAGGTGGTAAAGCCATCCAGGCCTGTGTCCTTCCCTTCAGGGTGACAAGGTCCCCTAAACCCCAGTTGGGTCCAGAAGTGCCATCCAGGTGTCAGAGACTAGAATCAGAAACCTTAGAAGCCTACCTTGTGTTCTATTGGATTGTGGCTGAGCTGGCCCTCAAACCTTCCTCTTTCCAAAAGCAGAGGAGCCTCACCCCATAGCCATTGCTATACCAGGTCATGAGGAGTACTGCGAGGCTACCGACAATGTTCCCTCAAGTTCTCTTAAGTCATCTTGTGGTGGATACTGCTGGCCTGGGACTCACCCTTCAGAACAGTGGGCTCTCTTCTGGCTCAGGACAGGTTCAGAAATGCTATCCAAGAGTCAAGTCCTGGAATCGGGGACCCTAAGAACCCACTTGGTGCTCTACTCACTGTGGCCATACTGGTACCTAGGGTGCAAGACAAAGTCCTTTTTATTTTTCCTGCTGTTTTTCTCAAGCAGACGAATTTTTCTCCCATAGCCACCACCGCTGGTTATGTATTGAGTCTGTCCTGAAGCCAGCAAGTCTCAGAGGCTCAACCAAGGCCCTCAATGTATTACCTGGGTGTTGCTGCTGGTTATTCAGGGCCCAAAGGCTCTTTAGTTAGCAGGTGATGAATGCTGCCGAGACTGTGTTCTTTCCTTCAAAGAAGCAGCTTTCCTTCTGGCCCAGAGTATGTTTAGAAGTGTTGTCTGGAAGCTAGGACTTGTATGGAACAGTGGCATCACAACTCTGACTGGTGCCGTGTCCTGCTGTGACTGAGTTGGCACCTTAAATGTAAGACAAAGTCTGCCCCACTTTTTCATCCCCTTTCCTCAAGTGGAAAGAAGGGGTCTCTTTGGGAGCCACGAGCTGTGCAGCTTCGGGTTAAGGGAGGGGTGATGCTAGCACTCCCTTGGCTGCCCCAGCTGTTGTCTCAGTATGTCATGTGCCCCCACCATCACCCAGCCCACTGTCTCTGGGCCTTATTCAGCACTAGGACTCACCTATGAGTTGTGGTCCTTACCACCTAGACTGCCTTTCAAGTTTACTTGGATTAGCCCTCTGTGGTGAGGTTTGCAGACACTCAAGTTCCCACCTCTAGGATCAGGGACTCCCCTCTGGCTAGGGCTGGTTTAAATGCTGCCTCCATGGGCAGGCATCAGTTAAGTTTGGTCCAATTTTCCTTTATGCTGTAACAGGACAATACTGTGTCCAATACCTTAGAATTCCTGTGTTCTCCCTCCTTTAGTGCCCAGACATGCTGCACACCAGGCTACCACTGCTAGGGGTAGAAGAGGGATGGTGTCCATGATTCAGGACTGTTTATTATTATTATTATTTTTTAATCTCTTCCGTGCCTTTTTCAGAGATATGTAGTGAAAAACAGGTGCTATGAGTGTTTACCTGATCTTTGGTTCTTAAAAAGGTCTTTGTTTGTTTGTTTTTGTTTTTGTTTTTTTTCCTGTGTAGTTAGTTGTTAGCTCTGTGTCCTTATGCGGGTAGTAGTGGGGATCCTTAGTGGAACTTTCTATTCTGCCATCTTGTTTCATCCTTCCTCCCCTAGGTATTTTATTCTTTTTGCAGCAATCGTGCATGGGAATGTGTTCCTGATTTGGCTCTCAGCTTGATGGTCATTGGTGTATAGAAATGCTAGTGATTTTTGTATGTTGCTTTTGTATCCTGAGACTTTTGTGAAGTTGTTTATCAGCTTAACGAAGTTTTGGGCCTAGACTATGGGGTCTTCTAAATATAGCCCTGTTCTAATATAGATGCTCCTGCACCAAACCCTTTGGGTTCCACATCTTCTGTCATGCTACCTCTACCACTTCTGTAAGCATCTCTCCCTGACAACTCAAGTGTCCGTGGTGGCCAAGGGCCCTCCTGCCAGGATTCCATAGGAAGAGCAGGTTCCTTCTTGCCAATTTAACTCATCCATTTCCCCGGAATCAAGGGCCAGTCTCTGTGCATGGAAGTTCTGTGCAGGGTTCCCAGCTTCCTCCCCTTTCAGCCCAGCTTCTGTGGCTTCCCTCCATTTGTCAGAGGCATTTGAACCACAGTGACTCCATCTTGAATAAGGGTTGGGTAAAATAAGACTGTGCCCTACTGGGCTGTATTCCCATGAGGTTAGGCATTCTTTTTTTTTTTTTTTTTTTTTTTTTTTCCAGACAGAGTCTCGCTCTTGTCACCCAGGCTGGAGTGCATTTGCACAATCTCTGCTCACTGCAACCTCCACCTCCCGGGTTCAAGCAATTCTCCTGCCTCAGCCTCCTGAGTAGCTGGGATTACAGGCACCTGCCACCACACCTGGCTAATTTTTGTGCTTTTAGTAGAGACGGGGTTTCACTATGTTGGCTAGGCTGGTCTCGAACTCCTGACCTCAGGTGATCCAACTGCCTTGGCCTCCCAAAGTGCTGGGATTACAGCCATGAGCCACTGGGCCCCTCCTGAGGTCAGGCATTCTAAGTCTCAGGATGAGCTAGGAAGTTGACATAAGGTATAGGTCACAAAGACCTTGCTGATAAAAGGATGCAGTAAACAAGCTGGCTAAAACCCACCAAAACCAGGCTGGGCACGGTGGCTCACGCCTGTAATCCCAGGACTTTGGGAGGCTGAGGTGGGTGGATCACGAGGTCAGGAGATCGAGACCATCCTGGCTAACATGGTGAAACCCTGTCTCTACTAAAAATACAAAAAATTAGCCAGGTGCAGTGGCTGGCATCTGTAGTCCCAGCTACTCAGGAGGCTGAGCCATGAGAATGGTGTGAACCTGGTAGGCAGAGCTTGCAGTGAGCCGAGATCGTGCCACGGCACTCTAGCCTGGGCGACAGAGCAAAACTCTGTCTCAAAAAAAAAAAAAAAAAAACACCCACCAAAACCAAGATGTCTATGAAAGTGACCTCTGGTCATCTGCATTACTTATTATATGCTAATTATAATGCATTAGCATGCTAAAAGACATTCCCACTGGCACCATGACAGTTTACAAATGCCATGGCAATGTCAGGAAGTTATCCTACATGGTCTAAAAAGGGGAGGAGCTCTCAGTTCCTGGAATTGCCTACCTCTTGCCTGGAAAATTCATGAATTTTTCACCCCTTGTTTAGCATATAATTGAAAAATAATTTTAAGTAATCTTAGTTGAGCAGCCCACACTGTTGCTGTGCCTATGGAGTAGCCACTCTTTTATTCCTTGACTTTCTTAAAAACTCGCCTTCACTTTACTCTATGGATTCACCTCAAATTCTTTCCTGCCTGAGATCAAAGAACTCTCTTGGGGTCCACATTATGACCCTTTCTGGTCACGCCTCCATTCTCAGTTTCTTCCCTCTGAAGATCTCTTAGGAGTACACCAGTCATCCCAGTTCCTTGATGGCAGAAGTTCCACCTGGCTGCATCTAGTTGGCCATCTTCTACAGGTTTTAGGTGGAAAATTTAATCCATTTGTATTCAAGGTTATTATTGATAAGTGATGACTTCTGTCATTTCGTTTATGTTTTCTGGTTGTTTTGTTTATCCTTTGTTCTTTTCTTTCTGTTTATCATTGTGCTTTGGTGTTGTGTGTGTGTGTGTGTGTGTGTTTGTAGTGGTAACATTTGAGATCTTTCTCTTCCTCATTTTTGTGCAAAACACTACTGCACACACTCATTTTTGTGTTTGCTCTACCAGGGAGTTTTATACTTTCATGTATTTTCATAATGGTAGATATTATCCTTTTACTTCAAGGTTTAGGACTTCCCTAAGGATTTCTTGTATGGCTTGTTCAGTGGTGATGAATTCTTTGAATTTTTGCTCACCTGGAAAAGACTTTATTTCTCCTTCATCTATGGAGGTTGACTTTGCTGGGTATGATATTCTTGATTGACATTTTCTTTTTCTTTCAGCACTTTGAATATGTCATCCCATTCTCTCCTGGCCTGTAAAATTTCTGTTGAGAAATCTGCTATTATCTGACGGAGATTCCTTCTGTTACTCATTTTAGAATTATATCTTTGTATTTGACTTTTGACAATTTGACTCTAAGGTGCTTTGGAGAAGACCCTTTGGGATCTTGGAGCTTCTTCTATTTGGATAGGTAAACCTCTTGGTGTATTTGGGAAGTTTTCAGCTATTATTTCATTACATAGCTTTTTTATGCCTTTGGCCTTATCTCTATCTGAAATACCAAAAATTTGAATATTTGGTCTCCTTATGGTGTCCTTTATGTTACATAGACTTTGTTCATTTTTATTTATTTATTTTTGTCTAACTGCGTTATTTCAAAAGACCCATCTTTAAGTTTTGTAACTTGATCTAGTCTATTGTTAATCTAGTCTAATGTTAATTCTTTTGCTTGATCTAATCTAATTTTGAAACTCTCAATTATATTTTTATTTCATTAAAAAATTCTTTAGTTCTAGGATTTATGTTTGGTTATTTTTTATGATGTTTATCTCTGGTGAATTTTTCATTCATATCCTAAATTGTTTTTCTGATTTTGATATGGTTTGGCTGTGTCTCCACCCAAATCTCAACTTGAGTTTTATCTCCCAGGATTCCCATGTTTTGTTGGAGGGACCCAGTGGGAGGTAATGGAATCATGGGGGCTAGTCTTTCCTGTGTTATTTTTGTGATAGTGAATAAGTCTCATGAGATTTGATGGGTTTATCTGGGGTTTCCGCTTTCACTTCTTTCTCATTTTCTCTTGCTGCTGCCATGTATGAAGTGTCTTTCGCCTCCCACCATGATTCTGAGGCCACCCCAGCCAAATGGAACTGAAGTTCAATTAAAACACTTTTTCTTCTCAGTCTCAGGTATGTTTTTATCAGCAGTGTGAAGTGTGAATACAGACTAATACAGATTTCTTCATATTATTTTTCTGTGTCCTCTTATAGCTCACTGAGCTTCCTTAATATCATTATTTTGATTTCTTTTCCAAGATTTAAAAATTTCTATTTTTTATCAAATCTGTTGCTGGTGTTCCTTTGGAGGTGTCATATTTTTTTTCTTTTTCAGGTTTTTTTGTGTCCTTACATTGATATCTGCACATCTGGTGTATGTATTACTTCTTTCAATTACTTGTATTGGCTTTTGTAGGGGAAGACTTTTTTTCTAAAGATGTTTTCCATGGTACTGGTTGGGTAGAGCACTTTAGCTTTCATTCTGAGTGTGTACAGTAGTGTTGTCTCCATATAATTTTTTTTCTTGGCTATAAATAGCATCAGTGGTGTCAGCAATTTCCTCAGTGACTTAGCCTATAGTTGTTCATAGAGGCCATGGTCAGACTTTGCTGGGGTTGGAGACACCAGTTGGGCCAATTTTCAGGTCCTATGTGGGCTAGCATGCCTATCCTTGGGCCCCTGGATGGTGTATGTGGGTCTTGGTTTAGCATGTCTAGGCAGGTCCGTTCTTGGGCCTACAGGCAGCTTGGTCAGGTGCCAGTAGTGGCAGCACTGGGCTGGATGGGTAGACAGGTTGTATGGCTTAGGTGATGGCAGTAGTATAACCAGTCAACCCTCAGGCTCACAGGTGGCATGTGCTGGTGTTAGCAGTTGCTGCATTGGGCCGAGTGGGCCAGTCCCCAGGTGGCACATTTTGGAGGTGTCAGTGCTGATGGTGACAGGCATGGCTGGCTGTGGGAGGAGTGCACAGATGTCAGTGATGATGAATGGGTTAACATGATTCCCTGACTTGTGGAAAGCATGTTTGGGTGATAGCGGCAGGTTTTCTGGTCCTGTTGTTAGGACCCTTGGGGTGTGTACATGTGCCTGGGGTGACCAATGGGTGATCCCTTGGCCCCTGGTTGGTGTCCTTGGACAAGGGAATGGAAGGTGGCAGATGGGGTGGGCTGGTCTTCAAGCTCCCCTGATAAAACACACAGGTGCAAGCTATGATGCACAGGGCAGGGTTATCCCCAGGCTTCCAGCTGTTTGTGTTTGGGGGCCAGCAGCAGCTGACATTCTGAGCCTGTTGTGAGGCTCCTTTATGGTGTATATGTGCTCCCAGAGTGACTGATGGGAAAGGGCAATCCTCAGGCCCCCAGGTGACTTTCTTGGTGACTGAGCAAGGGTGGTGCAAGGCCGTGAGAGCTTGTCCTTTTGCCACCTGATGGCATATATAAGCATATACTGTGGTGGGCAGGGTGGGGCAACCCTCAGGCTCCAGGGTTATTGTATTTGGGTAGTAGTAGCAGCCTCATTGATGGTCAGGGGGAGCCTGTCCTCAGGGTGTATGCAAGTGCTTGTTGCCTGTGGTGCAGGGAAGGTGGGGCTGCTGTCAGTGGCAGTAGTCCCAGGCAGGTGGCTATCAGGCTTTGGGAGAACTTGCTTCAGCTCCCTTTGTTTTGGTGGCAGCCTTCTTGTGCTGTATACTTGTTCCCTAGGGTGTATAATAATATGTGCACTAGAGTGCTAGGTACCCTACCACATTGCTGGGACCTTGCCACACTGCTGCAGCCTTCCAGTAGGATATGGGGGAATGTCAGTGAGGCTCCAGGGATGTAGATATGTAGGGAATGTTGGACCCCAGGGCAACATGCAATCTGGTAGGAGTTGGGCTCTCAAAATGGTGCTGCTGTGTAACAGCTGCTTGGGTCTTGGGGTAGGGAGTGTAGGACCCAGCATGAGCTCCCTCTTTGGAGCAGTGCTGTCTGAGACTCCAGGCAGCTCCGTGTATTAGTCTCAGGACCTGCAAAGGCCTAGGGGCTCTTTTTGGGTAGGACTGCAGGAGTCTCCATGGTGGGAATGTGAACCACTGGAAATCTCTCATTTACCATTTCCCTGTACTGGAGATGCTTTCTGGGCTCCCAGATGATACTAGCTGGGCTGGTTGCCTCACTTCCTTCTCCCTCTGTGCATAAGGCATTTTCTGTCACTTCTCTGCTGAACTCTAGTGTTCTTTCTTAGAGGCTGTACTCAAAGTTTCATTATCCATTCAGTATTTTTATTCTTCTTTGTGGAGGTGGCAAGTGCTAGGTGCCTCTAGTCAATCATCTTGAAGCCCCCTGTTATGTTAAAGTCTTTAATGGAAAAAGAAGACAACATGCATGACCAGGCAGATACTTTGAGCAGAGTCATAGGAACTGCAAAAAAAAAAAAAAAAAAAATCATCGGAAAGAATAATTCGGTAACAGATGAAAAATACCTTCAATAGTTTCATCAGTAGATTTGAATTTGACATAGTTGAATAAAGAGGCTGTGAGATTGAAGACAGGGTTAAATCAATAGAAATTACCCAAAGCAAAACAAAGAAAAAATAAAGGGTGATAAAAAACAGATTAGAGTATCCAAGAGCTGTAAGAAAAAATCACATTATCTAACCTATGCAAAAATGGATTTTCTAAAGAACAAAGGGAGAAGAAGGTAGAAAAACCTTGAAGGCAGCCAGAAAAAAAAAAGACACATTACATAAATGTAAGAAGGATAAGAGTTGTAGTAGACTTCTCATGAGAAACCATTTAAACAAATGGACAATGGCAAGGTGCCTTTGTAGTGCTGAAAGGAAAAAAAACTAACTTACACCTGGGAAAAATATCCTTTAAAAGTTAAGCAGAAGTAAAGATCTTCTCAAACAAACAAAAATTGAGGTAACATTGCCACAGACCTACTCTACAAGAAATGCTAAAGAATGTCTTTAGGTAGCAGAAATAAGATGTAGTCAGAAACATGAATTTATACAAAGAATTAAGAACAAAAGTGAAATTGAATATTTTTTAATTGCTCTAAAAGTTAATGGACTATTTAAAACAAAAATTATAAAAATATGTTTATACCATTAATAGAAGTAAAATATATAAAACCATGGAATAACACACAGACTAGGAGGACTTGGGAATATGCTGTTACATTGCATATTAAGTGGTATTATATTATTTGAAGTTAGATTTATTAACAATTACAGAGCTAATTTTTTTTTTAAAAAAACAGGTATAAATCCTCTTTGAGGAAAACACTGTCACCACTGTGGTCTGCCTTTCCTGTTCCTGAGTCACCACTGCTCTCATGCTCAGGAAGGGAACAAGTAGGTCAAGAAGTTATGCTTAAAAGCCAGGGCTTTTAAGGATGCCAGAAAGATGTCAGTGGAATCCATAGTTGGTGTTTCACCAAATTAGAATCACCCTACCCAGCTGCAATGTAAAATCCCTGGAGAAGGTGTTTGCTGACTTGATCAGAGGCTCTAAAGACAAAAAATCTCAAGTTAAGCTTAATTAGTCTTTGAGACTCACTACAAGAAAAACTTTTAGTGATGAAGGTTCTGAGACTTGGGATTGTCTCTAGATGAGACTCTACCAGATTCATTGACTTGCACAGTTCTTCTGAGATTACTCTGATGTTTTCCATCAGTATTGAGCCAAGAGTAGAGGCTGTAGTCACCGTTGCAGATGCTTGAATGAATTATTTCAGTAAATTGATTATCAGTTGTTAAAATTAGAGATATAAATAATGAGTAATTAGGAGAGATTAATAGGGAATTATAACATGCTCAATTAAATTCAGAGAAGGCAGAGATGAGCAAAACAGCAAGCAAGGGCAAGTCGAACAAAGAGAAAACAACTACCAAGATGATAGATTTTAATGCAGTCATAACAATAATCACTTTAACTGTCCAAATTTATCAGTTAAAAGCCAAACATTATTAGCTTGGATATAGAAGTGTGACTTAGTTACATGTTGTCTACAAGAGAGCCAATTCAAATATAAAGACACAGGTTAAACGTAAAAGTGTGAATAAGGATATACCATGCAAACACACAAGAAAAGCTGCAGTAAGTACATTAAATTCAGTCAAAGTAGGCTCCAGAATAAGAAATATTATTAGAAATAAAGTGGGACATTACAGAATAATAAAGGGTTAACTTCTACAGGCATACATAACAGTTCTGAAGGTGTATGCACTTAATAGTAGAACTTCAATATACATGAAGCAAAACCCAACAAAGCCACAATTATCATTGGTGACTTCAACACCCCTTTGTAGTTATTGATGTAACAAATAGCCAAAACATCAATAAGGATATAAATGATTTAAACATTATAAAACAACTTAATTTAATCGACATTTATCACTCCACCAAAGACCTTTAGAATAAACATTCTTTTTAAGTGTACATAGACCATTCACAAACATAGACTGTACTCTGGGCTACAAAACAAAACAAACTGTAATGAATTTTGAAAAATGGACATCACAGCAAGTACGTTCTCAAATAATTACAGATTATACTACTAATTTTTTTAAAAGATATCTGGAAGATCCCCAATTATAGGAAGTTAAACAATACATTTCTTACTTCTTCTTTTTTTTTTTTTTTTTTTTTTTTTACCGCTTATTATGCTGCCTCGGTTGGTTTCAAACTCCTGACCTCAAATACTCCTTCTGCCCCACTCTTTCAAGTAGTTGGGATTACAGGCATATACCACCATGCCAAGTTAAATAATAGGTTGTGAAATAACCAATGAAAACAGGGCAAAAGGTCTTAACAGACACCTCATTAAAGAAAACATATAGATAAAAATAAGCTTATGCAAAGATGCTCAACCTTACTTGTCATTGGGAAATTTCAAATTAAACAATAATGTGATATCACTACACACCTATTAGAACAGCTATAACAAATAACTGATAATATAGGCATGGCAATAGGAACTATTTGCTATGATCAGTATGATTCAAAGAAGAAATCATACAAATTCCTCAAAATTTCTTCCAGAAAATAGAAGAGGAACTTTTTCTAATGTATTCTATAAGTCCAGCAATACTCTGTTACCAAAACTAGAGAAAGAAAATTAAATGGAAGATACAGAACAATACCTCATGAATATACACAGAAATTTCTCAGCAAAATATTATTAAGTTAAATTCAGCAATATATATAAAAAATACAATATCCTGACCAAGTAGGGTTCATCCCAGGAATGCAAAGCTCATTCAACATTTGATAACCAATTAATGTAATTTGATGTATTTACAAACTATACAAGAAACATCACATGATTGTTTCAACAGATGCAGTAAAAGCATTTAGTACATTTCTACGTTCTTTCATGATTTAAAAAAACTCAGAATAAAAAGAATAGAAAGGAATCTCTTTAACCTAATAAAGGGCAGGCACATGAAAAAACCCTGCTGCTAATATTATATTGAATATCAAGAGATTAAATTTTTTACCCCTAAGATCAAGAATAAGGCAAGATGTTTTGTCTTATCACTCTCATTCAACATTATATTGGAAGTCCTAACCAGTACAATAAGACAAGAAAAAAAAAGAGGATTCAGATAGGAAAATAAGAAATAAAACTGTCTCATTTTATAGACAACATGACTATATATGAAGAAAACCCTACAATCTACACAAAAGCTCCTGAAACTAATAACAGAATTCAGCAAGGTTGCAAGATGTAAAGTCAATATAAAAAATTCAATTGTATTTCTGTTTACTAGCAATTAGCTTTTGGGATATTGATTTTCAATAGCACCATCTCTCTTAGAAGGAGTATTTATGCATAAATCTAGCAAAAATATGGGCAGGACTTGTATGATGAAAAATCATAAAACAGAGATAAAAGGAATAACATGTCTAAACAAATGGAGGATATACCAGATTCATCCCGAATCTAAAAATTCAGCATAATCTCAGTAAAAATTCCAGCAAGTTTTTTCTATAAATATCAATAAACAGACTGTAAAATTTATATGGGAAGGATAAGGAACTAGAATAGCCAAAATAATTTTGAAAAAAAACAGAATTGGAACACATATGCAGCTGGATTTCAATAACTATTGTAAAAGCTACAGAATTATGATAATGTGGTATTGGTGTAAGCATAGACATACATCAGTGGGGGAAAATAGAAAACCCATAATTAGACCAACACAAATGTAGTCAACTTATTTTTTGAGAAAGATGCAAAGTCAATTCATTCTAGAAAGTACAATTTTTTCAACAAATGATGCTGAAACAACTGAACATTCGTATGCAAAAAATGAACTACACATACTCCTCACATTTTATACAAAAATAACTCAAAGTATATTATAGATGTAAATGTAAAATGTAGAAATATCAAAGTTCTAGAAGAAAGCAGTACAACTTCTGTGTAACCTTGGATTTGGTGATGAGTTGGTAGATACAATACCAAAACAATGAACCATTAAGAAACAAATTGATAATTTGTGCTTTATCAAAATTAAAACTTTTCGCTTAGACACTGGTATGAGAATTAAAAGACACCTCAGAAAGACTGGCAGAAAATATTTGCACATCACATATTTGGTAGAGTTGTTGTATCCAGAAATATGGTTTAAAACCCTTAAAACTCAACAGCAAGAAAACCAGCAACACAATTTTTAAAATCTGAGTAAATGTTCTCCAAAGATATATGCCTAGCAAAAATGCTTAATGTTAGGGAAATTCAAATTAAAACCACACTGAAATGCCACTGCCTACCTATCAGATTGGTTAAAATAACAGCAGCAAAACAAAAACCTGATAATAGCAAATGCTAGCAAGAAGCACCAACTCTCATTCATTGCAGGTGAAAAATGATACAAAATGTGAATAGTGCCGCAGTAAACATATGTGTGCATGTGTCTTTATAGTAGCATGATTTATAGTCCTCTGGGTATATACCCAGTAATGGGATGGCTGGGTCAAATGGTATGTCTAGTTCTAGATCCCTGAGGAATCGCCACACTGATTTCCACAATGGTTGAACTAGTTTACAGTCCCACCAACAGTGTAAAAGTGTTCCTATTTCTCCACATCCTCTCCAGCACCTGTTGTTTCCTGACTTTTTAATGATTGCCATTCTAACTGGTGTGAGATGGTATCTCACTGTGGTTTTGATGTGCATTTCTCTGATGGCCAGTGATGATGAGCATTTTTTCATGTGTCTTTTGGCTGCATAAATGTCTTCTTTTGAGAAGTGTCTGTTCATATCCTTTGCCCACTTTTTGATGGGGTTGTTTGTTTTCTTCTTGTAAATTTGTTTGAGTTCATTGTAGATTCTGGATATTAGCCCTTTGTCAGATGAGTAGGTTGTGAAAATTTTCCCATTTTTTAGGTTGCCTGTTCACTCTGATGGTAGTTTCTTTTGCTGTGCAGAAGCTCTTTAGTTGAATTAGATCCCATTTGTCAATTTTGGCTTTTCACAATAGCAAAGACTTGGAACCAACCCAAATGTCCAACAATCATAGACTGGTTTAAGAAAATGTGGCACATATACACCATGGAATACTATGCAGCCATAAAAAATGATGAGTTCATGTCCTTTGTAGGGACATGGATGAAATTGGAAATCATCATTCTCAGTAAACTATCACAAGGACAAAAAACCAAACACTGCATGTTCTCACTCATAGATGGGAATTGAACAATGAGAACCCATGGACACAGGAAGGGGAACATCACACTCTGGGGACTGTTGTGGGGTGGGGGGAGGGGGGAGGGATAGCATTAGGAGATATACCTAATGCTAAATGACGTGTTAATGGTTGCAGCACACCAGCATGGCACATGTATACATATGTAACTAACCTGCACATTTTGCACATGTACCCTAAAACTTAGAGTATAATAATAATAATAATAATAATAATAATAATAAAAAGAAAAATGATACAAAATGGTATAGCCAATTTGGAGAATAGTTTGGCAGTTTCTTAAAGTTAAACATACACTTTCTCTACTTCCTGGCAATCATGTAGGGCTGTGTCAGGAAAAGTGCACGAGAAATCAATAACATCTTGTAGTGCCACAGACTAAGGAAGTGCAAAAAAAAAAAAAAAAAAAAAAAAAATATATATATATATATGCAGGCATGTCAAAGAACACAAAAGCTAAACTCTAAGAGATCCCAATGGCCAAACTTGGAATTATTTGAGCAACAAAAGAAATGATAGCACTGGATTATGGCCTAAGAAATAAAGTAAATATCCATGAGTTCATACTGACATAATTAAATGATTAGATAAACAAATGGGACAGGGAAGAGACAAATCTTCCTTAGAGAATTCCGAATAGTAAATGCAGAAGGAATGAGAGAAATAGAAAATGACCATTACAGCACCTCAATAGTAATGGTTACAAGCATGACCCACAGATGAAGGCTAAACTTAGTATTTGAAACTGTACCGAGAAATAGGATATTTACATAGCCTCAATAAATGACAGCCCCAAGATATTTATTAATCACTGTTGTGGTTTTAACAGTTTCTACAAATTCCTGGATACTCATCTTTCCAGAATATGGAGCTTAATTCCTTTCTCTTTGAGTAAAAGATGGATTTAGTAGCTTGCTTCTAGGCAATAGATTATGGAAAGGGGGGGAAATGTTAATTTTACAGAGGAAAAACCTGGCAGACATCATCTAACTAAGTGATCTAACTAACTAGATAATAACTAGTTAACTGAAATAATCTAGTACTAAATCAGATTAATGATGTGATGTGTTGTGATGACAAGGGCAGTAGACTATAGTGAAATTGTTCCCCCAAATTTGTATCCCCTATCGAATCATGAGAAAATATCAGACAAACCCAAATTGAGGGTCAGCCTAGAAAAGTACCTCACCAGCTGTCTTCCAAAGTGTCAATGTTATGGAAAAAAAAAAAAAAGAAAAGATTGGGGACACTAGGGGCACATGATGAATAAATGCAATGTGGTATATTAGATTGGATCCTGGAAAGGACTTCAGTGAAAAAACTGATGAAACGTTTTGATACATGTACCATTGTTACATAAAATGGTAACCTTAGAAGAAGTTGAGTGAAGCATATAAATGAACTTTCTGTATTGTCTTTGTAACCCTTCGGTAAATCAAAAATTATTTCCAAATAAAAAGAAAGGCATGTCGTCCTGCACAGGGTGGAGTAGCATGGATGGAAGGGAAGCCTGGGGGTCTTTTATTGTGAGGTGGTGTATTGACCACTCCTCCTGCTATGGCTCCTCTTTTTGTAGCACCCATGGTTCTTTCCTGTCACAAGCTTTGTTTTCCAAACATCATTCTAGGAGACCTTCAATATGTTCTTCGTAAAATAACCTTGGCTTTGTTTAGCCAGATATCCGTTGCTTACAACATAGTATCCTGGGTGATATGGTTTGCTTTTTAAAATTTAAATGATTTAGTCACTAATTATATTTGTCCATTTTCACACTGCTGATAAAGACATAGCTGAGACTGGGAAGAAAAAAAGGTTTAATTGGACTTACTATTCCACGTGGCCGGGGAGCCATCGGAATCATGGCAGGAGGTGAAAAGCACTTCCTTACATGGTGGCTACAAGAGAATATGAGGAAGAAGCAAAAGTGGAAACCCCTGATAAACCCATGAGAACTCATGAGACTTACTATCATGAGAATAGCATGGGAAAGACTGGCCCCATGACTCAATTACCTCCCCCTGGGTCCCTTTCACAACACATGGGAATTCTGGGAGACACAACTCAAGTTGAGATTTGGGTGGGGACACAGTCAAACCATATCATTCCACCCTGGCTCCTCCAAATCTCATGTGCTCACATTTCAAAACCAATCATGCAATCCCAACAGTCCCCCAATGTCTTATTTCAGCGTTAATCCAAAAGTACACAGTCCAAAGTCTCATCTGAGACAAGGCAAGTTCCTTCTGCCTATGAGCCTGTAAAATCAAAAGCAAGCTAGTTACTTCCCAGATACAATGCAGGTACAGATATTGGTTAAATACAGCCATTCCAAATGGGAGAAATTGGACAAAACAAAGGGGTTACCGGTCCCATGCAAGTCTTAAATCCAGCAGGGCAGTCAAATTTTAAAGCTCCAAAATGATCTCCTTTGGCTCCAGGTCTCAATCCAACTCACACTGATGCAAGAGGTGGATTCCCATGGTCTTGGGCAGTTCTGCCCCTGTGGCTTTGCAGGGTACAGCCTCCCTCCTGGCTTCTTTCATAGGCTGGCATTGAGTGTCTGTGGCTTTTCCAGGTGCACAGTGCAAGCTGTCAGTGGATCTACTATTCTGAGTTTTGGAAGATGATGGCCCTCTTCTCACAGCTCCACTAGGCAGTGCCCCAACAGGGACTCTGTGTGGGGGTTCCAACCCCACATTTCCCTACTGCAATGCCCTAGCAGAGGTTCTCCATGAGGCCCCTGCCCCTGCAGCAAACTTTTGCCTATGCATCCAGGCATTGCCATACATCTGAAATCTAGGCCGAGGTTTCCAAACATCAGTTCTTGACTTCTGTGTATGCACAGGCTCAATGCTACATGGAAGCTGCCAAGGCTTGGGGCTTCCACCTTGTGAAGCCACAGCCTGAGCTGTATGTTGGCCCCTTTCGGCCATGGCTGGAGCAGCTGAGACACAGAGCACCAAGTCCCTAGGCTGCACACAGCACAGGAACCCTGGGCCCAGCCCACAAAACCATTTTTTTCTCCTTGGCCTCAGGGCCTGTGATGA
Organism: Homo sapiens; assembly: GCF_000001405.40. Lineage (NCBI taxonomy): Eukaryota > Metazoa > Chordata > Mammalia > Primates > Hominidae > Homo > Homo sapiens. The sequence continues at coordinate 71,903,373 of NC_000008.11, forward strand.
GAGGGGCTGCCATGAAGGCTTCTGACATGGCCTGGAGACATTTTCCCTATGGTCTTGGGAATTAACATTAGGCTCCTTGCTACTTATGCAAATTTCTGCAGCCAGCTTGAATTTCTCCCCAGAAAATGAGTTTTTCTTTTCTATTGCATAGTCAAGCAGGAAATTTTCCAAACTTTTATGTTCTGCTTCCCTTATAAAACTGAATGCCTTTAACAGCACCCAAGTTACCCCTTGAATGTTTTGCTGCTTAGAAATTTCTTCCACCAGATACCCTAAATCATTTGTCTCAAGTTCAAAGTTCCACAAATCTCTAGAGCAGGGGAAAAATGTCACCAATCTCTTTGCTAATATGTAACAAGAGTCACCTTTACTGCAGTTCCCAACAAATTCCTCCTCTCCATCTGAGAGCACCTCAGCCTGGACCTTATTGTACCTATTCTATCAACATTTTGAGCAAAGCCATTCAACAAGTCTCCAGGAGGTTCCAAAATTTCCCACATTTTCTTGTCTTCTTCTGAGTCCTTCAAAATGTTCCAACCTCTGCCTGTTTCCCATTTGCAAAGTTGCTTCCATATTTTCAGGTATTTTTTCAGCAGTGTCCCACTCTGCTGGTACTAATTTACTGTATTAGTCCAGTCCATAGTCATGCTACTGATGAAGACATACCCAAGACTGGGGAGAAAAAGAGGTTTAGTTGGATTTACAGTTCCACATGGCTGGGAAGCCCTCAGAATCATGGTGGGAGGTTAAAGGCACTTCTTACATGGTGGCAGCAAGAGAAAATGAGGAAGAAGCAAAAGTGGAAACCCCTGATAAACCCATCAGATCTCGTGAGACTAATTCACTATCATGAGAATAGTACTGGAAAGACTGGCTCCCATGATTCAATTACCTCCCCCTGGGTCCCTCCCACAACACGTGGGAATTCTAGAAGATATAACTGAAGTTGAGATTTGAGCAGGAACACAGCCAAACCATATCTCTAATTATTCATATGACAATATTGAACATATATTTTAGTATCTATGTATAGTTTATGTAAACATATAGAGCTGTGAAATAATGTGGAATAGTGCTAAGCATAAAAGAAGAGTTAGGTAGTTTCAGTTGAAGAACAGTTATACTTACCTGGGTAGAGATGGGGAGAGGAAAACAGGAAAAGCTTTGTGGAGAATACTGAATTTGAATTAGGAGAGTATATAGCATTTAGACAAATTATAGTCCAAATTGAGCAACCAGTTGCTGAATTTTGGTTTTATGTTTATCCAAATAGGCCTTTGTTTCTGCACAATATTAATTGAATATTTTTTTCATCTTCACTACCTACATATTTACCCATTGTAAATAGGTACAAAATAGATTCCGTGCTCTCACACAATCTGATTACCCCCAATTGATGTGAGTGTATCCCTGCCTGCCCTGAAAGAGAGTTATGGCAATTGTGATAGAATTAAAATGGTCAGAACTGGGGCAAAGAACACAATCTGATGTATCAATACTTTGTTCTCTACAAGATGATGCTCATCATGGGCTTTTAAAAAAAGTTTTGTTGTTTTTGGCTTCTCCTAAAAACATATTGAGTTTTACCCAGTTGCAAAACAATACTGAAATATAAATGTTCAAATGTACTAGTTTGATTACATTAGGGGGAATTCATGACTTCTAGAGTACCTGCCCACTCTTGCTATGCCTGTGGGCGATAGGGATGCTATCAATGAAAGGAGCATAAATTAAACTTATTAAGAAGTTCTTCATGTGTTACAGACATAATTTAGCATGTTCATTATAATGGCTGAAGCCAAAGGATGGATTCTTACATGGAATGTTATGACCTCACTGAATATTGTATTTCACTTAGCTCTAGAAGCAGAGGAATCTGTATCAAGTCATAAATTATACAAGAAGTGTAAAAGTGACACCTGAAATATGGCTAATAGATCAAAGGGAATGGTATTTTAACTTCTATTAAGGAATTTATGTGTGACACTGTATGGATGAGCATTGTGAGTCAAAAAGATGATAAAATTTTAGAAACATATCACAACATAGATTTTTATAAAGGATGTATATGTACACTTTAGCGAACAGTAAAAAAGTAGCCATATTCCTGGCACCTGGTTTAAAAAATAGAATATTACCAATATCTTTATAGTCCCTGTTTTCCTTCTCGGTTCCCATCTTCTTCCTTTCTCCTAGAGATACTTGTGAGGTGAAATTTTGTGTTTATTATTCATCCAACTTTCATTATAATTTTATTAGAAATGTGTAGATTTATACACAACATATATGTTTAATTTTGTATGCACTAAAGCACATATAAATGGAATCTATTGTATGTGTTCCTCTGTGATTTGCTTTTTTTGTCAATGTTATGCTTAAGTTTTAATCATTTTGATGTCTAAACTATAGTTATTCATCTTTACTACTATATAGTGTTCATTTGTAATAATGCCCACAGATATTTTTATTTATTCTAATTATAATGAACATATTTCAGTGCCTACTTCTAGTAGATGCAAACACATAGAATGTAAAATAGTGCAGAAATACTAGTTTTCTATTTTAAATGTGAATGGACACATGAGAGTTTCTCTAGAATAGTATTTTTTAAGCTTTTCTGACCATTACCTTGATAAGCCACGAGTTGGCTTTGCAAAATTCTTACAAAACAATACTTTGATTGCAAGGGATTTCCTTTGACATTTTCTATCCCATTCCACTCCATTTCATTTTATTGAAAATATTCTGATTTTGTCCCCTGATATTCATTTATCGAGCCACTAATGGGTCATAATCAGCTACCACCCAGCAGTTTTTAAAACATTGCACTAGCATGAGGAATGAAATTGCTGGGCTGTAGAATAGGCAGGCTTTCAGTTTTGTTGGACAGTACCTTATTGATTTCCAATCATCTGTGAAGTTGCTCTCCCAGCAGCAGCACATGTGTTCGCTTTGCTCCACTACTTTGCTCACTTTTGTTATTGTCAGATATTTACATTTTCTGGTTTATTATATTTTATATTTTTAATAAAAGAAAATTGAACTGGAACTCAACTGTAAAACTCACCATAGATAATTCAGATTAGTGTAAATCTACTCAGTCTATTAATAAAAATGACACATTGATAGGAAACCAGAAGTTACCATTTTGGGGGACATTTTAGTAAATGAGTTTTTTAAGAAAAATATTGATTTATGCCAAAAGTATTCCTAAAAAGTAAAGCATAATCAGATCCCAAATCGACATTTTTGGGGGTCTCAAATTGTCTGGATCAAGAGTCAGCTATGAAAAGTATGAATCTATTGTTGTAAAAAATCTGCTTTGGGCTTAATCTGAATCAGCAGAAATTTTAGCAATACCATAAGCAAATAAAATGTGTTGTTTTGGGCTTTTACGCTCAAGTCTACAACATATTGAAGGAATTCCTAGTGTTGTTTTTCTGCTGTTTCTGTTTAAACTTCAGCAATATTTTAATTCCCCCGATTTTCCACTGTCTTCAATGAAGAATGATAGGAAGAGATCAGAATAATCTGCTTCTTTCATTCTTAATTCCAAATCCTTGAGATACATTTCTGGTGTACATGGCCCTCACTAGTGGTAAATTAGGGTCTTGGGAGGCAGAGGAACTTGTACTCTATGATTTGTGCCTCTAACTGGCATGTAGAAGGTTCAGGAGTGTAAGATTTCTAAATTTCCATGCAGGCAATCCTTTAGAGGTTTGCAACATCCCCAAGCCCTCAGCCATTCCAAAGTGCTGAGGCAAATTAAGAAGGCCAAGGAAGTCAGTTAAGTTATCTTCTTGTAGACAGACAGCAAATTTATTTATGGCAAATTCTCTGGCCACTTGCCAACATAGAACACTGTTCACACAAAACTGGTTGGGAAGGGGAGGCAGACAAAGGAAGCCTTCAAAGCTGAATCCTGGGCCATAGCATTACTGGGGCTTCCTAAAAGAACAGCCTCTATAGTTTTAGAAGAGTAATTTGGGTGAAGGTTTCCTGATAGGGCTTAAAAAGGGATGTATCCTACCATAAGATGAGTCTACTCTATGGAAAATGATATTTTATAGCATTTCAACGACAACATTTCATTTTGCAGAGCAGCACACATCATCCAGGGAGGAAAGGAGTAACACTGGTAGGAGTTAAGACAAGCAAGTTTTTGGTTCTGGTCTTGTTGTCAGGCAATTAAAATAACAAAAACCAAACAACAACTTCTATTTAGAACTGGTCAAGATGTTTTTAGAGTCATAAAATTCCATCTATTTTCATAAGTTAAATGTAACCTACAACATCATTTCCCATTTAACTCTCAGATTGTGTTCTCTATTTCAAAAATGAATAGAAAGACTCTCCACATGGAGTATTCTCTGTCAGTTTACTTTGAGTTCTGAAAACTTCTGGTTTTCACACAATTATTTTCATAGTCATAGTTATGTTATTTAAAGAAATAGTTTCATTTAAATGTGAGTCTAAAGGCTGAAGAAAAAACCTCCCAAACAACAAAATTTTAGTTTATGGTCTCTCTTAGGTCTAATACAGATAGTACTTGATATAATTTCAATTTTCTTTTTTTTTTTTTTTTTTTTTTTTTTGAGACGGAGTCTTGCTGTCGCCCAGCTGGAGTGCAGTGGCGCAACCTTGGCTCACTGCAGGCTCCGCCCCCTGGGGTTCATGCCATTCTCCTGCCTCAGCCTCCCGAGTAGCTGGGACTACAGGCGCCTGCCACCTCGCCCGGCTAATTTTTTGTATTTTTAGTAGAGACGGGGTTTCACCGTGTTAGCCAGGATGGTCTCGATCTCCTGACCTCGTGATCCGCCCGCCTCGGCCTCCCAAAGTGCTGGGATTACAGGCGTGAGCCACCGCGCCTGGCCAATTTCAATTTTCTTAACTTTGTTGAGATTTATTTTGTGACCTACCATATGGTCCATCTTGGAAAATGTTCCATGTGCTGATGAATAAAATGTATATTCTGCAGTTGTTGAGTAGAATGTTCTGTAAATATCTGTTAAGTACATTTGTTGTAGGGTATAAGTATATAGTTCATTGTTTCTTTGTTGACTTTCTTTCTTGATGACCTGTTTAGTGCTGTCAGTGCAGCATCAAAGTCCCCCACTATTATTGTGTTGTCATCCATCTCATTTCTTAGGTCCAGTAGTAATTGTTTTATAAATTTGGAATCTCCAGTGTTAGGTGCATATATATTTAGGATTGTGATAATTTCCTGTTGAACTACTCTTTTTATCATTATATAATGTCCCACTTTATCTTTTCTAACTGTGGTTAACCTACTTACTTTTGGTTTCCATTTGCATGGAATATCTATTTCCACCCATTTACCTTAAGTTTACGTGAATCCATATGTGTTTGGTGAGTCTCTTGAAGACAGAAGATTCTTGGTTGGTGAAATTTTATTCATTCTGCTACTCTGTATCTTTTGAATAAAGCATTACGTTAAACATTAGTATTGAAATGTGAGATACTATTCTATTCATCATGCTAGTTGTATTCTGAATACCATGATTTTATTTTTCATTGTATTATTGTTTTATAAATGCCCTGTGAGATTTATGCATTAAGGAGGTTCTATTTTGGTGTATTTTGAGGTTTTGTTTCTAGATTTAGAACTCCCTTTAGCATTTCTTGTAGTGCAGGTTTGGTAGTGGCAAATTCTCTCAACATTTGTCTGAAAAAGATTTTATCTCTCATCTATGAAACAGTTTCACTGGGTACAAAATTCTTGGTGGATAATTATTTTGTTTAAGGAGGCTAAAGATGGGACCCCAATCTCTTCTGGCTTGGAGGGTTTCTGCTGAGAAATCTATTAATCTGACAGGTTTTCCTTTATAGGTTACATGATGCTTTTGGCTCACTGCTCTTAAGATTTTTTTCTTTCATCTTGACTTTAGGTAACCTGATGACTATGTGGCTAGGTGATGATCTTTTTGTGATAAATTTCATAGGTGTTCTTTGAGCTTCTTGTATTTGGGTGTCTAAATCTCTAGTAAGACCAGGGAGGTTTTCTTCTATTATTTTCTCAAATAAGTTTTCCAGACTTTTAGATTTCTCTTATTCCTCAGGAACACCAATTATCCCTATGTTTGGTCATTTAAGATAATCCCAAATTTCTTGGAGGCTTTGTCCATTTTATTAAATTCTTTTTTCTTTGTCTTTGTCAGATTGGGTTAATTTGAAAATCTTGTCTTTGAGCTCTGAAGTTCTTTCTACCATTTGTTTGATTTTATTATTAAAACTTTCCAGTGCATTTTGCATTTCTCTGTGTCTCTCATTTCCAGAAGTAGTAATTTTCTTTTCTTTATGATAAGTATTTCTCTGGAGAATTTTTCATCTATATCTTGTATTTTTTTTTCTTCTCTTAAAGTTGTTTTTCAACTTCCTCTGGTGTCTCCTTAAGTAGCTTAGTAATTGGCATTCTGAATTCTTTATCCAGCAATTCAGAGATTTCAACTTGGTTTGGATCCATTGCTGGAGAGCTAGTGTGATTTTGGGGGGGTTGTTAGAGAACCTTCTTTTGTCATATTACCAGAATTTCTTTTCTGGTCTCTTCTTTTTTGGGTAGACTGCTTCAATGGAAACATCAGGGACTCAAAGGCTGCTGTTCAGATTATTTTGTCCCACGGGCTGATCCCTTGATGTGGTGCTCTCCCCATTCTCCGAGCGATGGGGCTTCCTGAGAGCCAGACTGCAGTGAGTGTTATTGCCCCTCTGGGTCTAGACACCAAGTGGAGATACGGGGCTCCAGACTGGTTCTGGGGAATGTCTGCCAAGAGTCCTGTGATGTGATCCGTCTTCACATCTTCCAGTTTTGGATACCAGCACCTGATCTGGTAAAGGTGGCAGGAGAGGGAAGTGGACTCTGTGGGAGTCCTTAGTTGTAGTTTTGTTTAGTGTTCTGGTTTTCTCACATGCTGGTTATGCTAGCAGTGAAGTTGTCACATGGATGGACTCAGGATCTCTGGTAAGCCAACGTGTTGCAGGTGGTGGAATTAGCTGTTGTTTTTCTCCTTCTTTGTTTTGAGTTGCTCTAATGGCTTGAGTTGGTTGGCCTCTAGCCAGGAGGTGGCACTTTCAAGAGAGCACCAGCTGTAGTAGTAAAAGGGGGATATAATGTTGTCCTATGTTGGCCAGGATGAATACTTATGTTTCTCAGGTGATGGGCAGGGCCATAGTGCTTCCAAGAGCTTATGTCTTTTGTCTTTGGAGTTTTTTGGCTGTGTCACAGCATTTGCAGTGGCAAGCCACGTCTTTCAAATGGTCTTTGAATTCTTTTGGTTTTCCTGGTGTGTTTCTGCAGTTGTTCCTGGAGCAAAAGTTCACAATGTGAGTCTCCAGATGCTGTTTCGTCCATCCAAGCATGAGCTGCACGTTAGTCCTGTTTCCTCTCCACCACTTGCCCTCCTCCCACTTTTGCCTCTAGTGTTCAGATGGTAGCCTCGAGAATCATGTTCCAGTTAGACTAAGCTTCTCCAACACGCAGCCCACAAGCCATATGCAGCCCAGGATGGCTTTGATTGTGGCCCAGCACAAATTCATAAACTTTCTTATAACGTTCTGAGATTTTTTTGTGACTTTTTTTAGCTCATCAGCTATGGCTAGTGTTAGTGTATTTTATGTGTGGCCCAAGACAATTCTTCTTCTTTCAGTGTGGCTCAAGACAATTCTTCTTCTTCCAGTGTGGCCCAGGAAAGCCAAATTGGACACCCCTGAGTTAGACTCTTCCATCATTCACTATACATCTGAAGAAATAAAAATGTCTTATCCACATCCTTGCTTTGACAAATAGCTCAGCAAATACACCATTAGTCCCAAGATAACACTCTAACTTAAATCACTTAGGGATTAACCTTATGTGTGAATCAGTGATACTCCCTATTTCCTAGTCGAGAAAAACCCAGGTGTTAATTTTTGTAATTGACCTAACTGCCTCATTAGTGTTATTTTCCCCCTTTGTAATGGCTGTGAGACTTGTGATATTTTTGTGGCTATTTTAGCTGCTATGTTATGTAAAAAATTTCCCAAATTGGTGATAACAAGTTGAAAACATTCCTAAACAATTGGAGAAAGTGGTTCTTAAGTCTACGCTGGAGGCATCCAGACAGCTGGAAGCTGTGCCTGAGTCCTGAAAAGCTGATAGAATACCTACAGGCAAACCAATCAGCTAGTGAGGTGCTCACAGCTAGTGAGAAACTCCAGTTAACAAACTCCACAGCCTATTGTGGAGACAAGCTAGCTTTCTGCCTCTTTGTTCCACATCTTTACATTGCATAATATTTTGCATTTATTAATATTAATAGACTACATAGAAATAGTTGCCAAGTCTTTCACCTCCTATGCCCTGGTGGTACTAATAGGCATGGAAACTCTGGCAAAATAAGGGAAAAGAAGGCGGGGAGGCAAGGAAAGTTGGCCAGGATTAAAACAAGTTATGGAATTTATGTCCTCTGGAGAAGCTTTAATGACACATGTGCCTCAGGTTAAGAAAAGAACAAATACATTTTAGCCGCTTAGGGAAGTGCATCTTGCTGGAAGATAGGAAGTGATCAAGCAAGGATGTGGAGTCAAATGCCGAGGATCAGAGAAATAAGAATTCCTGGTTGCCCTGAAGATTCAATGCATGGAGTGAGGTTCCCGAAATTGGGAAGCCACACACAGGACCTGGTATCTTCCAAGGTCTCACCTGCCCAGTAGGGAAAAGGAAGCACCAACTAGCAAAGTCAAGGTGAAAGGTAATGCTAATGATCAGGATCTCTGGTAAGCCAAGGTGTTGCAGGTGGTGGAATTAGCTGTTGTTTTTCTCCTTCTTTGTTCTGTTATGAGTTGCTCTAATGGCTTGAGTTGGTTGGCCTCTACCCTCTAGTGATCTTCTCACTTAAAGTTCATACACGGACAGACCATGAGTTGGTTAACCTGACATCCATTCCCAATTGCCTGCAGCTACTCTAGCAGCCAGGAGAGCGAAATGCTACCTTCATAATCTCCCAGGAGTGGCTATCTTATAAAGGAGTCACTATCCCTGACATTGCTGAGTTGCTAAATTAACATCAGCACCTGTGTGCCTTCAGAATTCTTGTTAAAAGAGACAAATGAACTTCATTTTGTTGAAGCCACAGTAAAATTTTTTTGATACTTGCTGTTGTCTCATTCCTTATTATATGACATGTATATTATGTAAGTTTTCTCTGATTAAAACTTTTCATATAACTTTTTAGTAAAGAGTGTTGCCCTTTGTTTCAGATATTTCGGGGTGGGCTGGGGAAAGCCATGGAGCCTGTACATGTTGATAATATCCCATGAAACTACTTGGAGGAATTAATGCGCTGTTGCTTGCATGGATGGATACAGATGTAATAAAGCACTATCCAAAAATGAGGCTACTGACTCACTGTCAAATTTTTTCTGAGTAATTTTTTAAATAATTTCTTATGATTCATGCATTTTAATGCCATGTCCATTCTGGGAGTTTGGGTGTAGTCTATGGTCCTGGTACTACTGAAGTTATCAGATTCTTTAAGGTTGGTGGAAGACATTTGATATACGGAACATAGAGACCAAAGTGTGTGTGTGTGTGTGTGTGTGTGTGTGTGTGTGTATCTTTAAGAGAGAGAGAGAGAGAGAGAGGAGTGTTTTATGGGAAGGCTGGAGCAGAGATTCCAAGAAAAACTATTTTATTTATTACTGTTTCCTCTCAGTTAACATTTCTGGAACATTTAAAATAAGATAATATTATCATTTTAAAAATACCAATTGCATCTCTGTTATTCTTGGTTTACTGTAGGGTCAAAGCCCCAAATTTAATTACCCCAGGGAAAGAATGCTGGTGAAATTTCTGTCCCCATCCTCCCATATCCAGAAAGGAGAAGAAACATGTTGAAATTTGTCTACTCCTATGAGCTTCAAAGTTCTCTTTTCAAGCAGAAGTGTTGGGGATAAAGTTGGATGATTTGAACCTCTAGGAAGGGATAGTATCCATTGAATTTTACATTTTGCTAAGTGTGATGAAAACAAAACAAAATAAAACAGGTGCTTTTCAAATGGAGGTCCTTAAAATCTGCAGAGATTTTTCCATTCAGCTTAATTGTAATATTTCTTTCTTGTGTCAAATTTGGCAAGGGTCTAGAAATTTATTTCTCTCTTATTTGGGGTATTGTGAAGGGAACTGATTCAAAGGCCAAATAAGAATTAAGGTTTGAAAGTTAAAATTTATTGGACATGTCTTCTAAAGCTATATTATTTCATGTCTTTTTCCCCATAAAGCCAAATAAATCTTTAGAACTCTTCACATTTCAAACACAATATTTTTCATATCCATGAAGTGATTTTCTGAAGCTCTTGAGTATCCTTGTCCAATGCATATGGCTTTTATGCCTGCACAGTACTTAGCAGGAATGTTATTAGTTATGCTTCCTGAGAATTCTGAGGGTGAACTCATATTGTTAACTGGTTTGATACTTAAGAAAACTGGCTAAGGCTTATCAGAGGCCACTTCTGTGAACTCTTGGAGTTGTAACATGTGCCAAACGGCTGAATCATTCTGTACTTTGATATATTTTTAAAGGTTCTTTAAACATACCCTAGAATGAAACAGCTACTTAGTTATATTGCATTTTCAAGATGTATCTTCTAATAATATCTCATAGATATCTTTTAGTTTAGCTACTTCCTATACATTCTAATTTAGTGTTGATATTGACTTTTTTTTTTTTTTTTTTTTTTGCATAGAGCTCAGATTGGGAAACATGCCTGGAAAAAAAATCTCTGATAAACTCACATACAATACCCTTGCCAGAAACAATGCTTCAGTTCCAACGAGGTCTAGAAGGGAAATGCTAACATTGGCTTCTTTATCTAGAAAACTGGAAAATATTATATTTAATATATTAAACATTATGTTAAATTAGGGATTTTGATATGTTGATGATACCTGTGTAAGAGACTCACTGAATACAACCAACTTAGTTCCCCAAAGTTGGACAGGAGCAAGGCAGAGCGGGGACTGATGTGTTCTGGAGACTAGGGTGATAGAACAATTTCACTAAAAGCCAGTGGCTCTCGCTTCTGTTACCCTGAATAAAGACTCTACTTTGTTTCAGGACTATTTGGCTCAGAGGGATGGTTTTAGAATCAGGGATGACCAGAAAGAAGGTAAAGAGCTGCATTCTTAGGTGCCCAGTTTAACTCTTTTTCAGGTTTCTGGACTTGTGTTTTCCAGGAGTGGTGACAATGTGGAAATTATTTGTGTTCCCTCTGATTGGGCTCAAAACTTTCCAGACAAAACATTGGTAGAAAATACCAGAACCATATTTTTGAGGGGAAGAAAGTTGGCAGCTAATTTTAAGCACCCTCCTTATACTGATCTTCTATTCTATGGATTTATAAACTAATACACAATTTCAAGATACATTTATTTCTATTTAATAGGTACCTAGCAGCTCATTAATGCTATATTTGTAAGGAAAATGACAAACATTTTTCTAATTATGTACTTAATTTACAAAATGCAGAGTAATGTAGCAATCAAGTTGTTGATGTTATTATGCAAGTATGAGATAGGGGATTTTTAAAATGATATCCGATATTATGTTACGTGGACATTTGTTAGGGGGATTTGGGGAGGAGGCAGTTTTGATAGAAAAAATGTGAGAGTACATAGCTTTCCATATCTGGATTTCTCTTCACACTAGGGGTGAATGGCTGATTTTGAGGAACTGGAATTTAGCTATCTATTTTTTGTTGTTGTTTGCTTTGTTTTGAAAGGCACTTATCCTTTATTTCTGAGCATAAGGATAGGCATTTACCTCAATACAGATTGTTTCTTAAATCTTAGTTAATGCAGGGCCTGATAGGAAAGGTATGTTTTTATTGTTAGGTGACTCAATAACTAGATTTTCCAGTGTTTCTTTTGAAGTTGAAGTATTTACTGGAACCCAGGGCAAAGTAGTACAGAGATGAAAGATAGCCAGTAAATGGTGAATTATTAAGGCTATGTGAATAAGCAGTCTTCCAATACGGATGACTGGAGCTTAATTTCATGGGGAAACTTTGAGAAATGGTAGATACTTCTCAGAATAATTCTTCTGAAGAGGCAAGGAAGCTTGCATATTTATACACCAGCTTCCATCATTATTGGTTAAAGGTTGCTCCCAGGGAGTGTTACTTCCCTGGCACTTGTACTTCAGTAGTTCTGGCAAGAGTCCTCCGGCACAGAGAGGCAGCCCCTGGCCATTCAAAGTCATCTGGAGAAAGCAGATAGTGGGATTCAAGGGATATAGGTGGGGCAGTGGCTGTATATGTTACATCGGCAGGTGCTGTAACTGATGCGGTCCAAGAATCCACACACAGAAGGCATCCTTATGCACGGAAAAGTTTGAGAACCATTAATATGGGCTATTGATCAATAAATCATAAATTGTCAGAGAATTGTTTAATGGAATTCTCATTTTGTAGGTAAGGAAATTAAAGTCCAGAGAATTTTAATGATTGGCTTGATGTCACAGAACCACTTTTAGCTCAATAGTCTCATGATTTAATGAATTATTGATGCCCAATTTCATTATTATTAATTTGAGGGCTAGATATTTCAAAAAAATCAATACAAAGGCACATGGCTCCAGTGCCCTTCCCCTTCCTTTTCAGCACCATTTCTATTGACCCCTTAAAGCTACTCACCCACCTGTGAGGCATTCCTTTATACGTGCCAATATGTGAAAATCGTTTTCTTTTAGAAACTTTCTCTGCTCCCTACCTTTCAAACCTTGCTTAGGAAAAGATCTTTGAAGTTTATTGATACTGAGGTATAAATGACTAAATTTGCTTTTTATTGAAGTGTTTTCTCAATAATAAAAAGTAAAATCTTAAGCTTCAATAATGAAGCTTTAACAGTTTCAGTTGAGAGGAAGTTAATTTAGGGTTGAAAGGGCCTGAGACTAATTTTAATTATTCATAAATATGGATTGTCACATCCTTTTGGAAAATACTGTTGATCTTGTAGCCATTAAAGTGCATTCTATAAGATGAAATTGATTTAGCATGGGGAACACTGGTGATCCTTAGAAGAGAAACTCAGTATTTAATAAATGTGAAAATAATGAGAAACTACAATATAGTAATTATTAGAGTTTTATAATTTAGAAATACATAAGTGTAGTTTTCATCATATTGGATCACATAAAAAGATCTTAACTTCCTGCAGAAAAAGTCTATTTTTTGTTACAAACTAGTATAAATAGCACAGTTCAAAGAGAATCAGAAAATACTATTCAAATAATTTTAAAACTTCAATATTTGACTTTTAACTACTGTAATGTTCCCCAAATCATGTTTTGTTTTTGACTATAATTAAATTGCATTTTGTTATATTCAGTATTGATAGCTGTCATTTTTTGAACCCCTACTGTGTGTCAGATAAAAATGTTAGGGGATTTACATACTATATTTCTTTAGCTTTGCAATAACTTCGCATGATGGATATTTTTATCCTTATTTTATGGAAATAAATGAATGTACATAATAAATTTTTATGACAAATTTGATGCCTAGCACTTCATAGACATTTAGAAACTATTTTTAAAATAAGCATGAGTGAATGAGGACTTGTTCCAAGCCACGAAGCTTTAGAGTGATAAATGGAGCCAGCCGGGTGCACTTTAGCCTTCAGAACTGTTCCAGCTGCCCATACACAGGGTTTGAGTGAATGGTTCTGACACCTACCGAACTGGCGTTAGCTTGGCCTGGAGGATGGTCAGCACAGTTGAAGCTGGGTGCACTGGGACCTGTTCACAGGTGATTGCTGATAAGAAAACTCTCTTATCCTTTAATCCTTGACCTCATAGAGCCCACCTGATGCCCTGGAGTAACTCCCTCCTGAGAAATGGGTTTGTTGTCTCAGGCCCACTCAGTTCAATTTATCAGTTTATAACTCTGTCAAGGATCTCTAGCTCTTTCTTATTGCCCAGGGTCACATATCATTCATTTGTTCACTCATCAAACATTTATTAAGAACTACTGTGTGCTGGAAGCTTGGCCGAATGCTAGGAATTCAAAAACAAACAATTGAGTGAGATGGATTCTGAGTTAGGGGAATCCACAAGTAACCCAATAGATGACCAGATGGACATCTTGAGTTCCTCCCAGGATTCTAAAAAGAAAAAATGCTTTTGCAAAGAATGTTTTTACGGACCAGAGAACTAATCTAAAACACCAATGATGATTAAATAGAACATTCTATTCAGACATTAGATTTTAAACTTTTATAAAATTTAATATAAAATGACTGTGGGGTAAATAAGCAGGGAGCAAGGCACTTCCTGGGAATCCCTAGGCCAGCCAAGTATTCCTGAGCTATCCTCATCACTAATCTAAGAAGGATCCTGGAGCAGGCATACCCTGATACCATCCCAGAACAAAGCCTGAAAGGCAGGCAGTTGGTTTGACAGCTTTAGAAGACACCATGTTCAGCTGCCATAGCTCTCAGAGTGTGAGTGTAAGTGTAGCATGGCTTTGTTATGCAGTCTTATGGTTAATAGTAGGTAGCCATTTTTTTTGAAAGGTCTGTGCATGCTCTCTGACATGGTCTCAAAGTAAAAACAATGCACAATGAAAACGAAGTTCTTCTGATCTGAATTCTGCCCTAAATCAAAGATTTCTTTTGTCACAAGAGATTCTATTTGGGATAAGCTAATGTAACTAGATTTGTTCATAGACTTTTGAGGAAGGCATTTGTGTGTGTGTGCGCTAAGTTTCAGTCATAAAAGTTAGTCATGGTGTCATGAAATAGTTGAACTGTCTTTTAGAATTTTTTTCAGGATTCCAGATAGAATGTTTTTGCAAAGAACATTTTTTCCCTTCAAGGCTCATGTTAAAATAAAGGTCAGGAAATTCAGTCAAGTAAACAAGTTAGCCACAACTTTCATCCAAAAGGACACGCATCACAGGTGTCGCTCAGTGCCACTGGAGTTGGTTTAAACACATTGGTTATGGTTATACATAGCACTTGAAGTTCAAACATTCACTCCAACTCCATCATCACTTACTTAGGTTGTCCCTGCAAATTCCTTTTGGACTCTTTCTTTGCCAAGTTCAAAAAGTAATGGGTTCTTAACTATAACAGAGAAAAATCAACTTCTCCATTTTAGAAAAAGGTAAAAAGTTTTCCCTTCCTTCCTTCCTTTTTTTACCCCAAAAAGAAGCTTCTAAAATGCAAATAAATTTGTAAATAAATACATTTCAGTTACTGTAACAATGAAAGCAATACACTAGTTTATCTAAGTGAAATTTTTATACATTTTGCTTTTACTAATAAGTTGTAGTATAAGAAAATAATGTCTTATTTTTATTTTATTTTATCATTTTTATAAATCCACAGAAAATAAAAAAGATAATTGGGAAATTAATATATCTATTATGATTTTTAAGTAAACCTTCCACTGAAATATGATATACCATGTTAAAAAAGCATGTTCCTTATAAGTGTACAGCTTGATGATTTTTTTCACAAACTGAATATACTTGTGTAATCAGCACTCAAATCAGGAACTAGATTATCACCAGAGCATTATCGCAGAAACCCATCTCTTTTTCTCTAATACTCAATGGCATTTTGTACCCCTAAGGGTAGCCACTATCCTAACTAATAACACCATTAAACTTTTGCCTGTTTGACTTTTGTACCTTATATAAATGGAGTTATGCATTATTTATTCTTTTGTGTCTGGATAATGAATTGTGCAGGTGGGAATATGGTTATGCGTGTCTTTTGGTGAACACATGCATGCATTTCTTTGAGGTATAAACTGAACAGAGGAACTGGTGGGTTATAAGGATGTGTGTGTTCAGTTATCATAGGTAATGTCAAATTGTTTACAAAGCGGCTCTACATGCTTTCTTTCTATGCTCACTTATACTAAACTATACTGCTTTTCTCAATCTCATTTGTCATTAGGGAGATTTCTTTAAACTGAAAAGGTTATCTGAAAAGCACTCTGTTGCATATATTTAAAGATCATTTTTGCTAATATGGTTATTTTCAGTGGAATGTTTTTGTGTCCTAAATCTTAACTTGTAAAAACCTATGCTCCTAATAGTACAAACAATTCCATCTAAAAGTCAGACCGTAAGTTCAGCAATAAAAGATGAATCACCATGAGACAAAGCTGTACACACTTGGAAACATAGTGTATATACTAATCTTTCATAACCAAACTATTCCTGTTACAAAATGATACTAGATTGCTTTCCAGGAAAGTCAAGTGAAAACATTACTAAGTCTTTTCTTCAAGATATATCAGAGTTTTTATTTGCAAGCAACTTGAAGGCAACTCTGGTTAATTTATCAGAAAAGAAATGTGATAAATAATTTTGGAAACCCACTGAATCTCTTGGGGGGCCAGAGAACCAGGCTTGGAGATATCTCAGTCTTGCAAGATGCCTTAAAATATGTTTTGAACTGGTCCTCTATAGACCAATTGCTACTTCCACGGGTTACAGATCCCATAGCCTGCCCTATTTGTCAGTCTCCAAGATGGCCCTAGTGAGTCTCAGATCCTGACATTTGTGATCTTGTGCCGTCTTCTGTCACACATAGTCAGGGCAGCTCTGTGTGACCAATACAGGTGGCAGCACGTGACTTAAAGGCTAGATTATAAAGGACATTGAAGCTTCCCCTTGGTCTCCCACACTCTGGGGGAAGCCAGCTGCTAGGCCCTGAGGTCATGCAAGGAGCCTCAAGGAGAGGAACTGCAGCCACCTGCTGACTGCCAGCACCAACTTTTCATGCTGGTGAGCCACCTTGGAAGCCAGCCCTCTGTCTTCACTCATAGCTTCAGATGATTGCAGCCCCAGCTGATGTCTTGACTGCAAGCTCTTGAGAGACTGAGCCACAGCTACTCAGCCATGTTGCTCTAAGTTCTTTTTTCTTTTGTGTGTTTTTTTTTTAAGAGACAGTGTCTTCAGCCATGTTGCTCTAAGGTATTTTTTTTTTTAAGAGAGACAGTGTCTTGCTCTGTTGCCCAGGCTAGTGTGCAGTGGTGTCATCATAGCTCACTGCAGCCTTGAACTCCCAGGCCCAAGCGATCCTCCTGCCTCAGCCTCCCAAGTAGCTGAGACTACAAGCACATGCCACCATGCCCGGCTAATTGTTTTATTTTTTGTAGAGATGGGGTCTTGTTTTGTTGCCAAGGCTGGTCTCAAAGTCCTAGGCTCAAGCAAGCCTCCTACCTTGGCCTCCCAAAGTGCTGGGATTACAGGTGTGAACTACTATGCTTAGCCAAGCTTCTTGACCCACAGAAACTGAGAGAGAAATAAATGTTTATTTTTGTTTTAAGTCATTAAACTTTGGGGTAATTTGTTTCACAGCAACAGATAGCTGATACAATCACCACCCAGACATGGGATACAGCTACTGGAACTGTTGGCACCACTGCCTTTGGGAACTGGATGTATCTGCAAGCAACATTACCCAAATGCATTCTGGATAATCCCCATTTCTTCGATTATACTTCTGATTCAAAGTCTGGGTCCTTTGCAATTGACTGACATTGCGTGGGTTCACATGCCAATATTTTAGGTAAAAGGAAGACTTGGAAATTCAAGTAGTTGATCTTTTCAGAAATGCAAGTAGCTGATCTTTTCAGCTTCTAGAGTATGAGATCAGCTCTATGCCTCATAAGGTTGGAAACTCCTCAAACTTAGAAAGAGAGGTTAGATACTAGGCAGTCCATTGTCCACCATACCAGGGCTTCTCATAGTGTGGGCCATCTGTGAGTGAGTGCTGTCTGTGAGATTTTGCTCTTGGTCCACAATGAGATAAACATAGAAAATGAGAATAGGCAGCCAGAAACTTTCATAGCAACTTGACATTGCCATGATATTTTTATTGTATTTGACAAAAATACTGATACACAACAAATTGGAAATTAAACCAGAAAATACCACAGATAGTTTGAGAAGCACTGATAGTTTTCTACCACAAATAGTTTGAGAAGCACTGCACTACATCCATATATAACAAAGGACTTATTTGAAAACACTATGCCTCTCAACTCTGCCTCCAGAGCCTCAGGACAAAGCTGGTTTCTCATGTGATTGATATCACAGAGCAGCGATTTTCTCTGCACTCCTTTAGTTACCCAAAGATGCTGACATGCTTTATATATAAACTCATTGCATTAAAAATCAAACTATTTTGGCCCATGGGCAAGACGCAAACAAGAATAATAATCTTGTAATTGTCACAACAAACCTATAATATGAGGTAAATATTGTGGTGTCCCTTTTACCAGCGAGATAGCTGAAGCACCAAGAAATTAAATGATATACTCAATCACATGGCTCCCAAGTGAAAGCACCAGGCTTTGAACCCAGACAGCTTGGCTCTTGCTAGCACTTGCACTTTTGGCCACTCTGCAGTACTGCCTCTCTAACATAACAAGAAAAAGACTGGCATATATCCAAGATATTATATCCAAGTATTGCCTAAATATGAACTTTATTTCCTCTTTGAATCATGGCCTTTGCAAAGACCTCTAAGAATATTTAGGCAAATTATATTCTTCTTAATAGTCAATGTACTATATATTTCAAAAGATCCGATGCCTGCTGTCTACAGCGTTATAATGCCCTGAGACATAATAAGTGATTGCTTTCCAGAATGAAGCTTTTAAGATAAATAACTTTGTGTTTTTAGGTCATTTAGGAATATTGCCCCTTTTTTAAAAAAATGGAGTATCTCAGCACTAACACACACACTTTTTAGAATTTTAATCTCTGAAATATTTTCCAGAGATTTCAGCATTACACAACAGTCTTATTAAAGGTGCATGTATGCATTTTTATTTAATCTGATCCCTCAACAAGCCTGGTCCATTTAGCAGACCAGAAAGCTAATCTCCAGAGGCCAAAGGACCAACTCCCAATCGTGAAGCAGCTGTTCATGACCTTAGAGGATGTCAGAGCAAGTCTGAACTCTTGGTTGGAGGTTTTTCCACACCCTGTATCAATTCACTTCCGCCACTAACTGACAGAGACCTAACTGAAGATTTCAAGACTGTAAATTCCCAGCACACTTCGAAGAAGCTGGGGATGGCTGAAAGTCATTTCACAGTAGGATTGATTTGCAGCCAGGATCAACCAGCCTTTGGCCTCATTTTTGTGTAGTTTGGACGATTCTATCATCAGATCTGCCTCTCGATATAAAATGTTTCCTGTTTGAGTTTCCTTTTTCAAATGAATGGATTTATTATCCTAGAGGAAGACTTCCTAGCTGTTCTGAGAAGGGCAGGATGAATGAAAGGTTATAGATCAAATGTGTTTATTTGTCCCTCATTAGCTGAGAATTGGTTTATGTGTATCATTTTATGGAAAGCCAAGGAATAATGACACACATATTGAATTTATTGAATCAAGTGTAACAGCACTGGGAAGGTCTAAGAAAACAGATATACACATATACAGAAAAAGAGAGCGTTTACATGGCCATTTCTCATCTCACTAGGGAAGTCAAGATGTGTGCACGAAAACTACCATGCCAGTAAGTGAACAGTGCCAGTAAGACAGAGAACAGTGTTAGATGAAGAAGACAGAAGCTTTCATAGACAAGGAAAAACTAGAATCTTAGGCAGGTTTTAGAGAACAACAACGTTGCTTAATACTTACTAAACATACACTTATTAAACATGACCTCATATAGCTTTACAATAGCTATTTAAATTAGGAACTACTGTACTTTATTTTCTGTTTCACAGTTCCAGAAAGTGGATTGCTTACATCAAATAGCTAGTAAAAGATAACTCGAATTCAAGCCAGACTCTAAAGGACATGCTCTTAACTGAGCACTTCTCTGTGCTGCCTTGGGCTGGGCATAGTAGAGACGTCCAATCTCCAGGGCAGGGATAGAATACGGAAAAATCTAAGCAAAGGTCTGGAGGTGAGAAGGGAAGCATGTTCTGGGGTCAGTGCAATCAGCCTGCCTAAAGTAGATGGTTTTGGGGAAAAGGTGGGGTTGATAAAATTGGAGAATCAATAAGGCTGAAAAATATTACAAGAATTAAAGATTCCTACATTAATGGATTCTGAGCAGGAAAATAATATTACGTAAAAACTGCTTTTGTAAGAAGGGTGAACTCAGCAGTCATGTGTAGAATGATAGAAGAGCAGAGGCCTGGAGGCTGGAAAATCATTGAGAAGATGTTGCAGAAGTCCAGGAACAGGCAGTGAAGGCCTGGACTAGTACACCAGTTCTCAAATTTTTGGTCATGGGTGTACTGATACTCTTAAAAATAATTGAGGAGTCCAGAAGTGTTTTGTTTGTTTGGTTTTTATCTGTCGATGTTTATGGTATTTGAAATTAAAACAGAATTATTTTAAGAAAATTATTAAATCATTTTAAAATAACAATAAACCCATTATACATTAACATAAAAGTAACTATGCTTTTTCATGAAAAATAACTATGCTTTTAAAAATATATAGTGAGAAAAATTATACTGTTTTATACTTTTGCAGATTTCTTTAATGTTTGGCTTACTGGAATCCAGGTGGATTGTCATACATCCAGTGGGCTGTGATGTTGCACAATGTGTGGACTAAAAAATTCCACTGCATGCTAATGAGAGAAACAGTGAACATGGCAAATCACACCTTAGTATTCCCATCATAGTAGTTTCGAACTCATGATACTCTGAAAGATTCTTGGGAGTTCCCATGTTTCCAGGCCACAACTTGAGAACCTCTTGGCTAGAGTGTAGCTGAGAAGACGCAGAAACACAGAGAAACAAAACAACAGCATCTGGAGACCGACTAGGCTTAGTGGGAGCTGCAAAGGAAATGATCTGATTCAGTATGATGCAATACATCAAACCTGGGTGACCTGGGAAATTTGCAATGCCTCTTGCAGAATGGGGAAACCCATGGGGGAAGGCAATCTGATGGGGAAGTTGGCAATTTCTGGTTTGGGTGATTTAAATGTGAAAGAACATAGATATCCAAGTAAATACAGAATTAGGTCACAGAAACTGAGAGACTCATTGTCAATAAAACTGAATGTTTTTAAGTTAATTTAAAAATGAAATAGACACATGTACTGTAATTTCTATCCAGTTCATCACAAAATTTTTATTCATTTTTGTTTCTTTTAATGAGTGGAACATTATAGGAGCTCAACTGTATTTGAAAAATTTACTTTTCTAAGATGAGGAGTGAATACATGGGCATTTTCCATGTTATTCTTTATTCATTCGATATGTCTGGGACAATTTATAATATATTAAAAATTTTAAGTTCACATCACATGCTAACCCACACATATTTCTCTCTCTCTCTCTCTCTCTCACACACACACACACACATACACACACAGACACACACTATATATATTTTCCTTAGATCAGATGCCATCTTATTTCCAGATGCTAGTGCTAGAGATTCCCATTTGGGAAAAAACAAAAGAAGAAAAATAAAGAAAGAAACCTAAACTAAACCACATATTTTAATCTTCTCTTTAGATATTGAAATGCAGACTATAGAGAAAGAACTTACTGCAGCATCAGCAAAATATAGGAAAAGTGTAAGTCAAACAGGAAGACATACCAATATTCACATGATACCAAAGAAGTGCATTTTATTACCTGTATTTACCAATGATTCAGTCAGACCGAAGCTCCCAGGAGAGTTTATAGCACTTAGTGGGAGAGACAAAAATGGAGAAACAAAGAATTATGAACAGTGTGATGTTTCCAGTAGAATCAGAGGCATAGGGAGAACAAAGTACTCAAAGGATACATCCTAGAGAAAGTGACTATGTGTCCCTGGGAGGTTGTCTAAGCAAGCTCGGCTCTGGAATTGGAGTAGATTGGATTGGAGTAGATTGGAGTGCTAGCACTGAGTTGGGCACTATTAGCTTTGAGACTTAGAGGAAATTATTAAATTGCATAAGCTTTAGTATGAAAATATTTTTATTGATAAAAACATGTTAATAGTAGCTGCTTCCCAGGATTGCAGTGAGGGTTAATGCAGAATAGGACCCAGTGAATGTCAGCTCCTCTTACTGTGTAGCGCTGACCAATAGACCCCCATCTGCCCTCCACACTCAGCACTACCCCCCACCACATCCACGTTTCTCTCTTGGATGACTTTCAAATACTGTTGCCATCTTAAGCTCTCCATACTCTAACTGCTTTGGTTATAATCTCAGCCACCAGACAAGTAGATGTCCTTCTTCTTAGGCCTTTGAAAGCCACAACCCTGGTCTCCACCAGCCTTCGCTCATACTAAAGCCTTTCTGGAGCATACTCCATGCTTCCTTTCTATTCATTTCAGAGGCCTTTAATTTTCTGATTCTTGTTTAGCTCTACAACTATTACATATCCACCATATTACCTATCTTTATTTACCATAGACGTCATTCCAAATTGTATCCTGTAGTCGTTTTAACCAAGTAAAAAATGAAGTTGGAAAGAGTATATATGTTCTTTTATTTTTTTTTACACAGGAAAATAAATATGATAATAAAACTTCTAAAATTCTTTTAAGAAGAATGTTTTGGATGTGTGTATGAGGGCAGGATGAAAGGGGATAATCATTAGATAACATAAGTCAAATTCACAGGTAGAAGGAGGCTGTCATTGACTTTCAGCATCTATTATTGTGGCTATTCAGTGAATACACTCCGACCTGGGGGCTCTGAACTAGAGGAAAGCCAGGTGCTCCTGAAGCCAGGTGCCTGCTTTGGATGAATGAATGGATAAATGAATGAGATAAGCACAAATCTACAGTACACCCAAAGATTACATAATCAAAAATAATGCCTGTACAAAGAATGGTGTAAATTGCACTATGAAGATAATTTAGGTAAAAACTTAGCTAAATTTTCTTAACAGGAATTCCATTTTTAGTGCTTTTTTTAAACTCAAGGATAGAATTCATATTAAATAGGAATAAAAGTTAATGCCAAGTATAACTTCTTTTTGCTAATAATTGTTTCGTAAATATATGTGTTCTGTAAACTAACATAACCCTCATTTTTTTTTGCAGTTGTTTCATGACCTTTGCAAACAAATGAAAGACTTACATTTGCTAAGTTCCCTTTAGTACTTAATTACTAGAAATTTAAGGACCTAACAGGGACTGCAGCTGTTCTGAGTTTCAATTATTTTTCTGCTTATCTTCCTGGCTAATAACTTGGAGCTCTGGGCTGAATGCATTCCATTTTTTGGTAATGGGAAACATCAAGACAAATCTTGTTTCCCACATAACTGAGTGGAACAAGGAGAATTGGGTCACCCAAGAGTTTCATCAGCACTCTTGGAAGAGCTCAAGAGATAAGCAGAAGCATTTACACTACTGGGAACAATTGGTTTTGTCAAGAGACTCAGCAATAAAAGCAGGAAACTAGGCTGGAACAGAAGGGGTGGTGGGAAAGACTATCTGAATGGTAAAGGGTTTCTGTGTAAAATAATGATGCCTTCTCTTTTAGGGGAAGCTGAGCATTTTTGTTTTGGCACCTAGATGTTGAATCATATGTCTCACATAGAATCATAGATTTTGCAGAGTTCGATTAGACATAAGGCATCACCTAGACTTCTTTAAAGCTGGGGACACCAGGGCCCAGAGAGGTTAAAGGACTTATCTGAAGGCACACAGCTAGTACGTGGCAGGCACAGCTAGTACGTGGCAGGGCTGGGAACAGAACCCATTTCCTATTCCCAGTCAGGGCACTTCCCTCTCCCCTACATCTGCTTCCTCTACTCCTTTAAGCATCTTGTCTCTTCAAGCCACAGCTCAAGTACTCTGGTGATATTCTCAGCACAATCTCCAGATTGCTATTCTTGAAACCTATTTCTTTGGCCTCCTTCTCTCCTAATTTTTTTTAAAAATCATGCTTTTGTAAAATTATTAAGTTTTCTGGTAAAGTCGAGCACTGATGGTTGAGAATTTATTGCATTTGGACAATTTCTAGATGGCAACTTATGTATAGTTGTACGTTACTGAATTAAGGTGTGTTTAGATAATAATGCAGCTGGAAGGAGCTATTTGGATCGAATGAGCCAAATCCCTGGTTTGCAGATTATGGAACAAAACCCTAGAAGACAAAGGGATCATCAGTTTAAAATACAAAACCCTAATGTCATAGAAAATTCTATCAAAGCAAAGTTTAAGTGTTTGAACATTGACTTCATCAAAGATTAAATAAAAATGGTCCTGAGTTGTTATTACTCTCTAAAAAAGTGTTGTTTATTAAAATGTTTGGCATATATTGTTGTTGTTCATTGTTTTACTCATTTGGAGAGGTTCTAATAAGAATAGCAGGAAACTAACTGAATTATTTAAAAGCTAGGCTCAATGTATTCAAGGAAACCAAAAGTTTAACGTACTTTGAGCAGCACTTGATGAAAATGATCATCAACATGATGAGTTGTATTTTAGGCATGCACAGTATTTGCTAAATGAATGAATAATAAATATAAAAAGTACTTGGCTGGAGACAAAGTATTGTACCTTAGAATACTGACATTGAACAACACAAATTTGGTAAATCCTTACTTTTTTTAAAATTATACTTTAAGTTCTGGGATACATGTGCAAAACGTGCAGGTTTGTTACATAGGTATACACGTGCCATGGTGGTTTGCTTCATCCAACAACCCGTCACCTACCTTAGGTATTTCTCCTAATGCTATCCATCCCCAACCTCCCCACCCCGCAACAGGCCCTGGTGTGTGACGTTCCCCTCCCTGTGTCCATGTGTTCTCATTGTTCAACTCCCACTTATGAGTGAGAACATGTGGTGTTTGGTTTTCTGTTCCTGTGTTAGTTTGCTGAGAATGATGGTTTCCAGCTTCATCCATGTCCCTGCAAAGGACATGAACTCATCCTTTTATATGGCTGCATAGTATTCCATGGTGTATATGTGCCACATTTTCTTTATCCAGTCTATCATTAATGGCATTTGGGTTGGTTCCAAGTCTTTGCCATTGTGAATAGTGCTGCAATAAACATACATGTGCATATGTCTTTACAGTAGAATGATTTTTAACCCTTTGGGTATATACCCAGTAATTGGATTGCTGGGTCAAATGATATTTCTAGTTCTAGATCCTTGAGGAATTGCCATACTGTCTTCTACAATGGTGGAACTAATTTACACTCCCACCAACAGTGTAAAAGCGTTCCTCTTTCTCCACATCCTCTCCAGCATCTGTTGTTTCCTGACTTTTTAATGATCACCATTCTAACTGGTGTGAGATGGTATCTCACTATGGTTTTCATTTGTATTTCTCTAATGACCAATGATGATGAGCTTTTTTCATATGTTTGTTGGCTGCATAAATGTTTTCTTTTGAGAAGTGTCTGTTCATATCCTTCCCCCACTTTTTGATGGGGTTGTTTTTTTCCTGTAAATTTAAGTTCCTTGCATATTCTGGATATTAGCCCTTGTCAGATGGATAGATTGCAAAAATTTTCTCCCATTTTGTAGGTTGCATATTCACTCTGATGATAGTTTCTTTTGCTGAGTAGAAGCTTGTTAGTTTAATTAGATCCCATTTGTCAATTTTGGCTTTTGTTGCCATTGCTTTTGGTGTTTTAGCCATGATGTCTTTGCCCATGTCTATGTCCTGAATGCTATTGCCTAGGTTTCATGGTAGCGTTTTTATGGTTTTAGGTCTTATGTTTACGTCTTTATTCCATCTTGAGTTAATTTTTGTATAAGGTGTTAAGGAAGGGGTCCATTTTCAGTTTTCTGCATATGGCTAGCCAGTTTTCCCAACACCATTTATTAAATAGGGAATCCTTTCCCCATTGCTTGTTTTTGTCAGGTTTGTCAAAGATCATATGGTTGTAGAAGTGTGGCATTATTTCTGAGGACTCTGTTCTGTTCCATTGCTCTATATATCTGTTTTGGTACCAGTACCATGCTGTTTTGGTTACTGTAGCCTTGTAGTGTAGTTTGAAGTCAGGTAGCGTGATGACTCTCTCAACTAAAGTTGAGAGTCAGTTGAAAACTCATGGAGAAACTGAGTGTCTAGAACAAATATCTTAAAGAACATTGTCATTACCTCTCTGGGACAACTTTATTCACAGAAGAATTTGAGAAATAATAGTTCATTACATACTAAGTGACATCACAAATGATAAAAATGGGGTGTTCATAGTATTTAGTTCCCTGCAATTTAAAACCCATATGTTGGCCTTTTAATAACTATTTTAGCCATATTAGGTGCATGGGTAGACTCCAGGAACCATCTGCTATGTGCCTGCCAATTAAGTTTGCTGCGTTCTCCTGAACAGAGTGACTCTTCCATTAAAACAAGTGGCTTTTCCAGGAAAAAAGATCTTGGGATTTTCTTTGGTTATTAGATAGCTCTACACCAGATAGGAACATAAAATTTCTTTGTGTGGGGAAAGAGGAGAGCTTTCCTGAAGTTTGACTCATATTACAAAAATGAGGGGGAAAGGGATTTAAGTGCTTATTTCAGTTCCTTTTCCAAACATGGAAAGTAAAATAGTAGTTCAGCCTCAATCCTTTCAGAGGAAGATCTCATTGCAAATGTAAACTTCACTACTCAACTCACAGTGTTTCATATATTGCAAATAACCTAGACTTCAAAATTCAAAATGCCACATGCAAATCCTAGTTTAAGTCTGGAAGTGTTTGTGAGATCAAAAGCAAAAAAATTTTCTCTGTGGTCTTAGATTCCCATTTAACCTTATTTCTTTTTAAATGTCTACATTAGGAAGTCCCATGTTTTATCCTTGTAATTCTAAAACAGATGAGTAAATGAGTATTGCATTATTATAGTTGGCCACAGAGCAAACTAGTGGCAGTAACGGAGCTTAATCGTGACCTTTAAATTTCAAACATGCTCAGATTCTTGAAGTCAGATGGCCTCATACTTTGCTTTGCTGCTGTGTGATGGAAAGGGATCAAGTATACTTGACTTTTGTAAGTGACTTTCTTTAAAGCTAAAAGTTGCATAGAACACATTTGTTGAAACAATTAGAAAACTTTATCTGTAATTCTCTTTGCAAATTACATGATTCTGCAAGCCTCATTGTTCCCAGTTTCTGAAATGGGAATAATCATTCATCCTGCATATCTCTTCTATTTATTATAAAAGTGAAGATAACTTAAAATATTATAAATTAATGTGTAAGTGTAAGAAAATATTAACTGTGGAGTGCTACACTTTCTGACCTTGTGAACGTTTGATTTTCTTTACCGGAAACACTGAAATATACTGAATATCAGGTACCTCTCCAGAGCATGCATGTGGTTCTACAGTTGCTTGCCTAAAAATGGTAAAGGTCAACTATCCAGAGGGGAGAAATGGAGAGGACAGAAATGCTGTTAATTAATTAGCATAGGAAACACATAGAGTCATAGAGTTTTCTGTCAGCTGAGGAAGTGCCTTCTCTCCTCTTTCTCACACATGCATATATGCTCACATATGCATCAATATAAATCCTTTGATTCTTTATTGTTGTTCAAACTAGTAAGAATCTATTACTTTCTTTTTGCATTTTGATGCTCCAGTTGTCGCAGATTTGGCCAGGAAGGAGCCCCTTCAAATTTTCCTCTTTGGTCTATTGACATGTCTCCATTGTTTTTTTTAAGTCCTTCTTAGTTTTTGCCCAAGATATGTTGGGCTCAACTGTACTTTCCTTTCCCAAGCCTTGGAATCAGCCATCTTTCTAAAGAGTCCTAGTTCCTTTTCATAGAGTAAGGAATATAGAAACCAAGATTTTCATGCTAGGTGTACTCATTGATACTGGAGTGTTGTTATTTTTAGGTTCTTTCAGAGAATAGGAGGAAATAAGAGAAAAGAGGTAGTTAGTAAAAAAAAAAAAAGAGTATATCTGTTTGTTGATAAGATAATGAATGATTCTTCCAAGCAGAAAGAACAAATGTGTAGATGGGGGGGTGGGCAGGGCTTGGCAAGAGAGAAGAAAAAGAAGGAAGAGGAAGAGAAGAGGAAGAGAAGAGGAAGAAGAGAGGGGAAGAGTGGTAGGGGAGGAGGAGGGAGAGGCAAGAAGAAGAAAGGGGCAGGGAGAGTGAGAAAGACTTTCTTAAAGTACTTCTGTGTTTGTGGAGCACAGGTTTAATCTTGTGGGAAGTATAATGCATTGACCTGGAGATGTAGAGAGGAACCACACCATGAAGGGCCCTATGTGCCATACTAAGATACAGATGCTCCTCTACTTATGAGGGTTACATTCCAATAAACCCATTATAAGTCTAAAATATTGAAAGTAAAAAATGTATTTATTGCCCCCATAAATCCATCGTAAAGTCAAAAAATGGTAAGTTGGTGATAGTCTGTATTTGATTTATTACAAAAGGTGAAGGCTTTTAACCAAATCACCTCATTGACGACTCTAATAATGGGAATTTCAAGCAAGAGGTTCAAGTACTAAGAGGGGCCATGGTGGTGAGGCAGGAGGACATACCATGGGGCAGATTAGTTCTTCTAGCTCTGCCTAAATCTCACTTCTGAGATGGTGAATTACTTGACATCCTGGACTTCACACCCTCCTTCCTTCCTTTTCTTTCAGTCATCCTGTTTTGGTTTTCTGCCATCTAATCTGAGGGAATTTAGAAATGAATCACTGATTCCTGCTTTCTAGTAGTGTTCACAGAATATATTTTAAAGATGGAAGCATGGAAAGATAAATAACAAAAGCACAAGGCCATGCTGTCTGTCATCCATCCTCTTTATTGGTGTGTAGGCACTGAGGACTTACTTGCTTAATGTAATTTATAATAAGTTTTTCATCAACTATGAAATTAGTCATAGTCATGGCTCTTATGTCCTAACTCATTGCAGGTATCAGATAATGGACTTAAAATATGTGTTGTCTCTTATGTCTCTGTATTCAATAGCAATTTATTTTTCTCTGGTTTTGCCTTTATGTTAGAATGTGTATAATAACAACATACCCTTTATTTGTTGTTCTCTTGTTTTGGTAGTGTCGAATTACTGGGTTGCAGAATATGCATATTTTCCACTTTACAAGATAATGCCAAATGTCTTCCAAAGTGACTACCAGTGGGCACTCCCATTAGCATGTATGCAATTCCCAACATTTGGTATTGTTAGACTTAATTTTTGTAAGTCTTTTTTTTTGTGTGTGTATATGTGTGTGTGTGCATCTTCATATTTTCTTATTTTTCATTCTCTGAGTATTAGTAATATTAAGCCCTTTTTCTATATATTTATTTGCCATTCAGTTTTTATTCTTCTGTGAAAAGAAATTTGTTTTTCCCCATGGTTCTCTATTTGTTTGCTTCTTTTCTTATGTATTTGGACAAGTTTTTAAAAACTTTAAAATTTAAAAAATATTTGTATATTTGAAAACAGGAGCTCAAACCAATACTTGTACAAAAATGTTCATTGCAGCATTATTTATAACAGCCAAAAAGTAAAAACGACCCAAGTGTTCATCAACAGAGGAATAAACAAAATATGGCATATGTGTACAATAGAATATCATTCATCAATAAAAAGAAAAGCATTCTGATACATGCCATGACATGAATGAACCTTGAAAAAATTCTTGTAAGTGCAATAAACCATAAGCAAAATGAGATATATTGTATAATTCTACATATATAAAGTATCTACAGTAGGCAAATTCATAGACAAAATGTAGATGAGAGATTATCAGGGGCTGAGAGGAGGAGAGAATAAGGAATTAACTGCTTAATGGTTACAGAGTTTCTCTTTGGAATAAATAAGTTTTGGAAATAGTGATGATGGTTGCACAACATTGTGAATGTAATTAATGCCACTGAATTGCACACCTCAAATGGTAAAAATAACAAGCTTTATGTTTTACATATATTTTACCACAATAAAAATAAATAGATAGGTAAGACATATTTGTGTGGGTCTACTTCTGAGCTCTCTATTCTGTTCCATTTATTTATGTGTCTATCCCTCCAACAGTACCGTGTTTCCATGATTTCTGTCACTATAAAATGTCTTCAATTTGTGTAGACTGAATTCTCCCACTTAGTTTTCTTTTTCAAAAGTATTTTAGCTATTCTAGTTCCTTTTCTGTATAAATTTTAGAATATCTTATCTATATCCACAATAAAAATACCTGGAATATTGATAGGAATTGGTTAAACCTGTATTATTATGTCTTCTTCGTGGGTTGACACCTGCATCTTTATGTTTCTGTATCCTTTTTAGGTTTTCTGTATTATAGTCTAATTTGTCTTATTTAAATAATACTGCCCTAGCTCTCTTATGTTTAGTTTTGGATGGCATATCATTTTTCTTTTTTTTTCACTTTTTAATACTTTTTATTTTAATGATATTCTATAAGCTTGATAATTAAATGAAATGAATCAGTATAACAAGGTTAAAAAATCCTCAGAGTAAATAAAAAACCAAGTTTAAAAAAGTCTTCCTAAGACATACATATCAATAGTAAGCACTATTCCAGTTTATAATATTATCTAGAGATTTTAATACACGGACTCAACTCTTTCTTATTGTAATTCAACTTGCCTCATCCCAAGTTACATTTTTTAGAAAAATCTTGATCCTCATCCCTTCCCCTTCTTCTTATACCATTTTGCTTCTGCCTTACATCCAACATTTGCCATGTTTTCTCTGGAACTCCTTGTCTAATATCAACCCAGCACATCATTGCCCTAAAATCTCCCCTAGATTTCTTTCTTACTTCAATAGGCTGGCTTAATGCAATCCTTCCCTTTGTCTTTTCTGTTTTTTTTAAAATTTTATTATTATTATACTTTAAGTTTTAGGGTACATTGCACAATGCACAGGTTAGTTACATATGTATACATGTGCCATGCTGGTGTGCTGAATCCATTAACTCGTCATTTAGCATTAGGTATATCTCCTAATGCTATCCCTCCCCCCTCCCCCCACCCCACAACAGTCCCCAGAGTGTGATATTCCCCTTCCCCTGTCCATGTGTTCTCATTGTTCAATTCCCACCTATGAATGAGAACATGCGGTGTTTGGTTTTTTGTCCTTGCGATAGTTTACTGAGAATGATGATTTCCAATTTCATCCATGTTTCTACAAAGGACATGAACTCATCATTTTTTATGGCTGCATAGTATTCCATGGCGTATATGTGCCACATTTTCTTAATCCAGTCTATCATTGTTGGACATTTGGGTTTGTTCCAAGTCTCTGCTATTGTGAATAGTGCCACAATAAACATACATGTGCATGTGTCTTTATAGCAGCACGATTTATAATCCTTTGGGTATATCTCCAGTAACGGGATGGCTGGGTCAAATGCTAGTTCTAGTTCTAGATCCTTGAGGAATCACCACACTGTTTTCCACAATGGTTGAACTAGTTTACAGTCCCACCAACGGTGTAAAAGTGTTCCTATTTCTCCACATCCTCTCCAACACCTGTTGTTTCCTGATTTCTTAATGATTGCCATTCTAACTGGTGTGAGATGGTATCTCATTGTGGTTTTGATGTGCATTTCTCTGATGGCCAGTGATGGTGAGCATTTTTTCATGTGTTTTTTGGCTGCATAAATGTCTTCTTTTGAGAAGTGTCTGTTCATGTCCTTCGCCCACTTTTTGATGGGGTTGTTTGTTTTTTTCTTGTAAATTTGTTTGAGTTCCTTGTAGATTCTGGATATTAGCCCTTTGTCAGATGAGTAGGTTGTGAAATTTTTCTCTCATTTTGTAGGTTGCCTGTTCACTCTGATGGTAGTTTTTTTTTGCTGTGCAGAAGCTCTTTAGTTTAATTAGATCCCATTTGTCCATTTTGAATTTTGTTGCCATTGCTTTTGGTGTTTTAGACATGAAGTCCTTGCCCATGCCTATGTCCTGAATGGTGCTGCCTAGGTTTTCTTCTAGGGTTTTTATGGTTTTAGGTCTAACATGTAAGTCTTTAATCCATCGTGAATTAATTTTTGTATAAGGTGTAAGGAAGGGATCTTTCCTTACACCTTTCAGCTTTCTACATGTGGCTAGCCAGTTTTCCCAGCACCATTTATTAAATAGGGAATCCTTTCCCCATTGCTTGTTTTTGTCAGGTTTGTCAAAGATCAGATAGTTGTAGATATGTGGCATTATTTCTGAGGGCTCTCTTCTGTTCCATTGATCTATATCTCTGTTTTGGTACAAGTACCATGCTGTTTTGGTTACTGTAGACTTGTATTATAGTTTGAAGTCAGGTAGTGTGATGCCTCCAGCTTTGTTCTTTTGGCTTAGGATTGACTTGGCAATGCGGGCTCTTTTTTGGTTCCATATGAACTTTAAAGTAGTTTTTTCCAGTTCTGTGAAGAAAGTCATTGGTAGCTTGATAGGGATGGCATTGAATCTATAAATTACCTTGGGCAGTATGGCCATTTTCACGATATTGATTCTTCCTATACATGAGCATGGAATGTTCTTCCATTTGTTTGTATCCTTTTTTATTTCATTGAGCAGTGGTTTGTAGTTCTCCTTGAAGAGGTCCTTGGGCAAAAACTGGTTCAACCTATGCAAATCAATAAACGTAATCCAGCATATAAACAGAACCAATGACAAAAACGACACGATTATCTCAATAGATACGGAAAGGCCTTTGACAAAATTCAACAACCCTTCATGCTACAAACTCTCAATAAATTAGGTATTGAAGGGACTTATCTCAAAATAATAAGAGCTATCTATGACAAACCCACAGCCAATATCATACTGAATGGGCAAAAACTGGAAGCATTCCCTTTGAAAACTGGCACAAGAAAGGGATGCCCTCTCTCACCACTCCTATTCAACATAGTGTTGGAAGTTCTGGCCAGGGCAATTAGGCAGGAGAAGGAAATAAAGGGTATTCAATTAGGAAAAGAGGAAGTCAAATTGTCCCTATTTGCAGATGACATGATTGTATATCTAGAAACCCCATCGTCTCAGCCCCAAATCTCCTTAAGCTGATAGGCAACTTCAGCAAAGTCTCAGGATACAAAATAAATATGCAAAAATCACAAGCATTCTTATACACCAATAACAGACAAACAGAGAGCTAAATCTTGAGTGAACTCCCATTCACGATTGCTTCAAAGAGAATAAAATACCTAGGAATCCAACTTACAAGGGACGTGAAGGACCTCTTCAAGGAGAACTACAAACCACTGCTCAATGAAATAAAAGAGGATACAAAGAAATGGAAGAACATTCCATGCTCATGGTTTAGTCTTGGGATGGTGTATGTGTCAAGGAATTTATCCATTTCTTCTAGATTTTCTAGTTTGTTTGCGTGGAAGTGTTTATAGTATTCTCTGATGGTAGTTTGTATTTCTGTGGGATTGGTGGTGATATCCCCTTTGTCATTTTTTATTGTGTCTATTTTATTCTTCTCTCTTTTCTTCTTTATTAGTCTTGCTAGCAATCTATCAATTTCGTTGATCTTTTCAAAAAACCAGCTCCTGGATTCATTGATTTTTTTGAAGGTGTCTTTGTGTCTCTATCTCCTTCAGTTCTGCTCTGATCTTAGTTATTTCTTGCCTTCTGCTAGCTTTTGAATTTGTTTGCTCTTGCTTCTCTAGTTCTTTTACTTGTGATGTTAGGGTGTCAATTTCAGATCTCTCCTGCTTTCTCTTGTGGGCATTTAGTGCTATAAATTTCCCTCTACACACTGTTTTAAATGTGTGCCAGAGATTCTGGTATGTTGTGTCTTTGTTCTTGTTGGTTTCAAAGAACATCTTTATTTCTGCCTTCATTTCGGTATGTACCCAGCAGTCATTCAGGAGCACGTTGTTCACTTTCCATGTAGTCGAGTGGTTCTGAGTGAGTTTCTTAATCCTGAGTTCTAGTTTGATTGCACTGTGGTCTGAGAGACAGTTTGTTAAAATCTCTGTTCTTTTACATTTGCTGAGGAGTGCTTTACTTCCAACTATGTGGTCAATTTTGGAATAAGTGCAATGTGGTGCTGAGAAGAATGTATATTCTGTTGATTTGCAGTGGAGAGTTCTGTAGATGTCTATTAGGTCCGCTTGGTGCAGAGCTGAGTTCAATTCCTGGATATCCTTGTTAACTTTCTGTCTCATTGATCTGTCTAATGTCGACAGTGGGGTGTTAACATCTCCCATTATTATTGTGTGGGAGTCTAAGTCTCTTTGTAGTTCTGTAAGGACTTGCTTTATGAATCTGGGTGCTCCTGTATTGGGTGCATATATATTTAGGATAGTGAGCTCTTCTTGTTGAATTGATCCCTTTACCATTATGTAGTGGCCTTCTTCATCTCTTTTGATCTTTGTTGGTTTAAAGTCTGTTTTATCAGAGACTAGGATTGCAGCCCCTGCCTTTTTTTGTTTTCCATTTGCTTGGTAGATCTTCCTCCATCCCTTTATTTTGAACCTATGTGTGTCTCTGCATGTGAGATGGGTCTCCTGAATACAGCACACTGATGGGTCTTGACACTTTATCCAATATGCCAGTCTGTGTCTTTTAGTTGGAGCATTTAGCCCATTTACATTTAAGGTCAATATTGTTATGTGTGAATTTGATCCTGTCATTATGATGTTAGCTGGTTATTTTGCGCATTAGTTGATGCAGTTTCTTCCTAGCATCGATGGTCTTTACATTTTGGTATGTTTTTGCAGTGGCTGGTACCAGTTGTTCCATTCCATGTTTAGTGCTTCTTTCAGGAGCTCTTGTAGGGCAGGCCTGGTGGTGACAAAATCTCTCAGCATTTGCTTTTCTGTAAAGGATTTTATTTCTTCCTCACTTATGAATCTTAGTTTGGCTGGATATGAAATTCTGGTTTGAAAATTCTTTTCTTTAAGTATGTTGAATATTGTCCCCTACTCCCTTCTGGCTTGTAGAGTTTCTGCCAAGAGATCCACAGTTAATCTGATGGGCTTCCCTTTGTGGGTAACCCGACCTTTCTCTCTGGCTGCCCTTAACATTTTTTCCTTCATTTCAACTTTGGTGAATCTGACAATTATGTGTCTTGGAGTTGCTCTTCTCGAGGAGTATTTTTGTGGTGTTCTCTGTATTTCCTGAATTTGAATGTTGGCCTGCCTTGCTAGATTGGGGAAGTTCTCCTGGATGATATCTGGCAGAGTGTTTTCCAACTTGGTTCCATTCTCCCCGTCACTTTCAGGTACACCAATCAGACTTAGATTTGGTCTTTTCACATACTCCCATATTTCTTGGAGGTTTTGTTCATTTCTTTTTATTCTTTTTCCTCTAAACTTCTCTTCTAGCTTTATTTCATTAATTTGATCTTCAATCACTGATAACCTTTCTTCCAGTTGATCGAATCAGTTACTGAAGCTTGTGCATTCATCACATAGTTCTCGTGCCATAGTTTTCAACTCCATCAGGTCATTTAAGGACTTCTCTTCACTGGTTATTCTAGTTAGCCATTTGCCTAATCTTTTTTCAAGGTTTTTAGCTTCTTTGCGATGGATTCAAACATCCTCCTTTAGCTTGGAGAAGTTTGATCTTCTGAAGCCTTCTCCTCTCAACTCGTCAAAGTCATTCTCCGTCCAGCTTTGTTCCATTGCTGGTGAGAGCTGCGTTCTTTTGGAGGGGGAGAGGTGCTCTGATTTTTAGAATTTTCAGCTTTTCTGCTCTGTTTATTCCCCATCTTTGTGGTTTTATCTACCTTTGGGCTTTGATGACGGTGACGTGCAGGTGGGGTTTTGGTGTGGATGTCCTTTCTGTTTGTTAGTTTTCCTTCTAACACTCAGGACCCTCAGCTACAGGTCTGTTGGAGTTTGCTGGAGGTCCGCTCCAGACCCTGTTTGCCTGGGTATCAGCAGCAGAGGCTGCAGAACAACGAATATTGCTGAACAGCAAATGTTGCTGCCTGATCGTTCCTCTGGAAGCTTCATCTCAGAGGGGTACCCAGTCGTGTGAGGTGTCAATCTGCCCCTACTGGGTGGTGCCTCCCAGTTAGGCTACTCGGGGGTCAGGGACCCACTTGAGGAGGCAGTCTGTCTGTTCTCAGATCTCAAACTCTGTGCTGGGAGAACCACTACTGCCTTCAAAGCTGTCAGACAGGGACATTTAAATCTGCAGAGGTTTCTGCTGCCTTTTGTTCGGCTATACCCTGCCCCGAGAGGTGGAGTCTACAGAGGCAGGCAGGCCTCCTTGAGCTGTGGTGGGCTCCACCCAGTTCGAGCTACCCAGCTGCTTTGTTTACCTACTGAAGCCTCAGCAATGGTGGGCACCCCTCCCACAGCCTCGCTGCTGCCTTGCAGTTCCATCTCAGACCGCTGTGCTAGCAATGAGCAAGGCTCTATGGGCATGGGACCCTCCAAGCCAGGCACAGTATATAATCTCCTCATGTGCCATTTGCTAAGACCCTTGGAAGAGCACAGTATTAGGGTGGGAGTGACCCGATTTTCCAGGTGCTGTCTGTTATGGCTTCCCTTGGCTATGAAAGGGAATTCCCTGACTGCTTGCACTTTCCAGGTGAGGTGTTGCCTCGCCCTGCTTTGGCTCTTGCTTGACAGGCCGCACCCACTGTCTTGCACCCACTGTCCGACATGCCCCAGTGAGATAAACCTGGTACCTTAGTTGGAAATGGAGAAATCACCCATCTTCTGCATCGCTCATGCTGGGAGCTGTAGATTGTAGCTGTTCCTATTCCCCAGCTGAAGAACTTTTAACATTTTTTCATAATAAATTCCTGCTGTTAACAAATTCTTTCAGCTTTTGTTTGTTTGAATTTTTTTACTTTCATTTTCAAGGACATTTTTGTGGATATAGAATGATATAGTTTCCTTTTCTTTTCTCCCTCCCCAGTACTTCAATATTTCTCTTGCTTGTTGTTGTCTTTTGTTCTTGGGGTCTGTGGTTTGATATCTTTCATTGTTTGAGAGAAATTATCAGCCATTTTACTTTAAAATGTTTTTCTGCTTTATCTCTCTCTTCTCCTTCTGGGATTCCAAGGATAGTATATAAGACCACTTGACTTTGTCCCAGAGTTCTTGAATGTTCTGTCCTCCTTTTTTTTTTTAACCATTTATTTTTATGTGTTAGCTCAGTTTGGGTAATTTCTATTGAGCTATCTTTAAAATCACTGATATTTTTCTTCAGTTGTCTGAAGTCTAGCAGTACATCCCTCAAAGGTGACCTTTTTACCTGGTATAATTTCTGTTTCTTTCTTTCTTTTATTTTTTATCTATCTGCTGAAATTCCACCATCTGTTTATGGATGCTGGCTATATTTTTTTGCTAGAAACTTTAATACATTAATAATTATTGTTATTTTAACTTTTTCTTTTGTAATGATTTTAGGCTTACAGAAGAATTGCAAAAATAGTACAAAGAGTTCCTATATGTACTTAACCCAGCTTCCCCTAATATTAATATCTAATGTAAGTATGGTACAATGATCAAAATAAAAAATTAAGATTGGCACAGTACTATTAACTAAACTACAGAATGTATTCAAATTTCACAATTTTTTTTTCTACTAAAGTCCTTATTTTGTTCCAGGATCCCAACAGGGTGCCACATTACATTTAGTTGTCATGTCTCTTTAGTCTCCTCCAACCTGTGTCAATTTCTCAGTCTTTCCTTTCCTTTAATGACCTTGATGCTTTTGGAAACTACTATTCAGATTTTTGTAGCATATCCTTCCATTTTTTGTTGGTGGTAGTTTTCTCCAGAGTTGATTGAGAATATTGATTTTGTGGAAGTACGCCACTGAGGTGATGGGCTTTTCTCAGTGCATTATATCAGGGAGTTCATAGTATCAATATAATTTATTAGTGATGTTGACTTTCATGACATAGTTTAGGTGGTATCTGCCAAGTTTCTCCACTGTAAATTAATATTTCCTTCTTTATAATTAATAAATATTTTGGGGGAGACATTTAGAGACTATAGAGATATCCCATTTCTCCTTAAACTTTTGTCCATGAATTTTAGCATTCATAGATAGACTTTATCTGCAGCAATTGTTACTGTAATGTTTTGATAGTCATTTTCTCTTTTTTTCATTTTGTCTACATTTGTTGACTGGAATTATTTTGTAAAGGTGACTTCTCCCTTCTTTGTTTGTTTGTTTACATAATATGGACCCCTGGTAGCACCAATCTGTTTTCCATCTTTATAATTTTCCCTTTTCCATAGTGTCATATAAATGGAATAATATAATATATAA
Source organism: Homo sapiens (assembly GCF_000001405.40). Lineage (NCBI taxonomy): Eukaryota > Metazoa > Chordata > Mammalia > Primates > Hominidae > Homo > Homo sapiens. Next base: position 71,941,495 of record NC_000008.11, read on the forward strand.
TATTTGGGGTTATTTCATTTAGAAAAATACATTTAAGTGTTGTCCATGTTGTTATTATTTTGATAAGTTACTCCTTTTTACTGTTGTATTATCCCACTGAAGGTATGTACCATTTTTTATCCACTTATCAGTTGAAGAATATCTAGGCTACCAGTTTTAGCACTATGAATATAGCTGCTGTAAACATTCATGTACAGACTTTTGTGTGAACACAAATTTTTAATACATTTGGATAATATGTAGGAGTAGGATTAGTGGGACACATGGTAAGTACATATTTAACTTTTTAAACTGTTTTTTGAAGTGGCTTTATCATTTTGCATACATTTTGAAAATTCCAGTTGTTACACATCTTTGGTATTATCAGTTTTTATTTTTTAATTTTAGCCATTTCACTAGGTGTATAATGGTATCTCATTGTGAATCATAGAAATTTTTTGTTTGATGTATTAAACACCTGTGTCATAACTGAATATTGTCCTGTTGATTGCTTTGTTTCTTGACAGTCAGTTTTTTCTTTTTCTTTCCCTTTGGAAAAATCTTATAATAATTGATTGAAATCAAGACATAATATGTAGGATAGTACAGACTGAGATTATTATTACTCGTGCCTGAAAATGGGCACAGCTTTTCTTCTCCTAGGTCTTTGATATGGGGTTTAAGTTTTTCTGGTTAGGAGCCAAGCTGGGTTTAGGTGGTGATGTTGCTACGATTACTCTTAATGCATCACTGTCTTCCAATGTTTCTAGCATTACTTTGTGATCAGGGTGAGGACTGGATTGCTGAGGGTTTTTCATAATGTTCATATTTCACTCCCAGTTTTAGACTTTCCTGTGCACTTCAGAGATGTCTCTCTATGCTCTTGTCTGTCCCAAAGTGGTAAACTGATGTTACATGTTGTTCAAGACTTGCTAGCTTGGTGGTGGAAGAATGGTAGACATTTTCTGTGATTCTGGTTCAGCCTCAGTCTTAGGCAAGCCATGTGCCCCTAGGTCTTAGTGTTTAGGGCTTTCTCAGTGATCGTGTCTCCCCAGTGTTAGAGGCTCTCTCTCTCTCTTTTTTTTTTTTTTTTTTTTGAGATGGAGTTTTGCTCCTGTTGCCCAGACCGGAGTGCAATGGTGCGATCTTGGCTCACCACAACCTCTGCCTCTCAGGTTCAAGTGATTCTCCTGCCTCAGCCTCCCAAGTAGCTGGGATTACAGGCATGCACCACCATGCCCGGCTAATTTTGTATTTTTAGTGGAGATGGGGTTTCTCCATGTTGGTCATGCTGGTCTCGAACTCCTGACCTCAGGTGATCCGCCCTCCTCGGCCTCCCAAAGTGCTGGGATTACAGGCATGAGCCACCATGCCCGGCCAAGGCTCTCTTATGTTCTATGTCCATGCTAGTTTCAACCTCTTACTCCAGGGTAGTAGTCAATTTTGTTCCGCTTCCTTCCCCTGGCCGCAATAAGTTTTCACTTGTGCCTTTGAATGCTGGGGCCTGGGTGAAGGAAGCAACGTACCTAGGGCACAATATTTCAGGAAATCCTCACTCTCAGATTTGTGCAAATGCAAAGCTGGCACTGCACAAACCAGGAAGTGAATGCCTTTTTCTATTTTGCCCCCTGGATGCTTTGCTTACCTCACCGGAGTCCTGGCTTTGGCCCTAGGGGTGACAGAGTTTTCTGCTCTTCCCCTACTGGCTTAAGGCTTTTTATTTAATAGGAAGAAGAATTTGGTTAGGACTTCATGCCTTTCCACACTGGCATCTGTTCTTTTCTCCAGACTTACACACAAGGGAGATGTTCCAGGTCTTCTTTCCTGCCCCAATACTGCTTATGAGCACCCAGTGAGATCTGTGGACAAGAAGAGCCTATGAGTGGATACAAACTCCTATTGTGTCTGTGATTCCAAGAAGATCTATACTTTCACTCTATTCTTCATCTTAACAGTATCTCAGATATTATAGCTGAAATTTTACCAACTCCTTTGCTAACGCTGTCTTTTTCCCATGCCCTTACCCAGGTAAGCCTGTCTGTGGAAGCACTTATCTTTGCTTAGATGTCAGGCTAGTAGGTAGCCCCAGGTTTTTAGTTCTAATGGCACAGGAAAAAATACGACTTGCAAAATTATCTACATTTTTCTTGTTTTCTTGTTGCTAGTATAGGAGGAATGCTCTTTCTAGCTTTCTATAGCTTACGTAGAATTTTTCAATACTTTAAATATGTCATTTTCTTGTCTTCTGGTTTGCCTGTATTTTTACATAAGGAGTCAGAACTCACTCTTACCTTTGTTCCTCTGTATGTGATTATTAAAAATATCTGCTTTTATAATTTTCTGTAATTTTTCTCATAACTTTAACATTAGTGTTCAGAAATTTGATTATGATCTTCCTTGGTACGGTTTTATTTGTATTTATTTTGCTTTGGACTCAGTGACTTTCTTAGATTTGTGGGTTTAGTTTATATTTTTCACCAAGTTTGGAATTTTTCAGTTATTATTTCTCTAAATTTTTTTTCTGTACCCTCTTCTTGCCTATTTCCTCTTGAACTCTGTAAATATGATAGACCTCTTGATGTTGTTCCATAATTCTGAAGTTTTGTTAAACTTTTTAGTCTTTTTAGTTTTTCTGTACTTATATTTGAAAAATTTCTGTTGCTTACCTTTTTCTTCTGTTTCTTGTCTGATGTTTTTCTTCTGTTGAGTCTAACAAGTTCTTCTACTTGTCCAATTATTTAGTTTTTTTATTTCATATGTATTACCCCAGACATTTCATTTGATTATTTTTATATCTTTAATCCTTATCATTATTATATACGTTTCTAAAAAATCCTTGTACATAATTGTAGTAGCCATTTTTACATCCTTACTGCAAAAAAATATTGTGTTTTTCATTCCTTTGTCTGTTTCTCCTGGACAGATTTTAAATTTGACTATGGGTCACATTTTTCCTGCTTCTTCACATGTCTAGTAGATATATATAATCTATATTTGCCGACCACAGCAGATTATAAGATAACAATTAACAATAAGAGCAATGTTAATAGCATAAACGCTATTAGAAATCAAAAGTGGTATTGACAACAAAAATAAATAAATACAGGAAAACCAGACACCTTAAATATAAGAACTTAAGAAGCACAATTATTTGGGAGCATTTATCTCAGGATCATCTTTATAACTCCAAATGATACCCTTTCTTAGCACAGCATAATTATTGATGATTAAAATGATGACTTGAAAAGTCAGAAAAAATGTGTTACATGTTCAGCACTCTCATTTAAAAAGGCAGCGAAATGTGAACCATTACAGAGATTCCTGCCTTTTCTCTCTTCTAGGTGTTTGATTCCAAGTTTCTTCTTGCCTCAAGGGCCTTGATAAGGCCTTGTCTGCTATGTGGAAGGCTCTTTTTTTCCTTTCTCTTTACCTGGCTAATTTCTGTTTATCTTTCTAGTTTTAACCTACCATTACTTCCTCAAAGAAGTCCTCCCTGATTTTTCAGTCAATATTAAGTTTCTCTGTTATACACACTCTCATTGTACCCTAGACATTTCATCTATGGAGCTTAGTCATAATTATAGCAATTTCCACATTCATTTGTTTGGTGTTTATCAACACCACTATACTATGAACTCCATGAATGCATTGACCGTATCTGTTTTAGCTATTGCTAAAACATTGCCCAGTGAATGATAGATTTCAAAAAATAACTTTTCGAATAAATAATGTTCAACCAAAAACAGAAACAAATGTCAACATGTTGCAATACATCTATGAGACTTCGGTTTTAGTAAAAGCATGCAGTACGACTAAATTCCTTATATATGCGTTTATTTCTTCTTAATACCTGGTAACAGTGTATGTGCTAAATATATGTTGAAGAAATAATGCTAAACGACAATGAATCACATTGGGGTTATTTTTCCTTATAGCCAGTGCTTTTCAGCACCTGAGAGTTGACAGTAACTGGATATTTTCACATTTTAATTACAAATTTAAATAGGCATCTATTTTCTTTTAAAATAGAGAAAGATACTTTAAAATTGTATTTGTTGTCAGATGCAACAACGTTGCAAATATAGAAAAATGCAACAGTATGTGTTTAATTAGCCACTTCAAACCCCACAGTTATTCCCATTTTACTTTTTTGGATCATAAACACTCTGTAGAGTCAAACTACCACAAGTAAGTACATTTGTCTCACCAAGTATTCCCCACATGGAAGCTGATATATTCTATAACTAATGATACCCATTTGGTAGCTAGAGACAAAAATGTGTTTCCTGGGAGAAAAAAAAAAACAACAAAGGTTATGTTTTAATGTAATGGAAGATTAGAAATCCTAAGCAATTTGCTTATCAATCAAAACATTGGAAATTTTGAAAAAAGGAGCTGTCTAGTTAACAGAGTTTTCACCTGGGGCTCATTAGTGGTTCTAAAAGTGGGTCTTTCTCTAGTTTCTAACTAATGTGCTGCTGGGAGTTAGGCCAGGTGTTCCTTACACTGATTTCCACTCAAAGCAACTTTATCTGAAAGCCCATCACCTTCACACCACACAAGTGCAACTCTGTTCACTGGTTTCAGTAAATTAGCTCAGTCTCTACTACTGTGCAAAGACCAAGATGAGTGGCTGGTTTCAAATAATAAGCACTGAGGACCCTAAATTATTTTGCCAGTTTGTCTTTTGTTAATGGGAATTCAAGCTGTTCAAATTCAGTTGTTGTTTTCTTTTTTCCTTTTTAAAAACTTGTCTTGCCATATTGAAGGAATTAAGTAAGAGTCCTCTTAGTCACTTTAACGAATTTGTTGAGCAGTTAAAGCAGCAGGATAATATTTTTAAATGAAAAAATTTAAGTTTACAACCATTTAGAGTTTACAAACAATACCTATTTGTCTTCTACCATGTCTCAATGAGAGTAACTGTCACTCAGCATGGCAGAGGAACTTGCCCCAATTCAGTCTGGTTTCTCCTTTCAAACTTCCCCACAGTTTTCCATAGCTAGAGCAGACTTCCATTCCTCTTGTACTATGCCTTGCTGAGACATCCCTTGACACATTCTTTCCTTTAATTTAATGTAAGACCTGGCCTTAAAATCTTTCTGTGTTATAGACTTCCTTTTGAAATCTTGGGCAGCTCTGAAAACAGAAAACATAAAACTGCACCAGACTGTACCAAAACCTGTCCTGAGGGCGATTCAGCAGGTTTGATTATATGCCAAGTACCTGTGAATACCCCAGGCTGAAGAGCTTTCATAAGCCATTATGAAAATAATGTAATTTTAGTGATTTAGGGAAATGGGAAACAAGGAATAAAGGATCATAAGGGGGAGACAACCTACAACTCCAGGGTAAACAGGGAGTCAGAGAAAGGTAGAAAGAAAGAAGCTTAAGACAGGTAATGGCAGAATGAATATATTATAATTCTGAAAGCGAATTTCAGTATAATGAGTGACAGTATATTTCAGCTGTGTCTTCTAGATTAGATCAGGAGAATTTAATTCATATGGCAGAGAAGAGAATTGTGTCCTGTGTACTTAGAAGAGGACATGGGTTTCTATCTTCTTTGAGAAAGCAGAAAGACCATTTTCACGATCACTGATTATATAAAGACCTGTATTAGACTGACCACATCCTGATGCACGTGGGGAGGAAATGCACTTGGCATGTGGAATAATCTGGGACCATAAGTATCCTCTTGCTAGAGAGGATTTGTATGTTTTCCTGAGTCTCTTTTAAAGGGCAATAAAATTTTTTTCACTTGGAAGTTGCATGTAATACATTCTGGGAATAGTGCCTTGTCGTTAAATATTGAGTAATTTATGGTATCAAGAAGAACCAACTCCTAAATTTGTTCATTTTACTTCCACTATAGTGTCCAGAGAGGATGGTGGATAGTGTTTTCACCAGATGAGGCCTTTTTTTGGGGTACTGATTTATATGACTGCCCTGATGGGTGAGAAAGAACTTAGCAAGACTCTCCCTAGCTGTGTGATGCTCCCTGTTTACCATCAGAACAAGGAATGACTCCACATCCCATCCCATTTCTCCCATGATCAGGGCATCTGTGTTCTAGAGAGACCCATGGGCTTCCTCTTCCATAAAGTAGCTGCGGGCATACCTCTTACCTTGCCTTAGGCTTCTAAAATACTAAATGCACATACTGAATCTACTTGCTCCTGTTACTCTTAGAGAAATGAGACAGTGGGTAAAAATCCACCTCCTTGCTTCCAAAGAGAGAGTGGTTGTTTGTGTTTGGAATATTAGGTCAATCTAGGAGCAACACTGAAATCCATTCGCCTGCTTGACCAATTAGGATAGCATAGGATGTGGTCTATACAGTCAGTCACAAAGAACCATCATCAACAGATGATCTTGTTTAATTGTAAAGGACTTTTCTCTCACGTACTTTTAAAGTATTTAAATAACCCTCTAAGAGTGGATAACTATCACCCAGGTGGTTTTTCTGGATGAGTTGGATGAAGGTGGTAGAAATCATTTATATAAATGTATTTGAAAAACCATGAAATCACTTTTCCCCCATAGGCCTGTGCTGAAACCACTTTCTGGTTGTTAAGCCTTAACAAACAAACAGAAACCCTTTCAAGCCACTGAGAAGGTGTTATAGTTATGGTATGGCACCTGTAGTTAAAGATATAGGGGCTATACAATTTGGAACTAGAAATTAATTCAATAAATCTCATAAATTTTGCTGATGTTTGGGTCCAATATACAGTCCATGATACATTAAGGAGGTAAACACTGGATTTAATTGTTCACTTCAGAAACTAGTTGAGCTGTTTCTGCTGCTCCTATCAGCCTTTGGTAAAAACACACATACTCGATCAATCTAAAATATGGGTGATTTATGATCCTCAGCAGGTATTTATTTGAGAAGGAAATCACAGCAGGTCCTGGTTCATACTCGTATATGGCCCTCACAAAACTCAGCCTACTGACTACCTTTCAAAAAATTATACATGTGTAACTCCAGTCCTTGTTTTGCTTTTAATGATACCAATGTAACTGAGACCTTCCATTTACCTGGTTTGGTAACCTGTAAGTGGGACCATAGGTTCTGGTTCAGGAAGTCAAAATCTCAAATAAAAACTAGGTATATAATGAACTCCCTATTTTTGGATTTGCGGCAGACAGAGGCAAGCGCATAGTTTTGGACTATATCTTGAAGCTAAATCTCCTCCTTAGAGAGGTAATATGAGTGTAGGAAAAGTGAACTTTGCTCTGTGAGAGGCTGTGAATGTCCCTAATAAACTTGTGTCCAAAACAAAAGAGAAAAAGAGAGAAAGAATGAAAAGAAGGAAGGGGGAGGGAAGGAAGGAGGAAGGAAGGAAGGAAGGAAGGAAGGAAGGAAGGAAGGAAGGAAGGAAGGAAGGAAGGAGTGAACACAGGTCTTATCAGGGTCTTATGCTATTTAGTGTTCCTTTTTAGTATTTCTTTTGAACAACAACACTCAGGAATTAAATAATATTCTCTGTCCAGCATGTTTAATGTGCTTTCATTCCTGTCCTATGGCTTTCTCCATCTCCAAGTTATGAATTATTTCTGCAGCCCACTCACTTTCCACCCTAACTTTCTTACTTCTGTTATTCTGCTCTTACAGCTTTCTGTCTAAATATTTTTTTCTTTCTTCATTCTCTATACAAAGAGTAAAATTGTCCTCATGAGTTTCACATGTGACTAAATTTTTAACTACTATATGAATTTTTGTTGTTGACTTTTATAAAACTAGTTTTTACTTGCTATTAATTTAATATGAAAGCTATAGACTATAGCTTATTTGGAATATTATTTGGAATATTATATTATATTACAAGAACTAGGAATTTCTATGAAAAACCCCAAAGAAAAAAAGAGATCCTGAAAGGTCAAATAGGTAACTAGATTACAATGAATATATTAACAAGAGTGGTCTAATATTTTTCAAAGTAGATTAGGAAGAGGATGCAACCTTCAGGAATCATCCCCGCTAAGAAGAGACTGTCATAGCCTTTGCCATTTTCAACCAGTTCCTTACAATATCTGGGGTCTGATAATTTCAAGAAAATGGGAATCTGTTTGGGGTTAGCTTTGGGATTTGTGGCACATTTTTGTAAGTCTTAGATCATGTAAAAAGCTTATCAATAGTAATGAAGATCTCTGTAATGAGATTTCTTAATTTCCTATGTGATTTCCTTCTGGTTGCGAGGATTGTTTAGAAATACATGACTTGGCTTCTATTTTTTATTTTAAAAACTATCATTTTATTACTAACTCATAGTTTTATTTTATCATAAGAGGGAAACTAAATTCTGTATGTTATCTATCATTTAAGATTTATTTAGTCCTAAGTTTTGAGTTCCTTATGTGGCTAATGTGTGGTTTGCTCTTGTAAATATTCCTTGACTATTTTCTGTTTGATATAGAGTATTATACATGTCTAAAAGCTTGAGCCTATTAAGTATATTGGCATTTCCTTGATATCTCTACTTAGTTTATGTCTACTTGATTGAATTAGTTTATGAGACGAATGTGCTAAAATCTTTAGCTATAATAATTGATTTTTCCATCTGAAATTCTATCAGATTTTCTTTTTGCTATTTTGAGGCTGTCCATGTAGGTTTATAATATCTTCTTTTTTTCTTTGTTCCTTTAGCCATTATTTAACATTTCCCTTTATGTCATTATATTGTGTTGTGTAGTACAATTGCTACCTTAGGAATCTTTTGATATACATTTTTCTGGTCTATCTTTTTTCTTTTATTTTCAACCTCTCTGTGTCTTCTGTTTTAAGTGTGTCCCTTCTGGACAATATATTAATTGGTTTGATTTTTTGTATCCAATATGAGAACTTCTGTCTCTTAATTAGTAAATTTGACTCATATACGTTTATTGAAATTACTTCATGTTAGAATTTATTTCTTAAATTTCATTTTATATCTTTCCTTTCCTTTTTTCATTTTGAGGTGGCTTTCCATTGGATAGTTCAAGTTCTCGTCTATAATTCTAAAAGTTAAACCTTATAATTTTGTCTCTACTGTGGTTACTTGCCTCAAACTCATATTCAGTTTTATTCACTTTTCTTGAATTCTTAAACATATTAAATTTTAAAAAATAAGAACCTGGAACATTGTCTCCTTCAGCACCACATTATATTGATACTGTAAAAGTTTATTTACAGGTTGTTGATAGATATACTTCCTTTTGTTACTTTGAGCCTTACTCGTCTCATTGTTTTGCTTTATCACTTCAAGGAATGATAAACTTCAAAGTCATTGATTTCTTTTACAATTAATAACTTATGAACTAGCTCCTAAATTTTTCTCTTCACATTATTTGAATACTTTCTCTAAGAGTGTTTTCAAGGTAGATCTTTGCGTAGAAAATCTGAGGCCTGATGTGTCACTGAGTATTTGTATTACACATTCATATTTTAATAACATTTTAGCTTGTTATCAAATTCTGGAATAAAGTTATTTTTCTTTAATACGTACAAATATTAGTGTATTGTGTATCTAGCATTGCTGTTGGTAAGTCTGATCGCAACTTTATTTTTATTCTTTTGTAGATGATCTGTTATTTCCTTCTGCATGCTTTTAGAATCTCTCTTGGTATTTGATATTCTTAAGCCTCACTTCGTTTGATATTTTTAAGTCTCTATTGTTAAATCCCCCCACTTCTTATCTGTACTGTTTAACACATTCAAATAGAAGTCTTTATCTTTTATTAATTTTAAAAAAATTATGTTTTTTCAAAGATTTTTTCTTCTCTTCATATGCTTTCTTTCTGGTACTCTTATCACGCATATGTTGGCACTTCTACATCTGTCCTTTATATCTATTACTTCTCTTTGTCTATATTTTCTCTTTTTACATATTTAAAATTTTCTTCTTGGAGAATTACTGAATCAGGCTTTCTATCTCTTTAAAATTCTTCAACTGCACCCAACCTATTGTTCGTCCCATCTACCATGCTCTTTATGTCAGTGTTTGTATTTTATTTATCTAATATTTCCACTTTTTGATTATTTCTGGTTCTTGATTTATGTTACAAATATTCCCTATGATCTCTCCTTTAAATATTCTTATCAGGATATTGGAAATTCTTGATTTTCACAACTCTGCTTCAGTGGCATATGTTTAGCTTTTTGTCTTCTGAATTAATTGGGCTTCTGATGGTCCCTAGAGGTATCAGCTACTCAGTCAGAAAACATACATGGGGAAGAAACTGAAGTTCATGCCACAAACTGTAGCAGCTTTGGAACAGAAGGGACCAGACAACCTCAAGGAGAATGGGCCCAAATACCAAAAATTTACTCTTGGTGACCCTTGTTGCTTCTACTGTACCAGGCAACTCTCTTGGGCAGGATTTTACTTTTGCACACTTAGAAAGATCCTGCACCAGGGAAAATCGGTCTCCTGGGGAGGTATTCCAGCAACCATGCAAGTCTGGAGGCGAAGGGGTTGGAGAACCAAATGCCCAAGGGCAGCTACTTAGCCAGCACCCACTACCTGCCTTCATTAATTGTTCTCACGGGCAGGCCTTTTGAACCACCCTGGTACAGAACACCAACCCTGGTGCTTTAGGCTGTCTGTGCCATTTCTAGGCAATGAACGAGTAGTTACTGTACCAACTCAAAAAAAAAAAAAAAAACGGGATGAAGGACAGAGAATTAAACAATTCCATCCAGCTTATCCTTTCACTGCCACTTGGGTAACACACAGCCCCCAGCTGCAGTTGCTCAGCTCCTAGGCACATCAGCTCAATGTGGTCTGTAGTGTCAGCAGGGGAAGTTGTTTCTATTGTTTCCTGCAATCCAGGCTTCTCTTTGGCTGCTATGGTTTCTCCAGGTTTATTTTTAGGGAGGAAGCTAGCAGTGTATGTACCATCTTGACAGTAACCAGAAGCCATGAAAGGAGTTCTAACTTGTGCCTCTGAGGAAAGTCTCTTTTTATATGCTGCTCAATGTCATTTACTCATCGAAAAGGTATTTATACAGTAAATTGCTAGGGGAAAATGCCTCAACTTTCTTACTGAACTTTCAGAATTCAGTGGTCAGATAATAATTGTTGATTTCCTAACCTTTAAAAATGTTAGAAAAACTTTTCATGTGATGTAATGTGACATTTGGTTATGTTACAAATGGCATGTGGTTAAAACTGCTGAACATTATTATAATTTTATTAGTTTCCTATGTTGAATTGTTATCACATATTTTGTCCTACCCAATTATCCAAATCCTTAGTGACTATTAATTACTGAAGAAAAGCAAGCATGGCCAAGTCAATGATATATGCAGGCACTCCTTGCTCTAGACAGGATCATAAAAATGACTGTATGAGCTGAAACCATACATAGTAGTAGTCTTAATAATCAATGGGGAAAAATTATGATTGTTCTGTGACCTTTAAAATTTCCTGTCAAAACACTGAAATCTCTTTTACTGTTGTTTATAAATGTATAAGGAAATTAAAAAACATGGTAAAAGTTTTTTTTAGTATGCTGTAATTTAAAGCATTAGAAATGGGACTTAAAGTGTTTAATACTTTTGTAAAAGAACTTATGAAGAATAGTTTGAGCAATGTTTGTCTTCTCATGTATAACTTATAGTACTAAGTGAGCATTTTTTTCTAGGCTTTGGTGAATCTTGACAGCCCATTCTAAGTTTGGATCAGCTTCCAACATTTTATCCTTTGCACTTTCAACCTTGTGAAGTATCTCTGAGTATCCATTTAGGGTAAAGATTTTTAATGGCATCAGTTTCTCTGGGAGATCTTCATCCTTTTCATCACTACAAGTTTTTGCATTTCTGTTGGTAACTTCACCTTCACCATGTTCTTCTGGCTGCAAATCTAGAGTCTCTCCATCAGTGGCAGTGTCAACATTCCATAATCAGCTATTTCTTCTAGAACTCTATTTACATTCAATACAAATTTCACTTCTAGCATCATCACTTTTTCTATTTGTGTGTGTGTGTGGTGTTTCACTTTCATATTTGTTGGCCAGTTTCCTTTACTGATTATCCATTTGTGTAAATATCACATGGGTTTACCTCTGGGAGACATGGTCCTGATACCAACACACACTTTGCTGTCTATGCATGAACTGAATAACTGAGACGCAGTGACCCATCACCAACAGACTGGAAGAAGTAGCATTAGTGGTCCATTGATTATGATAAGCATCTGCTATTAATGTAATGATCTGTGGGAAAAGAGCTGGCAGCAAAGTCTGTATTTTATGCAATTACTCCCACTTAATATACCGTGAAATTTGTTGGAGGATTGTTGTTATTTAAATCATTGTAACTGAAATTCATACATATAGAAAGTATGCACAGTTAAACTACCCATCTATATTTTATAACAAGGCCAGTCATTTACCAACTGGGTGACTGTGGTGGCTATAAAAGTATGCCCTCACATGTCTGCTAGAGGAGGTGTTTGATGGATGGCTTCAGGTGCTGAGATTTGAGCCTACCACTGTGTTCCTGCCAGGCCCACATTTCCCATAGGCTGCTCCTGGCTAATGCCTAATTTTTGCAATGTCTGACTTGGGCAACTTTTGCTCAAGGATTCCCCACTAGCTGAGCTAAAACTTTTAGAAATGCATTCCAGTCTGTGGCTCTTCCTATGTAACCCTCCTTCCTTCCCTCTCTCCTTTACAGGGGTTACACCTGAATCCCGGTCCGAAGGCTGTCCCACCTCCTCTAACTCTTTCCCTTCTGGATATTTCCTTCAATAAATCTGTTGCACATCTAACCTCATTTTGGCATCTGCTTCTCAAAGGTTTTTTAATACAAATAATTCTGAGAGTGGGCCAAGAAAACAGGAGTAACATGAAGTTTGGAACTGGATCTGTCGCCACCTGGCAGGTGAAGAGAATACCATCATGAGTGCCATGGAAGATACAGGTAGTCCCTGGAGTTTAATTTCTCAGGTGGTGAACTGGAGAAATGTCCAGATGAAGTAGAATGATTACAGATGTGATGATTTGAGCATTTGGAAGAACACATACAAAGTCTGCAGAGCTGGCTAGTTATTGCTAAGTTGTATAAGTGCCCCTCAGAAGGATAACTAGAAAGAGGGTCATTAACAAGCAGTTACAGGGTGACAAAGAGGTCCTTCTCTCTTGTGCTGAAAGAGTAGAGGTAGTTAGGCAGTAGACTGACGATCCAATAGAGTCATGGATGCCAGAGACGTTTGAATGCTCGGTCAAGGCACGTCTGCCAGGTTAAGGTCAGAGCACTGGTTAAGAAAACCTGAGATCCTGAAGTTCAGGTTGGGGACAAGACATCAGTTAATTTATTTTATTTGTTTGTTTATTTATTTAGAGATGGGGTCTTGCTATGTTGCCCAGGCTGAATTTGAACTCCTGGGTTCAAGCAGCCCTCCTGCTTTAGCTTCCTCAGTAGCTAGAACTGTAGGTGCTTGCCATTGTGCCAGGCCCAGGGACAGGAAATCTAAATGGTTGACTCTGAGTATGTTGACTCTGCGCAACCTCCGGAGCCACAGAGCTTATGATGGGGGGGACCACCCTCTTCTAGTACAAGCTAGCACTCCTGGTTCTGGAAGCCACTGCACAAGCTGCTCGGCAGAGGCAACAGGTGCCCCTCAGGGGCTGCCCCACCCACTCTTCTGGCTGCCAGTTGGTAACCAGCCAGTTGTTAATCTCATGGTATTGTCCCTCCAGTAGGAATGATGGAAAATAATGATAACACAAGAAGTTGTGGGAAGACAAAGGAGGATAACTTAATTCAGTCTTGATCAAAGGAGGGATAGAGAGAATAGACTACTCAGCAAAAGTCAGGCATGAATTGGGGGTGTAAACCCTGGTGGAAGAGGAATATTCACATGGAAGAGAAGAGGAGAGGGAGGGGAATTCTACATAAAAGGCATGGCATGTGCAGGGGCAGAGAGGTTTTAGAAAATACAACATTTTCAGAAGCTGAAAACAGTTCAGTATATCAGAAGCACAGGCAATATCAAGGAATACTGAGAGATGAGATACAGGTTGTGCAAGTGTCTTGCATGTTATCATATTTAGCTTTTGTGAAGAACAGTATGAGTAAGCCCAGGATGAATTTAGCTGTAGAGGGAGGGTGAATTACGTGATTACACTCATGTTTATCAACAATTACTTAGTGTCATAAAATTATGTATGCATATATGCACTAATGTAGTTATCCTTCTTTTAATTCAGTTGGTAGCGGAAATGAAGTTGTTAGTTTTCAATAAAAATGTTACAGGAAAGAGGTCCCGATCCAGACCCCCAGGGAGGGTTCTTGGATCTCCTGCAAGAAAGAATTCATGGCAAATCTGTAGAGTAAAGTGAAAGCCACTTTATTAATAAAGTAGAGAAATAAAAGAGTGGCTACTCCATAGACAGAGCAGCACTGAGGGCTGCTGGTTGCCCATTTTTATGATTATTTCTTGATGATATGCTAAACAAGGAGTGGATTATTTATGCCTCCTCTTTCTAGACCATATAGGGTAACTTCCTGTCATTGCCCTGGCATTTGTAAGCTGTTGTGGTGCTGGTGGGAGTGTAGCAGTGAGGATGACCAGAGGTCACCCTTGTGGCCATCTTGGTTTTGGTGGGTTTTAGCTGGCTTCTTTACTGCAACCTGTTTTATCAGCAAGATCTTTATGGCCTGTATCTTGTGCCAACCTCGTCTCTCATCCTGTGACTTAGAATGCCTTAACTGTCTGGGAATGCAGCCCATTTCATCTCAGCCTTATTTTACCCAGCTCCTATTCAAGATGGAGCTCCTCTGTTTCAAATGCTTCTGACAAAAACATTCACGATATAAACTTTATTTTTAAGATTAGATGGAATTAGAGCTATAAATTGACGTGGAACTCGCCCCCTTAAAATGTCTGTGGAGATTGTATAGGTGGTTTAGAAAATCCAGTCAAGTTGAATTCACTAGATTTTCATCTGAATCCTGTTCCTCAGGAGGCCTTTTTTTTTTCAGTAGGAAGACCAATTTTTAGTGTCTGTTTTTCACAGAACTCTTCCAGTCAGTATTTGTTCTAATAGTTGAAAGAGAATGACTTTAGAAAGTTATTTGTGGAGGCTCAGAAGCCACAGGGAAATAAAAAGATTTGAAAATTGTTATAAAAATTAAAGGTTATGGAGGAAGGACAGCTCTGTAATACAGAGCCTTGGATACATACACTTCTTCCTGGAATCTTGACTTCATGAGAACCTGGGCTGACAGAAAATAATGCCTTGGACCTCACCTCTGTGTGATTTCTTTTTTCTACAAATTGGAACCAATATATTTTAGAATACTTGTTTTGTATTTATTTTCTTTCTTTCTTTCTTTCTTTTTTTAAGACAGAGTCTTGTGCTGTTGCCCAGGCTGGAGTGCAGTGGCGTGATCTCGGCTCACTGCAAGCTCCGCCTCCTGGGTTCATGCCATTCTTCTGCCTCAGCCTCCCAAGTAGCTGGGACTACAGGTGCCCGCCGCCACGCCTGGCTAATTTTTTTGTATTTTTAGTAGAGATGGGGTTTCACCATGTTAGCCAGGATGGTCTCGATCTCCTGACCTTGTGATTCGCCTGCCTTGGCCTCCCAAAGTGCTGAGATTACAGGCATGAGCCTGTTTTGTATTTCTTAGTGAGATAGCAAATCGTTGGAAAGTTGGTTCCATTAAGGAGCTGTATAAAAGATTAGGATTTATTTTAAATGTTGTTACAAGGGTTATTTGATGTTTCAGACCTGAAGATCCAAAGCAACACAATAAGAGAAAAATATTTTGTCTGACCAACTTGGATTTTGTTTTGTGTGGGATAGAAGGAGATGCATCAAATTCTTTCCTGGAATTTTCCCTAGGACTCTCTAAGTGTGGGGTTAACTATTATTTTTATATCTATATTTTTGTTTGTTAATGGGATATTAAAAATGGACTTGATGAGAACTGAAAATGTCATTTCCTGATTGGGCAGGATTTGACTGATCAATGGAAAACAGTTTTGTCATGGCTTCAAATGGATTCCCTGTGAATCCTTCCAGTACTTCCAATTCCAGATGCTTCATAAAAGCCATCAGTATAATGAATTAGACAGAAATATGAATCCCTCATATGGTATTTTGACCCCAGCTGGTAATATGACTGTGATCCGAGGCAAGAATTTCCAGAAGTACTAAATGCAATTGGAATAGCAGCAATAGATATTAGTTTCAGCTATCATGGTATCAGATTTTCATTCTCCTCCAGCCTGGTGCTACATGAAGAATACAAGCAGTCCTGTGAGATACTTCCCGAGTCTGAAGCTTTTATGTCCGGATCCCCAGAATCTAAATCCCTACTTGCACAACAAAAAGAGAACCTGGAAAATATGTTGGGAAATGAGAGTGGGGATAACAAACCTAACATTCGTTAGGAATCTGTCCAACATGGCTCACAATGTGGTGCACTGACAGTAAAGTGGCCCAGCCCCCTGGGCCCCAGAGGAAGAGTTAAAAGACACCCAGCAGCTGTTCCCTTTTCTCCGGAGGCCAGAAGAGGAAATGGGTTTATGCTGGAGCAGGAGGGATTTAGCCTGGTATATGAAAGGATTTCTGCCTCAAGGTAATGCTTTCTCACGAACAGCACAATCACATCACCTGCTTCTGTTATTTAAAAACACAGAATCTAGTGTCTTCTGATGGCAGGTTAGAGACCACTGATCCCTGGAGTTCCAGAGGCCCACTGGATGGCTCTTTTTAATATTCCGGAAAGCCTAATCATAGAGATTAAACATTTAAACACTATTATTCTGCTCCTCGAATAGACTACTAAGAATATCTTTCTGAAAACCTTTTAATGGAATGATATTGGCTCAGTATTATCTCATGTTGGTCATATGCTCTTATTTTAATAAATGTTTTCTGTGAATACAAATAGAGAATTCATTGTGACTTAATTTTAATCATTTGTTTGCTGGTCAAAATTCTACAAAAACTCGGGCCCAATGAAAAAGAAATAAAAAATTAAAAAGAAGCTCTTGGTGTTAAAAGGCAGGAATCTGCTTTTCTATCTACTTTTTAAAGAAGGGGACAGCAGAATGTATTACACTAGACTTGGGGTTCAGATACATCTGGGTTAGACGTCTAACACTTTATATACTGTCTACAAGCACTTTTTCTAGCCTCAAAAACCCTTTACTTTGCTCATTTTAAAATAACGATAATACTCAACTTGCAGATAAATTGTGACTATCATATGAGAAAATATCACATGTGATATGTGCACACACAAGACTAGCCTTGAAGGCCTCTTGTTCTGAGGAATATGGGAACACAGAAATAAATTTTCCAGAAAAGAAATCAACAAATACTTGAAGTCATGCAATTACAAAAGGAGAAATGTCAAATGATCTTCAAAATGACGAAGTCATACGACCATTGCCTCAAACCCACATGCTTGTCTGTTAGTTTGTCTTCACTATATAAATGGAAGGGACTGTTGCAAAAACATAAGCAATAAGAATGAAGAGCTTTCATTAGTGACAGCGATTTTATTTATTTATCTTTTTGCTGTCTCTGCCTTCTTGGTTATTGGTCTTTTTACTAACAGAGCTTTAACACAGTTGGTTATGTATTCAGCTCATATATTATTTATAGGTTCTATGTGTTGTGATTTATTCATTGACTTCTCAAGGCTTAACCATTCTTTAATCCATTGAAAAATAAATGTGATGTACTTCTTCGGAGCTGCTGTCCATATTTTTTTTATTTCTTTCGGCATTTTACCAACAGCTCACTCTTACAAAAGAGATAACAGGGAACCTAAGTTCCTGCATTAGACCATATCTTTCTTTGGATTACACCAAATCTTTTTATTGCCTTCGAGTTGGATGGGCTGTCCTGCTTCTCTTATTCATGTGTAGGTGATATTTTGCTTTGTCCATTCTGCAGGTTATCCAGGTGTTTTACAGACAAGGCTGAATGGGAGAAGACGCCCCACCTCCTACAGGAAAGGGCTAATGGCAGCTGCCTGGATATGGCAGCAATTTTGGAGGTGGACAACAATTCAGTGTAGACACGTTTGTGGCTCTTCTATGGAAAATGCCAGCCTGCTTTCCCAGGAGTATCTCACTTGGAGCTTCTCTTTCTGCTTTACTTGTAGCAATTTATTACCGAAGCCATCAGCTGTATATTTAATCTTGTTTTGAGGTTTCCAAATAGGAATAATTCAAAAGTAGACCTGGATGGTTTAGGTTAGACAGACACATGGCTATGATGAATATCAGTCCTTGGCAAGGTTGATTTATGTACTCTTTTCAAGTAATAAGGAAACATCTCTAACTATTTTATGTTACAAGAAAGAAATTTATAATATGAAAGGCTGAATGTTTCTATTTTTTAAAGCAAATCAGAAAATAATTGTGTGGCTGCATATGGTGAAGAGGTAAAATTTGGATAGGATAATCTTTTCAGGCAAAATTATTTCAAAGTTTGAAAGGATTCTTTTAAAAGAAAGAGTGTGTAGAAATATATAAAATACATCATGTTCCTGTATTAGACAAGAATTCCAGAGAGGCTGGAAGTTTCATCCTCAGAAGTTTATACTTAAAAGATAAACTCGAGCTGTGTGTTTCCCCTAGGGGCTGGCTCAGCCATTAGAAGACCAACCATGTCCACAAAGGCCAACACTGTCAGCCTGTCCAAAGTTCATCTTCCTAGTGGAACTTGCCTCAAAATGCAATTAGTAGGACATTTGTAGAAATCTTTTCAGTGTATGGTTACAGAGAGTGTCAGGTTGACTCTGCTTGGAAGAAGAAGGCAAGACCTTCTGCTATTCATCTCTGAAAAGTGCAAAGATCATTCGTTTGGATCGCAATGTATTCAACATTTAAATGCACTTACTCATACAGTCCTAACTGCCCTTCCCATGGCCATTCATGGAGATGCTTCCCAAGATGTTACACAGCCAGTGGCATAAACTCCATCCTGTGTTCCTCACTCATGATTTGGAGAGCCTCTGTCATAGCTTTTTACTTTCTCTTTTTTCTCACTTCAGATGTGGATTAAAGTCTGCACTCACAGCTTTCTCCGATAGTTTAAGGATATTTGATCCTTCAGTATTTATCCATTATTGGCTCTGTTTACCCAAGGGAAAATTAAGTGCAGGGCCTTAGAACAGTAAGCGCTTTAATACGCGGATGCATATGCTGATCTCTGACAGATGTTGGTCTTTGGGAACAACAGAAAGGGGAGGTACGTCATTCACTTGGGAAGCTGCTTGTGCAAATTGACTGATCCTGCAGGTGCCCGGGCAGCGTGGCCATGAGCCACGAGCAATGGTGAGAAAAATGTCTGGTGCAGGGGCAACTACTGAAATATTACGATCTTTCACACACATACCCAGCCAGCTGGCAGGGGATTCCGA
The DNA here is from genome assembly GCF_000001405.40 of Homo sapiens. Lineage (NCBI taxonomy): Eukaryota > Metazoa > Chordata > Mammalia > Primates > Hominidae > Homo > Homo sapiens. The sequence goes on from NC_000008.11 coordinate 71,960,852, forward strand.
GCAGTGCCTCCTAGGAAAAACAGTGGTTCTAAAAGGTTTTCATTTTAATTATATTACTGGGCTTTAAGGTTTAATTTTGTGTTTTCTATGAAAAGAGAAGTTTTATTTGTAGTTGTTACTAGGCAATCTTATTTCTAAGTCTACTGAGTTATGATCATTTTCTCAGGTTAAAATGCATATTAGGCAAGGTGGCTTTTGTGCTTGTCAAGTGTGTCTGTGTGTGTGTGTGTGTGTGTGTGTGTGTGTGTGGTCTCCTATATATTTGAGGTAGAAGAAAGCCCTTCAGGTAGATTTTGGTAAAGATTTTTTGGTTGTTTTTGAGACAGGGTTCTGCTCTGTTGCCCAGGCTGGAGTGCAGTGATGCAATAACAGCTCAGTGCAGCCTCGACCTCCCGGGCTCAAGCAATCCTCCCACCTCAGCCTCCAAAGTAGCTGAGACTACAGGTATGCACCACCATGCAAGACTAATTTTTAATTTTTTTGTAGAGTCAAAGTCTCACTCTGTTGCCCAGGCTGGTCTCAAACTCCTGGGCTTAAGCGATCTTCCCATGCTGGACTCCCAAAGTGTTGGGATTACAGGCATCAGCCACCCCAGCAAAGACTCTTTTGTTTCTGGTTTAACATTTAAAACTAGAAAATTTTGCTCTTTAAGGAGCCCCATAGCAATAAGGTGACATCTTTGTGCAACTGCATATTTTCCATTGCCCTGGTCATTTGTATGAGGGGGGGCAAATGCAGGGCTGCCCCAAGAGTGCCTTGAGGGCAGGGCTGTGTCTTAGTCACCTGGGCATTCCCTGTGCCTCCTGTGGTGCCTGTCACATGATGGGTGGGTGCTTATGTGCTCAGTGAAGTCAAGCTCCTGACAGAGACAGGTGTCCCAAGCTCCCTACGCAATTGCCATTGTGCATGATATTCCTAAAAGGGAAGAAACCCTGCAAGAGCAGTCATGACTCTGAGACTTTCAGAACTTTAGGAAAACTTTATTTTCATTGTGTGTATAAAACTCTTGTTTTTTCAACCACCAGCTGATATTGTGACATCACTGGTCTAAATTACCAACAACATTTTGTCTGATGTAGGTACTCTCTAGTAGGACTCTGGATAGATGCCATTACCCTGAGACCTCAACATTTATGAAGAGTTGCAGACCTGGAAGCCAGTCTGCTGGGGTTCAAATCCAGACTCTGTGGCTTCCTGGGTAATTTTGATGGCTCAGCCTCTGGCTAGATCAGTTGGTGTGAGGATTAAATGAACCAATCCATGTAAGTGCTCAGATCGGAGCTGTGCACACACTACATACCCAATACGCATTACCGTATTTGATTACTGATTTCTCTGATAACCTCTTTTCCAGGGAATGAGGTGAAATCTAGAGGGAATTCTTGAATTTTTCCTTCCCTGCAGTGACTCAGAATGTGGTACTATCGGGGCTTTCTGAGACCTCAGTTCGGCTCCTCCCCTCGCCCTGCAGGCTGGTTCTGACTCTCCACACCAGCTCTGCTCCATGCTGTGGCTGCCTCGCCCCTGTCCCTTGTCTTGGTTCTAGGTCTGGATGGTCCCGGACTCTAACCCACATTCAGCTCAGACTCACCCTGGTGCCAATCGCCCACACTATCCTGTGTGTTGTCACTTTAAGTGACTGAAGGTCTCTTTCTAACATTTTAACTCAAGGGATTTGAATCAAGTTTCCTGTTTCTTAGGGAAGACAGGGATTCACTTTTCAAGAACATGGATCAAGTAGCCACTCAGTGGAAAGCACTGCTCTCAGTGCCTGGGACACAGCGGTGAACAAAACAAAATCTCTGTGTTCATGGAGATCACATGCTAGTGAGGGAGTCAGATAGGAAGCAAATGGATATTTGATTGAATGCCAAGTTTCTGGTGCAGTCAAATTTTCTCAAGGGTTGCAAAGTAGTCATCGCAATTTCCACCTAGGGAATATTTACCCCTATGGGGCAAATCTGTCCATTTCTGCCCATCTGAGCAAGTAAAACACAGGACTGCCACAGTTATTGCGGAGCTCCATGAAGCAAGCAAGAGTCATCACATTGATTTATTCTCTTCCTTCCAGGAAAATATTTGCAATACCTGCCACGTCCAAGGTTCAGCTGAGGCCAATGTAAAGCCAGTATTATAGGACACTTCTCAGACTGAGAGCCCAATGTCGTTGGAAACCACTGGGCCACAGGAAAGGCAGGTAAGAATCATGGTTATAGATTCAGGTTTGGTGTCAGACAACTGCTTTAACTTAGGTTCACCATCACTTGCCAGTAGAATAACCATGAGCAAATTACTTAGCCTCTCTGTCTTAGTCTTCTAGGGTTGCTGTAACAGAATACCACAGACCGGGTGGCTTCAACAACATACATTTATTTCTTTGAAGCCTGGGAAGTCTGAGATCAGGGTGCCGGTATGGCCTGGTTTTGGTGAGGACTATCTTGCTGCTTTGAAGATGGCAGTCTTATGTCCTCACATGGGACAGAAAGTGAGCTCTAGTCTTTCTCTTCTTGTAAGAACACTAATCTCATTATGGTGACTCCACCCCTATGATATCATCTAAGCCTGATTACCTTCCAAAGGCCCCCACCTTCAAATACCATCACATTGGGGTTTAAGGCTTCTACAGATGAATTTGAGGGTGGGCGACACAAAAATACAGCCCATAACACTCTCTAAATCTCAATTTTCTCATCTTTATAATGGGGATATGTAAGTATTTAGGTCATAGAGTTTCATGAAGTTTAAATGAGCTTATGCACCCAAGATTTGACACAGTACAAAATAAACTGTACCTGATGTTTAAAGTCAAGCTCTTTTGGCCCCAGAAAGTCAATAAACCCATTTAGAGCATTCAAGAAGGCAGAGCTACTGTTTATCTTATCTGGGCTGCCACAGGTGTGGTGGGGGTTTCCCAGGAGGCAGCAATATTTTGTTAAATAGAGTAGCCTCTTGGATACCTGGTGAAACCAAATCTCTTAGACATCATCTGTGAACATGATGAGCAAAGCCAGTCCTTAGGGAGATGGCACCCTTAGGAAGCAGGCAGGGGGTTAAGTCGGGCAGTTCAGGGCAAGTCTTCAGTGATGGGGAGGAGCAAGTGTGGAAGGGAAATCAGATTACACAGAAGCTGGGAGACAGGAAAAATGATACTGTAGTTCGTTTTTCTGAACTGGCTGAGCAGACAGATACCTCATAATTCATGGGGGCCCAGGCCTGTGTTAGCAGATGAATCCCGATGCTGAGTGCCTGGCTTGGAATCATTGGCAAGAGGTAGGGGTTTAGGGGAGGTGATTTATTATTTTATTTTTATTTTTATTACTTTTTGAGACAAGATCTTGCTTTGTCACCTGTGCTACAGTGCTGTGGTGCAATTACAACTCATTGCAGCCTCTACCTCCCCAGCTCAAGGGCCCTCACACCTCAGCCCCCAAGTAGCTGGGACTAGAGTTGTGCACCACCACATTTGGCTAATTTCTTTTTTTTTTCTTTTTTTTTTTTTTTTTTGGTAGAGACAGGGTCTTCTTGTATTGCCCAGGCTGGGGAGGGGGCTTAATACAGGTATAACAGGATCATAAATTTATTCACATAATTCAGCTGTGCAATGAAATTCTACATATTTATTTTTTTACATATTTATTTTTCTATAAATTCTACAAATTCTATCTATTTATTTTTCTCAGCTGATCTAATCTTCATGGGCCCCACCTGCTGGATCGTGGGGTGATCAAGGACTTCCAATTAAATTCCAAGCTCACTCTCTTCCACTGTGATAATTTCTTTTGAACTATTCTTTCAAACTCTCAGTTTCTGTCAGATAAATATTTAGCTAAGGGAGCTGTGTTAGTTTGTCTTCTAAATGTGAGAGAGGGCCTGGGTAAAAAAAAAAACTTATATTTCTTCTCACAGACAATACTGAAGGAAAGATTTAATTAGGGTGTCTCTACAAATGCAGATTTTTCATGATTTCCTTGCAAGCTTCCCTTCTGCCTCGCTTTTTCCTCCTCTGGAGCTCACATCCTCCTCCCTTAGCCCAAGGGAATCCAGTGCTTGCACTCTTTGTAAAGGAGCATGGTCTGGTGCCAGAATCCTCTGTACCTAGCAGATACTCCTCCAGGGAAGATGTGCAAAGAGGGCAGCTTAGGCAGGTGCAAATTTTAGGGTAAAACTTTAGACCCCAACGCTCAAAAATGAGGAAGACTTTTTCCCTGCGTACTTCAAGTGTCACTACTGGCTAGTCTCATAGACATAAAATAAGCTTTGGTTATTAAACATGCTTTTTGAAATATATAAATAGACGACACTGTATGTCCTAAAAACTGTTATCCTAGTTGCTTAAAATGCATATTTATATACAGTGATATGGTTTGGATCTGTGTCCGCACCTCAATCTCATGGTCAATTGTAATCCCCAATTGTTGGAGGTAGGGCCTGGTGGGAGGTGATTCGATCATGGGGGGTGTTTCTCGTGGTTTAACACCATCCCCCTTGGTGCTGTCCTCTCGATGGTGAGTTCTCGTGAGATCTGGTTGTTGAAAAGTGTGTGGCACCTCCCCCCAGGCTCTCTCAGTCCTGCTCCTGCCATGGAAGAAGCCTGCTCCCACCATGCCTTCTGCCACGAGTAAAAGTTCCCTGAGGCCTCCCCAGAAGCAGATGCTGTCGTGCTTCCTGTATAGCTGCAGAACTGTGAGCGAACTAAGCCTCTTTTCTTTATAAATTACCCAATCTCAAGTATTTATTTATAGCAATGTGGGAATGAATGAATACATACAGTGACCAAGTTCTGCCTTCCTATATTAAGTTTATTATAGCTGCCCAGTAGCTACATATACTAAGCTAAATGCGGCTTCAAATACTGAGTCCTTCTTAATTTTTAGGTGTAAATAATTTGGCTTCTGTGAAAGTTTTAAAATGCATATATAACAAATATTTCATACCTAACTATGAAGACAATAAAAATATCACCCATTATACAGGGTAAATAGACTGAGATACACAGGTTAAATAGCCTAAGATGTTACATTGTCCAAGTCAAAATTAAACTACTACTTAATTTTTTAAAAAGGACTATTATCCTGAGATAGTTAAACACGGAAGGAAGCTCGCTTATTTAAGCAATATTACCCAAGATTAGTGGCAGAGCACATAGAAAAAGAAGAGATAGGGCCCAGGTTTGAGAAAATTAAGGAAAACTGACGGATTACTTAGCTGAATAGTTTTAAGAAGTGTTTTTAGTTCAGCAGAAGTGGTCTGACCTCAGCGCACTTAGGGCATTGTTTACACGCTTCAGAGGGCTAAGGAGGAGATTTAATCCCGAACGTATTCCGCTGGAGAAACCAGATAAGTCTACCTGAGCCCCAGCAGGGTATATATACTCCGCTACCATCAAGCCTCCACCTGAAAATGTCTCCATTTAACATGGCAGTGCTGTCAATTAAGAGCCAATTTGACTTAACAAATTCAAAGAACCTACTAGTAAGTTTATACTCACAAGTTCCAATGTACTATTTGTAACTCCTCCCTGGTCTGTTCCATGCAAGAAAGCCTCTCAAAGTCCTTCACTTTTCATTCTACTGCTTTGCTTCTACTACTAATACATACAAAGGCCAAAGAAGCTGCCTCTCTAGAATTCCTCTTCCATTATAGAATCTTAGAAGTTGTGACTGTCCATTTGTGCCAGGGATCTATCTGTATCTGTGGCTAATCCAAAAACCTCAGTCCTATACTTTAATACAACATTAGAGCTGAACAATAAGGATGTCAAGTATTATAATCTAATTTCAGAACTATGATGCTACAGAAATAGTTAATTATAGAAATACTTAGAACATACTAGAAATAAATAGGACATTCTTGAAATACACATCAAAAGTCATATTACTCTTTCTTTTAGACTTATAGATGGGGTCACACACCATTCTACAAAGAGGGGAGTCTCTCCGTGAAATGACTTGAACTTATAAAGCGCATTCTGCTATGTGGTTGCCTCACCAACTCCCTTCCTGCCTGGACTATTACAGTAACCTGTGGATTGGTCTCCTTGCCTTGAGACGATGACATTTCTGGCACCTAAACCCATCAGCATCAAGTTGTTCTTTTGAAAACATAAATATGACCATGTTACATGTTTTTAAACCTTTCAATGGAATACTTTCACCTACAGGATAATGTTTAGATTTTTTAACATGGCATGCATGACGCTTCACTCTCTGGCTTCCACACATTCTCCAGAATTACTTCCTGTCACTCTCCTATGTCTATTCTTGTCTCCAACAATTCCCAACCTCTTGTGCTGTGGTCCATGGCTCTCCATGCCTCATGCCTGTGCTGTCCTGGAGCACTTCCTTCAACTGATACACAAAAAAAGTCTTGCTTATTCTTCCCTGATCTACCTGGGTTTCACCTTCACCTGTATGCAGAGTTAATGCCTTCCCGCTGTCTGTTCCCATATCAGGCTGTGTACTATTGAAATATTCATCACTCCCTTCAGGCTGTGGCTTAATGTGCCCATCTCCTTATCAGCCTTGGCAATTTAAGGACAGAGGTTTTGTTTTGTTTTTTGTTTTTTAATCTCTCTCATTTTTGTGTGTTCTCAGGAGCAGGAGAGAAGGGATGTTAATATGTTGAATTAATGTTAATCATTAAAACCATCACAACCCCAAATTTCTTTAATCCCTACTTAATCCAAATTGATTGAATTTGTACAATTTTCATGAATGTTGAATAATCTTGAGGTGAAATAATCTTATTTCACAAAATAAAAATTTGTTGAAATATCATTCAACAAAGATATTATTCTAAATATTCAAAACCGAAAGAAAGCATAGGTCATAGAGCTATTTGGTGGTCAGTTCAGAGGAAACTTTGACAGGATGATGCCAACAATGGGAAAAAAAAAGCCCCAATAACCATCCTGTCTTATAACCTACAAATAATGTTACATACAATTTTAAATTCAAATATATTTGTTAGCATGTTTGAAATCTATTTTTGTTTGTTTGTTTTCCTGGGCTCCTCAGATAGTGAATTGGACTTAGGAACAGATTTTGAAGAATAAACTAGAATCAGTCAAGTGGATGGAGGGTAAATGTCCTCTAGGGGGATAACTCACCAGAAAAAGAGGCTGAAGAGTAGGCAGCAAGGGAAGAGCTGGTGGCTCCTCATCTGTAGCACAGGGTGTTGTGAAAGTAGGAGAGAGAAGGCTGGCACGGGGTGGGGGCGGGTGCAGAGCAGGTCATGTAGGGTCATACAAACCTCACTAAATTCCAAAGACCACAGGAAGTCTCAGAAGCATTTTTCCAGGGGAGGGATGCTATCAGATTTGCAAAAAAGTAGACTTGAAAATCATTCTCAAGGTAGCACAGGTGCTGGAAGAATAATGAAAATTACTGACCTTCAAAAAGTCCTTATTCTGTGCCTGGTATTATTCCGGGCATATTACATATGTTACTGCTTTTCATTTTCACAGCAAACTAAGAGGTGAATACTAGCATGTCTTCTTTTACTAAGCTACATGCACACTAAGTAGCAACACTGAGATCCAAATCAAGGTAATCAGGCAGGAGAGTCCGTGCAATTACCCTTGCTATAGTGCCTCCCCAAAGGCAGGAGGAATTGGAGTCCGGAGGTGGATAGCTTAGTTAAAAAACAAAAGCAACAGTAGAAGGAAGAAATAATAACCTAGGGTAGTGATGAAGCAAAAAGAGAGATACAAATGTAAGAGATATTTAGAAAGTAAAATTAATTAGGTTTGATAACCCCTTAAAAATCAGGTAGAGGGTGATGTTCAATGTCTGCCTCAGACAGGTGGAGGTGCTATTTGCAAGAATAAAGAACAGAAGCAGCATCAGGTGGAGAGGGAGCTTTTGGCAATGTTTGGGATTCAATATGTGAAGCTAGTATTATAAAACAGTGTAGCAAAGTGATATATTAGGAGTTATAAATGCACAGAGGAGGAAGTGACTCATTCTGATTAAAGAAGACTCAGATAAGTTATCTGAACTTTGAAAGATGTGTAGATTTTCCCCAGTTGCAAAATGAAAGAAAGGGTATTACAGGCATATGGAATAAAATGTGCAAGTTAAGGCATCGTAGGAAAGCAGGGTAAATCCCAAGGTACCGTGAGAATCCGGGCCGGCTGCAGAGTGCATGGCAGAGAATGGGAGCTGATGCTGAAGGAAAGCAGGAGTGAAACTGGGGAAAGTTTCCACATGCTTAGGAGCTGTTCCTCTCTGCCCAGGAGCAAAATATACTCTCACAAGTCCCAGGGTCGGTCAGTGCTTGTGTGTAGTTGTACCTTTGGAAGGTTATGCCCAAGGTGACATGTGAAAGCTGCTGGCCAGGTTTAGGGAATCACAAAGAAATTGAAGGCTGAAGTTCACAGGCTGGCCAGCCCCAGAGGAAATTCTATTTTCACATGAGGATTCTGCTTTGCTCTCTAGCCTCAGAATGTGGCATGGTGGCAGCTGTCATAGTATAGCATCTTGCATAGTGTTGTGCTCCTTGACTAGGAAGATATACCCCTTGAGAGACTGGTGGACAGTGGTGGGCATTATTTCCAATCCCCTCTCCAGGTCCCTATGTCTCTCATATAGAAGTCTGCTACTGATGACAAATCTGGTTTATTGAGCAACTTATTATGCCTTACAAGCCACCTTGTATATTAAGTGCCCTGCTTTCCTCCCTTTCCTGGCTTGTTCTCCAGTCACTCAAGTCTCAGGAATGTTTTCTTTTCATTTCTTTTATTTTTTAACTTCATCTCAATTTTGGGTTTTTTTTCAACTTTTATTATAGCTTCAGGGGGTACATGTGCATGTTTAAAGGAATATTGTGTGATGCTGAGGTTTGGAGTACAAATGAATCCATCTCCCAGGTAGTGAGCATAGTACCCAGTAGGTAGTTTTTCAGCCCTTGCCCACTTCTTCCCTCCCTACTCTTGTATTCCCCAGCATCTATTCTCATCCTTATGTCCACGTGTACTTTATGCTTAGTTCCTAATCATAACTGAGGACACGTGGTATTTGGTTTTCTATTCTTGTATCGGTTCACTTAGGATCATGGCCTCTATCTGGAACCATTTTGCTACAAAGGATATGATTTTGTTGTTTTTCGTGGCTGCAGAGTATTCCATGCTGGATACGTATCACATCTTTATCCAATCCAGAGTTGATGGGCTCCTGCATTGATTCCTTGCCTTTGCTAATGTGAATGCTGCTGCAATGAACATAGGGGCGCATGTGCGTTTTTGGTAGGACAACTTATTTTCCTTTGCATTTATGTCCAGTAATGGAAACTTTTCTTTATGCTTTCAAATTTTATGCCCTGCCATCATTCCAGCATCTATCACACTTGGTTTAATTATTTGTTTAAGTCTATGTATCCTCCCCCGGACTGTGATTTTCTTGCCTCCACCCCACCCTCACTCCCTTATTTCTGTAATAGTTGTGCCTAGAACAGTGCCAGGCACATAGTCACTCATTACAGTTTCTTGTTGAAAGTAATTGAATAGTATGGAAGAAAAAGGGAAGCTTTTTACTTATTTACCATGGAAACTGCTCTCAATGTGATTAGTAAGCAAACTTTTCTTCTTCCTTCGTTTTCCCCCATAGTCAGAAACTCTCACTGCAGGCTTCGGAAATGCAATCCTTATGGAGCTTGATGCTTGGCTATCCTCACAGTAGATCAAGACTGCACTCCTATTCCCATATTTCAAGAGATAATTTTTCTTGATTATGCATGAAATGCACTTATCTGTGGAGGAATCGATCAGTTCTGACTATTTACACAGTTCACATCTGCAGGAGGAAACTCTTTCATAAATAAGATGCAGCGAAGTCCAGAATCTGTGAAATCATTTTGGCCCAAATGAGTCTTTTGTGTCCTTTGTTCATGGAGATTGGGTGAAGCAAGGTGCACCTGTTTCAATAGTAAAGCAGCCCCACTGAGGAAAGGACTTTTTGAGTTGTGTCATTAGAAGTCATCATTGCATATGTGAGAGAAGAGAGGAAGGAAAGGGCAGGATGCAGTCACATAACAGGTAAGAAGGTAAAACAATGTTCTCTTAAAATAGTGGAGTGCATCTATCCCACTTTAATTTGGCCTCAAATAGCAGTTGTATGCATTTTGCTTCTAATTCCAGTGTTCTCAGTGAAAAAAAGGAAACTGACCATGGATTTATTCCAGGGCATTTATGCCTGACCTGCTACCTGTTATGGACAGAACATCTTGTAGGTTCTTTATCCTCCTGTATGGACATAGGGGAAGACAATATTGACTAGTTAATCTTGGCAGGTAATTATTAGAAGATGCCTGTTTTGTTTGTTTTGAATATCTAAATTATCCTAGAAGGAGAAAAAGTAGGATCCCCAAAGGGGTTGGCATCTGAGTTGAATTTTGAAGCATGAGAAGAAGCTAGCAGGCAAAGATTGTGGGGGATGAGTATTCAAAACCTAGGGCACCCACGTGCACACGCAGGGAAAAAGAAACCAAGGTGTTGTACTCAGAAAATGCAGAAATACTGAGAGTAGCTCAATCAGACTAGAGTGTAGGTTAAGGGAGTGAGAAAGTAACCTAGGCAGGTATGCAGAAGCCCGATGAAAAAAAGACCTTATAAAACACCCCAAGGACTGTGCCAATTATTTAGAAGTGAATGAGGAGTCAGTTGAAGATTTTAAGAAGGAAAGTCACATGGTTAGGGTTTTATGATAGAAACACAACTTTGGCAATGGAACCCAAAACACCTAATTGAGGCAAATCTGTAGGTGGGGGAGAAGGCCAGCAATGTCAGGCCCAGTCCAGTATGTACACCTGAGAAAAACTTCCACATGTGCATGTAAGACACAAAGATTTGTTTCAGCCTTTTTTGCTATAGAAGTACTAGAAACAGTCTAAACAGTCACTATTAAAGGATTGCATATATAAAATGCAGCAGTGCCACAGAATGAATGTATTACCACAATTAAATGGCATGAATTTGATCTTTATATATATCAATGTAGATTGACTTAAAATAAAAATGTTAAATGAAAAAAGCAAGAAACGTGAAGTTTCAATTATGGAATTATTTAAATTATCTAAATTTATATAGATTTAGAAAATGCACACAGACCTAAATAACGTGTGACTACCTGTGTGTGTAAGTAAAAATTTAAAGTGAAGTGGAAGGTTATGCACCAGTCTCACATAATGTTTGTGTGAGGAGAGGGGGCAGAGAGGGAAATAGAACTGAATAAAGTGGTGAATAAAAGTGGCTTCAGCTTTTTCTGAAATGTAATATTTTTGTAGGTCTTTAAGGGAAATATAGGATTATATTGCTTATGTAATTTTTCTAAATATATACTTAGGGCAAAGAGATTAATAGCAAATATGATACAATAGTAACAGCTATTCTGAGTTTTGCGTGTGTTTGTTCGATTATACTTTGTATTATTTTATACTCGAAAAATAATTTATCTTCTTATAAGTAAAATTGTGTGTATGTGTGGTGTGCATGCATGTGTGTACAGTGGCCAGATTCATGTATTAGCTGAGACTGCTAACTGTGAAACCAGGCGATAAGAGAGTTTCGGATGCATTGTCAACCAGGTTAAGATAAGAACAAAAAAGAGTTGAATCAGTTCGTGACTTAGCAGGTCACCACTGACCTTGACGGGGATGATTTCAGGAGAGTAGTATAGGTGGACATCAGGTTGCAGTGGATTCAGAGAATGAATGAAATATGAAGAAGAGGTGACAAGTGTCATCTATGTCCAGAAGATTGGCTGTAAAGTGGAAGAAATAGATGGACTAGTACGTAGAGGAGGATATAGGTTTAACGAAGGTGATTGTTATTTTTAAGAGTAGGGAAACCTGATATTGCTTATCTGAAACAGGAAAAATAAAGAGGAGAGGTCAAAGATACAGCTGAGAGAGGGAATAACTGATAAGGTTAGGGCAGAAGAAAACAGGAAGGAAGAGAGTCTACTATGGGAAGGTGGAGCCTCTCTGAGCAGTGAAAGTCAAGAGAGGCAAGGAGAAACTCAGAAGTGCAGAAAGGAAGGCATGATATGAGTTTGAGGAATTTCAAATGAACAGCTTCAATTTTTTAAAAATGCAAATTGTATAATTCTGCCTTGACTGAATATTCTTACTTACATGGAAGAAATATAAGAATGTGTACTTTCTTGTACATAAATAACTACAGCTATTTAACTTCTTGTTATTATATGAAATTATCAAAAGCAGTAGTAATATTATTCTTCTTGCAATTATGGCAATTTTGGTTTTGGCAAGTATAATGAATATCAGAAAGAAAAGCAAATTACCAAGTAATGTAGACAGGGATATGCTTTTAAATAATAGAATCTGCGCTTAGACCATGAAAGTTGTTAGGTCTATACTACACCAATATATCATGTTGGAAATTAAACATATTATATTCTACCATGTGCTAATTACATTAAATACTCCATAGAACTACACTGATGTAAAATTCTTAACTGATTTCTCTTTCCTCCTTTTCCATTTGTATCCTACTGAATTTATTCTTTATTTGACCTAATTGATTGGATTAACGGATATTTTTGGCACTGTTCAGTGACACCTTCATATATAATGCAAAATACTTGGAAATACTATCAATTGACTTCATTCATTCAAGAATACCAATGGAGCTCCCAACATCATAATTTCTTAAAACTTGATTTTCATAGGATCATGGAATTCTAAAATTGGAAGAAATATGTTTCTAGTCATCTAGTATAGCTTCCAATCCATAGGATGAATCCTCATGGCTAATGAAAGCCTGGAAGAACATTAGAACCACCATGAGGAGGTAAGGAATGAGCAACATTTTCTTCTTTTTCTGGGTGAGGCAATTATATATGACATACTGTCTATTGATGAATATGCTAAGAGCAGCAGTAAGCATTTATTTCTATTCATTTGGCCAATAGTGGCCAGGCATATATTTATTGAATCAACATATAGTTACATAGGAAATGACACACTCTGCCAACTAGGAGTTTCCAGTCACATACAGGAGACAAGACATCAGATAGCTAATAAGACACACAAATCCTCAGTACTCAAAGGATAGCACAACTTGCTTTGTAGTCATACAGAAACAATTATTTGTTTGTGGACATACAGCATCCTTGGAAAGCTATTAGCTTCCATGTGAGGAAAGCTACATGAATGCTGATTACAACATGTTACAGTTGAATATCAGCACTGCAAAGAAATGACTGTGCTTTCATTGTTGGACTGCCTAACAGTTTCAAAGAGTTCCCAATCAAAACTTTGTCTGTTGGTATTCTTGAAAAGGGGGAGAGTCAGTCGTGAAGCATTCCATATTAAAAAAAAAAAAAAAGTAAAGAAAAGGGGGAGGGTGGGTAGAACTTATGAGAGGAGCAAAATGCTCAGTTAGAGATGTTGGCTGGGCATGGTGGCTCACTCCTATAATCGCAGCACTTTGGAAGGCCGAGGTGGCTGGATCACTTGAGGTCGGGAGTTCGAGACCAGCCTGGCCAATATGGTGAAACCCCGTCTCTACTAAAAATAGAAAAATTAGCCAGCATGGTGGTGCAAGCCTGTAATCCCAGCTACTCAGGAGGCTGAGAAGGGAGAATGGGTTGAATCCAGGAGGCAAAGGTTGCAGTGAGTCAAGATCACACCACTGCACTCCAGCCTGGGTGACAGAGCAAGATTCCATCTCAAAAAAAAAAAAAAAAAAAAATGTTTACCATGAGCCCAACATTTTTTAAAATAATTGTACCCCAAAACTGGGATGCAAAAAGGAAGAATAAATTAGTCATATCTTCAGTAAAGAAATTGCATTGTGAGGCCGGGTGCAGTGGCTCACGCCTGTAATCCCAGCACTTTAGGAGGCCGAGGCAGGCGGATCACCAGAGGTCGGGAGTTCGAGAACAGCCTGACCCACATGGAGAAACCCTTTCTCTACTAAAAATGCAAAATTAGCCGGCGTGGTGGTGCATGCCTGTAATCCCAGTTACTCTGGAGCCTGAGGCAGGAGAATCACTTGAACCTGGGAGGCGGAGGTTGCGGTGAGCCAAGATCGCGCCATTGCACTCCAGCCTGGGCAACAAAAGTAAGACTCCATTTCAAAAAAAAAAAAAAAGAAGTTTCACTGTGACATTGGAACCCACGAGTCTTTCTTATAAAGAACTAAAGAACTAAATTTTTAATACAGTATTTAATTGCAGCCAAGACCCTTACTAAGCTGTGCTTTCATACATGTTACACTGTTTTAAGCAGATGATCTGTTGATTCAGAAGAGTGAGAGTTGAAGTCAAATGACTCCTTTTTTTCTGAAAGCGTTTTCATACTATATTATAGAGAAGGCTGAGGCAAATTTCATGGTTAGATTCATATTTGAAATTTTTTTCGATTGCTTCGACATATTTTATACAAAGTATTTTATATTCCATAACTAAAGTTATAATTTTTGTAAACAACAACAAAAAAGGTAATTAGTTAAGAAGGTGGGGGTACGTCTTACATTTCCAATAAATCAAGGAGCAAAGTTTGCAAAGCCGAGCTATTATGCACAAAAGCACCATCTAGTGACGAGAATGAGTAACTGCATGCACACAAGCCATAACAATATAAAAGCAAGGACCCATGAAGCGGCAGGTATAGGAACTCGCTCCCATGTTCTCACTCATTATCCAATATGAATGAAAACTAATTTGTCAGTAATTAGTTTCAAGCCCTACTCTCTACACTTAGTGAGCCCTTTGGGCTTTATGATTTTATGCAGTTTCCCCCTTTTCAGTATTGGCTGTATTTTGAAATGACCTAATAATCATAGTAAGTTGTAAATGACTGATAATTGACTTAACACATTCTCCTCCCAGGACATATTTCAATTTTGAAAGACATGACTCAACTAATCAGTAGAGGGAGGGATTTTGTGTTAGTAGGGCCATAGCTATTTTTTTAATTAAAAAAAGAAGTCTCTCAACTTCTAAATAATTGACCAACTATTCATTGCATTTCCCCTGATTAACTGGCACGGTCATTAGAAAACCTTTGAAACATCACTGAGACATTAAAATTCTGACTATTAGTGCTTTTCTATTGCTTAGGAAGACAATACATACAAAGCAAAGCACTATAAAGTTAGATTAACATATTTTGGCATTGTGTGTTATTATATGTTATCTTGTATGCAATATCACAATTTTTGTTGTTTCCCTGTGTCAAAAATATAGCTTCCTGGCTAGGCTCAGTGGCTCATGCCTGTAATCCCAGCACTTTGGGTGGCCAGGCAGGAGAATCGCTTGAGCCCAGGAATTTGAGACCTGCCTGGGCAACATAATGAGACCCCATCGCTATGAAAGAAATTAAAAAGCTTATGAAAAATCTAAGAGATGGCTGATATGCCTTTTAGGAAGAAGAAACAGATTCCTGAGAGTTCATTACAACAAGTGTATTACAATTTTTTTTTCGGGCTTGGATTTTGAACCTACTGCACAATCTGTCCTCTCAGCACACTCCTAAATGCTCCATGGCTCAGAAAAATGTCTTCTAATTATCAGAGGGTATCCCCACTACTTGTTCAGAAAATAGTGTCCACAAACTAAATGTCCAACAATAGCAGAATATTTAAATAAAATATCTTCATGCTGGACTAACTAACTTATAGACAACAGAAGCCAATTGTCTACATATTCAAGGACAGAAAAAGTCTTTGAATATAATTTGATGAGTTTTTAAAAACCCCATAATTGTATTTTTAGTATGATTTCAAGTTTGAAAAAAATAATTTTTATATCCCTAGGAAAAACTACTGGAATAATACACTTGAAATATTAAGAGTGGTCATCTATGGATGGTAGGATTAGGGGATACATTTTAATTTCCTATTTAACCTCACCTACCATGTCAGCTACCATGTTTTCCAGATTGCGTTAACACCCCCAGTTCTTCACTCATGTTTGCATTCATGCACTTCCCCTCTAATTTTGTAGTTCTTCCAATAAAAAGGTAGAGTATTTCGCCCACACCTTACAGTTGGGTTCATCCCTGTGGGTGGCTTTGGTTATTGGAAAGTTAGCGGGAATTTCATGAGCCAAGGCCTGGAAAGTGCTTTTATTGGTCTTGCCCTCTTGCACCTCTGCCATCTGCATGAGAAGACTGGCCTGAACTGGAGGATGATCTCCAGTGGAGGATGATATTCACAAGGAGCAGAGCCAAGTCCCAAGCTGAGCCCAGCCAATCCCCATCTACCTGCACATCTTTGCTGCTGGGATTGTTGAAGCTGATTGCTATGCAGCATTATTGTGGCAATAGCTATCTAATTTACTGTTATTACAAAGAAGTGATATACATGATTCAAAGTAGCATACAGTGTAATTGTGGAGTAGGAGGTCAGACCCAAGGATGGAACAGTTGTCTCCTCGCTGCAAAACAAGTGCAATGCTTTCCATTCCCTGGGCTTCCCGCAAATTCTCTTTTATAGATATATTCTTAGATATTGAGTTCAAACACACATTGAAATCTGTCGTATGGATGGGCAGAGATTGCTGGAACCACAGGCCAACTCAACTCATATATGTGCTTTTCCCGTAATTTTTCCTCACTTTTCCTGGTATTAGTTGTAAAAGAGGAAATGTATCAATAATACATTTACATTCCCTGTCAAAATCACTGTATTATTTTTCAATTTTTCATGCTCCAATTGCTATCTTCACCCTCTTTCTCTCCTTGTCTCTCCTTCCTTCCTGACTCTATGGTTTCCTGTATTACAATAGGGAAACAACACAAAGGGGCAGCAATGACAGAGGGTTCTTCTTAAGAACCCCTCCTTGAAACAATTCAGTTTAGTACAGCAGTATTTCACTCCCTGAAATATTTTTCCCTGAGTAGGTGAATCTTATGTGCCATCCTCTGGTTTATGGACACTCCAGTGCATTTACAGAAGATACTTGACTACGTTGATCACCCATGCTGAATGCAACAAATTCACTCACCATTCCATTTGCCTCAAGCCAACGTTAGTGGAGTTTTAGTGAAGGCTGAGGACTCAGAACCAAGTCAGTCTATCCAGAGTGGGTTTGAGGGACTACTAACACAATGGTTCTAAGACCTTGGGTATTAGAACTAGTCTTGGATCATCAGTGATGCTGGAGAACCAACATTGTACCCACCCCACCCCTTGGCTCTGGGCTAGCTGACATTTGGACACTTGACAGAGAGAGGGTACTGTAAGCCACTCATGGCTGCATGGGGAAGCTGTGAAAAAGGACAGAAAACCAGGACAACTTTGTCACAGTCTCCAAGGAGGCTGACATTATCTGGTCTCCTCTTTCCTCCTCCTGCCCAACCTCAAAGGAGTAGGCACAAGGAAGAAGGCATCCCATCTTGCCTCCACCCTAGGCCCCTCTGGCCTGTGCTGATTTGTGAATTAAGAAAGCCTAAAATGAATACGAGATTCAAGTTTAGAAACAAAACAGCACTAAAGTATACTTTAAGAGCTAATACAAAATAGTTTTGATAAATTGAAGTGACTTAAAGAGATGGACTCAGACACATATTATTAAGGAAAACTGAAAGCCAGCTAGAGAGGAGCATTTGACAGAAGCGGTGAGAGTACGTATTGGAAAACTAAAAGTGTTTCATGTTCAGACTCCCAGCCAGTTGAGACTGCTTGCTGAACCACCTTGCTCAACTGACTCAGCTATGGATTTGTGTTGGGGAAAAAGAGGAAGAAGGAAACAGATCATGAATGTTTCTTTTTCTTGGCCTGCTCCTGGCAAGATGTTTGTCCCCTGCACTTCCCTACTATCTCTTTCTGACCCCTTTCTGCATGCCCCAGTGGGGACTCTGCTGGTTTTGTGACCCAGTTTCTTTCATACAAGAGACAATTTCCGGACAGGCATGCTTCAGTCTTGTAGGGTGAGGGATCGGCTGGCCACATCGATTTGAGAAAACATAGTTGATGCTCCACACACTCTGTGTTCCTTATAAGACCCCCTTCTTTATCATCCTTCCTCCTCTTGTACTGATGTGTGTGGGGAGAGAGGAGGCTGGTGAAGGGGTAGTGCTTGTCCCAATTATCCTGAAATGGTGCTTTGGAAATCTTTAAACCTAGAATGGAGGTGCCACTCTCCTTTTGTCCTCATCAGCGGGCTGTAGGAGTTAATTCCAGGAAAACAAGAAGCACTTCCTCAGCCCCTCACACTGGCTTGTTAGAAATGTGTACGGAGGCCACCCAGGCAGGGGCATTGCATTCCAGGGCTCATCCCCACTGCCTCTCATTTGCCCAATCAGCCACTTGGCTTGGCCCAGCAGCTTGGATTTGCTTTTGTTCCCACTGCCACAGCCACTAATGGTACCGGAGTGGTTCCTCTGTGCAAGGGGCCTTCACAGCCACACCCTGCCGAGGAATGCGAGGCCACCCTTGACTTACCTGTCAGAAAAGGATCAGACAGGAAGAGATTTTCCAGACCCTACACCGGGTTCCAAGGCTTTACAACAATAATATCCAGATGTTCTCTTGAGAATAACATGGCAAACTATTTCTTCCACATTAAGATAAGATTGATTCCCTAGTGTGTGGGCAAAAGGTCTCCCACTCTGGCGGCTTTTTGATCCCTGACTCTACTAACTTAGGCCTCCCTTTGTGGGGTCCATCTTTGCAGCTTTCTCTATGCCCTGCCCCGCTTTACTCCAGTGACTTCCTTTCCTGCTTGGTTCCCACTTCACGTATCACTCAGAGAGCCCTTGGAACTGCTAGATTGAGCCATATGAGAGAGCCATGTTTGTAGGTCAAAAAGCCAAATATTGGGACATTTGTATGCTTTAACTTAAAAAAACAACAAAGAAACAAACAAAAAAACACTGTATGCACCTACCAAGCCCAAGGAGAGTGCAATGAGGGATTTATGTTGTGTGAAGTCAACCACTATACATTTTATTAGAACTGTGTCAGAAGATCCAATATTTTAATAAGCCTAATGGAAATCTTTTTTATTCCTTAAACTTTCCTTTTTTAATATGAATAAGTATCTGATGGATCATCTTTATTTGGCACACTGGGTCATTTTCTTGCTAAAGTCAAGCTCAGTAATATCTGCTTAACGGAATTAAGTATGATTAATTCTGTCAAATATCACATTAGATCTCACTGCATGTCAAGTTGAAGCATCAATAAAAATATATTAATATGCTTTCTTAAATAAAGGCTAAACCCAAGGAAACCAAGCCAGGAAGCATTCATGGACTTGTCCATTTCAGAAAACTTACAACTATTATTCAAGAAAGCAACTTTCATTTACTTCAGGTATTCTCAATCCTAAGAAGTTCACGTTCTAACTGAGAAAGAATAGAGTTTCGTGCTTCAGGGAGAAAAAGGTTATTTGGAGTAGGGTGGTTTTCTTTAAATATTACCTAACCTCAGATTCCAAGTGAGCTCCTAAGCTGCTTGCTTCTCTCCAATTCTAACTTGAAGCATTTAGAAAGGCCCTTTCCTTTTAGTTAAAGTCACACATCCTAAAATCCTGCAGCTGTTCACCTAAGATTGCCAGCGAGATAACAGCTATAAAACTCAAACCATAAGATGCAAATTTTTGCACATTTTCTCAGTTCCAGCCTCTCCAAAATGTTCTGCATCCTTCCCTGCTTTGCAGGATTTTATGGGAAAAGGAGCAAATTTGCAAACCAGCTGAGCTCACCATGTGTCTCGGCTTCTTCAGAGCCTATGATTTGCCCAGGAGTGACTTAGTTGATAAATGCTGTGTTTGTTTCAAAGGATGGTAGACACACTAAGGACCATCTTTGAAGTGAGTGGATATAGACCACCCTTTTGCTTTTTCCAGTGAACAAAAGCACTGCCTTTCTATTTCTAACAGTTTGCACTAATACAGTGTGAAAAACTAAATATAGAATACTTTTGTTAAAATCAGATTAGACTAATTCTATATGAAGTGCTTTAATGAAAAATGTTTAATGGTTGAAATACTATAACTCTGGAGTTAAAGTGCAGGTGCAAGAATGATATTCTACACTCCCTAGAGAGCAAACTAGTACATACTGTGAAATATCAATTAAAGTTTATAGTTGCCTGGGTTAGCTAAATGTCTTTTTCATGGGAAATTTCCATTCTTATGAAATAATCATTTGGGGTTAAAATATGTGCTGAATTATGTGGGCATTCTGAGTTATTAAGAAATGGATTTATTTTTACAAGCAAGCTGTAAGCATTCTTTGCTGTTTTTATGAGGTCATCGACATGACTTTTAAGTGGGGCTCCAGGCCAACTCTGATTCTCACATCAGTTCATTAATTCACACAGCTGTCTCTAAAAACTACAAGAATAATATATACTGCAGACAGAGGGCCAGCAAGGGGGTGGGTGAGATTTAAGGCTGTATTTCAATCGAGAGATCCTGCTGACATCATAAACTATGAGAAGACAGCTTAAGCTGTTTGGGGAGCAGCAGCAGCCCCCCTGATGGAAATATGGCTAGTTTAATTGATTCTTTTCAGTTTCAGAATATACAGAGTGGGGACACCCAGTCGTTTTTATTCCGAACACAGTCAGAACATTAAAGGCAGGCACTGCAGGAATGCATTAGCAGGGAAACCCAAGCAGCGACTTAAGGTGTGGGGATGGATTTGATTGTGTTAATGATATATGGGCAGCCGCACTGACATATGAAGGGCATGGCAGAGTTTATCGCACAGGGATTTTGTTTTATAGGCAATTGTGAACTCACTGCCTCTATGAAGAGTTTTACCAAATGAGTTGTGACAAGGATGATATGATTGTAGCATGAGTGAGGGGTTGAGAGAACCAAGTCCTCTCTCTACTTCCTGATTTGTAGCAAACATTGAATGTGGGGGACTGAGTATACCCTGTGATGGGACTTCTGACAGCTTTTCCCTTTTGATCAGAAAGGGGAATTGCTAATATTAGCACTAAAATCTCATTCTAACACGAGCCCACATTCTAGAGAATGTGATACCAAACTGAATTTGGAGACAACTTATATACAACTTATGAGAATGTCCTGATTTCTGATAATTCATTCAGCATTAATATGATATTTTTAAAAAGGATGTCTGCAGTTTCATATCCTTTAAATTCCAAATTTGTTTCGGTTGACATTAGAAGGTGAACTAAATCTCTCTGAGAGTAATTTCAGTTTTACAAATAAATGCAGCCAAGTTTTTATGTCTTTGGAGGGGGGAAACTTTTATAAAATGTGACGTTTTAAGTGTGCTCTTCAGTAACTCTCCATTAAAACACTGACACCTGTGTGCATGTGGATACTGGAGATTTGGTTGCCCTTATCTCATTTGTGTACACAAAAGTCTCTTTGTACATGTGAATTGAAGCTTTGCATGAAAAACAGATGTGTCCTCAAAGAGTCTAAGACTGCTAATGTATAAGAAAGACTGACAAAGCATGCAAATTAATGAAAAGATTGGGGTTGAGTCTCCTCTGGGCAACCCCTACATATACGTTTCTTTAGTCCTTCTATAAATATTATCTTGTGGCCAGGTGCTGTGGGCTTTTCTCTTGGAATTTTGAAAATATGTAAAAGCTAGTGACACCCAGGCTGCAATTGCCAAGTATTCCCTGAGAGGCTTTAGAACTGGCAGAGCTGGCTCTGCACCCACCACTCCAGGGCCCTGTCACACTCTCTGCAGCCTCTTCTACCACTTGGTGGATGATGGTGAGACTGGGCCAGTCAGGAGCACTTCCTCGTCAAGACAAGGTTGAGAACTCTTCATGGATGCATTTGAAACCTTATTAAGAAACAGGTCCACCTTGATAGTAATGTTTTGATAAATCCAAGTTTAGTTAAATAGACTGTAATTTGTTTTAAAAGATGTTTTGTGTTACATTTGTTTAGATAAAGGAAATGGGAGGACCAGGTATGGTGGCTGATGCCTGTAATCCCAGCTTTGGGAGGCTGAGGCAGGAAGATCACTTGAGGCACACAGTTCAAGACCAGGCTGGGCAACATAGCAAGACCCAGTCTCTACTATATATATGTGTGCGTCTGTGTGTGTGTGTATAAATTCACATATAGTATGTACATATATATATAGTATATGTGTGTGTATATAGTATGTGTGTATATATAGTGTGTATATATATACATAGTGTGTATATATACATATATAGTATGTATATGTATATATAATGTGTTTATATATAGTGTGAGTGTATATATGTGTATGTGTGTGTATATATATATAGTGTGTGTGTGTATATATATGTGTGTGTGTATATATATATATAGCTAGGCATGGTGGCAGGAGTCTGTAGTTCTAGATACTTGGGAGGCTGAAGTGGGAGGATCACTTGAGCCCAGAAGTTTGAAGTTACCATGAGTTATGATTGTGCAACTGCACTGCAGCCTGGGCAATTGAGTGAGACCCTGTCCATCTTAAAAAAAAAAAAAGAAAGAAAAAGAAATGTGAGTATGTGAGTATAGCTTATTAAGGGGTGTTCATTTGTCAAAGGAGAATGCTTCTCAATTTTCTTGCTAGAGGAAGCAGTTGGATGGGATAAATGACAGCTCTGGAGGAAGAAGTGATCATCATTAGGCAAAATTGGACAGTTTTAATTAAGTAGGAGTAAATATAAATTTGGCCAGGGAGCAGGAACTAAAGAAAATCTAGCACTAGTAAGAACTGTAAATGTTTGTTCAGCAACCAATATTCAGAGCTGGTTGAAATCAGAAGCTGATCAGGTTAGTTTTTTGAGGGATAAAACTTCTTTAGTTAATAGTTGTTTGGTGTTATGGGACTAAACATTTGTGTCCCGCCCTCCCCCCACCCCCAATTCATATGTTGGAGCTCTAACCCTCAGTGTGATAATATTTGAAAGTGGGATCTTTGGGAGGAAATTAGGGTTAGATGATGTCATGAGGTGGAGCTAGTATCCTCATAAGAAAAGGAAGAGACACCAGGGCACTCACACTCTCTCTCTGCCATGTGAGAACACTGTAAGAAGGTGGCTGTCTGCAAGCCAGAAAGGGGCTGTCACCAGGAACTGAATCAACTGGCATCTTGATCTTGGACTTCACATCCTTCAGAACTGTGAGAAATCAATGTTGTTAAGCAACCTAATCTGCAGTATTTTGTTACAGCAGCTTGAACTAAGACAGCAGGTTTACTACAGATTTTATGAATTTGTTTTGTTGGAGGAGTCTTTTTTTATAGCTATTAAACTTTCTTTTTGTCAAAAGATTTATTTCTTTTATTTATGGATTATAGGTACCCACACTTTGGAATTGTGTAATTGTAGCCAAATCATCTAAGGTAAAGATTTCCAAATTGCTATTCAGGTCATTGATCATGCTGTATCATTCGCACCTTACCAGCAACTGGTAACAGCAAAACTGGTGCACCAAGGTGACGATGAAGGCATCAAAAGCATTCCAATAAAATCCGCATATTTTAGGACTTGTAGATCTTTTATATGCTTTTCCAATGAACGAATCTAGCATTTTTCTTGATGTATGAAAGGTGAGGGCATTAGAAATGGCTCCTTTTTTGTGGGAATGTGTGATATTGGTTCAATAATGATTGAAGCCCTATTTTTGCCCCTCATTCTCAAATAAAAAACTACTCTGGGCATGATACCCCAAACATTGCATGAATTCATTTTGGGTATATTTATTATTTTATCTATTTCAAGTATAGAAAATCATTGCAAGTCTGATTTCAGGTACTTTTCTTGTAAACAATGTCTAAAGCTCTTGGGAGACTAATAGTATTCCCTAATGGCTGCCCATTCCCTCTGATATTAGATTGCATTTTTTGACTGACATCCCTCTGATTTGTTCTTAGAAAGATAGCAGACTACTTAAGATAATCCCATTATATTTTTGGAAGGATTTTTCAATACCAATTTTCTTTATCCTCAGCAGCACCTGAAAATTATTTCTCAGCTGTTGACCATGGGCTCTGCCGATCTGGTGTCTGGGTTTGTGGTCCTGTGATGAACCAGATGGTTGGACCAATATCCAGATATCAAGACCAAGTGGCCTTCAGCCTTTTCTCCCCTGGCCAGGCCTCCTGATTCCCTTAGTTATCCAATGTTTTCATGTGGGCCCCTCGTGGCTTCCCTTCACTGTGTCTGAGGCCCTGAGGAGTGGTGTTAATAGTGGCTGAAAGCATTGACTCTGGTTTCAGACAGATCTTGGTTCTACTTCTGAAATATTGTATGATATTGGGAATGACTGTTTCTTCATCTATAAAATGGGCATATGACTTCATGAAATAGTTGTGAGGGACACAGTGAGACCACATATATTTAGTACCCAAGAGCACCTACACATAGTAGGGGCTCAGGAAATGTCAGTTCCCTTCTGATCTCCACACCTGGATCCATTTATTTTGTTTCTTTCTCAGTTTCAACCCAAAGCTGACCTCTTGTGGCTATCCCATTGTACCAATACAACAAGGTTTTATGCATACATAGCTGATAACTGATAAAAGATAACTGATAAAAGAGAGTTTCCGGGAAGCTATGTAACTTTCCCAAGATGATAGAGTAAATGGCAAATCAAACTCACAGTGGTCTGATAGCAAAGTCCATATCCTTAACCAGTATACCTTAAAGCCTCCCAGGAGCTGCTGCTCTACCCACAGATAATGGGGAACATTCCCCAAAGGCATTTGGACATATAGATGGTAAAAAGAGCAGGGTGGACACTGCTTGGCCAAAAATAAGCACATGATCTTTATCAAAAGTTTTACAGTACCACCTCTCACCAACAGTGGGGAAGTATATCCATTTATCCACACACTGGCCAACACTTGATATCACTGACCTTTTTTAGTTTTGACTTTCTGATGGTTGAAATAAATATCACTTTATTGGCCATTTGTACTGATTTTTCAGTAATAGGTTAGATTTGACTTTGACTGATTTCTAATGTCCATCCATTCAAAGACATTTTCCAAAGGAAGGGCCTATTTTCTAAAGGAAATAAGAAAACAGCTTTCTGATAAAGTGATATTTACATGGCTTAAAAATGGAATTTAATATGCCATTATTATTCAGAAGATAGCAGCACTTTTTTGACTCATGAAGTTAAAATGACAGAAAGTATATTTAATATGCTTATGGTATGGTTTTCTGAATAAGAAAAAAATAGAGATATTAAAAATCCCTAGCGCTGACAGTGGATTCCAGCAGACCCACACCAAATCTTAGAACTCTGTGAGTGCTTGGCACAGTACTTATGACAGCCATTTATCTCTCCTAGGAAATTGTGCTTTCTTTAAGCTGTACCATTTTCTTAATACCTTACACTCTTGGCATCAGGAACTGAGCATCTAGAAAAAAGCACTATATGTTTGGAATTTGTTTTTCAACAATTTGTATTTACAGAGCTTTGGGATAACAAGTGACGCACACTGGTTTGACATCTCGTGAAAACACGTGTATACGTTTTTATACACTGCGTAAATAGGCATATGTCCACACTGATTTCTATTAGTAAAATGTCATGTTGGGACCAATGTAACATTTATAGAAACACTTCACACCCTAAAGCACAAAGTAAGTAACAAATGTCAAATAATTTTTGTACACGGAGACAGGCTATATTCTCTTGGTAGCGTGCAATTACATTAGTGATGATTAACCAAAGATAACCTCCAAATGCTTTTGGACCATTAAAAATCATTCCTACATAATTCATCAATGAAAAAAAATAATGAAAATCTTACTTTTGAGTATAGAAGAAATTTCAGACAAAATATTTGCATGTTGAATAAACCTGAATAAACCAGTGTACTAGAAAAATATATCAGGACCAATTGTTGTTTATCATAGGAATGCAAGGATGAGTTAACATTACAAAGTCTATTCAAGTAAATTTATGCACTAACAATTTGTTGGAATATTGCATTACAAGTTAAGAGAAAAAGTTGTGGACACTTAAGTTAAAACTTTTGGGGAAATTGGCTAAAACCTGGGAAAAATAAAATTAAGTCACAAATTCACATCATACACAAAAACAAACTCCAAATAGCATAAAGGACTTAACTGGAAAAGTAAACTTTAAAATTTCTAAAAATATACATAATTAAATCTTTTTATAATATCAGGATAATGAATGATTTCTTGAGCACAACATAAAATGAACAAAACATAAAAGAATAGATTAATAAAATTTACATCATAATTTTTAAAACTTTGATGAAAAAAATCCCACCATAAACAAACAAGCATAAGTCATAGACTGAAAGAGGTTATAGAATATAATAGGCAAGAAATAATTCATATAAGGAATGTATTTTAGAAGTCTTACATCTCGATCAGAAAAAAAGAAAGGATCTGAATTCAATGACCAATAAACATATTAAAATATGTTCCCTTTTATTAGTAACAAGGAACAGCAAGTTAAAATAACAATGTGATACAATTTCACAATCACAAGTTTAGCAGATGTTCTGATAACACTAGATGTTGATGAGGGGTTGGGAAATGGAAACTCATATACTGTTACAGTGGGAATATAAATTGCTACAGCTACTTCAGAGGGTAATTTAGGAAAATCCACTGAAATTGAAAAAGTACATAGCTGGGAGGCCTAGACAGTACTATTATTTTTGTAACCAACCTTTTCGGACTATTTGATTCTCAAAACATATATGCAACTTAAAGAAAATGAAAAAATTTAAATGAAATATACAACTTAAATAAAAATTTAAATATTAATTACAAATAAACAGAATAACAAGGAACTATGCCTGGAAGTGTAGGCTAAAGCCAAACTTTCAAAGCCTCTGAATATCAAACTAAACTCTAGTTGTAATTGATGCGTGTGGTAATGGTTAGCTGCTGAATGGTATTGGGCAATGAAGTTACAAAGCAAAGCTATTCCTTGGAACTGTCTTGCCAAAATGTGGAGGGGGCAATGACCAGCAACAAAACACTGCCTTAGTAAGTGAATAGACTATTAAGAAGTTGAACTCAGGCATAGTGCTAGGAATTGAGAAGAGAAGACAGATTGGAGAAACAGCCCATCTGCTGAGTCATTCTCTCTGCCTGCTGCCCTGTGCTACCATTCAGCTCTTACCAGTCCAAACTTCTGCCCCACTAAGGACTGTCTGGCTCTCACTTGTCCCTACTGGCCCCTCGCTCCCAGAGGCTCCAGGCCATTTTGGACAAAGTTAGCCCTTAAGACCATTGCCTGACTCACAACCTCATCCTCCTGGCCTTTCCGAGGTTTGCCTCTATGCCCAGTAAGTGTCTTCTCACTCTTTTGGAAGATAACTTTGCTGAAACTTCTCCCATGCACACCAAAGAGGCAAAGAAGTTGGCCCCTCTGTTTTCTTTTTATCTTTGGTAGTATGAGCATTCTGTGTGATCTACCTTCAGGATTCCAGTGCTTCTACATGTTAAAGCATATTCTCAATGACTAAAGCTACCACTTTTGCAAGAAAGAGTTAATGTCCTGTGAACTAACAAAAAAACTTCTAGATATACAGATGCTCCTTGACTTACAAAGGAGTTATGTCCTGATAAACCCATGATAACTTGAAAATATCATAAACTGAAAATACCCTTAATACACCTATCTACAGTACACCATAGCCTAACCTAGCCTTCATAAACGTGCTCAGAACACTTACATTAGCTTACAGTTGGGCAAACTCATGGGGCAACACAGTGCACTGTACAGTATCAGCTATTGACCCTCATGATAGTGGGGCTTACTGGGAGCTGCAGCTGTGGCTGTCCAGCATTGAGAGAGTATGATACCACATATCGCTAGCTCAGGAAAATATCAAAATTTAAAATTCAAAGTATGGTCTCTACTGATGGTGCTTTCATACCACCATAAAGTAAAAAAAAAAAATCCAAAGTCAAGCCATTGTAAATCAGGGACCATCTGTTTGTCCTAGAGAAATTTTTACACATATGGACACAGACATGTGTGAGAATGTTCAATACAATATTTTTATTTAGCAAAATACTAAGAGCAACTTTAATGTCAATCAAAATAGGACATATTCATAAAAGGGGATACATAGCAGCTAAATGGATTAGTAAGACACTACATTTATAGTGACTAATCTCTAAACAATAAAAGCTGAGGGGAAAAAGTTACAATTGTGGTAAGAGTTTTGGAAGGATATGTAATAAATATATAAGTAGTATCTCTGGGAACTGAGAGAAGAGAGTAGTGTATTTGATTTCTCAAAGAAGCCTTAGTATTTGATTTCTCAAAGAAGCATAGAAAATGACTATTAAAAGATGAAGCCTGTGTCATAGGCTGGGACATAGTGGCTACTAATGTATTCCATTCTCCCTATTAAAATGCCATTTTGAGGCCAGGCATAGTGGTTCACGCCTGTAATCCCAGCACTTTGGGAGGCTGAGGTGGGAGGATCACTTGAGCCCAGGAGTTCAAGACCAGCTTGGGCAACATGGCAAGACCCTGTGTCTATTTAAAATAAATTTAAAATGCCATTTTGAGATACAGCTGTGCACCACCATTTTCCACAACAAAAGTGTGGGCTGGAGACCCAAGCCACAATCCAAAAAAATCACTGTGATTGTACCCATAGCTAGTCTCAGGCAATCTGGAGAAAATTGCATCCTGTCTTGGGACCAAAGAATTGGGAAAAGAAAATAATTGCCATTGCTTTCTTGCCAATCACTTTTCCCTAAAATGAAATAAACATTTTTGGTCTTGAAAAAAAAAAAGAACATGAAGCCAATAATGTAAAATGCTAATATTTGCTAATGAGAGGTGGTAGCAAAACAGAGTCCATTATATTATTTTCTATACTTTTCTGTATGATTGAAACAATTTTAATTAAGAAAATAAGCAAAAGCATATGCTTCAAGGTCCAGCAGACGTTAGTTTTAAAGACATCTCCACTTAAGAGCTACCTATTGAGAGTAATAGCAGCTCCCTCCTAGGTTTAGGGTTAAGTGAGAAAATAGGTGTAAAGTTCTAGCACAGGGTCTGGCATATTAGGCTCAATTAATGCTAGTTTTTCTTTCCTTCTACCTCACTAAGCATGTAAGAAAAGCTCTATAAATATTCGAAGAATTTAAAAGCTTATCTATACACACACAAACACACATAAATTATTATTTATTATTGTAACAACAAAACTTTATCTTCCATTGATATCTGACAGCAAATAGCACCTGATGTGAGTTCCCAATTGTTAATAAAATAAACTAGATAATTAGTTTTTATAATATAAAAAGTGAGTCTTCAAAATACTTGATTATTTTTTATGTCACTCACAACACTGAGTTAAGATAATGAATGTTTTCTTTATTAGTACATTAATGTATCTTCAAGGTTAACCTTAAAATCTTAAAAAGAACATATTTTATGTGAAAGCATATTATCAGAAATTGTTCCATAAATCTAGTAAACACCATTAGAGACTAAAAACTGATACCAAAATACAACAGAAGCTCTTTTTTCTAGAAGACTTCAAATTAAAATTATTCAAATTCTTTCCAAATCAATTCTTCTGGAATTACTTATTATGTCAACTTTTATGTATTTAAACCTAAATTCTGTGGGTAAAATTCCAACACTTCTGATGGGTCTATGAAAAGTTTCCATTTTATTTGCAATCGACACTGGACATTCAATCCTTCTTCCTTTTTAATGACAAGTAAGTAAAGCCTAAAGCAGTGAAATGTAACTTTTATTTAATCATATTGACTTTCTAAAAATCAAAGCTGAGTTTTCAAACTTCCTTATTGTGTTAGGTTGGGATTTTGCTAGTGTTATATTTTCTCTTTTAAAAGTATTTATGCATGGGAAAAAACAATACATAACTGGAAATTGGGCACAATTTCAAATCCATTTCCAAATATCCAAATGTTCTGATTTTAACTTAGCAGGTTATAATCAAATATTGATCCTATCATTGATAATAAAGAACCGCCTTAACAACAATAGTTTTATTAATGAATACACAAAATACAATATGAGGAAGTGGTTTAAGTACTATAATTTCTTTTACAAAATAGATTTCTTTATCTAATTTTAATTAAAAATGACTAACTTTTATAACAGTTAAGTTGATTTTTAAATGGTGATATATGTAAATATTTTTGTTTGCTTATTTTTACAACTGGAAATTCTTTTCTAAATTGCATATGGTTCTTAAATAGGGTTGTTTGTAGCACAGCTTGCATAAATAAATACAGTTAAATTAGTTCACTGAGGTCAGTTTTGGTTCATTTATGGTTCCGTGTAATCCTGTTACTTTTCTTCCCACTTTTAAATGAGATGCTTACAACAAAAATGTTGTTAAGATATAACAAGAAGAGAAAAGCCAAATGAAAGTCAGTTTATATGAAATTTGCCTCTTGCCTGGTACCATTTGTGACCATGAGGCCGATGATGCTGACCACAGGCTGTGGAAAGGGCTTTGTTTTCACAGGTAACCAAATGCAAACAAAAGAATTGAGTGTATGTAACTTGCCCTAGATGGAAATGGAATTTCACATTGAAAGAAGTAATTTATTGCATGTTTGACCCATTAGATCTTATAAAGAAAAAGTATTCCAGAAAAAAATGTAGTACCTCCTACAATGAACTTTTTAGATGGATATTACGTGCTATTTATATTTTGAACAAATTGTTGTTTTCCTCAGGTCCTTGTCAGATAAAAAAAAAGTCCTCTATCAAACTAAAAATGAAATTACATATTTTAAAGTTTAATTGAAGATGAACTTTCTCTGGGTCAAAGATTGAAACTTATTTATGTAAATGCAAATTATATAACTGACTATAGAAAATTGTGTGTAACTATTATCAAAATTTTCTTCCAAATTAACTCAGCCTGTGGAGTTTGACTTGAATTCTTCTTTTCCATAATGTTGGTGTGGCTTCCTGAGTAGACACAGTTGTCGTTTATTTGAAAGGAGGCTTTCAATAATGTCAGGAGAGACTTTCCTGCTTCCAGTCTCTTTCCCATTCAATTGCCACAGCATCTGGTATTTGCCATTCTAGATCTTTCTATTACTTTAAACAATTACTTAGTCCAACAGGGACATCACCTACCTAGCTGCTCTAGCCAGAAATGTGTGTATCCTCTGTCCCACTCTCTCACTTACCAGCCCCCACATCCAACTGGTCACAAATTCCTTCCAAATTCTTTCCTCCTTCTGCACCCCTCCAGCTATTTCCTGGTGCCTCTCAGGATCACACTTCAGCTCCTGCAAGGCTGCTCTTACACACTGTGCTGTCTCCCTCATCCCTGCAACCACTGCTATTACATCTCTTTAGCTTCAGCTGCACTAAGTTTTCATCTTTCCCAGAACATTTCTGGCCCTTTCACAACTTTATGACCTTCTCTTCCTGGATATAATTTTCTTCTGTTTAGGCTAGAAAAAGTCTTCTTACCAACGAATATTCATCTCAAATGCTACCACGTCTCTGAGGCCTTCCCTGATTGTCTCTTCTGTGCTCTGACTGCACATCTCTTACAGCAGGACCATATTTTGGTAGAATTGTTTTTTAACCAACACCAAGACCACTATACCAAGCTGCTGGTGAGCAGGGGTGGCCTCTTACTCATCTGGGTCACTGTCAGGACGGCATCATGCATCACTGTGCCTG
Source organism: Homo sapiens (assembly GCF_000001405.40). Taxonomy (NCBI): domain Eukaryota; kingdom Metazoa; phylum Chordata; class Mammalia; order Primates; family Hominidae; genus Homo; species Homo sapiens. The sequence goes on from NC_000008.11 coordinate 71,992,435, forward strand.
GCATACCATAGGTGCACAATACATGCTTGGTGAATAAATGGCTGAACCAAACTCCAACATTCGGTAGTAAAACATGAACCCTCCACCTCCAAATATGTTTACTAGGTGCGGTTCTCTGGGACTGGAGGTACCAACTAGCAAGGTAACACTGGGGGTGTTTGGGAACCTGATGGAGCACAAGAGAGGACAGATGGGACCAAAGAGGCCATCAGACATGCTTCACCTACCTCACAGCAGGGCCAAGGCAAACCTGGCCAATATGATCAATACCTGGATGCTTAAAATAGTAACCAAAAAAAAAAAAAAAAAAAGAAGAAAGAAGGGAGAGAGGAGCTGTTTCTAGACATTTGGATCACTTAAATAACTACTCTGTGGGGCTGGGCGCGGTGGCTCATGCCTGTAATCCCAGTACTTTGGGAGGCCGAGACAGGTGGGTGGATCACAAGGTCAGGAGATCGAGACCATCCTGGCTAACACGGTGAAACCCCATCTCCACTAAAAATACAAAAAAAAAATTAGCCAGGCGTGGTGGTGGGCGCCTGTAGTCCCAGCTACTTGGGAGGCTGAGGCAGGAGAATGGCATGAACCCAGGAGGCGGAGCTTGCAGTGAGCTGAGATCGTGCCACTGCACTCTGGCCTAGGCGACTGAGCGAGACTCTGTCTCAAAAAAAATAAATAAATAAATAAATAAATAAATAAAAATAACTACTCTGTGGATAAATACATTTAAAAAAATTGTGAAATTTGCGTAGCCTAAAAGTAACTGTTTTAAAGAGAAAAATGCAGTGGCATTTAGTGCATTCACAATCTTGTGCAAGCAGGATTGATGGTACTATTTTGGAGCTAGATAAATACATATTTTTAATTCTTCCCTCCTACTCCTAATTCACAGTATCTCTTCAGTAGTTGAATACACTCCATAGCCACTCTCACTTTTAATCGTGAAGCAAATGTAAAGCCTGGGTGTAAGAAGTTTGTTCAAATGCCCAAGAGGTCTAAATTCTACCTAACTGTGATATAATTGCATGAGGCTGAGACAGGGGTTGGAAATGCCTGTTGGATGAATGACACTAGAGCCAGACTGAAAGACTGAACCTCACATTTCTGCTTTGAAGTTTGGGACAACAATAAATGCATTTATTGTGGGCCTTCTATGTTTGATTTCAGATGACAGATGACACACAAGGATAATTCCTTTATTTCAGGGAGAAGCAAGGGGCACAAACCACATGAGTAGTGTAGATTTGGAACAGATTAACCTCTACCTGGCCTTCTAGGGAAATGTAGGGGGGTGGGAGTGGAATGTGAGTATAAATCAGCAATTAGCTATACATCAAGGTATTCTCTTTATAATGGTGTATATGTTGGTAGATTTGAAATTTGTAAATGCGTAGCTATGATTCTACCTCTCTGTACTTTCTAATTGGTAAAACACCCAAAATAGCAGAATGTAGAGACCAATATTAACTAGGGCAAATATAAGCATACAATATTACAGCCCAGCCATCTGTCTAAATATCTGAAATATGATAAGTGCAAAGAGCATCTTTGTCACAGGATATTGAGATCACGTGGCTATAGATCAGTATTAGTTGATGAATTAGATGTAATGAATGCAAAATACTAAGAGGATGTATATCAAATCTGAAAATCACAACTGACAACCTGTGCTAATATATTTATTATTTTGACATTTAATTTTATTTTTGATTACATTTCTTCCCCTCAAAAATTTATTTTTTTAGAATTAATTGCATATATTCATTCTGAGACATGGAAATCCTATCACTAAGGTAACATTGTCCACAAATGCTTGGTCTGGAATAATATTAAATGACAAGAGAGAATAGGATTCCACCACCCCATAGACAACACTCCATTGCAATGGAACTAATAGGCTGTGAGGAGATTTATCCTGATGGTCTGTGGTTTCCTTCCAATAACATTGTTGCTTGCTCATTTTAAGACATGCCTTAATAGATGCTATGAAACCGCATCACATTTTCTAGCTCCTGTAAAAATTCAGTGCTTCTGAGTATTAACTTTGTTTTCTTAGTGACATCAGTTTGTTTTAACATTTCTATCAGGAATTCTATTGTGAGAGGAGACATAAATTAGGCTTTACTTAGTTTATTCTGAGTTTCTCTTGGGCAGAGTTTTGGTGAAATAATCTTTGAAAATTTAAAAAACCCTTCACACGATGGTAGCATAATCAAGTTTCTCCTTCACTACCTCATTTGACACCCTTCTGGGGAAAAAGAAATTGCTATTTTAGGCAGGAAACAAACACAAGGGAAAGAAGGGATGTTTTGGGTGACATTGGGGACAGATAAGAACTCCATGTGCTTTGGTGAAATGTAGCTGCTGGGTGCACCAATTCTCAACCTTCCAGCTTCCTCTACTTTTCCACCCTTTTTGACTCTCCCACCTGCAAGGTCAGCTGCTCTAAGGAGCAATTTATAAAGTTGCAGCTCATATTGTGCTTGCAGTTCCAGAACTGACATGAAATTAAATCAGTCTTGAGTGCTGCAGGATACAAAAGCTACCTTCCTAGTTTACTGAGCCCTTCAAGACTCCTAATAAATCTTGGAAAGGTAGCATTCCACCAGTGACTGCCCAGTTTCTCCCCTCACAAAAAGACCTTGAAATGGAAACAACGAAATTTTCTTCGAAGCCATATTTCATGCCATGGAGAGAAAGACATACGTGGAAGCCACATTCTTAAGCTCCCTTTTCCAACTCTGGGGCAGGCACTTCATGAGACAGTGTTAAATGAGCTCTTACCTTACTCCTCCATGTTCCAAAATTGCTAGGGCCACACAGTGTGAAAACATCCATGAAATGCTTACTGTACTCACAAAGATTTTTAATTTTTTCTCAAGAGCAGAAGGTAAGCCTTTAAAAATTCTCTAAGTCTACAAATACACCCCTGCTACAAATATGTAGCCCCTCAATTTTCAGGGACACATGAAGCTTATTGGTGGAGGTTCAACACAATATGTCTGCGAAAGAATCTGAAGCAGATGCTGTCAAATAGTAACACTCAATTATACCCAATAGTGACTCGTATTTTCCAATATTTTAGAATGTAATCTTAAATCATTAGTCAAATCCACCTAAAATCTCACAGTACAGGGGAAGTTACTGAGTCTTTATTTGGTGCCATGTGCCATGCAAAATGTTTTATAGACATTAGTGCTTAATTTTCCCCAAACTTCTCGAGTGAAGTATTATTATAACCCCTGTAATGGTTAGGGTATCATATCCATGGTACCCAGTTTTGGTCAAACACCAATCTGGACATTGTTATGAAGGTATGTTTTAGATATGATTAACATTTAAATTAATAGACTTTGAGTAAAGCATGTTACCCTCCATAATGTGGGTAAGCCTCATCCAATAAATTGAAGGCCTTAAGAGAAAAAGACTGAGGTCCCCTCCTGAGGAAGAAGGAATTCTTTCTCCAGCATGTGTTTGCAACATCAGCTCTTCCCTGAGTCTCCAGGCTGCAGGCCCGCCTTGCAGATTTCAGACTTGCTACACCTCAAAATTGCATGTTCCAATTTTTCTTAAAATAAAGCTTTCTCTTTCCCTCCTCTATATGTATGTGTGTGTGTGTGTACGCGTATACATATATACATATATCCTCTTGGTTCTGTTTCTCTGAAGAACCCTGACTAACACACCGCTATTTTAAAAGTGATGAAACAGAGGCTCTGAGAGATACATGTTTGCCAAAGGCCAACAGCTGGTGAGCGATTGGGCAGAGCATAGGCTGCCCTTTCTTTCTGGGCCATCTTCCTTCTAGTCAAGCTGGAGTCCGTGTTTCTCCCAGCCTGTGGCCAACAGCCACGTGAAAGGCATGTGAAGAGTTGGTTGTGTTTAATCCTGTCATCGGTTTTATTGGAAAGCTTTTCACGCAGCCCACGTGAGGGAAAACGATTTGCTCAGGATGAATGTGGCCACCAATGTGTTATTTCCCTTAATCTAAACAGAGCCTCAGGCACACTTCATTGATCATGCCTCCAGGCTGAAAGGCCCCCTTAATGCTGGCCAGCAAATATTATGTTTCTGAGGCAGCCCTGTGCTGTCAACCACATTTCCTGATCTACTCTGATTAGATATATAAACAGCTTCAGTAAAACAGAGCCTGAGCTTTGCTGTTAAAAATATAAGATAAGGCTTCCATAAAGATTCATCAACAGCAGAGGTGCTGTCTAAGTTAGGGCTGAGCCCTCTGAGCTGAATTTCTTTTTTTCTTTTTCTTTTTTTCTTTTCTTTTTTTTTTTTTCGGTGTTGTAAGAGGGTCAGTGAGCAAACAACCACGATTTATAATCATGTTTGAATAGTGGCTGGTGCACTCACTGACTAAGGGAGACCTTGGGGAAAAGAAAGAGTTAAAAGAATTGAGCAGTTCATGAAGTGGTTTGCATTAATGGCCCAGCACAGGACTGACATTACTCAAGGTTACATAGTCATTTTATATCTGCTAAGAAGTGTCACACTGTCCCAGCTAAGAGCAAGGAAGAGATGTGCTGACACCTGCAAGGTGCAAATGCTTATGAAGAAAGGCCAAGAACTCCCTGAAAAGCAAATTAAATGGTCAGTTAGGGAAAGGAAGTAATTAGAACCAAATGTTCTACATCTTTAAACCATGCATGTTTCAGATACATTGTGTACCATAAACATGTGCCAGCCAGGACAAGTTAAGATTTTATTATAGATATATGTGTTTAATTAGAATATGTTTCAAAATCCTCTTCTAACATTTGTCCCGAAGATGAAGTCTATTATCTAAAGGGTTTTTCCAGCTCAAGTGTCTTTGAATGAGAATACATGCCTTTTCTAGATAATTTTTGACATTTGTTCTGAAAAGAAAAAATTCAGTGAGAGTAAGAAGAGGATTATCCAATATCGCTTGGTGGGAAAATATAAGAAGTTAACATACTGAAGTTTCATTATTAATATACATCAATATTTTAATGTGTTTTAATACTTACATGTAATATCTAAAGGGATTTTGCTCACTTAAAGAGCTGCTTACTCCCCACTTTAAAGATCATTTACAATTGTCCTAAATTAATCAATACTATTTTTATTCAATAATAAAAATAATTGCTAATATTTATCAAGTATTTACTTAATTGACTTAATACTAGGTACCAAATACTGCTTTAACCCTTTTACAAAAATTGGCTGAGAAAATTCCTTCAGCAGCCAAGGAGCTTGCTGCTTTTTCTCCCCTCTTCATTTCAGTCTATAAAATTATACTCAGTAATTTAAACCTTTATTGAATTAAAATAGTATTCTCCCGGGTCCATGCCTGGTTTGGGTTAACTAACGTCAAATACAAATATGCCTTTTATTTCCCATTTATAATAGTTTTTGTTTCTTGGAGTTATTGTAATCAGTGGTTCTTATGTCTGTCTGTGCATTTAAATCATGTGAGAAGTCTTCCAAAAATACAAGTTCCTGGCCACACGTGTGACTCTTGATTTTCTAAGGATGGAATGCAGGGTTCTACATGCCCAACAAGGAATGAATCTGATTTTCTTGTCATAGAAGAGGTGACTGCATTGTCTTAGTTCATTTGTGCTGCTATAGCAAACCACCTGAAACTGAGTAATTTAGAAAAGAGAAATTTATTTTTTACAGTTCTGGAGGGTGGAAAGTCCAAGATCTCTGTGCTAGCATTGGTGTCTGGTGAGGGCTGTTCTCTGCTTCCAAGATGGTGCCTGTTTCTGTGTTCTCACATGGTGGAAGGCAGAAAAGCAAGAACGTGCTCCCTTCAACCTTTTATAAGGGTGCTAATCCCATTCATAAGCCTGGAGTCCTCATGACTTTACTACCTCCCATAGGCCACAACTTTTAACACTGTTGCATTGGTCATTAAGTTTCAACATGAATTTTGGAGAGGACATTATCATTTAAACCATAGTACGGTGTCATGAAGGTTAAGTAGCCTAAAGTTATACTGATAGTAAGCAGACATGCTAAATGCAATTATAGGAGGAGCTGCAGGGGTTTTAAAAGTTATGCTTTAGTTAATCTTATTTTGTTTGTGCTTCAATGACAAGCAACATATTTTCTTTGTGCGAGCACTCAAATACTAAGAACTAAATTTATATTAGGCTACATTGAAATAATGCATTTGGAGAACTTGGGCCACCTCACTGAGGCTTCCAGAAAAATGCATACGTGTGAATGGTCTTTCATTTTTTCCTTTACATTAAATATCTGTAGGCTTGGTTTACACATGCAAATGGTTTCAGTTATTAGATGTATAGGAGAGAATATCTGAGATTGATGTGGGTCTATGAGTAGGTCTGTACAGAAGTCAGGGACCGTCAATGTTTTACGTGGCTGGACTAGACATAACGCTGAGTCTAGGTTCAGAAGCCCAGGGTGCCAGTGCTGTCCTGGTCACTTCCTATTTGCTCATCCCTGAGCAAATCCCAGGACCTCTTTGGGATCGCTTCTATCTTTTGCCTCCCAAAGGATTCTCTAACAAGGAGGTTGACGGCTTCCCCCAAGGAAGACTCAGAGCACAGGTTCAGGGCAAGTGTTTGATGATCACATTTCTGAATAAAGACAAATTCTTCATTTTGGACAAACAAAAATGAATCTCTGAAAAAACACATGCATGGGAAACCTTAGGGAAGATTCTTACTTTCAATTCAGTTATTGACCCACTTGACACATAATTGCACCCAGTGATACATGGTGGAAAGGAAAGAGTGCACTTAGCTTTTCCTCACAGAACAAACATTTTCTGTTATTTTATAAGCTCCCACAACATAGTTTCCCACATTTTCTAAGGAAAGGAATGTTACATGATAAACATTATACTCAGAGCCTTTACTGTAACAGTAAATTATTTCCTTCATTTTGTCTTAATTTCCAAGTACACCATGTTGAGATCAACAGATCTAGCTATTTACTGTTTAAAGCTCTGAAGTATTAATCCGTAAATTCAGGAAGCATTGCCATCTATAGTGTGCAGTTTGATGTACAGCAGATTGCTGGGTCTTAACAGTGCCTGCCTTGGCTGCAATTTCCCATTTGCTCAACATAAAGGAGAGGCTTGCTACCACAGACTGGAATCAGACATAAGCCATCTGCTCCCACGAGAGCCAAAGTTATAAGAACCATCTCTGTTTGTGGAACAAGTTGTGTTTACCCCAGCTTCTATGGAGTTTAGCTCTGCCCAACTCCTTCATCATGTTTATGTTTCATTGCTCCATTACATATTTCTCCCCAAATCCATCAGGCTGGGCATGATGGTGCATACCTGTAACCCCAGCACTTTGGTAGTCTGAGGTGGGAGGATGGCTTGAGCCCAGGAGTTCGAGACCAGCCTGAGCAACAGAGTGAGACCCCATTTCTACAAATAATAAAAAAGTTAGCTGGGCATGGTGGTGCACACCTGTGGTCCCCGCTGTTTGTGAGGCTGAGGCAGGAGGATAACTTGATCCCAGGAGGTCAAGGCTGCAGTGAGCCCTGATTGTACCATTGCACTCCAGCCTGTGTGACAGAGCAACACCCTGTCTCAAAAAAAAAAGGCCCCAAAATCAATCCTATGATTTCAGCAGCATTCATTGTGATTTCTTTCCACTATAATGTAATACCTTTCCTTATATATCACATTGTGCAACTACTACTATATGACATTGCCAGATCCATTTTCTTCTACCATTCACTGTCTATTGATTACCCAGTGACATCTGAACTAAGTGTGAAGTTCATAATGAATAGATTTTTAAAATAAAGAATGAGGACAATTCTCTGAGCCCCCCAAAGTTTATGAAATACAATTTATTTCACTGAACCTCTTAAGTTTAGTTAAATTGAAAGAAATGTCACCTCCCCAGCTGAAGTGTGAGCAACTTGACTAATGAGGCTGAGCCTTGCAGCTCCTTTGTAACCTCACCATAATTAGCACGCTTAGGGGCCCCCGCATTGCTGACTGGCTAGCTAGAAGTGACTTTGCGCCCTACTTTTTACTACAATGTCTTTCAGAATGCAACTGTGATTGGTGGTTAGACCCTTTGCTTTCGAAACAAGTGCCCAAGAAATGCTTTTTTTTTTTTTTTTTTTGCTTCTGACTAATCTTCTGGGTTCATACATGATGCTGACTAATCTTGCTACTTTCAGATGTGATGCTGAGTGGTCTTCCGGAAATGCCAAGTAAGGAGGTACTTTAAGAATTAGCAAAGGTCCCTTAGTGAGAATTGACCTGGCATGAAGGGACATCACACATTGTGAGAGTATCTTATAATCTTGTAACTACTTCTATGAATAAGTGCATGCACAGTGACAAGCAATAAATAGGCCAGTTCTTCTGAAAATTCTAGAGAACAGTTAAGTGATGACCCTTCACAGTTTCTGTTTCTCTTCTGGTTCAGTTTTAACTCTTGTACAGTGTACAGGCTTTGATTGAGTACCGCCACTTTAAATTATACTTCTGAAGTTATGGAGGGCAGATTAGGAAGCAAGCGGCCTCTCCCCCAGTGATGGGCAAGGGTATACACTTCTATAGGCCACGTTTAGACCATACAGGAGGGAAGCAGCCAGTCCCTATCTTGTAAAGAGCCCTCCCAAAGGACTTTCAGCTAGGGATGAAGCAGCCTAAGCTCCTAAAGCCTAGATATACAATATTGGATATAAAAGGTAAGCGTGGGGAGTTGCAAGGGACCAGCAGAGGAGACATAGCCCATACCAGGGGACTGTAATCTCCAAATGCCTTCACAAAACTGTCTCCCAAGAGAGCCAGCTTTAAATATCTCTCATACCCAAGCGGTATCCATGTTAGATTAGAGCTGTCCTGCTCAAGTAAGACTTCTCCTTTCCCCTCCTGGAGGAGCCAGGGGCAGCACACTGAGTGTGGAAGGAGGGATTGGTGGGGAAAGAGAAAAGGGGCAAATTATAACTTATCCCCTCTATACTGCAGGCTTCTAAGCTGGAGGCAAACCAGGCTAGGAAAGGGGAAACTTCAAAGTTGGTGAGAATCTTTAGTTCTCATACTGAACTTTTTATTCTCTAAAAAAGGCTAGAATAGAAAAAGTCCACAGAGTGGTTTTCAGGGTTAGAATTAAGAAAAAATAAAATTGCTTTTAGTTTATCATTTGCCACGTAATCAAATACTATAATAGGCATATTATCAAATTTGACATCTCCTAACTAAATGAAAATGACAATACACTCCATATTAAAATTGCCGTTATGAAATAGAACAGAGGTTCAACAGAAAAATAAAATGCCCTAAAGAAGAAAAATGTTGGCTTCTGTCCAGAGATGGCACAAAGATTTTCCCAGCTCCATCCTACCTTGAGTTCCTCTCCAATAAATTGTTGGTTTTCCTGGATATTATATTCTCACTTATATTTATTTGAATGTCTTTATTCTGACACTCACAATAATGAGGCACATTACTGCCCACTCTCCTCTCTAGGTATATTTAGAGAATAGACATAAAGCTACTGCATCGCTGCATCTGAGCCTTTTAAAGGACACACTAATAGGTGGGATTGTAACTATAAGAAGGCAATAAAGGTGTGGAGAGGTCTAGATAGAATATTTCATTAAATAATATTTGGGGAAATTAGCATGTATATAGAGAAGAGAGAAAGAATAAAATAATAGGAAACACTAATACAATTTTAATTTCTAAAGCTAAAGAAAAATTTTCACTAACCTATGAGGCCAGCTAGAGCAGGATTTATAGGAAGCAGGTGTAAGGTTAAAATTTGGAGCATCTTTCTTTCTTTTTTTTTTTTTTTTAAGACAGAATCTCACTCTGTCGCCCAGGCTGCTGGGATGCAATGGTGTGGCGTGATCTCGGCTCACTGCAACTAATTTGGAGCATCTTTCTAAGACTTTGCATGTAAATGTGACTGGATGGCCATCTGTCAGGAAAAGACTAGAAGAATTGAATTGGAAAAGCGAAAAAAATAAAAGTGGATGAAGACGTCGTTATTTTAGTCAATTCATTTACTGATAGCACTTGTGGTCCCAAATGGGCCCTGGGTCTGGTCTGGGGCAGCCTTGGGGTCATTGTTTATTATGATCCTCACTACCAGTTCTTCCTTTCTGCCACTGAGAGAGGCTAGGCCTGCCATGTCCTCAGACCAGCTCCTACCTGTAACCGCCTCGGTCTGCACAAGAAGGCAGAGCAAGGCCACTGCATACAGATTTTGAATACATTCTGTCTGTCCAATAAGCCACTCAAAGATTTTTGCCTTTCTCTGGGCTATCAGATACTGAACAAGAAGAAAATGGACTTGTTTTTATTTATCTTCTCCTTTTGGAAGTCTAGTCTCTCAATCATGAACTTCAGCACCTTGTGCTCCTTCTGCTCTTATGCAAACTCTCTTTCAGATAACTAATGATATCAATAGGATAATTTACTGTGGCCATGCACTCATGAGACGAGGACTTCAAGGCCTCTGCCTGGGCCATTAATCAGGGAAGTTCATCCTCTATGCCCATGTCCTTCTCCTGATAATAGACACTCAGTAAATATTTGTTGAATGAATAAACCAGTCAGCCAAGAAAGCTAATTTTTTTTAATTTTTATTTCTGGCAAAATACAATTTTTTGTTGCACTTATAATAGTAATAGGATGAAGATGTGTTTTAAAATAATGTCTATTAGTTAATTAGGAGGATTAATCCTATGCTCACTGGAAGATAACTATCACAGTGATGAATTGTGTTTGCCCTCAAGTTCTGTAGAAATAAAATCAGTTGAAGCATCACGTGTAGAAAAGGTGAAAGCAGAATTGCAACAGAACTGGCAGAGTCCGAACAAAGGAGAGCTCCAATAATATCCAGTTACTACAGAAAACACAGTGCCTGGCACATGAATACTAAGTGTTCGGTAAGTGTCAGGATGATGATGATGCTGATTGTTATTATCATTCCCATTATAACAAGGTAATTTAAGTGGTATTCAGATAAGATATTAAATGTCAAATCACACATTGATGAATTTGCTTCCTTTTAATTTTTTTTTTTTTTTTTTTTGAGACAGAGTCTAGCTCTGTCACCCAGGCTGGAGTGCAGTGGCACAATCTCAGGTCACTGCAACCTACGCCTCCCAGGTTCAAGCGATTCTCCTGCCTCAGCCTCAAGAGTAGCTGGAATTACAAGTACCCGCTACCACGCCCGGCTAATTTTTGCATTTTTAGTAGAGATGGGGTTTGGCCATGTTGGTCAGGCTGGTCTTGAACTCCTGACCTCAGATGATCTGCCCACCTTGGCCTCCCAAAGTGCTGGGGTTACAGGTGTGAGCCACCGAGCCTAGCCGTGTTTCCTTTCAAATTTGATTTTAATTATTCTGATGACCTCAAGAGCAATGTTGCCAGGTGGCGACAGTATATTTATACACCTATTAATGTTGAATCTTTGAGCAGACCTGGAGCTCAGAGCTGGAAATTAATAGCATTGTTTTGTTTTCACTGTATTTATTTTTAGAATCACTTTACATTTATTACAAACAACATTGATCTTTATCAGTGTTAGGGTTTTAAGTATTCTTTAAAATAACATTTGTGTGGATAAAGCAAGTCAATTTAAAGAAAATGTGAAGTTAGTGATAGGGTAGGAAGTATACAGATCAGGCAGAATCCTGACGGAGAAGGGTTATGTCAAGAGTTTGGGAAAGTGCATTGGGGAGTTTGCTTGAACGATCAGATCACTGCAGTCTAAATGTTTCTGCTCGAGAGAGACACTGTGCCACATGTGGGCGCCCACCACCACTACCTGGTCACCTGATTGGCATAGGTAGCCTAGGAAGTAATCTCTCCAGCATCGGATAACCAGTGGTGAGGAGGAAGCAGCTCCAGTCTAGGTGGCTGTACTACACTAGTGCCAAACGTCGTTGCTCCCTTCCCTTCCCCTCCAACCCAGCTGGTAGTTGGGTATACTCACTGCATCCAGTTTGGCAGCAACGTGCCACGGGTTACAGACCCTTATCTCCAATGGTAGTCTGTAAAGGGTTAACAACAGGGGCTCTGGGGGAAGACCAGGTTTGTGACATTTGCTGATTTCAGTGATCTAAGTATAATCACCTTACCTGATTTTAAGTACGGTTGTTTGTTTGCAACAACCGGCTGGCAAAATTCCTGAAAATTTCACAGTTGCCTCTGGGGAGCCTGTGCCAGTGGGCTCCAGTACACTACCCCATTTTCACTCTAAGTACGGTATTTGATTGTGAAACCATCCCGACATCCCCCCCCGCACCTCTCCCCACCGACTCCCCAAGTCTATCTTTTCTTCTAAACTTTAAGCTCCATAAGGGAAGAAACCATGCTGCCTTATTCGCCATGGTAATTCCAGTGCCTTCCTGACACCCAGCATATACCCCATAAATACTGATTGGCTATTACGCGCATAACGTGAGATCAAAAGGAGTTCCTACAAAGACCCTTAAATCCTCCAGACTTCTTAAGCTTAGGAAAGATTTTTGCTTGGTTTTCGGTTTTCTTTTTCTTATTTTGAGCAGCAGACCAGCGTGACTCCACAGTTTCAAAGAGCAAGCGTCTATATTTGTGTGACCCGGGGCCGAGCTGGGGAAGGGGAAGCAGAGCAGCGCTGACGCAGTCAGGTCCCTGGTGCAGGTGCCAGCTCCCCACAGCGCGCCGAACTCCCCAGTATGAGCGAACCTCAAGTCACTGCCCTCGCGCTTGTCGAGCGAACTCTCAAGGCTTGCAGGTCGTCTCCAGGAGTCAGAGAGGTCCGGACTCCGGGGATTCCTGCTCCGCGGAGAACTGGGGAGCCCCCGTTCCTGTGCCACTCTCAGGTGGGGTGACTTTGGGCTCTGGGAAGGAGAGCTGTGTCCGTGTCACGAGGGGGCCCCGGCAGGTGGCGAGCAGCACCGAAGCGCGGGCCAGGACGCTCGTTTCTCGGCGCCCTCTCCTGGGTCAGTGGCGCATCCACCTCCCCAGCCACCAGTGACCAGCGGGGGCGTGCGCAGCTTCAGAGGTGCAGTTTGGAACTGCCCTCCCCCTTTCAGTGTAGGACTGGCGACACTCCTTTCTTCCTGCAGGTAGCAATCTCCAGGGACCTCCCTCAACCCTGTGGAGGGCAGTTTTTTCAGTGGCTCAAAGAAAACACGTCTTTCGTGTCCCTGGTCAGACTGCTCTGCCTGTAACTGCGGTGTGCAGAGAGCCTGCGCGAGACCGTTGTCCTATCTCACTGGGCTTCAAAGCTACCGAAAGCAGTCATGAGAGAGGAAATGACCCGAGGCAGGATGGTCCCCCAGCTCCATATCCCAGCCTGGAGAGACCTATTTCTTCCATTCTGCACCTTGGGCCTGGCAGCTTAAGAAATAATGACACATGGCCTGCAGGCCAAAATACCTTGGTTCTATTCCCAACCCTGTCACTTACGGGCTGTGTGACCTCAGGCAAGTTGCTAAATCTCTCTGAACCTCAGTTACTTCATCTGGAAAGGAATGGAGTTGGACCTCGTGATTAATAAAGTTCCTTTTCAGCTCTGATCTCCCAGGATTCTAAATCTCTGCTACCTGAAGATATAAAAACATACCACATTCTTTTCCCCTAGCAATACAGTTTTAGTGGATAAGGCTAACTATACAGTTAATGAGACTTAATATACAGTTTTAGTGAATAAGACATACATGTAGAAAGCAAATGCAACATGCTTGTTTCATTTATGGCAAACAACTAATAAAATATATATTTGAAAGTTTCAACAAAGGACTCATATCCAGATTCTACAAAGAACTCAAACAAATTGGCAATAATAATAATAATCCCATCGAAAAGTGGACAAATGACATAAATAGACATTTCTCAACAGAAGATATATAAATTGCCAGCAAACATATGAAAAAATGCTGAACATCACTCATCGCCAGGGAAATGCAAGTTAAAACCACAGTGAGATACCACCTTACTCTCTCAAGGATAATCATTATTAAAAAGTCAAAAAACAGTAAGTGTTGGCATGGATGTTGTGAAAGGAGAATGCTTTTACACTGCTGTTGGGAATGTAGATTAGTACAACCTTTATGGAAAACAGTATGGAGATTCCTTAAAGAACTAAGAGTAGAACTGCCCATTCAATCCAACAATCCCACTACTGGGTATCTACCCAAAGGAAAATAAATCATTATATGGTAAAGACACATGCACCCGTATGCTTATTGCAGCCCAATTCACAATTGCAAAGATATGAAACTAAACTAAGTGCCCATCGACCAATGAGTGGATAAAGAAAATGTGGTATATATACACCACGGAATACTACTCAGCCATAAAAAAAACGGAATAATGTCTTCTGCAGCAACTTGAGTGGAGCTGGAGGCCATTGTTCTAAGTGAAGTAACTCAGGAATGAAAAACCAAATATTGTGTGTTCTCACTTATAAGTGGAAGTTAAGCTATGAGTATGCAAAGACGTGCAGAGTGGTATAATGAACTTTAGAGACTCGGAAGGGGGAGGATAAGAAGGGGTAGTGGAATAAAATCTACATATTGGGTACAATGTACACTAGTCGGGTGAAGCGTGTGCTAAAATCTCAGAATTCACTACTATAATTATTCATGGAACCAAAAACCACTTGTACCTCAAAAGCTATTAAAATTTAAAAAAAGTTTTTTAAAGAAAAAATGTTTCAGTATTAAGAGCCCTTCATGTGACTAGGAATTGAGGATACCAACAACAAAATAAGTAGATAAAATAACAAATAAAAGGATTAACTGCTGTCTCTGTGTTCAAAGAGCCTACAAATAGATATACAGACACATGAAAGATCACAACACAAAGAAGTAACAGCATGAAAACTAGGTAAATTGAGTATAATAACTTTTGTATTTTGTTTGGATTATAGCTAAAACAGTGAAAAGAGGCAAGGGTAGACTTGGTGATATTTTTTATCTATCAAGACTCAGGGCAGCCCAAGTACATCCATAATGCCATTATTAATGACACTGAAGGCCTATTTCCAAATTATTATCATTCAGTGCCATCTAGTGTTAAACTGATGGATGGATTTTTTCATATTATTTTGTTTTTGTAAATTCCTTGTCCAGCTCTATGTAGTCAGATTAAAGTCAGGCAAACAAACTCTGCCTCTTACACATCTAGTCTTATGATGTGATGTCTGTATTCTGAAAACTCATGTGTTTCCTGCCCAGCCAGGCACAACCTGTGGTTCAGGCTCTCAACTCATACTTTGCTCATCTTTCCTGGACTGCCATCACTGGTGCCAGCACTCTGTCCATGGTCTTTTCCTTCAGACAGCAGAATTTCATAGGACTAGATGCATCAGTTTCTGAGCAGAAAGTTCCACTTCAGACTGGATTTTGATGCAACTCCTAGAATCTGGAGTAAATCTTTTTGTAATGTTATCTATTAGTTCAGCTATCATTGGCATGCTGGCCCTTTCTATACCAGCGCAAGGGCTGATTGTTACATTTTTGGAAATTGTGCAAGTTTCCATGTATCTTTCTTTCTTTTTCTTTTAAGAGTTAATTCTGAGGTTATCAGGGCAGGGAGAAAGCTACTAACTAGCCCCTTTTGATTAAATGTGGTGGTAGCCATGGACCAGCAGCTACTGAATTGAGCAGAGGGTCAGAGGTGAAATGGAGAGAGAGCTCTGGGAATGAATGTGTGTGCAGTAGACTTTGGAAGCCATTAGCTCACAGTCAGGTAAAGTGGCCCTCTTTAATAAAACACCCACACACACTTCAAACTTCCAAAGTTCACTCTACAGGAGGTTCTACTAGGAGGAAAGAAGGGGGTAATGGACCATGCAGTATCAAATCTGCAATTAGAGTATAATAATTACCACTATCCCTATGATGCTGGCCTTGATGGGCTCTGTTTCATCATTTAAATATTTTTAACTAAGCATGAGCAAAATCCCTTGACTCGATAACTATCACACAGCTGAAAAGGAATAACAGATTCAAAAAGAAGCTATAGGAAATTAGTGAGGAAAGAGAGAAATAAACATACAGAGTGCCATAAAACCGAATATTTGGCTTATTTTAAAAACGTGCTTGCTCTCTATGAAGTTTCAAATGTGATCCCATTCCCCATGGATTTCCAGAAAGAAAAATAAGACCTTACCTAAAATATGTCATTAACTAGTTTCTACTCTACTTCTTTAAGACTGCTCTTTCTATTTAACAGTTCACTTCTTGCAAGCCATTGTGGACAGTTGTGCCTTTCAGAGACCAGATTGGGCCAAGTCCTCTCTGTCTTTTAGCTAAAGCCCACTCTCCCAGGAAATGCTTCTGCTCTAAGACTCAAACATTCCCTGTTAGGTGAGGTCACTGACATCAGAAATGGCCTCCCCCTTTAGAGCTGGCCCTCTATACACAGGTAGTGTAATTTTGTATTTTTTCTTATTCTCTGTGGTAGAGATTGTTGGTTGACTGCCAACATCTATTGGCCCATTTCTCTAAATAACAGAATGTTTATCTGGGCACACACCTGCATGGAATTAGAATGATATTTCCCAGTGTCTCTTAAAGAAAAATGTGGCCACTTTATTAAATTCAGGTAATGGCATATAAGTAAATGATGATGTGTAGATTGCAGGAGCCTTCTTTAAGAGACAGCTGGTGTACCTCTTTTTCCTGTCCCTTCCTTTAATCCACAGCCTGGAACATGGATGCTTGCATTTTGAATCCTGAGGACAAGGACTACTTGCCTGGATAGTAGGGTGATAGGATTATGTGGAACAGAGTTGCCGTATTAGCCTATTAGTCTAGTAGGACTCACTTTTAGACTTTGTTTATAGAGATAAATAAACTTTTTGTTTGTATTATTTTTTAAAGCATAGTTATTTTGAGTTTTGCTTTTGGAGACAGATCTTTTATTGCATTCCCCTCCTTCCCCCAAAATTCTTAGGTTGAAGCATTAACCCAAGGTACTTCAGAATGTGACTTTACTTGGAAATAGGGTCATTGCAGATGTAATTATTAACAGTTAAGATGAGGTCATTAAAGTGGTCTCTAATCCAATATGACTGCTCTTCTTATAAAAAGGGGAAATTGGGGTACAAAGGCAGACACACGCACAGGGACACACACACACACACACAAACACACACACACAGAATGCTGTGTAGATGAAGGCATGGATCCAGGTGATTCCTCTATAAACAAAGAAACGGCAAAGATCGCCAGCAAATCACAAGAAGCTAGGAACGAGGTTTGGAGCAGATTCTCTCTCACAGCTCTGAGAAGGAATCAAGCCTGCTGACATCTTGGCAAGCCTCTAGAACTCTGAGACAATAAATGTCTGTTATTTATTTTCTAGCCTTAGCAAACCAATATACAATCTTAGCCAATTAAAGGCTGACTAGAATAACCTTAGCTTAATCTAGGGCAATTTTCACACCATTCAGACAGCAGAAACTACATACACATATCCATGTACCCATCTGAACTTCTGTCATAATTTCTCAGTCTATCAATTTTAGCAGTGTGGCCAAATGTCAGTTTCTCTGGAATGCCAAAATAAGGGAATTTTGTTGTGGCTGTCCTATGAAAATGAAGCTCTGTCACAGAGAAGTGTGTGAGCCAAATCCAAATACTGAGTTTATTTTACTGTCCAAATAGAATATTTTCACCCCAGTGAAGCAATTGTAAGCATCTCATCCAAAGCATATTCACTATCCTTGAGTATTCTTGGTTGCTTATTGAATGAATAAGTGAATGAGGTGGATTTGGCTGACACTAACCTTTGGGATTACCTCACAGCTTGCCAGTGGCAAGCTTAGTAAGTACTGGGCCATAGTGTTTGAGGATAGGTCTCTAGAGTCATATGTCTCTAAGTTCAAATGCTAGCCTCCTGTATTAGTCTGTTTTCATGCTGTTGATGAAGCCATACCCAAGACTGGGTAATTTACAAAATAAAGGGTTTTAATTGGACTTACAGTTCCACTTCACTGGGGAAGCCTCACAATCATGGTGGAAGGCAAGAAGGAGCAAGTCACATCTTACGTGGATGGCAGCAGACAGAAAGTATGAGAGCCAAGCAAAATGGATTTCCCCTTATGAAACCATCAGATCTTGTGAGACTTATTCACTACCATGAGAACAGTATGTGGAAAACTGCCCCCATGATTCAACTATCTCCCACTGGGTCCCTTCCACCCACAACATGTGGGGATTCAAGATGAGATGTGGGTGGGGACACAGCCAAACCATATCACCTCCTTTCCTAGTTGCTTGGTTTGGAAGAGTTATGTAATCTTTTTGAGCTTCAATTTCCTCATCTATAAAATAGGGAAGATGCTAGTTACTCTCTTATAGGGTAGTTATGATTTATTTTATGTGAAATGTTTAGAATGGTCCATGCCATGATGTACTGCAGTTGGTTTGTACTGGCTCACAATGACCAATAGTACACCTTTTTTCTGATTCTGCCAATCTTCCCATCCTCACATCCAGTGACATCATATTGGTAGTTTGAAATTAATTGGCCATGGTGAGAATATTTACACTACAGATATTTGCAAATACTATACAACAGGGGCTAGCTTGCCAGCACACCGTTGGTTAGATGACATCCGTAAGTTCTGTATAAATCTTAACATTATTATTACTCAGTAGGTACTCCTGCTCCCTTATGGTTTTGAGAAGGCCTTCTTCTAGTTAAATAAATCATTTTGAATTAAAATAACACTGATGGGACTCTTAGCAATGTTTTACCTCTTGGGAATCACTGCCTACATTTGTGGTCTATAAATCTGAATCCTTAATTCACTCGGATTGATTTTTGGCTCCGTGAAAGCAGGAGCTTTTCTCACTGCTGTAGCCCCCACACATGGCACAGGCCTGGGACAGAGTAAGCACTCATAAGTATTTGTTAAGTGAAAAAATAAATGAATGAAAGTATCCCAAACACTTGCATTTTCAAAAGGTTTTGACATCCACTTCCTTTTCTTCTCAAAGCTACGCTTTGAGATGGATAGGTCCTATTTTACCTCTATTGCATCGATGAAGAAACTGCAATGCAAAGAAGTGTCTAATTAGTCATTTGCTTCCTTTCATCAAATATGTCCATTACACCAGTGTTTCTCAAAATGTGTTCCATAGATCATAAATCCTGAAGGATGTTAATAGTTATTATGTGCCAGGGGACCCGTGGATATATAAGTTTGGAAAATAGTGAAGTAAAAAAAAAAAAAATTGGTTTACTTACTACAAGTTTTCTCAGAGCCTTATTAAGCCAATGTGCATTGTGAACACAGGAGGTAGTGGAGATAGTTAAAGTATGCAGCATTTTCTATTTTTGACTATAGTTTGCTTGATTGATTTTTTTTTTTTTTTTTTAGACAGAATCTTGCTCTGTTGCCCAGGCTGGAGTGCAGTGGTCTGATCTCAGCTCACTGCAAGCTCCGCCTCCCGGGTTGACGCCATTCTCCTGCCTCGGCCTCCTGAGTAGCTGGGACTACAGTTGCCTGCTACCACGCCCGGCTAATTTTTTGTATTTTTAGTAGAGATGAGGTTTCACCGTGTTAGCCAGGATGGTCTCGATCTCCTGATCTTGTGATCCGCCCGCCTCAGCCTCCCAAAGTGCTGGGATTACAGGCGTGAGCCACTGCGCCGGCCACTTGATTGATTTTAAATGAAGCATCCAGCAGTGTTAGTGTGAAACTTCATTAGGTAGTACTTTTCAGACCTTAACTTGCATATGAATTGCCAAGGGAACTTACTAAAATGCAAATTCTGATTTAGGAGGGAAGAGTGCCTAGGGCAGGGACCTGAGATCCTACATTTCATCTTCTTTTTTCTTCTTTTATTTGAAACAAGGTCTCACTCTGTCATCCAGGCTGAGGTTCAGTGGCATGATCACAGCTCACTGGATCCTCAAACTCCGTGGATCAGATGATCATCCCACCTCAACCTCCCAGGTAGCTGGGACTACAGGTGCATGCCACCACACCTAGCTAATTTTTTAATTTTTTTGTGGAGACGGGGTCTTGCTTTGTTGCCCAGTCTGATCTTGAACTCCTCAACTCAAGGCAATCCACCTGCTTCGGCCTCCCAAAGCTCTGGGATTACAGGCGTGAACCACCATGACTGGCCAGAGATCTTGTATGTCTAACAGGCTCTCAGAGGGTGCCCATGCTGCTGGCCCACAGGCCACACCTTGAATAGCAAGGCACTAGAACATACAAGAGTCAAGAAGAAATGGCATCTTATTGAAAGACCAAATGAGAACACTAAAACACCCTATTGACCCTCAGGACCAGCTGTTAAAGAAGCATGTTGTTCAGAGGGGTGAGGAAATAAGGGACAAACCCCCATATGATGAGCAAGTAATGAAGGAACATAGAGCTAAACTAAATAGCTGGAGTAGGGCAGGTCTTTTCAGCTGAAGTCTAGGTGGTGAATTAATTAGTGAAGGGACACAGAGATGGCTAAAGGGACCCTTGATTGCTTTGTGGACCAAAATAGCTTCATTTTTGTCATTAAAACCTAGGTTCAAGGAGAAGAGGGCAAGGCCCACTATTGGTTCAGACTTAGTTATTGTTTTCCTTCTCTATCCACAAACTCAAGTTCCATGAGTTACTAATTTTTTAAAAAACTTTTTAATTATTCAAAATGGAATATGAATGTTAGAAATTGGAAGGGAAAAATGGGGACTGACATAAAAAGAGGTTAACCTGGGTCAGGTGAGGAAGTAACGCTATACAATGTATTCAGCTATTTAAAGGCTTCAGAAATGCTCGTATCTTTTACAGACTGATCTTCCTGACTTCATCTGGTCCCTGCTTTGACCTGGAAACTTAGCTTGGGTACCTGTGTTTCTCCAGCAGTGGCTGTTCTCTGCTGGTGCCTTGTCCTAGCAGACTCTTCTCTCCTAGTTCCTTGGCAACAGTGTTCTAATAACCTTTGCGGGTCACACAGTTCCTAAGTGTGGAGCTGGGATTAGGCTAATGGAGGTGTTATAAGACTCTCCAACAATATATTCATCAATGATTCACTTCTACTAATTATAACTCGACATATTTTGGTAACTTATTGAAAGCAAAAAGGTTAATAACTCATGACTTCCTTGTAGGTCAAATCTTTGTCCGTGTAAAGCAATAATTTTGCCTAATTTTATATTTTTTCCCTTGCATTCTTTGGGTTAAGTTCATTTTGTCACTCCTGCTCTTTATATTTGTATATTTATTTGTTCATCTTTCTATAATACTAGTTTAGATTATTCTCTAGCGATTACATTTTTTTAACCCAGAAAGGAAGTATTGTGTTTTTTACTGAAGTTTAGATTGGTTGTCAGAACTCATAGATTTTATTTTACTTGTGTAGTCTTGTTCATGTTTTTGCATTTTTGTAGGTCTTGATGTTTTCTTTTACTTAATTTTTTAAGCTTTTCTTATATTGCCTGTTTTGTTTCTTTTTATCTTTTTTCCCATGTACTAATACATACTTATTTTGTTTAAATTATATTCTTGATTTCTGAACAATTAAAAAAAGAAATTATCCACCCTATATTTTTTAGTTACAAGTATGTTATGAAGCAGTATCTTTAATTTGAATAGAATTGAGTCCTTGCTAAGAAAAATGAATGAGATAAGGTATTTCATCTTCTGTTCACCACTCGTACCTGTGAAAGCCAAACAGCCTGACTTTTTATAGCTGTCAGTGATCAATACTGAAGATATAATCTGTCATTACAAAGCAGCTGGCTTGGGCTTTGAAATGTAAACAGTGATAATTTATGAACGGGTTAGTCATTTTCCCATAAACATCTGCCCATGTACCCTGTGTTGTAATACATTCATGCTATTGCGTTCCTTGTCTGTTGTAACATTCGTTGATTAGTAAATATTTATAGATGTCTCTTGTAACAAAGTTTGGCTTTGGGCATGATCAGTTAAAAATAAATTTTAAAATATCATAAAACAACTATGTAGTGCCCAAGAAGACCTTAGAAAATATTCTTTTCTTCATGTTTCTGCCCTGTGTTGTATTGGTCTTGTCTTATCTGGTAGAATTGTCATACATGTCAAATGGGGAGCCTCATTATGATGAAAAATGAAACAAAGGGTGCTTTTTTTCCATTACCCTATACCCTGAAATAGCCAAAATATACACATATGGCACCAGAAGAACAGGGAGTTTGCCTTTTTCTAGCTTGTTTTAAAAGTGCAGTGCAGACAAGCTAAATCCAGCTGGGAATTCTGTGGGTCACACGCATTAGGCGGTGCAGAATTGAAACCTCTGTCTAGAGCAGACTCTCAGAAGATTTACATGCAAGGTTAAGCTAGCATATTTTTGTTTGTGTTGCCTTAAATCTTCTCCTTTGAAGGTTATGATAGCTGCTCAGTGACTAAGTGGTTATTTTTTTAAATCAGTGATACATTCGTTGTTTAGAAGGTATCTAATACTTCTTGTCTTAATAAAAATGTTAATAACAGATGAAACTCTGTATATTAGCATATCTCAAGTGTATAATCCTAGTTTGCTATTTACCCATCTGATTTGTGTAACATTATACTGTCATTTAAAATATACTTTTAAAGCCAGATTTTACATTTCAAGTTATCTTTAGTAATAACTCTCAGTACACTCACTTGTAAATAGTTGCTATAAACTATTCACTTGTAAATAGTTGCTTTTCAGACTGTAAAAATATATTTACTCATCCCTGTAAGCTTAAATTTTGCAGCTAATTACTATTTTCTGATACTTTATGTATATATACATATATTTTTTCTTGAAAATTATTTCCAAAAATAATTATTTAAATGCAAATCATAACAATAAATGAAAACATTTAAAACACGTACTTATTTTTGTAATTGCCATTCTAAATAATTTAATCAAAATACCCCCATTCTGATTTCTTTCCCATTCATCTTTTCCAAGAAGTTAAGAACCTGAATTTTAAAAAACACTGTACCCAAGCAGCAAAACTGTGCCAAACTTGAAAGGCCGACCCCACCTTTTGGCTCTATTGACCCTAATACTTTTCCAATTAAAGAAAAACTTAACAAAAAATAGAATGCAATGACTACTTTAAGCCACTTGGCACTTTGGGGCTTTATTCTGTTTTCAAACTGGCATATGATAATTGAATTTTCTTGGGGAAAACTCAAAGCAGCAATCCAGCTTTTTCGAGATACTCCACTTGATGAATCTCCACTCCCAAAGAACATCAGTGAAGCCCTCGTGGTATTATCTTTGTTAACAAAGAGTCACCACATTTTGATGATTCTCATTCTAAGTGCTAAGACTTAAAATGGCAATATAAAACATAGCTCAAAATGTTTTAGTAGAACTTAGCTTTATCTCTTGTTGACTTTTCTTTACAGTTAAAAAATATAGAAACCACTTTAAAAGCATGCAAAAAAAAGCATGTCCCATAAGCAATTTACTTCATATTGTGAAATTAACATGTTCCATATTTCAAAGGTTTGACAAAGCTCTGTGCGTTGTCATTGACTAATTGATGGAAACTTTCAAAATCTCTGATCCTCTGGCTGGTTATTTACTGACAGTGTCCTTTATGGGCTTGTGTCTTCTGCATTTCAAGGACTCATGTGGCAGCATAGAAACAAAGGATGTTAAAAGGTACAGTCAGATCCTGCACACTGGGTGTTAAGTTTACAGTAATTTGGATGAGTGAAGGGCCATTTCATTATCTTATCAACTGAGAAGGAATGGCAGAGCTGACCACTAGACTGGGATGCTATAGAGGTTTTAGGGGCACAACTTGGTTTTATACTTGGGAATGAGACAGGAGTTCAGCAGGACTTGTTTCACAAGATACGAATCACAAAGACCTTGCTGGTAAAACAGGATGCAATAAAGAAGCCAGCCAAAATCTGCCAAAACCAAGATGGCAACAAAAGTGACTTCTGGTCATCCTCACTGCTCATTATATGCTAATTATAATACATTAGCATACTAAAGGAAGAGCCCACTGGTGTCACAACAGTTTACAAATGCCATGGTAACATCTGGAAGTTAACCTATATGGTCTTTCAGTGGGAGGAGCCCTCAGTTCTGGGAATCCCCTGCTCCTTTCTCAGGAAACTCATGAATAATCCACCCCTTATTTATCATATGATCAAGAAATAACCATAAAAATAGCCAATCAGCAGCCCTTAGGGCTGCACTGCCTATAGAGTAACCACTCTTTTATTCCTTTACTTTTTAATAAACTTGCTTTCACTTTACTCTATTGGCTTGCTCTTGAATTTTTTCCTGCAGAAAGCCAAAAACCCACGTGGCCTCCTGGGGTGAGTCCCACTTTCAGCATTTGCCCTGCGACAAGTAAAAAGACTATTTGATTTAATAAATCCTCCATCTTATTTAAATTTGGGTGATTTTAGCATATTTATAATTGGGAAAGTTTTCAAAGTGATACAGGATGGTGATAAATGCACACATGTTTACAATTCAGTATTACAGCTCTCCAAGAGTTTTCTGGTTTCTTTTACCACACTCAGAATTTGAAAGGCAACCATCTGGGTCATGAAGATGCTTGCTGATCAACTGCTGGGGTAGAAGAGACTGCTGCAGTAGAAGAGACTTTAAGTCCCTTGCTGAAGACTGCAGTCTGGCTTACTGGTTTTAGTTATTTGCACTACCTAACCTGTATCTCAAGGACTGTGGACACCATACAACATCACAGAAAACTTGATGCTTGGAGGTTTATCGGATTATGAAAGATGTTGTGTCTGCCTGTGGTATCCTGAAAGTACAGATACCTGCAGTCTTGAACCTCAACTTCTGGATTATTTCGATTATGAATTCTTTAGACAGTTTTTTTTCTTTTTCTTTTTTATTTTTGAGACAGGGACTTGCTCTGTTGTCCAGGCTGGAGTGCAGTGGTGCAATAACGGCTCACTGAAGCCTTGACCCCGCTGAGTTCAAGTGATCCTCCTATTTCAGCCTGTTGAGTAGCTGGGACTACAGGTGCCTGCCACCATGACAGGCTATTTTTAAAATTTTTGTAGATATGGGGTCTCACTGTATTGCCCAGACTGGTCTCGAACCCCAGGACTCAAGCAATCCTCCCACCGTGGTCTCCCAAAGTGTTGGGATCATAGACATGAGCCACTTCCCCTGGCCTTAGACAGTTTTGGTTCCTTCAGAATTAATGATCTGCATCTGCAAGGCATATGGATCTCCACTGATTTACAGGGGGTTTGCCATTACTGAGTTGACTTGTAGACAGAAAAACAAACTGCCTTTGTTGAGCCATTTGACTTTTCCTCATATTTTTCCCTTTTGTGAAAGACCTTAACTGAGGATCCCTGCTTTGCCTCTGGAATATGCCTGCAGTAATGTTTGTTGAGAAATCTGAGTTTGGGAGTAACTGTTCCTGTGGGGCTGTAGAAGCTGGTTGTCATTCTAATAGATTCCTGAGCCTTGATATTGCTTCAAATTAGATTGTTGCAAGTTTAGAAGGTGCAGGTGAAGTTTTCCTTTCAGGTTTTGCTGGTACTGACACAAGCACAGACATGCTGCCCATGAGTGATAATCTCCGTCTTCTTCATCCTCTTCTCCATGAATTTTTAAAACAACCTAAATTACCACTGATAACTGTCTCTTCTGAGAGTTTTCTCCCTCAATACTTATTTTTTTCAGACTTGGTTCTGGAGAGCGGATTATGTCTTATTTAAGCTATTAAGTATTTCTGATTCACATAAAAGTATAGTGTTCCTCCCTTTTCTGTGGGGGGATACGTTCCAAGACCCCTAGTGGATGCCTGAAAGCATGAATAGCACCGAACCCTATATATGTATGTGTGTGTGTGTGTGTGTATATATATATACTATGTTTTCTCACATACATACATACATACATACATACTTATAATAAAGTTTAGTTTACAAATCCGGCACAAAAAGAAATAATAATAACAACTAATAATAAAATAGGGCAATTATATAACAATATACTAAATTTATGTGACTGTAGTCCCTTACTGTCAAAATATCTTATTGTACTGTACTCACCTATTTTCTGATCGTGGTAGACCGCTGATAACTGAAACTTTAGAAAGAGAAACTAGGGATAACGGAGGACTACCATACCACTTCATACACCTGTTTTGTGCATCTATTTATTGGCAGCCTGTATTATCTGAAGCGATTGAAATGGAAACTTTTTAAATAAGTGCCACCATCTGCCTTTGGACTTGCGATATTAAATCTCAATAGAAAGAGGAGCAGAAGCATAGGTTAATGTCGCTGTAGGTTTTCCTGAGATGAGAGATCCTCCTGCACACAAGGGAGGTCTCAATGAGGTCTTCTGGTTCCAGCTCAATATCAATTACACCCCTAGAGGGCGCTGTTTCCCTCAGCGGTTTCCTTGATGTTTGCAGCTCAGGATCGTGCCTCCTTTTGCCTCCTAGCTGGACACCTTTCGTAGGGTGTCTGGAGCTGGAAATGGCAAGGGGTAGCCCACATCTTCCTGTCTTCTGTCGTCTCCTATCACTTCACTAAAACTAACAAGCAAAATCAGAGCCAAATGACAAGACGACTTGCTTCAGATTCTAGGAATCAGCCCAGTTCAGTTCACTCTGTGGCTTCATGATGGGTTAAATTTCATGATGGGTTAAACAACTTCACTCATCTATACCTTCAACAATTGTGCCATAAGTCTGAAGTCTATGACTCAGGCTTCCTGACTTCAGTGTCTGATCACTTGTTTTTATTATGTTTGTGGTGTCCCATGTCCCTTAACCTTAAAATGCACTTACCTATGAATGTTACATTGCAGGTATCCACTCAGTAACCTCTGAAGTATAAAGTCAATGAAGAAAGGGTGCTCTTTTGTCCGATTCTTATTTAAGAGATAGTATAGCTTTGTATTAAGAACACAAAATCTAGAAGCAGACTGCCTGAGTTTACATCTCAGCAATGTGACCTCGAACAAGCTACTCAGCCTAGAAGTGTCATGATTTGTTTTACAAAACAAGGATGATAATTATCATAGCGCCTACCACATAGGTTTTGAGAATCAAGTGAGTTAGTACATAGTGCTTGGAACAGTGCCTGATACACAGTAAACTTCATAAGCCTTTTCTTTTTGTTATTATTTAATGTGCTCACATCAAAATGTCCAAAATGGTTAAAAAATATTCATTGATGATGATTTACTCTGACTAGCAAGGAGTTGGTGCTCCATCAATGTTTAATGAATTGAGTCTAAAGCAAAAATAAAGATGACAAAAGTGCTGAAACATTTTAATCAAAATTTTCTCTAAATGTAAGGTTTTTATTTTACTACACACATTCCAGGATTTGTTTGGCTAAGGGGATTCAGAAGTACCTGGGAGCTTCAATTTATATCAAGCTGCTAATTAATTAACTTCCAAAGAAATTCCATGGGTAATTGGTATGATATGAAAATCCTAGTGTGCTTTGTAACCCCCTTTATCTCAGGTAAATCAGTTTCCTTGAACACATTGCAATAGCGTTTACTGAGTTAGGTACTCTGTATGCGTGTGGTTGTCCAATTCTACCAACACCATAAAGAATATATTCTATCATCATCATTTTAGAGAGGAGGACATATGCCCAGAGTCACTCAACCAACAGGAATTAGAGTCAGTACGAAGGCACAAGTTGTCTTCCTGCAAAACACAAACCTTTCAATTGTCCATGCTAATCATAGTTAACGATCATTAAAACAACAGCCCAGATTGAACTGGTGGGAATAAAAAGGCAGGAAAGTGGTGTTTAATGCTTCTTCCACCACTTAGAGGCAAGTCATTTAACTTCTCTAGGACACAGTATCAACAGAAAAAGGACACTAAACCACTTTTCTGAGGCAAACTGAGCCAGTTTTCTTGCAGTCTCTTTCAGGTCCATGGTATTTATTATTTTCACTGATTTCTCTTATTTGTGTATTTGTATTTGTTGAGCATCTGTTATGTGCAAGGCACAGTGCTGGAAGCTCCACAAAATGAAAAAAAAATGAAATAGGATGTAATTCTTTGCCTCCTTTGAGACTACTGGTGATAATGACCCATAAAGCTCGGGGAGTCTACCCTTTAGTTAGGGGAGGACACGTGGCAAGTCATAGTCACCATAATAGGCTGCAGTAGCAGAGGAGAAGTGCAGTCTGTGCCAGTTCCGAGGAGGCAGGAAGCATAATGAGTGGGGACCATTAGGAAAATACTTCAAGGTGGAGATGCCATTTAAACTGAGCTTTAAGAGTTAGAGAGGGGACATTCTGGCTGGAAGAGAATAGAGTTGGCTGTAGGGAGATGGGAAAACATAGTGTCTTCATGAAACAATGGTCTTCCAATTTGGATGAAATGAAGAATGCTGGAAGATAAAGCTAATTTAGATTGAGAAGGCAGGTTAAGAGGATTAGTTTGCTTATGAAGAAAGAGAAAATCTTTAAGCTTTTTAGATGGGTGTGAAGGCTTAGAGCTCCACTTTAGGAAGATTAACTCAACTTAGTATGTTGAGTCCTTTCGAGTCTAGGAGCTTGAGAGAATCCTGGTACCACTGATGGGAAATAGGAAGTCCAGAGGAGTTGGTTTGTTTCTCTTACCACCAAATTCAGGTTTCTATGTATTTAATTTGAAGAACTGTAGAAATGTTGGACTGGACTTTAGGAGAAGGAGCAGAAGTGAGGAAAGAGAGGAAACAGAGCCAGGTACAGACCTCAGGGATGTACACATGGAGTTAGTTGGCAGGAAAGAGAAGCCAGTCGAGAAAGAGAGAAGCAGCAATCAGTGGAAACAGTGGAAAAGCAGTTCTGTGTTTGGGGGTAAAGGAGAAAGAACTGCAGAAATAAATGAACACCACTAAATTGTAAGCTTCTTGAGAGTACAGGTTGGTGACATTGTTGTAAGACAATCTGTTTATTTAAATATTTCGCATGACAGGCATGGTACAGTGTTTCTCACATTCTTGGCACTCAGTGAATGTTGACTGAGATCTATATTGTGCAATGCTACACAAGGTTTGAGGAGAGGGAAGACTGAAAAGACCCCTTGTCTTTATGATCAGGAGATCTTTGGATATTGCTTCTGTATAGTGATTTTCCACCCTTTCTGTTTTAAGAAATATAAAGAACAAAGATATTATTCATATCAAAGATTAAGGTATATGCAACATTGCCTCTAGGCCATGTGATCTGTTGGACCATGAATGTAAAAGTGTCTGGTTTTGTAATAGTACATATCGTCCCTCAGCACTCTGCTGGTTTGTATGAACATCAGTATGTTTGAGAATGAGTGCAGGAAGGTGGAGGTAACCAAGCTGTCCATCTCTAGAAAAGTCCAGTGTGGTGGGTGGGTGGGTGCACACAATGAAATAGTAAGCCACACCAAAGGCCCCGTACTAGATGGAATACAGTAACACAGTTGTATCTTGTAAACATCATGTCCAGTAAAAAGGAGTAACAAATAGAAATGAGTAGAAAAAATAGGAAATAAGTGAGAATTATAAGAGAAATAAGAAGCAAAAACAGAAATAGAAGCTATAGCATAATAACATCTGTGTAAATAATAACAGACTCAAAACAACACTGTACAACATAACACAAGGACACATACATAGCCAAAGACATATTCATTACAGTGAATATCTCCTGGGGGTAGTGAGGGAATAAACATGCTAATCAGGATGATGGAGAAAATCAGACAAAACAATAGAAGGACCTTGAAAAGATTAATGATGAGGTATGTGATTAATTCATGATTTGAGTAGACATCAAAAGAAAAAAGGGAATATGTGATGGAGCCATGTTGTTTTCAAATCTCAAACAAAGGCTCATACAATAATCACAGGGATACTATATAGGTTTTACATTTATTATGCTCATTGGCAAACAAAACCAGAAACAACATATATTATCTATAGTAAAATTCGTGCATATCATAAGGCCTATTAATTTGTACTTCAACTATATGGCTCAAAGTGACATCAGGTGTGTTGGGGACAGCAAGAAGGGTGGGGCTATTCATCACAGTAGGGACAGAAAAGTCCACATGGTGCCACCCATAGGTTCTTTCAACATGAAGCTTTCCAGGAAGCAGCTTAGGTTAGGTAGACCTCAACCTAATATTTAAGACTATCATCTAAGGCATTATTAATACTTGTGACTATTTTCTAGAGCATCACATATTATGTAATTAACAAGCAGGAATTCAGTACTGACATTTGCATTTTAGCTTAATAGTTACATTTATTACTTCTTTTCATTAAAAATGTGTGTTCTAGCAAATTCATTTTCTACCCATTCAAATAATGAGATTATATCTCATCAAAGTCCAGTCCAATTTGAACATATCTGCAAAGATATCCCCAATACATAGTGATTGGTAGAAAATATGAATAGAGGATAAAAGATGGTTTACTTTTATACAGCATGCAGGAACCATGATTTCACACGCAGCAAAATGAATCATTCTGCTTCTTCCTCACTCTTTTTAAATTGAAAGTTAGAACCAGCAAGTCATGCACCCCCCATTAGAAGCCTCACTGAAGGTCTGAGGAGCTAAGGCTCAAGATGGTGTGTTTTTGCCTTGACTGCTCTCAACACAGTATTCCATCTGCTATTCCTTTGTTCCATCTGCTCTTTCTTAAACCTGTCTTGAAAAGAACAATGGCTATCATCATCCTCTGTCTCAGAGATGATCTCCATCTTCTGAATGATCAGTTTAATGAGCTCATGCTGTTTTTCCAGGAGAAAAGTAAGATCCTTCAGCCTAAAAGGACATACACATTTCATGAATTTATTTTCAGTTCTTCTTTTAGCCCTTCTGAATGTAGGAAGGCATAGGTTTTAACCTCGGTCCCTTCTGAATGTAGGAACGCATAGGTTTTAACCTCGGTAGTCACAATCCTTCCAGGAAACATGTATTTTTGAAGTTTAAATGATTTTTCCCAAAGTTACACTGTTAGTTCATGGCTAGTTTATTTTTGTTCCCAGTTTATAGGTAAGAAACTATTATAGAGAAAGGTTAAGCAGATTGCCCAGGGTCACAGTTATTACGTACCTAGTTGAATAGGGGTTTGAACTCAGGTACTAACTAACTGTAAAACCCTCATGCTTAATGACTGCCCACCACATAGTTACTCCAGGGATCTTCAGAAGCTTTCAGAGCTTTGCTTTATGAATTCAGATGAAGAATACAGTTTATGATACTACCTCCAAGAGAAAGGAAATCAGCATTTTAATTTTTATTCACTTATGATTGGAAGGCAAACTGATTGGTGAATAGTGGCAAATATGTTGTTGGTTCTAAAAAATGTCTCATGACTCTCAATACACTAGCTACAGCTATCAATAAAGCAAGATAATATATAAAACAAAAACATCAATATAAAATATAATCTTACATTGTGCATTATTATTTATGAGTTTTAAATTTCTCAAGTACAGATAGAAGGAAAAATACATACCGGTATTTCTGCTTTAATATTTCCATTTCTAAAGATTTATCAGCATTTGGTATTTCTTGTCTTATTTCCCCAGTGCAAAATAAAAAACAGAATATATGCTGTCGGATAAAAAATAGTAGTTACTCAAATTGAATTCAATTCAGGAACTTTTTCTTAAGCATGTGCCAAAATTCAACCACCACTGGTACCAATATGCATAAGGCATAGCTATGCCCTCAAGGAACCCACAATCTGCTAGGAGAAAGAGACATGTGAAGAAAGAGCTGTGAAAGGAAGTCATACATATAATCAGAGAGAAATAAAACATGTACAGATAAAACAGAAGAGGAGTAAATTAGGACAGAAATTGTTTAGAATGAGGCTTAGCTGAATTGTTCTATATATTTTCATGAGAAATGCCCATCACGGAAGGTGGTATTCTATACGAGATTCATTGTTAATTATCTAAAACTGTACTGCACATTATCCAATACAACTCAACCAATCAACAAAGTTTCACCTGGAGAAATTTCAGAAATGTTATTTTAACACATTTCATTTTAATTTAGTATCTTTTAAACCATAGGTTGACTGGAGAGGGTCAAGGGCAGGTGTGAAATGATCAAGAATGAGGTAATTCTAGGAGTTCAGGCAAGAGAAAATGGTGACTTGCACAGGCCATCCAGGAAGTCAAATGGACCAGACTGAGGGGAGAATGAAAGGGAGGGGACAGATCAAGGATGACTCCTGGGTGGCTGGATTGCACAGGCTAATGAATTGTGCTGACATTGTTGCAAGGAGGAACCAGGACTTTTTCATTTTTTCCTGTAGGGGATATGTCAGGAGAGGGTGAAACGTGAAAGCATTGAAGTTTGGTTTTGAACCTGCTGAATGTGAGGCACCTTTAAAACATGCAAGTGGAGATGTCAAGTAGGCAGCTGGATACAGGGTCCGGGAACTGAAGAGTGAGCTCTAGGATTGAGAAATCAGTTGCTGAGCATTCTGTTTCGGTAGTAATTTTAACCATGGACATGTGTGAAATCAGTTGGAGAGATACTGTGGCGTTAGAATAAAGCCTAGACTGATACTCAGGGTGACTTTATTATTTTATGACTACACAGGGGAAATTAACCTGAAAAGAACTCAGGAAGAACAGTCGTAGAGATGAAGGGAGCCCAGGCATACTAAGGATTAGCAACCTGTTATTCTGGCTCTTCATATGGCCCTTCTTCCATTATAATGCAATTGTCTTGCTTAGTCTTTGATCACTTAATTACCTCATTTTCTATAGTGGATGCTGTGTGTGTGTGTTCGTGTGTGTGTGTGTGTGTGTGTGTGTGTGTGCGTGCTATGTTTAGGCTTTGTGTCCCCACCCAAATCTCATCTTGCATTATAATCCCCATAATCCCCACGTGTCAAGGGAAAGACTGGGTGGAGGTAATTGTATCATAGGGGCGGTTTCCCCCATGCTGTTCTTGTGATAGTAAGTGAGTTCTCATGAGATCCGGTGGTTTTATAATTGTTTGGTTGTTCCTCATGCGTTCGTTCTCCTTCCTGCTGCCTGTGAAGAAGGTGCCTTGCTTCCCCTTCACCTTCCACCATGATTGCAAGTTTCCTGAGGCCTCCTCAGCCATGCAGAACTGTGAGTCAATTAAACCTCTTTCCTTTATAAGCTACCCAGTCTCGGGCAGTTCTTTATAGCAGTGTGAAAATGGATTAATACATTGTATGTATAGTGTGTGTATGTGTAAATGTGTGTTCTTTATTGTGTATTCTAAACCCTTGGCTGTATATACTCACATATATATCTACACATAAATGTAAGTGACATGTGACTAGGAAAAGCAAATAAAGTATACCTGTACTGTAAAAAAGACACTAAAAGGGTGTGGCTGGTCCCCTGCCCATCTGCTCTCACAGGGACAGCACGCATTTAACACAGATGCTATGGATGAACCACCTGAAAGGGGAGAGCAAACGTCACCCTCCTCTCACCCAGCTCTTTCATGTCTTGGTTTAATCATATCCTTTTTTTAAAAGCACAACTCCTCTGCCCACAGGCAGAGAAGACTCAAAGTCTATAAAAGGGCCCCCTTAGGGTTAACACAATGAATGAATGTCAAACAGTGTCATGTTACTGATGTTGTTATTTGTTATGTGTACTTACGAATAACATCCCACCAGATCTGGGTTTGTTGGGATACACGATGGTGGATTTCTGATCCACTTTGCGTAGAAACCAAAGTGGCAGCTTCTTCTCTAAGCTGGTATGAAGTTCCACCTAAAGTGCATTTTGGATTTATTGATAGAATCATTAGTTAGTATATGGAATTTTTATATGGCACAGAGGCAATCATTAATACAGCAAAATGAAAACTGATTTCTATGTCCTGACTTCTGTGCCACAGCTGGGCTGGCCAGGCTTTCTTATCCCCTAGCTCACAGTCACCTGCCCCTTCCTCTCACCTCACCCACTGACAGGGCAGCAATCTGCCTTGGAGTGGGAGAAGAAGGAGAGGGGGAAGTTGCTTAAAAAAGGAATTCAATTTTAGTCACTTGCTGTTTATTGTTCAGGGATAGTCACCCGATGTTTTATTGTTCAATGCTGGAGATTTAAAGAAGAAAAGGGTAGTTCATACTCTTGCGGTGTTGCAATACTACAAAATGTGCACAACTGGACAGTGTGAATGCGTGTGTGCACGTGCACACATGTATACACATCTAGGGCAGGAGAGAAGAAGGAGTGCTTAACTGGAGGAAGACAAAGGTAAGCAGTAAAAGAATTAGAACTCTCATGCTTAAGAGTATGTCATGCATTTCTCATGTCTGTGCTATCAGGTGCAAAATGGTTTCTCTATGATGAATTTTAAGTATAATTACTATTTTCAGGGATAGCAAATGAGATATTTCCTCACATTTAATTTTTTTCATTTATTTTTGCCAAATTTATCTCTGCTTTTTTACACCCCTTTGTATCTGATGTATAGGTATGTTTACTGTAACTACTTGTAACTACTAGTGAGATTTGCTTTCTAAGAACAAATACTTTCCAATATTAGTGATTTATAGCCATAAATAGTGAAATGGTAAGAACTTTCCTGACACCACTGCTTAAAATTGTGGCCCCCTCACTGTCCCCCAAATGACTTTCCCCCATGTGGCTTCCTTGCTATTTTTATAGCACTTATCACCATTTAACATACTGTGCATTAGTTCCAGCTTCAAGAAAAGCTATGTTTTCTTGTATTTTATTAATAATACCAGTTAAATATTTTCACTGATTTTCTATAATAATTTCTAGGGTTCCTTTTTTCCCCTTTGCTCTTTAGGGTGATATCACTTTCCTCTTCCCATACATATAGTTTTAGAGGTCACATACTATTTCCTCACACTTGATTGAAAAAGATTTACTCAAGCTCAATGTTTGCCAACAGATAAAATACATAGTGTGTCTTACACTGTTCATTATCTACATAGGTCCCTCAAAGATGGTCCTGGGGGAGGTTGGCAAGCAAAGCCCCAAGTCCAGTGTGGGTCAGGTGGGACCCACTGAGCCTGGCACCACTGGGCTCAGGGAGCATCTTTACCTCCTCTAACTGGTGGGGTTTCCATGTTGAAGGGTAAGATGCACGCTGCGGATTTCCCTTTCTAATTTGCAGTGGAGATATAAATGTTTATGGACTGTCTGCAGCTGCCAAAACTGTGGTGGAAAGTGGAGATACCAACATTTAAAAATACCCAAACAGCTTCAAGCCCCTCAAAATACTCATAACACCTGCCCCTGAAGAACTGACAGTCCCCATAAAGAACCCATCTCCCAGCATGCATTGTCCCAAGGCCTGTCTCCACTTCCCTTCGAGATGATTCTATGAGAGAACTAAATGGCCCTGTCAGAAATGTGTGCTACTTGTCCAGTTCTGCTCACAGTTCTGCCATGGGCTCAGACATAGGTTTCAGAATGGATGCAGAGAGTTGCTTAAGAAACAACTCAGGAGAAGTAGGAGAATGGCTTCCCGGTTTTCCAGGCGATGCTGTTTTTGATCCAAAACAAGGCATAGAAAATATGGGGGGTACTAGGATTTGTGCCATTGACTGTCAGGGAGCATAGTAAACAATATAGGTTTGTGCTTTTCAGCTCAACCCCACTGACACTTTAGTTCAGTAAGCTTCCCCAATTTTGCTTGTATTATTGTTTTTATCTATTCCCCAGGGTATTTTAAAGAGCTGTTAGGGCAGTTATGAGGTATTGCTGACATACCTGCCAAGAGGTTTATACATCTCCTCTCCATATCCATACACCTGGAGTCCTAAACACCATCTTTGTGACAGTAATAACCTGCCATTAGCTTTTCCTGCCTTCAATCTTTCCTCACTAAACCAAGATAATAACAGATCACTATAAACACCATTTTCATTGCAGAAGGGCTGATAATAACTCTCCACTAACTTACAAAATAACTTGAAGCACTTCATCATTTAGTGCCCTTTGCTAAGGTTTTTCTTTGCTGGTTTTGAATAAACCCCCCTATCATCTGCAGCAATCTAATCACCCACTAACATGAATGATCCTTCCAGGCAAAGGGGCCTTGGGCCAGTGCCTTGGCCATTTTCCCTGGTTCTGATGTGGCCCTTTGCTCTTGCTGGCCCCTCCTTTCACGACGGTATCGATGTCCTGTTAAATCCCAACCATCTTTCAACACTGACTCATCTCACCCCCTCCATGTTGCATTCTCTTAATTATTTTTGCATTTTTTCCTGTACCTGATCCTGTGTTTGTTCTCTAAGTGTTCCAATCGCTCTGTGTCTCTGTATAATATACAGCCATGTCATAGAACATAGAATTTATGAATGGTTCTCAGTTGATTTTTGATATTTAATTCTATGAATACCTAGCTGGTGTGCTAAGTAGGCATAGTTGACTTAATAGTCAGGGATCACATCCCTCTGTTTCCTCTGGGCTCTCATGATAAGTTGTACTGGACTTTGTACATACTATGTATTGAAACATTGTTTTCAATAAATAAATGTTAGTGTGTGGCTGAATGAATAACAGAGAAGAAAGAATTTGGACAAATAAAAGTGAAGAGGAGACAAGAGTGAATAGAAAGTTATATCATAACATGATTTTTCTCTCTCTCAAACTGGCCAAAGTTTCTGAATGCGTATAGTCAACTGGTCACCAAATATCCTCGAAGCATCAAAAGTGCCCATGTGAATTTGAAATTTAAAGACAATCCAGTGAAGAGCATAAAAATAACTTTGTGTTGTATGACAGGAAGGCACCTCACAAGATTCAATAGCCAAATACCTAGCCAGGAAACTTTGACACCAAATTTTACATCAAATTGTCTATAAAAATGAGAGAGATGTCACAAGAGAACAAAACCTCATGGATGCAGTTAAAACTTCAACATAAATCATGCTGTGGGGACCCTGTGATTCCCTGCACAAAATATAAGGAGCTCCTTTGAACAGCGGGGCTAGGATGCCAGTGATGCTCTTGATCAAGCAGCTAGCTACCTGGGTGGCCACATTTTAACATAACAAAAGATGCTCAGGCAATTTCTCAATTTCTCTAAGATTGTTCTCGGACATTTTTTTGTATCAACTTTGATTAGAGCAGGTATACCAGGTAACATGCAAACAGACACAGGATGTGACTCCTCAGGATTAAGAAGGTATCCATGCTAAGTAACTGTGCTCTTAAAAAAGGAAGTAACGATAATGGTGTTAATTCCAGTAAGTTTAAATAAACGTGATGCAGACAATACCTAACTTAGGTTGGTTTGACTCATGATTTTTGACTTTATGATGTGTGAAAGTGATGCATATTCAGTAGAATCTGTACTTCAAATTTTAAACTTTGATCTGTTCTGGGCTAGCAGTATGTGGTATTCTCCTGGGATGCCGGGCAGTGGCAGCGAGGAACAGAACCCAGTCAGCCACATGATCAGGAGGGTAAATGGCACATACTTTACAGTGTAAGTAGTATAAATTTATAACTGGCATATTCCTACAAAATGCCCATTTTTGACTTGTAATATTTTTAACTTATTGTGGGTTTACCAGAAGATAACACTGTAATAAGTGGGGAGGCACTGCACTTACCTGCATAGCTATCCTCTTCAATGATGCATGTTTCTGGACCTCAGCAATGTCGCCAACTGCCAAACCAATCTGAAGTATGACACAAAATTAAATCACTACAGTTGAATGGTCCACCTAAAAATGCATGTAAGGTCTGTCTTAGTCCATTCAGACTGCTGTGACAAAATATTTTAGTCTGGGTAGTGTATAAATAGCATAAGTTAATTGCTTATGGTTCTGCAGGCTGGGAAGTCCAAAATAAAGACTCGGGCAGAACTGGTTTCTGGTAAGAACCCATTCCTCATAGGTGGCACCTTCTATGTGTTCCCATATGGCAGAAAGGCAAAGGAGCTAATAAGCTCCCTCATAGCTCTTTTATAAGGGAACTAATTCCATTCATGAGGGCTCTCCCCTCATGGCCTAATCACCTCCCAAAGGCCCCACCTTCTAATGCCATCTTCTTGGTGATTAGGT
The DNA here is from genome assembly GCF_000001405.40 of Homo sapiens. Classification (NCBI taxonomy): domain Eukaryota; kingdom Metazoa; phylum Chordata; class Mammalia; order Primates; family Hominidae; genus Homo; species Homo sapiens. Next base: position 72,030,354 of record NC_000008.11, read on the forward strand.
TTCTATACATACATTTTGGATGGGACATAAAAATTGAAATCATAGCAAGGCCTCTGTGGCTAAAGTGGGAGACTGGGCATATAATCTACTAGTAGTAGCTGCAGAATACTTTGGTAATACACCTTACAGAAAACTACAAGGCCTATATACCTCTGCAACGATGATGGCCACATTCAGAGGTTCAGTACTCTTAAGTGTTATGAAAACTTAAGACATACAAATTAATCCAAAATTCATTTCATTTAAGATAAAAATCTGTTTTTTTTAAATGAGAGGGATGATGTGATATCACATGCAATTGGGTGTGGCCACACAACATGGTGGGAAACTCCAGGAGTTTAGTAACTAAGGTAGACAAGAGTGATTTAACAACATGGAAACAAATACTAAACTGAGAGAATGATACATTTTATATCTTACATATGTTCAGAAGGAAAACATATACTATAGGGGCAGGAGAGGCTCTGGTGAGAAACCAGAAATTTATGGCTAGATAGAATTAGCTGGGGGGAAGCTGTTAGCTCAGTTCTACTCAGTCTGATGAAATTAGCTCATTTCACTCATCCATTTATTTTCTGGTACTTAGTTCCTGCCTTTGCTGAGCCAGCATCTTGCATGCTGCACCAGAAAGAAAAGTCAGTGACTGCTCTTGGGGAGCTCAAAGTCCAGTAAGCTCTATGAGACAAGGGATCTGTCAAGGTCTCCACTGTATGCCCAGTGCTTAGTATAGAGCAGGGTACATAATAGGTAAACAAAACAGTCACAGAATGAATGAAGACAGGGAGAATATATTCTAGGGCTTGAAAACTAGCACTGAGAACTGGATATAGTCAGGAAATAGGTTTCACTGGACAGGATAATATTGTTTTGGTTTTTAATTTGCAAGTGTTCAGATGGGTGTTCTCTCCAATTTACATTGACCCCCATCAAAACCAACCATCTCTGCCAGGCGCAGCATTTTACATCTGTAATCCCAGAAATTGGGGAGGCTGAGGTGGGAGGATCACTTGAGCCTAGGAGTTCCAGACCAGCCTGGGCAAAATGGCAAAACCCCATCTCTACAGAAATACAAAAATTAGCTGGGTGTGGTGGTGAGCACCTGTAGTTACAGCTTCTGGGTAGGCTGAGGTGGGAGGATCAGCTGAGACTGGGAAGTGGAGGCTGCAGTGAGCCATGATCACTCCACTGCACTCTAGCCTGGGTCACAGAATGAGATCCTATCTCAAAAAAAACAAAAAAACAAAAAAAAAACAAAAAAACAAAAAACAAACAAACAACAAAAACTAACCCCAAAACTAACCATTTCATACCTGCTGCTTCACATATTTTAGATACATTTTTGGGCTCTGAAGACATTTGAGCTTATAAGCCATAGAAGAGATGAATTATTAACTTTTGATGGTCACTAACATTTATCAAATGCTTATCATGTGCCAAGTACTATTTTAAGTCCCTTGTATTAGCTCATTTAATCTATACAATAATCTAGGAAGTAGGTTTTATTATTATTAAATGTTTGTATCCTCAAAACTATGGTAACACAAGGAAAGAACATCCAATAGAGTTAGTTAATTGGAGAGGGGTGGTGGTTAAGGAAGTCTGACCTGAAGAAATGATACTTCAGCTGAGTTTTGAAATCTTAGAGCTAACCCATGGTGGGACGTTTTTCAGGCAAAAGGAAGAGCCTGTACAGAGTCTAGGCAGCATGAAGGAAAGTGTGGCACAATCATGGAGTGTGCATTTCTGGGTAAATCCTGGGAACAGTGAGGCGTTGGGAAAGATCTTGGTAAGATCCAGCTCACAGGGACCTTTGCTTGCTATGCTGATGGGTTTGGACTGAATTAAAGCTTTTGAAGAGGCATGGAAAATATTTTTAAAAGCCACTGATGTGTTCAGTTTTTCATTAGCAGAGCATCACTATGGTGGCCATTTGTAGGAAAAATTAGACAAAGCAGTGTGATACGATAGAGATGCTCTTGAGGCTGCTGCAGCAATTTGGATGAGGAACTATGGCAGTCCAAGCCAACCGGAAGCAGATGTGACAGCCAAAGAATTATTGAAAGAACTGAGGAAAAACGTGGGAGAGTGAAATAGAGACTATCTGCCAATGATCTTAGTAGGATGACTAGGAGATTCTACTGAGAGGCAGTGGAGATTCTGAAGGAAAGATAACATTAGTCTTGGCTCTGTTGGTTTTGATTTTCCTCCAGGATATCCAGGTAGAGATGCACAGCGGGCGCTGGATGTTTGGATCTTCAGAATGGGGCCAACCTGTACTACTGCTAAGCCCAATTCTCTTCTGGATAATTATCTTCCAAAGCATAAACAATTATTGGAGAACAATGTGGGCTTTATGTCATTCTCCGTTATTCCTATTGCCATCCTTTCTTTTTCTAGGTCACCAAAATAAAACTCTGGAGATGTATCAAATAATTGAATCAAAATACTCACACATCTGCATAATTTTTTTTCCTTTCCAAAAGCACTGCCTAGTACAGTCTCTGGTACATAGTCAGACTCAGAGAAATTGTGTGGAATATGTGCATGCGTGCATAAATGGATAAAGGAAAAACAGGCACAACGATGCCAATAAGGGCTCCCCATGGACCTGGAATGGGATGCACCTTTGCCTGCATCAGCCAACGTGCTCATGCCTTGAGCAGATTCTGTAGAGAATTCCATGTGGAAGGGCACTCTAATGTCTGCTGATAGTGTCTAGGCTTTGACTGGGTTCAAGGCGGCATCTGAACGTCGCAGATGCCCTCTGCATGAGAGACTTCCCCACTTGAATCTCTGGTCAATGGTAAGTTCGAGCATAGAGATATGTTCCATAAAGGTCTCTGCCTAAACTCTGACCCCCTCTCCAACTCCAAAACATCACACACCTTCATCTTTATTGCCTTTCCCTGCTTCTTATTTCTTCATAGCATTTATCAACCCCATGACATTATGCTACACAGTTATTTATTACCTAAATTCCTGACTGTTTGTAATCACACTGAGACTGAATATTGGTCTGCTTTCTTCATCACTGGTTCCTAGAACTTGTAACAGTTGCTGGCATTTGGTAGATCCTTGGTATTTGCCAAGTGCATGCATCTTTGCACGCCCTGAGCCTCTTGATGTGCCTGGTGCTCCCCAGGCACCAAGTGAGTGTTGAACGAATAGATTTTGTAGTAGATCCTTCCTGATCTCCCCAGTGGAGGAAGATTAAAGAAGTTAAAAATGATTATCATTATAAAATGTTTCAAATGATCAACAAACAGAAAATATAAGAAAAAACTACTTACAAGTAAATTCATGAGGACAATTGGGACAAATATTGTGAAGGAAACAAGTTGTGCAAAGGACAGAACTGGATGTGCCAATTCATTTCTCAGATATGGTTCTAGGAAGGACTCTCGATAATTGATATCTCCTAGCATCATGCTGAAGGTCTGGATTATAGAAAGCAATGGAGAGCTGAAGGGATCCTGAAAGCAGACGGTGAGGTACAAATGAAATGCAAAGTTTCTACAATGAAAAAGTGTTTCCTGGAGGTAGAATGATAAAAACTATATTCAGAATACTTTTTTAAAGTCATAGGCATATAGCTGTTGAAATGCAGTGATAAAATATAGTAAACATGGTAAAGTCATCAAAAATATGTTATCTGCATAAATAATAAATCATCTGTGTTGTACATAAACTTTTTGACAATGGACAAAGTTGCTTAACACGACTATACTTTTTTCTGCAATAAACGTCATTTGAAAGATATAGGAGATAAAAACTAAAGTATTTGAATACTGTTGTTATGTAATTATGCATTTTCTAGACTATTTAGATTTAAATATAAATATATATTTCCATAATTCACAGCGACAAAATCAACTACTGATGTAACTGTCTTACCTGTAAATTCAGGAGGATGTAAAAGCTGAGTCCAAAAGCCAGAAGAAGGAAGATAAATACAACTGTAGACCTCAACAAAGTTTTCAAAATTACCTCCAACATAACAATAAAAATTCCACAATTTTCAAATCTAGAAAAGTAAAAAAAAAAAAATTTACTCACTTTTATAGTCAAAGTGTATTCATTCAGTGACAATATTTATCATGTATTAAACCAGGTATTAGATTTCACAGATGAGATCACTGAGGCCAGTTATTTTGAAAAAGAAAACATAAGAATTAATTGAATAATCATGTCTTAATTTTCAAGCTGTTAGTCAAATTACTTTTGCTTTTATTCTCATTATTAATGTTATCTATTTTTTGGATACAGGGTCTTGCTTTGTCACCCAAGCTGGAGTGCAGTGGGGCAATCATTGCTCACTGCAGCCTTGACGTCCCAGGCTCAGGTGATCCTTCTGCCTCAGCTTCCCGAGTAGCCGGGACCACAGGCAGGCATCACCCCCAGGCTGATCGTGAACTGCTGGGCTCAAGCATCAGCCTGCCTCGGCTTCCCAAAGTGCTAGGATTGTAGGCGTGAGTCACTGTGCCCGGCCCTAATGTTACCTTAAATCATTTTACCACTTGACAACTGGACATTACTTCAACTGAAGTAGGAGAGAAAAATAATAGCTTCTCAATATCAAAGAAAATGCTGCCAAATGCTTAATAAAGAAATTAGAGAGATAAATTGTGTGCTGCATCATGCAGAGACTGAGTTTGTGAACTGGAAGTCACCTAATGCAGGGCACACACTACATGATTTGCATTTTATCCTCACCATCTCCTTCGGTTTTCTTTTCTACCCCCTGCATCCTATATTGTGAAATGTTTGGATAGATAATGGGTGTGTCATCTGGCCTCTAACTTGTAGTCTGCCTTTGACAAAGATGACTTATTAAATGAGGAACTTACAAGATTCTAAAGCTGAAAGGGACTTCAGCGAAATTCACAGAGACATATATAGTGACTCAGCAAGGCCACTAATAATGACAGAGCCAAGGGTGTGACAGTGCCTGAACCTGTCTTAAATCCTATTTCTGGGCCACTGCCTTTCTCACCATACCACGTACTCTCCAAGGGGCGGCACTCAACTCTATCACTGTGCTTATGACACAGCAATGCAGAAGATATATGGTGAAAAAAACATGCTTCCTGGAGTCAGAAAGACTTTGGGTAAATACCTGTATCCTGACTGACTAGCTGAGATCTTCAGCAAGTTACTGAAATCAGTGCTTCAGCTTCTTCTTTTAGAGAATGCAGATAATAACATTGGCCTTGTTATTGGAAAGATTATGTGAAATAACATGAAACTCAACATTACCAACTGTCAGAGGCCCGGGAACTCAGGCTTTTTTCCCTGTCTAGAATTAGATTCTTTGGGCTTATTTTTTCTTTTATACCACTTCAATTCCCCATACTATCCATCAGTTCATTTTGAGTGTTTTAATTCAAAGTAAATGCTTACAAAATAATATCAGGTAAAACAAGAATAGCCAATACTTTTAATATTTACTCCCCCTGTTTAGTCCAGATTTGTCTAGACCAGTGTTCTTGACCTGGGCTCATTTGGCACACAGGGAACATCTGGCATTGTCTGCATTCATTTTTGGTTGTCATAACTGGACTGGGGTGGATGCTACTGGTATCTAGTGGGTAGAAGCCAGGAGCCAGGAATGCTGCTAAGCAATTTACGATATACAAGACAGTCCCCCTCCACAAAAAAAAAAAAAAAAAAAAAAAAAGAAGAAGAAGAAGAAGAAGAAAAAAGAATTATCTGGCTACAAAGTTCAATAGTGCCAAGTGTGAGAAACCCTGATCTTCATTCTGAACTCTGGAACCATGCTCCAGCCTTTCCTTAATAGGGTATACAAAAATTCTTCATATTTTGAAACAACTGGAAAAGGAATAAGCCAGTTTTAAATTTACACCAGGTACAATAGTTTTTCTTTTGATATTAAAAATGCTTAAAGGATGTGGAAATAATTCAAGCTTGTTTTACCTTTGAAGATACAATAAGAAATTCATCCAATAGAAGTAAACAGCAATTGCTCCACATTGCCACTGCAGATGAGCTGGTATTTCAACAAACAAGGGCAGCACAAAAATGATGCCCGTCGTGTAGATAATCCATTCAAGAACATTGCTTATATCCATAAAATAATTCCTTTTCTGGGATAGAAAAGAATAAAAAATTACCACATATAGAGACCTAGCATCTATGGATGGTTATATACATGCACCCCGTAATACAATTTTTCTAGCTTTGCAGCCAGCTGGGGAGAAGTTTAGGACCAAGGAGTAACCTCACGCCATCCTGGATTGACTTCAGAGTCCCCGGGGTATGAATCGGTGTTGGAGATGGCCCAGAGCCCTCTGTTAACCTGGTGTTATGGGAATCCGACGCCTAAGGAAATCCTACAAATTGCTGGGCTTTCCCTGTGGAGTCCACTCCATCTTAAGAAAACTTCTTGGGGACTGCAAGTTGGTTCAGTAATTCCTGGGGCCTTTCTATCCGTATAACAACATGAATGTGGAGCTCTCTTTATGAACTAAAGTTGTTTCTAAAAAGGTTTGGGACATGCACTGAGACTTAATTAGGAAATAAAAACAAATAATAATGGTATTTTCAAACTTTTTATGTATTGGTCATTAAATTTCCTATAGAGTAGGCCACTTAAATATCAATAAGAAAATGTGGAGATCAAATCTGATAGAGAATTCATATAACTTTATAGCTCAATTTAAACTATAATCTGCAATTTTCATTTCTGGAAAATGAAAATAATGGCAAGAAAGATTAAGTAATGTGCCTTAAATCGTTTAAGGTAAAATGCAACATTACAGTCTATCAGAATTGTGACAAATTTCTTAATGTACCTATATGAAAGTACTTGCAATGTATAATATTTAAAAAATGCAAACCATTATTATCAAATTTATAAATGCAAATATCTATGTGCTTACGTGATGCAACAAAGAAAATTTTCACAGAAAGTGAGGTGTTGTATAAAAGACATATGATTTATAAAAATAATATTCATGAACATATACAAAAAAATTATAAAGACTTTCAACCTCCATACTGAGAAAAGAAGGATCAACTTTTGCCATTTATCAACCAAAGGTAGGACCTGCAGATAATTTATACACTTGGTTCTGATCTGAACTTGGCTCACTTATTTAAAAAGTGGAATATAAAGTAAAAATTTTGCTGTAAAAAGTTCCAAAATTGTATTAAAACTTGGAATTTTATTTAATCAAAAAAGTATTTCTGTTAGAAAAGGAATTCAAAGAAAGACCCATTTGAAATGGAGTCTTGGGCCAGATAACTTCTTTATAAACATTTACATTTAAAATTATCAAGTTCAAAATGTAACCATTATGTTAGCAAAATCTTTAAAACTATGTAAGAGAAAAGAAAGTTCACTCATAATGACCATTTGTAGTTAGATGTTTAAGGACCAGTAAAAGTGGAACATCTCTTTCATAGATATATCAAATAGGCAGGGACCTTACCTAAAATCATGTGATTTCTACATTTTGAAACATTTATGCTTGGTGTTTCTAATCTATATGGTAGTCAAGCTATGTAATTTTATTATGACATAATATCTCAAGTAATAGCTTATCAATTAACTTATGTTCTGCATATGAAAATATGTGCAACTTTAGAGATACAAAATGTATTACATACCTGTTGGAAAATTTGCCCCGCTTCTTTGCAATACCCAAATATACTTGATAAAAACACTAAAATCATACAAGTTTTTATTAGATATGAATTCTAAAACAAAAAAGGATAAGACACATAGTTATGAGAGATATAAAACACTTTAACATTTCCATAATTTTCACTATTAAATTTCTTTTTTCTTTTTTTTTTGCTTAATTTCTATATACTGTCCACTTTGAGTTAAACAGAAAATTTAACTGACACCAATACTCATATAATTTACTAGAGATGAACACACCCTCATTTAGGAATGTCCTTATTAAGTGAAGTTCAAAAATTGCTAATTGAATTAAAAAAGAATATGAATCTGTAGGCCAATATAAAATTATTTATTGTGGCAAAATACATATAACAAAACTTACCATTTTAAAAGTTACATTTTACATGTACATTTTAAAATATATAATTCAGTGGCATTAAGTATATTCACAGTGTTATACCACCATCACCGTTATCTAGTTCCATAACTTTTTCATCATCTTGGATGGAAACCACATATCCATAAAGCATCTCTCCCCATTTCCCATGTCCCACAGTCCCTGGCAACTACAAATCTGCTTTCTTGTACACCTATTTTAAAGTTTTACACTTCAGTATTTAAGCTAGCATCTAACACATGTCAATTCTTTTTAAATTAGTTTACAAACTCATTAGTTGACCTGTTTGTTTATATTCCCTCTCCTTCCACAAAGGATTTTAGGAGAAATTATTACTGTATACAAATTCTTACAGGCTATTTATAATAAAGTCCTGATATGTCAGATTTATTATGGGTTTAGTAGTCTTAAGAAAAAATACATTTTTTATAATCCTTTATTTTAGAAAGTTAAAATTTGAAATTACCGTGGTATCTAGTATTTCTGAATGATCACTAGTTTCATTGATGATGCCAGTTGAGTTGAAAGCCATTCCTGGTTTTATATTGACAACGAGAATGGTCATAGGTATGAGACCAAGACAGTAAGATCCTAAATTCATCATATGAGCTCTAAATCCATAAGCCAACCTACAAAAATATAAGCAAACCAGAATTGAGTCATTTCAAACAAAAATATTTACTTAAGATACCTGGGGAAAAAATGGTTATAACCTCTTTCAGAAACCTTGTTGGTAAATTCACTGAAGCTTAAGATCAAGTAAATCTTCTAATTCACCTTTTTCATTTTCAGAGAAGGAACCTCAAGTTCTAAGCAAATTACGACTTAACAAATTAATGAAAGAGCCAGGATGTTAGCCCATATAATCTGTCGGCAATATGAGTGCTCTTCCTAGAACACACCTCTTTCTTCATTGTCAGCTAAATTTCAGGGTCCAGGATATTTCTACATGTTCTATACAATGATCCTTTCCATGCCCCCAAATATTTCATTTAATGTTAAAGATAAATTTTAGGCTCTAAAGAGCTTCTTCATGTCTTATATAATAATTCCCTCCCACCCTGCAAATATTTTATTTAATGATAAGGATAAACAATGCCAGCATTTTTTTTAACCTTAACTTCTTTTTATTTGGTCTTTTTCACTTTATTTTATTATTATTATACTTTAAGTTCTAGGGCATTTGCCTTACTTATTTCTTCAAAGTAAAAACATTAAAATAACAAAAGCTAAAACATTAAAATACCATTACAATATAATTGTTTTGAAGGCTTTGTAATAGATCCAATAGACACAGCATTAAACAAGAAATACTACTCAATACCCACCATTTCATGAGTAAATATTCTTTACACACAGGATGATTGAGAAGCTCTATGCGGTTATTTTGTACCATTGCCTGAGAAATAAAAAAAAGTGTAATAAAAACACAATCATAATCAACTACTGAGTATAAACTAATCTATTTATTGTCTGGTTTTATAACTGTGTTTGGTATTGTAAAAGTAACACCTATTTTAGAACATTGAAAAAAATAAAAATTAGATCAAGGTTTTAAAAAACACAAATTAGAGATAACCATTTTGTACAGGTAAAATTGTTTGATTCAGTCTGTTTCTTTAGATTTCTGACTACTTAACCTAGCATAAGCTTTTTAATCTTATACAGGATTACAACAGGAAAGGACATTAAAGATAAATTAGCAAGAGTTATACCCTCATTGTGTCCTTGAAGAAATTCAGGCTTATCTTTCCAGAAGGATTTTATGCAGTAGAATATACATACATAGTTGTTCAATTAATCTAGATCATAAGTTTTCATTAGAGTTATTTGTGACTACTAGTATTTATTTAAAAATTAGTTTTTAATTATTCAAGACATACATAAATAGAGGGACTGATGCCAACAAGGGAGCAAAATAGGAAGTCCCAGGCCCTCCTTCCTCCATAGAGATATGGAATTGAAAACAATACACAGAACATTTTCTTTGTGAGCAATCCCAAACTTAGTTAACGTGTTTCTGTACCCAAGGTGAGCATGTAGCCAAAATCAACCATATCAAAGACAGTAGGAAAATGCATGGCCTTTACATGCCACAGATCCTCCGTCTGGCAAAGCACAGTGCCATTGGGAGAAAACTCCCAACTCCTGCCTTCTCCCTGGAAAGAGAAAGAAAAGAGTGGAACATATCCACTAACTTCTGACTTCTAAGGGGCTGCCCAAGGGAATGATTTTTATCTTGCCTGAATCTAAGCTCTGACATGAATGGGTCTCAGGAGGGGACCACTGATAACAAAGTAGATCACTGGGTCTTAGTCTAGCACCAGAGAAGATAGAGTGTCAACAGACAGATCCTAGGCAGTGTCCCAGTATCATGACTTGCTACAGCATCAAAGACACAGGGAAAAAGAGACAAAAAGTCTACCACATACTGAAAGCAATTAACAAAATGGCAATAGTAAGTCCTTTCCTGTCAATAATTATTTTAAAGGCAAACTGGTTAATCTCTCCTATTAAAATACAACGGTTGATTGAATGGATAAAACCCAGGATTCAACTACATGCTCTTTACAAGAGACTCACTTTAGATATAAGAACACAGGCTGAAATTGAACGGATGGAAAAAGATATTCCATGCAAATGAGAACCTGAAGTGAAAAGAAACAGCCATATTTACATCAGACAAAATAGACTTTAAGACAAAAACTGTGAGAAGAAACAAAGGACAATATATAATGATAACAACGTCAACTCACCAGGAAGATACAACAATCATAAATATATACCCACCTCACATTAGAGCTCCCAAAAATATGGAGCAAACTTAGAACTGAAGGGAGAAATAAACAGCAACACAATAATGGTAGGCGACTTCACTATCTGACTTTCAGTTATGGATAGAACAACCAGACAGAAGTTCAATAAGGAAACAGAAGACGTGAACCACAGCATAGATCACTTTACCTAACAGACATACACAGAACAGTTCACCCTATGATGCAACAGAAGAATAGATATTCTTCTCAAGCACACATAGAACATTCTCTAAGATAGACCACATATTAGGCCATGAAGTATTAAAACATTTCAAAAGATTGAAGTCATATAAAATATCTTCCTCACTACAGTGGAATAAAACTAGAAATCAAAAGTAGAAGGAAAATATGAAAATCGAAAAACCTGTGGAAGCTTAACAACTCACTCTTAAACAGCAAATAGGTCAAAGACAAAATAAAACAGAAATTTAAAGTACATCTGGAAACAAATGAAATGAAAACATAATATACCAAAATGCATGAGGTACAACTAAAGCAATACTAAGAGGCAAGTTTATAATGGTAAATACTTATGTTATAAAAGAAGAAAGATTTTAAATCCATAATTTAACTTAAAACTCAAGGAAATAAAGAAAGAAGAACAGACTAAACCTAAGATTAGCAAAATGAAGAAAATAATAATGATTAGAGCAGAGATAAATGTAATAGAGAATAGAAAAACAATAGAAAAAAATCAATGAAACCAAGAATTGGTTTTTTGAAAAGATAAACAAAATTAACAAAATTTTACTGACTAATTAAGGAAAAAGGAGAGATGATTTATCGACTATGACACCAACAGGACAGGCAACTAAAGCAAAAGCAGACAAACAGGACTATATAAAGTTAAAAATTTCTTCAAGTCAAAGGAAGCAATGACCAAAGTGAAAAGGCAACCTATGGAATGAGAATAAATATTTGTAAATCATATATCTTATAAGGAGTTAATATCCAGAATATTTGAGGAACTCCTACAACTCAACAAGACAATAAATAACCCAATTGACAAATGGGTCAAGGCTGTGAATAGGCATTTCTCCAAAGAAGATACATGAATAGTCAATAAGCACTATTGTTTATGACTATTGAATGAGAAGATGCTCAACATCATTCATTATTAGGGAAATGCAGTTTAAAACCACAACGAGATACCACTTCGCATCCGTTAGGTTGGCCACTATCAAAAGAACAAAAAATAACAAGTATTGGTGAGCATGCTGAGAAACTGGAATCTTTGTGCACTATTGGTGGGAATGTAAAATGGAACAGTCATTATGGAAAACAGTATTGGGGTTCCTCAAGAAATTAAAAATAGAATCACCACAGGATCCAGCAAGCCTACTTCTAAATGTGTATATGAAGAGTTTAAAGCAGGATCTCAAAGAGATATTTGTATAATAATGCTATAGCATTATTCACAATAGCCAAAAAGGGAAAGCAACCCAGTGTCTTCAACAGACAAACAGATAAGGAAAATATGGTATATACATACAATGGAATATTATTCAGCCTTCAAAAGAAGGAAGTCTTGTCACATGCTCTAACATGGATGAACCTTAAGGAGATTATAGTAACTGAAATAAGCCAGTCACAAAAGTACAAATACTGTAAGATTCCACTTTATATGAAGTACCTAAGGTGGAGAAAAATCACAGAAACAAAAAGTAGAAGGGTGGTTGCCAAGGGCTGGGGGAAAGATGATGGAAGTTACTGTTTAATAAGTATAGAGTTTCAGTTTTGCAACATGAAATAATTTTAGACATCTCTTGAGTAACAATGTGAAAATACTTGACACTACTGAACTATGCATTTAAAAAGAGTTAAGACAGTAAATTTAACTTTATGCTTTTTACCACAAGTAAAAAAGAAGAAATACCCAGACAAATTCTCCTTTAAAATACTGGAACATCGGGATAAGGCCATAGTTCTCACCACACCTAAGCCTCAGTTCTAGGCAGGCCTCCATTTCCTCAATAGTATCATCATTGCTTACTTGTACATCCTTCCAAATCCTTTTCTATATTTCTACACAGAAACACCCATGTTCAAAAACTCAAACGTAGTTATAGAAAAAGGGATAATTATTTTGTATTTACGTTTTTACTCAAATTATGTCTTCAATTTGCTTATTTATTCAACACAGCCTAGAAACATATGAATGTTATATAAAGATTCATCAAGAACATTGTTTTTAAATATTGCTTAATATTTCATCATTTGGATATAGTAGTTTATTAAGACCTTCCCTTATTTATAAATATTATTATTGTTTCACATTTTATAATTAAAAATGATGCAGCCAGAATGGTCTTCTTAGCCCTTGGGGAAGTTTTTAATTTTAATTTGATGAGTTACAGATTTCATTTCTAGAAAATTCTCAGACATTATCCTTTCAATTTTCTCCCTATCTTTCCATCTCTTTTTAAAAATGTCCATCTTTCGGAAATAACTGTTAGATAGAAGTTGGAATTTCTGTTTTTAGCTTCCTTGTATTAACTTTGATTTGATTGTACTTTCCAAAATTATTCACCAAACAACTTATAGGTTTTTGCACTAAACACCCACTTACATTTTGAAAAAGCCTATACTATAATTTTCATCAGCACTCTATTACATTTTTTCAATTTTAGTATTCATAAAAATCTTTTAGAAGCTTATTTAAAATTTTGATTATTAGGTCTACCCTCAAGCATTCTGGGTTAGTAGGTCTAAGATGGGCCTTAGGAACCTTCATTTTAACAAGAACCACAATAATTCTGATTCAAGCAGCCAGAGATTCCAGTTTAAAAACTACTACTGTGACACCAACAATGGAATATTTCCAGGTTCACCATTTTTCTTTTCTATTTATTTTTACCCCAACCATTTGAAAAGTAATTGAGATATATTTATATACAATAGTCTGGGGGGAATAAAAGAACCCCTTGCAAATATTCATTATCAATTGGATGCCCAGTGGAGCCCGAAAAGCTATATATCTAGCTATTCTTGGGAAAAAAAAAAAAACTGGCAAGATCTAGCTATTGTTTTTGAGACCTCATCTAAACTTCCACGTAGATTTGACTTTTTTTCCATTTAAAATTAATGGTTTCTTCAAGCTAAAATAAAAAATATGGAAAAATATTTGTGAGAGTAATTCAGAATGTTACTATTAATATTTTTAAAACACCATACTAGAAACACACACAGATACTTGTTTTCAATGTGCTTTCATTAAAACAATCCTCTTACGTTTCTGAAATCTTGTAACTCTGCTTTTAAACTAATAACAAATACAGAAAACCTACCCCTTGAGGCATGCAAGTACATTGTTAAGTTTAAATATCACCCAAATAAAGTGTAAATAAGACAAAGTATCCAATGCATTTGTAGCTATGCTAATGGATTTTCCACAGTAGCTCTACTCTTGCATGCACCATTAATGAAAATAGCCTCTCACTGGCTCCAGTTTGTCTTAATCTCAGTGTCTGATTTCTTATGTTCTCTATTTGGTGCATCTAGACTTTCAAATTTTCTGTGCACAGTAATTTCTCATCAGGCCAGTTACCTTCCTAAAGAGCCCCACTCAGCTCACTTACAACTAAAGGAAGGTTTCATAAGCTATTAAGGCATTGCAGAATCAGGTGCTGTTTTGATATCTAGTACATTGCATTTATCTAAGTGAACCTATTTTATTTAAATTATACTTTGCCCATTGTTATATATTGTCTTTCTTTTTAGATGCTACATAGATCTTATTTCTTCCTATTCTTATTCTGATAATGGAGACAAAAATAGATACATTTTTTTCTGATAGAAGTATTGCCTATTTTTAAAATTAGAATTAAAAAACACATACATATGCAACAAATTTTCTAAGTATAACTGTAGTGTAGTTACTGTTAGATCACTGGGCTATTGATTATGAACTATACTAATAGCAAAACACAACATACTCAAGGAGAGCTAAAGCGCTTACAGCAATGGTTAGTCAGTTGCCATCACCAGTGTTAAAGGCATAAAATCCCCACGAGTCTGCATTCTCCATACTCCAAGTGCTCAGTAAGCCTTGTAGGTTTAACTTGGGTGACGGCTGCTACCATGGTCTGTACCAAAGTCTTCAATTTAGGGAAATGAACTCATTGAAGGTGAATAAAAATTCTTCATTGGCCTAGAGCAGTGTCGTCTAATAGAACTTTCTGCAATGACGAAAATGTTTTCTACCTGTGCAGTGCAATATGAGAGCTGCAAGCCAAATGGGCTACTGAGCATTTAAAATGTGGCTAGTGTTACTGGAAAACAAATTTTTAACTTTATTTAATTTAAACTAGTTTTTAAGTTAGGAAGCCACATGCAACTATTGGTTCCCATACTAGATAGCCCAAATCTAGACCAAAATTTGCAACTCCAGTCCTCAAATATGTTTTGTTTTACATGCACACAATTTTAATTTGTTGCCAATATTTACACAATTGTGGGCTGCTATTGCCACATGGCAATGATTTGTTGAAGCTAGTAGCCACTGTCCTTTTAACCAGAAGCCTAAGTTACTTGGCTGTTACTGTTTTCTCTGTAGTTATTTCAGTTTGAGACCTTTGATTTAGACTACAGGGGGTCAAATGCATTATTTTCATTGCTTCATTGGCTAGAAACATAAAAGCATCTTTTTAAATAATAGCTACTTTTTAAAAGGTTTCTTGGGAAATTTAAGTCTATGCTGTGTCTTAAAAGCCTGCTTCCAATGGGGTTCATTCATCTGGAATCTAAGATCTAAGAACCTCTGAATGGTCAGAGTTTACCTTGGAGCCCAGTGGCTAGCTGAACTTAGAAGCTGTGGCTGTGAAATATCACCCCTTGCATTTTCCTGTGGTTTACACAGGAGAAAACTCTTGAATATGTAGGTGGATAGAGGTGGCAAGCAAGTGTTACCTGTGTTGTCCATGGTTTATTTGATTCTGGATTGGAGCAGTTCTTATGTGACCATTAGAAATGAAGTGTAGAACTTTATAGCAATTGAAAAAAAGGATTGCTTTCTTTATTAACAAATAAAGGTTTGAGTCACATGGAAGATATAGACATAGAACTATAAAACTGTAATTCTCTCCATCCATCAAGTATTAAAACATTTTAGACTATTGTATCAAAACATTTTAGAACCCAACTAGAAACTATTTAGATAATGAGATGGCTGGGTCAAATGGTATTTCTCATATGTAACTAACCTGCACAATGTGCACATGTACCCTAAAACTTAAAGTATAATAAAAAAAAAAAAAGAAAAAAAAGAAACTATTTAGATAATGAAAACATTGAACTTACGTTGAGGGCTGTAAGCGGTTCATATATAACATCCTGTGTAGGTGTTTTTTTGGTGAATTCTAATGGACATTGAAGATATTTGAAATTATACTCGATCTGTAGAAGACAGAATTTTTTTTAAAAAAATGTACAGTTAGTCAAGTATAGAATCCCCAAAGTAATTCTTGAAAAAATCAAATACACAAATTTACAATTCTGCTGAAAATTAAGTGATTTGAACAAAGTTGAGTTATTTCAAGTGGAGAAAGGAAATTAAGTTATTGCATATTAATTCTAAAAATAAATATCCTGGAAGCCTGTTATTCAATTGCTTTGTATCTCATAGGCATGGAAAGAGAGGAGTTCTCAAAAGATCATTTAGATCTTTTAGATCTTCATTATTAAGGCACAACTACTTAAGAAAACATAAAGACTAGAAACAACACTAAATGATGCTATTAGAAACTATTAAAATATTCGGGGAAAACTGAGAATGTAAGGGAAAAATTCTCTCACAAGTAGATAATACAATAATATGACAAATTAGATCAATACCATCTGCAGTAGATTACAGATCAATAGTAACAATATTTTTAATATTTTTCAAAGAATTATAACAAAATAAATTTCAGATAATGATGATAAAATAAACTTACATAATAGTCTCGGCAGGACTTGTCTTCTGTGGAATGCAACATGCAGAAATCTAAAAGTACCTTTGAAAGAGAAAAACCAGCTAAGATATTGGGGCAGTACACTACATATTAGGAAAGATTTTATCCTATTTCTGAAATAATACACAAGACATTCCCTTTCCTTTCCTTGGTTTCTTGCATCTCAAGAATAAATTATAATCTATGTCATTCAGGAACAAAGTTTAAAATACAAAATGTTACAAATACCTCTGCATGCCTCAGAAATACCAGTGATTCAGAAAAAATACCATGTACTTGAGAATAAAATTGCATGTACTAAAATCTAGGCAAGAGATATTCCACTAGTTGTGCCTAAGATTTGATGTCTTTCTGGACTTTTAGAGGATATATAGATTACAGGTTGAGCAATCCTAATCTGAAAATGTGAAATTCTAAACGCTCCAAAATCCAAAATGTTTTGAGCACCCACATATTTCCATAAGTAGAAAATTCCACACATGAGTACTTAATATAAACTTTGTTTCATGCACAAAATTATTAAAAATATTATATAAAATTACCTTCAGGCTATGCTTTTAAGGAGGGTATGAAACACAAATGAATTTTGTATCTACACTTGGATCCCATCCTTATGATGCCTCATTATATATAGGCCAATATTCTGAAATCCAAATCATTTCTGGTCCCAAGAAGTTGGGATAAAGGATAGTCAATCTGATTCCTTTGCTGGGTACCTTACTGTGACAACTTATTGTTCTTAATCAAGATTTTTCATCCCAGCAATGGAGTCTTTCTATGGTTTAGTTCCCATCTTCTGAACTGCCCCAGTCTGGAGTAATGTGTTTGCTTCTATACCTCATGTGCCAAGCAACACGGAGAGAGTATGTGTTTAGAGGGGGGTGGACAGGATGGTGGGGGATAGATGTTGTAATGAGAAATAGATGAAGACTCTCTAGATACTTAACTCAGGGAAAGAACACTTATGGGGTCAATAGAGCCACCTCTATGGTGTGTGGGAACAACTGTTTTTGTGGGGCTGCATAAACAATTTGAGACACCTCAAATCTAGTGGTCCAAATTTATGGTCCTGAGAAAGAAATATCACCTAGCCAGGCTGCCCTCTTGGAACCAGGACTAGACAAAATACCCCATATGGCCCCATCAATGCATCTAGGACCTCCTGGGGCATCTGGTGAACCTGTAGAACTTGAGGGTAGAGGGTCAGACTATATCCAGAAGGGAAGAAACAGGGCCATGGCTGGTCTCAGGTACCAAAGGGACTAAGAAAATTACAAGGAAGTCTCTGTTGGTGACTAGATAGCAGTACTGGAGGTCACAACAACCATCATGAAAAATAAAGACAAGACTAGCCAGTAGTGCTGTGCAAGGCAGAAACAGGCAGGTCTGGTTGTTATAGTTTGAAAACTGGATAATAATCAACGTGTGCAAAATAAAGGATGGGCTGTCTTGGGTGGGGGCTGGGGAGATTTCAAGAGCAACTTTTCAGAAATGTTGTATAAGTATTTCAAATGCATTATGTCCGGCTAAATTAAGACATGTAAGTTCATTTATTTTGCTGAAAAGTAGTCACAATATAAAAGTAATTAAGTCATTATAGAAAATTACCTAGAAAATATAGTAGCATAAAGAAGAAATTAAAAACTAATCCTAATCCTATAACAGATAATTCTTATTAACATTTTGGTATAATTTCGACTGTTTACTATGTTTCCACATGTGAATATTTCAACATTGTTTTACAATTATAAATAATGTTGCAGGAAACATTCTGTAAAAATCTGTATCTCTGATTATTCATCAAGACAGATTTCAACAACTGTAACTACAGAATAAGAAAGTTTGAGATTAGGTATTTATGTGTCCTTTGATGAGATGTAGGCACCTAAAAAGTTAATCTGTATGCCATTTGTGTACTGGACTGGCTCCAATTTTCATTAGGCATCATAAAAAAACCGTCCAAAATATTTGGTGCACAGGAAGTCCTTGTTCAATAAATAAAGAACAATAAGTGCTAGTAGTACTAATAACCACATAAGCAGCACAAAAATAGTAGGAGGTATATTATGTACAAACCATTATCCTTAGCACTTTATACATTTTACCCCTACTTTTGTAATCACTTTGTAAGATCAGTATTAGCATCATTATTTTAGAAATAGAGAAAACAGAAAATAATGCTCAGAGAGGTGAAATGACTTGCCTAAAACAACACAGCAAAAGGCAGCACCAGGATTAAATCCCAGGACCTCCAGAAGGCTCCAAATCTGGTCTTCTATTCCCTGTGTCATTATATCTTACTGCCTCCTCCAGCATTTGTATATATTTTTCCTTTGCATGACATCTGAAGTCATTCTGCCTTTCTTGGTTATTCTGTCTGTCCCAACCCTCAAATCCCAACTTTCCCAGATTGCTTATTTGCATCCTTTAATACTCATCTGCTCAACAATTTGTGCATGTTTGTCTTGTCTGGGGTGTCCGGTCATATGCTAGTGTGTATTTAACGTAGCAAAAGGGGTCACATGTTTAAGAACCCACAGAAGCCAGGCAAGTAATGTAAATGAAAGAACCATGCCAGGCATAAGAGCTTTTTTCCATTGTTCTTGAGATGTTGGCTATACTTGGGCAAGCTTTTATCTTCACAGTTTGGATAAAGTCATAATTCAATACTTCTCTACTATAAGGAAAGCAATTGCATAAGAATGACAATATGTGACAACTAGGCACTGGAGCCCAATATACAAAAGGGAGAGGTGGGGCATTTTATTTTATTTTTTTTTTTAATTTTTATTTTTTTACCATACCTTAAGTTCTAGGGTATGCACAACGTGCAGGTTTGTTACATGTATACATGAGCCATGTTGGTTTGCTGCACCCATTAACTTGTCATTTACATTAGGTATTTATCCTAATGCTATCACTCCCCTCTCCCCCCACCCCACGACAGGCCCCGGTGTGTGATGTTCCCCACCCTGTGTCCAAGTGTTCTCATTGTTCAATTCCCACCTATGAGTGAGAACATGTGGCGTTTGGTTTTCTGTCCTTGTGACAGTTTGCTCAGAATGATGGTTTCCAGCTTCATCCATGTTTTTAAATAGGAGAGTGATTGTCCCATCCATGGGAAGCAGCTGGTGCTGAGCCCAGCAATTCCTGCCTTGTGAGAAGGCAGGCCCAGGTACAAGATCTCATTCTTATGAGAAGCTAGATATTTGGAGGAAAATATAACTGGAAGAAACCAGATACCTTAAGGAAAGCATCCTGGTTTCAAACATTAGCAATTCATGCACATTTGAAACAACAATAGCATGCATGCCAAGCGAAACATATACAAAAGCTTTACCAGCCAACAAACACCAGTTTGTAGTCTCTGTTACAGGTGTAGATTATTTAAATAAAAAATATTTTACCATATTATTCTCTATTACATATAATAACTAATAGGATTCTTTAATCCAAGAAGGCCTTCCTTAAATAGTTATTGTCTCATTTCCCTTACAGCCTATGGAAAATGAGAAGCTTTGTTTAAAGCTGGAAATTATTATTATTAGGTTGTGATTACAACAACATATGTCAAGCATAAACCCGGGAAGAATTTTGTTTTAGAGAATTTACCTTCATGCATTCAGGGAGGTATTCTATCATTTCTGTAATTGGACATTTATTGCCTGGAGAATTATGACTGAAAATCTTAAGACATTCATCCCATCTGTAAAAAATAAATAAGTAAGATAAGCACAGGTCTTCATCCTTCTGTTCTGTACAACAGCTGAAACTCAAGATTATTTCTTTAGGGGAAACCTAAACTTAAGCATATTCATGAAATGCAATGCTCACCCTTGGTTCCAATGGAACCAACATGTAAAGCAAGATCAACTCAGTAATAGGATCCTTGCCCATTAATGGACATTAGGAATGTGGGCAAATTTCAGGATGGCTATTATAATCATTGTTCTGTCTCTTTATCTAAATGCCATTCAAAGAAGCTGGGACTATATCTTCTTTTTCTCCTGAAGTTATGAAATGGTCAGTACTTACAGAGCTGACCACGTTGGGTAGAGATTCCACATTCACATGCCTACACCATCAGTGTAGTACTGGTCCCATATTTAATAACTAATACATGTGTACATCCTGTATTGAGTTAAACTACAAATTAACACATGTAAAGTGCATTGATAAGCATAGCCTCTGCCAGAACATTCCAGATTTTGCCCATTTTCTTCATCACCATCCAACTGAACAGGGTAAGACGGTGCTTACCATACCAAGGAGGAACTAAATCTATGGCAGGAGGCAAAGAATGGCCCATTATCTCCAAGATCTTATCTAATTTTCTGTTAAACTCTATCAGTAAAACCCATCTAGTATATCTACATTATCAAAAGAAAAGTTTGGATTGAACACTTTCATTAAAAGTGCTTTAAAGGGATGATCAGTCGGAGATTTTTTAGACTGCCCATGCTCAAAAACACAGGCTTGATGTGCCTTGAATATGAGATTGTTCGCTCTGTGTCCACTACTAGGTGACACTGGGCCCTCGTGCATAACTATCAGTGATTATTTTAGAAAGTGATATTATAAAGATATTATGAGAAGTGAGACTAACTATCCTCTAACTTCATCACTAAAATTCCTTGGAGTATGGTTTAGAAACCCACCAACACCTGAACCCCTGGAGTCTCACAAGAGTGATGTGAAGCTTGGTTTTATGTGCCCACATTTTATTTTTTAAGAAATATAAACTAAAGATCAGAGAGGTTAAGCAATGTGCCTGTTGTCATCCAAAAGAATTCATTTATAAATTTAGGTAGACATTTAGAAATAACTGAAGGAGTATAATTGGATTGTTTGTAACACAAATGATAAATGCTCCATGATGTGATTATCATGCATTGCATGGCTGTATCAAAGCATCTCATGTACCTGATACATATACACACCTACTATTTACCCACACAAATTAAAAATAAAAATGGCCAGGCACAGTGGCTCATGTCTGTAATGCCAATACTTTGGGAGGCCGAGGTGGGCGAATCACTTGAGCCCAGGAGTTTGAGACCAGCTTGGCTAACAAGGTGAAACCACGTCTCAATGAAAAATACAAAAATTAGCTGGGCATGCTGGCTCATGCCTATAGTCCCAGCTACTCAGGAGGCTGAGGCATGAGAATTGCTGAAGCCCGGGAGGCGGAGGTTGCAGTGAACAGAGATCACACCACTGCACTCCAGCCTGTGCGACAGAGCTAGACCTTTTCTAAAAATAAATAAATAAAAATAAAAAATAAAAAACCTTTAAAAAATTGATGTAAACAACTGATATTTTAAATTTTGATTAATGGCTGAAAATCATTTCTTTTCTCTTATTTTGTCTCAGACTTCAAATCATCCCAACACCAGAGAACACTAAATGACAGTGGACAGGAAGACAGTGTACCTTTTGCTCCTGATGATCGTAAGAACAACCTCCTTCCTCTTATTGTGAAGTGCAAGGTGCAAAAAGGAGGCCTGCTGCTTGTTCAGGACTATGTCAGCATTGTGGCTCAGAAGAAGCGCAACGGCTTTGGCGTGGCCTTCCCTTGCAGCAAAGTGAAGTGCAGTGTTCTTTTGAAGAAAAACAGACACAGAAAACGTGGTGACAGTGTCTAATCTGTCTTATTTCACTGCTTAACTGCTTAAAAGACATTAGCGACACTATTTAATACCAAAATACATAGCACTTAAAACTGGTGTTCAGAATCAAGCTTCAAAATAATGAGTTTATAGTTCTAGCATGGTGTGTGTGCATGTGTGGGAAGTGGATCTGTGTGTGTGTGTGTGTGTGTGTGTGTGTGAGAGATAGAGAAAGAGAGAGAGAGAGAGAGAGAGAGAGAGAGAGAGAGAATGAATTCCAAGGCATTTGTTTTGTGTTGCTTTTGCAATGGGATGATTCCACAAGGACAAAGGACAAGCTTTCAGGGTAAAGATGTTGGGTTGAACACAGAAGAAAATCCTCCTGAGATTGATCATTTGTAGAACAGTGGCTTACAGATTTGGGGCTTCACAAGCTTGTAAATGTTTTTTAAAATCAGAGACTGTTATAAGTTTGCCCATTTTTAGTTTCTCCACTTAAAGACTTTTTTTTTTTGAAAAAGGCAACAACAGTCTTCTATCCCCATCATTTTATGAACAAACGTACATTTCAAAAGTTACTCTCCCCAAAGGAAGGAAAGACATAATAGCACAATAAAGGGCAGCATTTCAAATCAATACACTTCAAAATAACACTTATCTTAATGAAAACTCACCCCTGCCTTCATTTCTCTGGACCTACCAGGGAGTAAACGCTTTACCATCAAATTTCATTGGCCTGTGGACCTCGCTGCTCTGTGAGACTGGAGGTTTCCCCAACATTCACCCACCCCTTGGTATTCTCCCAATTCTGTTGCCTTTTGATTCATACTTCACCTCAAGAATCCACTTGCTAAACACCCAACAAAAGGCTGGGAATAGAGCAAGGAAGGTAAAAGGTGTCTAGGAGAGTTTTCTGGCAATGTTGGAAGTTTCTGCTATATTGAGATTTTGGGTAAGCATGAGGACCGCAGTACATACCCCGTCTTCATCCAGGCGATCTGTGCACTTCAAATTAGTATCAAGAATGACCTTCATGGTCTGAGTGTACCCGCCCATGGACGCATGATGCAAAGCTGTCCAGCCATTGTGGTCACTGGTAAAGAGTTAAGAAAAGATGTGTGCATACACTTAACAGATGAAATGCGGGATGGGATGCCACTTGGCTTATTCTAGGTAAATCTGATGACAACAAAAAGCATTATTGAGATCTGGCAACTAAATATTTATAAAACATTTATAATAAATGAGCTAATTCCAAGCTCAATGATCTTAAATGACCTATTTCTAATGTGATTCATACACGTTTTTTACTTAGTGGTTTAAAATATGAAAGTATATAAACACATTACCAAACACTTTGGGGTAGGAGAAGTACGCTTAGCATGTCTGTGTCATACCTAATTTTTTTAAAGCTATAATGAACTGATACACATCAATTTAAATCTTGTTTTATTCTTTCAATGAACACTGTATCAAAATTTTTTTATGAAGTAATGTTAGTCTTTGTGGTCAATAGTTATTGGTAATACTACTAGTAATATGATACATGGCTATAAGATGCTTAGCTTAGTGTCAGTTATTATTCTAAGAGTTTAAATCTAAAAAGCTTCCCTCTTGTGCTCTGAAAAATGCTTACTCAATTGCTTTGAAAAATGTTTATCCTTTTCCACAGAAATTCAAGATGTAAATACAACAAAGCCTTGTCATATTAGCTATCTTTTTTCAAATTAGACAGAAAAAAATTCTTGACACTATTTAATTTCAGTGCTAGTGAGCAGATGTTTTAGGGTGCAAGAGCCATGTTGCTATTTCAGTTATGATGTAATTAAGCAACAACTGTCTGGCCTGGGTCTACTTCGGTCCCCTTTGCAGGTCAGTTGCTTGGTGTTTCTTTGTAAACCAGAAAAAACTGAGCAAAACATTCATTCATGTAGCTGTAGCACCAATTTGCTGGCATCAATATTATGGTAAGGAAATGTGTTTTTGAACATTAGCCTAATAAGCTCTTTGCTACTGCTATGGTAAGATATCAAATGAAAAACCTCTGTAAAACATTTCCAGGTTTTTTCTTTCTTATCACAATATCATTTAATTATGCCACATATTTTATTATACTTACATATTTTAACTTTGTTTCTTGTACTTGAGTTCATTTAAGTATAATAAAATTCAGAAATTTTTACCATCTCCTGTTGTCACTTAAAGGGAACTTTTTATGCCTACCATTCATCAGATTGAATGAAAAGTAGAGTATTTGAACTTGTATGTTTTGTGTGTGTGTGTACGTGCATACACACATACACAACCACAGTTTTGTATCTATATAGGAATATGGCAGCATGATGAGGTAAAATATGAGAAACTATGTTTCAAAGAAAGGTTCTGAGAAAGACTGCACAAAGCCAATTATTCTGTGAACAGAATATTCTTGAACAAGGTTCTTCAACGCTATAAACTTCAAAGTCTTTGTCAGTTGGAAATAATACTGACTTCCCTTTCAGTATTTTTAGAAGTTACATATGTTTTGATGAAAAAATAAATTGGATAAAAGTACTTAGTGAGATATAAAGTTAGACCTCATAATTAAAAATATAATGAAAAGATAGCCTGAAAATGGCTAATTAAAGAAATTATATAAACACTCCAATCATATATCCTCACCTGAGAAACAATGCACCTTTTTTCAGAAGAAGCTGAACTACTTTATCATGTCCATTCTTTGCTGCCAGATGGAGAGGAGTCATTCCATGAAGGTCACCTTCATTCAGAAGCCTCGTATCACTTATGTCTTGTAGGAGCCTCTGACAGGTATTGATACGCCCATAACTTGGAAAAAATTAGGTTTCATATTTTCAAGGCAAATATTAAACAGAAAGAAGACATGTTCATACATTGCTAGACTGACCCTTACCTGGCTGCAAAATGCAGAGGTGATTTCTTATCTTTGCTTTTGGAATGAATGGACACATTAAAGCCAAGTAGGTTATTTACAGAACCAGGGCCCCCCTGTCTACATGCATAATGTAGAGGAGTACACCCATCGTTGTCTTCATCCATTACCAGCTCTTTGATCTGTTGCATCTATAGGAAAAAATTAATATCATACAAATAACTCTGCTATTATGCTAATATGATGGTTTTCAAACTATTCTGTAGGAAAATATTTTCCAACAAGGGTCAATATGTATTCCTTGGGGCCAAAATTGTAAATAACCTAAAGGATTTGAGAGTAATATAAATATGAATGAAGTTGAATGCTCTGTCTTCATTTAGTGTACATTACCATATTAGTGTACATTACTGTATTAAAGGATCTGAGAGATCATGCCAATAGGAAAATGTACTTAACATTTTTAACTCAGCATTTTTCAAATATATTTGATCATGGCCCTTCCCTCTGCCCCTCCTCTTATTTCCTCCCACCCCCAAATAACACCCAACAGCTTCATGTTAATATGTTCTGTTAGGTAAAATGGATGGGATGTAAACATTAGGTTTATTTTATGTTTTATATGTATAGTAAATAAAAAATGAATGATAAATGAGAAGCTTAAGCCTATCAATTAATATTTTGTTATTTTTTAAATATTCAAACACATATATATTTTGATTATTAAATACTGGCAATATTGAAATCTATTGATGATAAAAATATGATGTATTTCACATACATGTGCTAGTCACTCAGTAAGTATTAGCTGGTGAATATAAATATAAAAATAATGCTTTCAACCTCTCCTCAGAAAGTCAAGTATGCTGAGTAATTTTTCTTAATTGATGGTGGAGTATTGATAATTCATTCTTATATTTGGCTTTTCCACTGATATGCAAATCATAATGGTCAAAGAATGAAGAAAATCAAACTAATTAAGGATGTTATCTTTATCATAGATGACTGCATATTAAGTTTCTTTGTAAGTTAAAAAACTCAGTCTCACTACAATTAATTATCATTGTCATAATCATCACCACCACCACCATCACCATGTTGTAACTAAATAGTCAAATATGTCATCTTTATTTTAAAACATTTTTAAAATTCCAGAATCAGTTTATATAATAACAAAAATTATAATAAACAAAATTAGTTTATTTTCTGTTGAACCCAACTCAGTTAATGGCAATCCACAGATATACATTACCTGCATAAATTCAGGTCGCAGATTTTTTAATCCATAAGGTTGCTGTACAGTTAAATGCAGAAAATTACGTCCAAAATTATCTTTTATGTCTACTTGGGCACCTAAAAAAAAACACTATGTAAATATAAATTCTATTCATTTATTTAAAGCAATGTTTACGTGGATTTTCAACTTAGCAAAAAAAAATTTGACTAAAAATATTGTCGACCTTTAGTTTACAGGAAATTGTGTTTAGATGAGAAAACTAAACATATTTAAAATCAGGTTTAACTTACTCTCTGTGTGTGTGTGTGTCTGTATGTGTAAGTGGGGTAGAAAATATGTGATGCATTACATAAATACATGAAGCCTTACCTTTTAAAGCATAAAATGTAAGTATAGACACATTAGAGATCAAGAAAGAAGAAGATAGCAGAGAAGGACACCTCGCTCCTTTGTTATCAGAGGCCCAGGTTAGAATCTAAAACAGGGAAAGTTATAGTACCTACACCACACAGGACTGATACATTGAAAGACAGTTAATTAAATGTTCAGCAAATGCCTGGGATATAACAATTGCTTTATAAATGTTCTCTACTATTGTTCTGAAATTATCTTTTTAAGTATGCTCCCTTACTGGACAGAAAATTATTCTAGACATGAAAACTGTTCTGTTTATTTTTAAATTCACAACACCTGGCCCAGGGCCTGGCACACAATAGATGGTGGCACACAATGAATGTTCATTTGGCACACAGTGAATGTTCATCCAACCAAATTGAGTGGCACTTCAAAAGACTTGGCTTGTTCCCTCTTGGTACCTTTAGAGAGTAGCAAATTTACAATATTCCAAGATGCAGAAGCAGTTGCTAATATAAGTGGAGAGCGTCCTTCAGAATCGATCTTATTAATATCTGCTCCCTAAAAATCAAACAAACCATTCAACAAAGAGCTTAGAAACAGATAAATCATAATATATTGTAATCTCTAACTAATGGTAATTCATTGATACAGAGTGTCTATATTATGGCTAGCACTGAACCATACGACTAGTTATAGAATTATTTGAAAGTTTCCCATAGTTCATATGTTGTATCATCAGAAATCAAGAAATTCGTTTATAATTTCAACAAGAAATTATTCTCACATATTAGGCTTTTTACTTACACCTGGCAATAGCTCTTGTTACCGCTTGAACCATAAAAATAATATCTTTTTACTTAGATCAAGTTTAGTTTCCACTGCAAGAAATAATTTTTAAATGTCTATAATTTTAAAACTCTCCCAAATTCATTACATATATGATTTAAGAAACATTTACAAAACACCATTCACTTTTTTTAAAAATCCTATTTTATTGGAAATAGATGAACTGAAATAATTGAATCGAAATCACTCAAATTCTAAAGTAAAACTTTAGCCAAACATTTATTTAAGAAAATTTATATTTAAAAATCACATTAAACATATATTTTTAAATGAATAAGTCAATGTTAACCATTACATATTATAATATTTGATATGACAAGAAATCAAAGGCCTTTTAAAATTTCATGGAAATAATCCTGTATTTTATATAGGGTAATAAAAAATAGCTTAAAATCCAAACGTGAATATTTCTTTGTTCTTTTGGGGCCCAATGAATATAGATGACAATGGGGGCAGCATCCCCTTGGCAAGCTCCACGGTCAGTGAGGCTCTGCCACAGTTCTCTTGCCTGGTGAAGAGATGGCAGCCTTTGCAGGAAACCATGCATGACTATGGTTTATGGTTTATGGCATATAATGCATAGTTTATGGCATATAATGAGTCTCCCCAGCACTCTTCTCTGTAATTATCATAATTTCAATAGTTATGATTGACAACACACACACGTTCAATACTACAAATGGAAATCCGTCATTGCTGATATGGTGCAGCTTACGTAAATTCACCATACATTCATCCGTATAAAGGGCATATTAAAATTCAACTCAAAAGCTGACTGATTCCACTTCCCAGAGTGAAAAAGATCTCATGCTTCATGCTTTCACTTGTAATAAATCTTTGACAATATTTTTCAACTCCTCAGTTTTTAAAGGTGGCACTGAGGCATCTGGGATAGGAGTTTCCCCCCGTGCTGCCTGTCCTGCCTCCACCTTAAAGCCACCAGGGCTGAAGAAGGGGCACCGCCCAAGCTCACACTCCCGGAAGACCCTCTTACAGGCCATGGGAACAGCTTTCCTTGCAATGTACCTGCCAACTTCCTGCACTAAAAACACTGATATGGATATCCAAATTACGCTTTGACACTTCTAACTGTAATAGTTTGGCTGTTACGTATTCATATGCAATATACTCTGCTTCCAAGTATGTCAATCATCATTTTGTATACTTTTTGCTGATAAGCAAGAAATCAAAATTTGCTTCATTTTTGAAAATCCATATTATGTAATTATACGATTTCTTAAATTATAAATAGTAATAAAAATAAACCAGTAAAAGGAATAGTTACCACTGAAATTAAATAGTCTGCTAGCTCATGGTGATCAAACAATGAAGCTCTGAAAAAACAGAATTATAAACATTATAATTAAAGTACTATTGATGTAAATAAAATGTATTTAATAAAGCTACTATATTCGGAAAGTGAATTTAACTAATCATAAAATAACATGATAGAATGTTAGAGAATTAGTAAGCTTTCAAAATTTATAATTTGATTCTGATTAGGGTAGCATTTTCAAAGTAATAATAATAGGAGAACACCAAATACATCATATTTTCTTCCTCATCCTTTAAGAAACCTATTTTATCTTGTAAAATCACCGTAAAGATGTTTGAAGTGAGTAGTAACGTCTGTCCCAAGATAGAAAAGACAAGGAAATCACTGGTATTGCTATGATCCTGGGGAATAGAACAGCTACATGTAAGGTGTCCCTCAAATTCACTTGCAGGTTCAAAAGCCCCTCTTTGGGGGGCTTCTCTTTGGCAAAAGTTAAAAGGCAGTGTTAGCTTTTCTGAGTTTTTATGAAGCCAAAAATAATTATGGAGAGAACTGAAAACATTTTGGTATCATCTCACAGGCAGTCATAAGCAACACCATAACAAATGTTAATACTAATGACTTAAAGCTTTGTGTTTCCTATCGCAAATCTCATTTCTTTGTTTCAAGCTTCTCTCAGCTATTTTTGGCCTTTTATACATAAATTTCAGAATCAGTTTGTTAATTTGATTGACAAGAGGTTGCATTATATTTAAAATATATTAATTATATTTAGTAATTATAAGGGAATAAATTCTAACATTAAGGCCCCATTTTCCTAAGATAATTTCTCATTATGCATATTAATATATTAAGGCTGTGTTCTAAAGATACATTTAACAATAACCAAATCATTGGGTTTGTAAATTGGTGAAACATTGGAATCAAAGAGTTTTTTTCTTTAATTCCTGAGATTCATCTTAAAGATTTTCATATCTTCTAGGTTATAAATTGGCACTGGGATTTTGTGAGCTACCCACGTGATTCTAATGTGCAACAGTTTGAGAATTTCTGGTCTAGAGGTTAGTCTATCTATTGAGTTTTCATTTTATTTCAATGGCTTTTTTAACTTATTTTTTACTGAATTATTTTCATATCACCAATCCTGGATTCATATACGACAATCTGTTTTTCACAATCTTACGTTATCTTCATATATTTAGTTTTATATAACTGATTATTCCTTCCTTTAAATTTTTGAAGGTCTCAAATATCTTTATTTTAAAATTCTTTTTGGAATGCCCTATTATTTCTATTTTCTTGGAAGTAAATTTGTCTTTGGTCAACTTCGTAGTTTTTTACTAGTTTTATGCTATTAAATTTTAGGTTGCAAATTCATTCTAAGAGGGAGTTCCTTTCCATTCACACATATCCTATTGTGCCTGGTGGTTTGCTGCGTGCATTTATTAGAAACAGATCTTATATTGGTAGCTATAGTTTCTTTTTTTTTTTTTTCTAAGAGATACTGTAGAATTCCAGGTCCAGTTGCCTATTGAAAATATATTGGCAGCTCTGACTGTGTGTGCTTGTGTGTGTGTGCACGTGTGTGTGGAAGAGACCAAGAGAGTGAAGGCTCATCTCAGATACCTCTTTCACTCACATGGGTAGCATCTGATACTTGTCTTTCCAAAAGAATTGAATTTCCAGTCTACAAGTAAGCCTATGGCTTAATACACTTTGCCTGATGTGCGTTTCTGTTAAACTTCAAATAAATTTGTTATTGTTTTTGGAAACTTGGTTATAATTTCCTAAAACTATATCTTTTGAAACCATTTATCTATAATTGTTGGTGAGCAGGAGGGATTAGTGTGGGGGTGACATATCCATATGTATCTGCTCCATTTTTATCACTAAAAATGGGGATAAAATAAATATGAGAAATTGGAACAGATTAGAAATGGCTTGGAAGACCGTGTATGTAGACTTCTTTAGCACATAGAAAATTAATCTTGAGCCTACATCCACTGGACTTGAATCAGAATATGCCACAGGTGATTTTATTTTGTGAAATTTCTTTAACATTCTACTCCCATTCCCAAGGAACATACGCGATTCCGGTTGATCCACAGGGTCTTTGTTATCTTTGCCCTTTTCCTTTGAACCACAAAATCTTTGCTAGCATTAGTGCTAACTGCTCCTTGCAATGTCTAATTTCACTCATGAAGATGAAAAATCTGTATACAGAATGATAGGTAGGAAACTTGCCTGTGAAGCATGGTCTCATGACATCCATCGGTTGTGTTAACAATATCCACGCTACCAGAATAGGACGATATCATCAGTTTAACAATCTCAGTGGCTCCCTGGGTGGCAGCAAAATGAATGGCTGTGCACCTTCCCTTCTGTAAAGGGTTTTAATGCTAGAATCAATGTTTAAATCTCAATGAAAGAATATAACTTATATTCAGCTGTGAGCTTTTTCTTCCCAGGTTCATAAAATCAAGGAATATCTATCAGGCTGATCACCATTAATCATCTGAAATGTGATAGATATTCCTTGATTTTATGGACCTGCAAAGAAAAGCATCCACAAACAAATTGTAGCTGACAATTGTGCTTCCTTCTAATATAACAACTCTTGGCATACACTTCCACCATTACTGTCTGGATGCCATTCTTTTCCCCAGGGAACATGAGAACAATGTCCCATTCATTGCTGTAAGCATTCAGTGTAGGAAGTGACTTCAGACCCCATACCACCATTGGCAGCTCTTCATTTCCATATTGAAGGGACAATATAGAAAAAGTTAAAAGGCAGTGTTAGCTTTTCTGAGTTTTTATGAAGTTTCCAGAAGCCACATGAGATTAATATCCAATCTTCTCTTCCTACAGAAAATACAGGCCTTTGCAGTATCTTGGAGGGGAGCTTGTTGCCACCCAAAACTCAGACATTGAAGGAAAAAGGGCCAGAACTCTCCACTTTTGGTCAGAGATGCCTGCCATAAGGTCAGATCCCAAACACAGTCAACACGTTCACATACATATTCTTAGAAATTAGTTAAGTGGTCCTTAATTTAAAAATGATAACTCTTCTGAGTAGGACTAAAGCCAAATACATTCATGATTGGGCTTTAATGTTCCTGGCTGAACATTATCATCTTCTGAGGGTAGGCCTTAACTTCTTTAATGGCAACTGCACTAGA
Organism: Homo sapiens; assembly: GCF_000001405.40. Taxonomy (NCBI): domain Eukaryota; kingdom Metazoa; phylum Chordata; class Mammalia; order Primates; family Hominidae; genus Homo; species Homo sapiens. The sequence goes on from NC_000008.11 coordinate 72,062,563, forward strand.
TATATAGTCTTTGTTGTATCTATATTTGTGTCTGCAATTGTTTTGGGGAGCTCTGAAAATTCTTTACATAGATTGAAACTTGGGATATTCTCTTGTTCTGCTTCTGCAGAAGCAGAAGGAAATATGTATTTCTTGTATGTATTTCAATCTAAATTAACTGTAAAAGAGCTATAAAGCATTTTATATGTTTATGACAACTCTAAGATAAAAGTGTTATATAGAATATGAAGAGTTACCTCCACTGGGTCTATTTGTGCACCATTGTCCAGGCACATTTTGATCATTTCCAAGTCACCATTTTGCACAGCCAGGTGGAGAGGGGTGGCTTTCCCATTATTCATAAAGTTAATGTGCAACTGTCTACTGTACCCATGCTCTTCACCTTGAGAAGAAAATAACATTCAACATAACAAATATATAAAATAAATAATAGGGAGGTTTTTTGTTAAAAAATATGAACAAAGGTAAAAAAACAATGAAAGGGCACCGAGACACATAAAAGCTTGTGTTTAATTCTGTTAAATATTTTTCAAATTAGGCCGGGTGTGGTGGCTCACACCTGTAATCCCAGCACTTTGAGAGGTCATGGTGGGAGGATCACGAGGTCAGGAGATCGAGACCAGCCTGGCCAACACGGTGAAACCCCATCCCTACTAAAAATACAAAAAATTAGATGGGCATGGTGGCATGCACCTATAGTCCTGTTACTCAGGAGGCTGAGGCAGGAGAATCACTTGAACCTGGAAGGCTGAAGTTGCAGTGAGCTGAGATCACACCACTGCACTCCAGCCTGGGTGACAGAGTGAGACTCCATCTCAAAAGAAAAAAAAAAATCAAATTAATAGCATCCACCAAAATAGACTTATTTATAGTATATAACATAGAAAAGCCTCAACTCACCAAACCTTAGTATTATTTCCATGCATTCTTTGGAACCTGAAAATGCAGCTTGGTGAATAGGGAAACATCCCCATTTATTTGATTTACATGGCTTAGCTCCTTTTTTAAGCTGGAAGAAAAGACAAAATGAAAAATGACACCAGTTAAACCCCAAATCGCAAGGGTGGATGAGAATTTATGTGCCTCTCCCATATCATTTTACTATTATATGTCTATGTAAAAGTACATAGAGAGCTTCATATGTTATGAAATCTAGGCAAGAAGGTAATTTTGAAGTAGACTAAGATTCTGAAATAGAGATATTTTATATCTTCCAAAGAAGTAACAATGTAGACACAACATCTATCTTGATACCACAGCAATAAAGTCAACACATTTTTCAATGGGATTAATGAGATTTTTGAAGACATTATCATGACTTCCATAACTATTTTCAGTTTCTTATGCAAATAAAGTGATATATCCTAGATTCTTTTCCCTTTATTTATGCAAAATTAATAAATGAATGTGCCACTACTCTTGTTAAGCCATGATAATCAAATATTTTCACTAATGAAGTTTCCTAACTAAAAAGATGTTAGAAGAACTGAATGTTATATTATGTTTTCATGTGATCCAATCATTTTAAACTACCATTCTCTGTAAATCATTAGCCTTCAGTTTTAAGTACCTCTAATTACTACAAGAAATTATTGTGAAAAAGTAGAAAAGTGTGAAGAAGCCAATACCACCTGTAATCTCAGCTTTTAGAGGTAGTATCAGTTTACTCTATACATAATAGTCCAGAAATTATATATATATAATATATATATATATGTAGAGAGTCCAGAAATTGAAGATGTACTCTGTAAAATCATATATTAAAGAATATTGTTAAGTAAAAGCTTTTTTGAACAATATTATCATACAGTATACACATAAATTAAACTTGCAAGGAAACCAGACTTTAAAAATATATTGTTTTCTGTAGTATTTTCAACAATACTTTTCTTTATTCCAATTTTCTTGTGGTTAATTTAAGGCTCTTTTCCTAAATTCTTGGTTTGAGTGTTAGTTAACTTATTTTTATTCTCTTTATCATTTATTCTCTTTGTGGTCCAATCATGACAGCTTAGAGTATGTACCTATCTCTAAGTCCATCTAGTAAAGGTGCTAAAACATATTTGTATGGCACATTTAAACATTAGGTAAATATTTTTAAATTATTTAATTGCATTTTCTTATTCTCTGAGATGGTGAAGAGGCAAAATCAAGTGGTAAAAATACAGATGCTGGCCTAGATAACATACAAGTAACTAACGAATATTTGAAAAAAGTCTATTTGCCGGCATTCTAACAGCACACTCAGATGGAGCACTGAGGAAGTCATGTAGACAATCATCTCCATCATCTCCATCATCTCCATCGCTTCACTGGACCACGCCAGGAAGCCTCACCAGAGACAAGGCTGGCTCTACTCTCAGGCATGTGGCTAAGAACCTTTGTCATTACATCATACAGGGCTCTGTTTTTGAGACCCAATGACAATAATTTCTTCAGGTCTTGGGAGCTGTGTTTCCTTTGACTTTTCTCTTATGGGCCAAATAAGTCTGCAACTGACTATATTCATCTTTCCTTTGACTATTCAGAAGCTCAGAATCATACATTTGATCCATCTTTATAACATCCAGGCCATTATACTTTGTATTTTGCATTCTAGCCTGACCACCAGCTTCATCTCAACTTTTCCTGCCTGTATTTTCTTTTCACTTTGATTTTCTCGAAATTTTCTTTACTGCTTTACTATTAGTCTTCTATAAGCAATCTCAGATCCTCTTAAGCAGGGAGTACATATACAAAAACACATAGAAAAACTTTTTTCCTGACCTAGTTTTTGTATTTTATATTTTTCTAAGGAGAAAAACTTAAGAGATTTTGTAAATAATAATAATCCATGTTGTATTCATGAAAAGATAAAGAAAGCAGACAGATATGACAAATATACAAACCAAAATCTGCAATGCTTCGCTATTATTTGTGGTGCACGCAATGATCACAGCTGTGTTTCCATTTTCTCCTTCCAAATTAACATCAATAGTTCTATGCTCAAGCAAGACCTAAAAAAAGGGGAGAATAATTGTCAAAATTTTTGCAGATTTCCAAATAAGGTACTTGCCTTCCACTAGAGTTTAAGTTTTCAAATACCAGGGACCATGTCTGTTTATCTTTTATTCATCCTTCTCTCACACAATCTGGCACAAAATCTTGCACATTGTGGGTACTAACTAATTTCCCCATTAGATGAAATAATCATGATTTCAACATCACAACAATCAAGGCAATACTGAGTTCTGGAATTATAAATAAAATAAGAATTATAGATACTAGTTATCATAGCTTCACTTAATACTTCTGACTTGTAGTAAGTGAAGTTATGTTAACTAATATTTTCAGGAAAATAAATTTGTGGAGCCATTAGAAAGTGCTCATGGTGGAGGGGGAAGAGAGGTAGGGAAGAAGGAAGAGAGTAAAAGAGAGAGAAAGAAGGAGGGAGGGAGAAAAAGCAGGAAGGGATTTTTTTTCTCCTCCAGTTATTTTTCTTTTACCTGGATTGCAAGAATTTTGGGACATGTCAGTGGACACTCTATTCTCTTCAGAGTTTTGTGTGGTGTAACCCAATTAATTCAAACTTGGCCTGGAATGGAAACTTTCTCTACAATGTAAGAAATTAGCATCCTGATAAAATGATCAAGCAATTTTTCTGATGGAATTTCATTGAAGATCTGTTACCTCCTCACCTGGTTGACTGCCATCTGATTACTGCCCAAGCATCTATAGGTCTTTGACTAGTCTTTATTTTATATTCAATGTAACAAAATTATCTCATATAAATGTCTCATCAAATCTTTGAATTGGCCTACTGGAGGCTTTTCCTCCTGCAGAAAGACTATGATAAATGATGACATGTCCTTATAATTAAATAATGTTAAAAGAATTCATTAAATCAGCTGTTTCTTAAAAATCTTGACTTCTTTGAAAAAAGTATGCAACCTCCTACCAGAGCCTCTTGTTAACAGAACGTATCCCTTGTGAGTGTCAGCAAATGAATTAGGTTTATTAATTAGCTCTGCTCATAAAGGAAAATTAAACTCAGATTTTAGTACATAAGAATAGGTGGAGAAATGATTGACGGATTAAGGGAAATGAGAACATAAGATTCCTTCCATGGACTTTAGGCATCATCGCATTCTGTTCTTAAGAAACTCTAGTTTCACATGGAAAATAGCTACCAAAGTCTACAAGAAGAGGCTTTTCTCTCTTTGCCCTCTTAGAATCATAGATCATAAAGGTATAGCTGTGTTCAGTTATATGTGGCAGGGATCCCAGAGAGAGCAACTAAACTGTGCACCTACTTCAAATTCAGTCATGACCAGGCAAGTCTGGAAGGTTTGGAGGTGAGCCCTCCACAGGTCCCTTGGTTGAGAATCTGGAAAGCCTCATGGAAGGGTCAAACAACTGGATAGTTTGAATTAAAGCCCCAAGGACTAAGGTCTGCAGGCTACTGAGAAACAAAACCACCCCCTGATCCCCAGGCCAATGTGTCCCAGGGAATATTATGCATACCATAAATCATTGTGCAAGAACTTGAAGTGATGCGTGGATGACAGTTTTTTACTTTACAACCATTATAGGCAGCAGAGGAAGGTTTGAGGGACGGTCAGTGGAGCAGTCAATGGAGCAGCTTCTAAACTGGCAGGGGCTGGGTGTTTACAGGCCGGACCATGGGCATAACTGGGAGAGGCACGTAGAAAAGATTGCTGTTTGCAAGCATGAGGGGAGACATTCCAAAAAACCTTCTCCTCCTTCTATTCCTGTCATCTCTGGTGAACCAGAGGAGTCTGAAAATATTTTTACACATAGTTGTGGTTGGTAAGACCAAATAAAGGAGAGTCAATTTTACTTAGAACTCTATTTTTCTGCTTGTCCTGGTGTCACCAGGAAAATTTGTTTTATGTCTATCACTGAGTTTATGAATCAGTTGGGAGCTTTATTTTCCATTTCTATGTGATACCTACCTTTCTGTATTTGTTGGTCTGGAGATTTCTGCTTTCTAATTAACAATAGTCTTTCAACAGTTACCTATCTTCAATTCCCAAACCACACTTTCACGGCCAATATTAAGTTAATAGGTATGTGTTCTTGAAAAGAGCCTTCAGAGGGAGCACAGAGCTCCATGAGGAAATATTTGATATCTCTGCGGGAGTCCCTGTAGTCACTAGTGGCCCAACCCAGATGATACAGAAATAGCACTTGGCTCATGAATAATGAATAAAAAAATAACAGCTTGTTGCCAGAGGACTTTCTAGTAACCTCTTCAGGGAGCCACCCTGACCCATCTCATAGGTACTGAGACTTCAGCTCTCCCCTTCTCAGTCAGCCAGAACTCCCATTTACTCATTCATTCATTCATTCAACAGCCATCATTTACCAGCACAGTGCTGAGGAATAAGAGATACTTGAATTAGTAAGACACACCTCTTCCCTCAAGGATAATTAGCCAGTAGGGAAGAAAAGCACATGAACATTTGATTCCAATATCACGTGTTAAGGATTTTAATAGAGCCACATACAAGGTACAGTAGGAAAGCAGAAAGTGGCTCCTCTCAAACCTTTTATGCCAGACTTAAAGGAGCCAAAGCCTCAGAGGGCTGAGAGAAAGTTTTCTGGGCTAAAGGGAGCCTGAAACTCATGGAACTCTTTGGATATTGTTTCTACCAGAAAACTTATTATAAGTTCCAAATAGCCTACCTTAGAAATGAACTTCTGGAACATGCTCCATTTGTAAATTGCATTCTTCATCCTTTAGGCATGTTTGTGTTCTAGGGTGTTTGAGAGACTCTGAGATGTAGTTTAAAAACCATGGCCTAATTCTTACCCTTTAGCAATTTTCCAGGGTTTCCTCTATTTGACCGAACTTACTCTTACACCTTGAAAACCAATAGGATGTTTCCCAGTGGTATCCTTATGTCTTCTGCTAACTAATCTGTCTGACAGGCCATCCATTCTAACAAAAATAGAGAATCATAATTATGTTTTCTGTTTTCACTGAGTCTCTCATTACCTTCCTCCTTTTAGTCATTAAATCAGTCAGGTAAAAGTGATAAAGCCTAAATCTGAAAACATAAAGATGAAAACAAAATTCCTTAGTCTTGCATTTTTACTTGTGGTGTGATGTTAGCCAAGTTATTCAAATTCTTTTGGCACCTCAGTGTACTCAGCTATGAAATAAGAATACTAGTGGAATTACTTCATAGTGGGTTTGCTTAGATGAGAATTCAATAAACAAACACACACAAAGCTCTCATGAAAATGCCCGGTAAATAAGAACTATTCAATAAAGTCAAAACTAATCATCATCATCATCATTAGTTAGTGAGAAGTAAAGCAAATGTAATAATTGCATTTTGTTTGCCATGGAAGCTTAGAAGGTGCTCATCCTGGTGCAAGCAGAGAGAGCTGGATCTGGGTCCCAGCACCTGCACCGCCGGTCAGGCCCTTTGGAGCCGGCCAGTAGCCTTACCTTCATCACCTCATTATTCATGCCCTGCACAGCTATGTGGAGAGGAGCCATCATGTTGAAGTTTCGGAGATTTGGGTTTGCTCCTCTGCTGAGAAGAAACTTAACGCTTTCAATTTGGTTTTTTTCTACAGCACAATGCAGAGGGGTATTTCCATAATCATCCATTTCATGCAGCACTAGAAAAAGAAACCAGAATATGGATTAAATTTTGCTTAGACTGTATTCAACACCTCCTGAGTGCCTATACACTATAAAACTCAGTGCCAAGTGCAAATGAAATCAGCTGCATCTTTTTATGGAAACTAAAAACACAGCTTCAGTTCTAACGAAACATTTAATGGGAACCTAGTGGGAATATATAGAAGCATGAGAGTGACTTTATGAATTGAGTTAAATTTCTATAGGTAGCATTAATAAGAAATAGATCCTCCTATTGCTATATGTTTTTATCTATATGAGTTTTGGGATTGTAATAAAATATTGGGATTATATAAAAGCAAGAACTATGTCCCAGGCACTCTGCTAAGTTCACATGACCATTATTTCATTCAAGCCTCCAATAGCCTGCAAAGTAACACCATGACAAATTTTCAGAAGGAGGAAGATGTTGAGGTCCAGAGAGGTTAAAAGTCTTGCCAACATCACAGAGCTAGTAAGGAAGTATGAAAGTTACCATACTTCTCTGAACCTCAGCTTTCTTGTATTCAAACTTGGTAAAAAAAAAATTAAAAAAAAAACATATATTCATATACCTACACACACACACAGGGAGAGAGAGAGAGAGAAGAGAACGAGAGAGAGAGAGACCTTGTGATGTTGCAATGTTACTGGGACAATAATACTAAGTCATGTCTTTAAAGATCACAGCAGAGTGCCTGGCCTGTAGCAATGATTCAAAAAATGTTAACGAGAAAAAAGACACACTACTAATAAACCACAGGACTAGAATTTGAGCTTAAGCCCCTGATGCCACAAGTGGTTTCCACATATTTCTGCAATACCATATATGGTACTATGTACCCCGTGAGCTCAGCATATAAGTAATATGTCTTTTCATCCTGCAAAGTCCTATAGCTATTCTAAAATAGACATGGCTGTCTGCTTTATAAGCCTTGTAAATTGGTGGCAGTATATCTTTACGTCCAGGAAAGGAGAAAAAGTATTTGCTCATAAATATGATTTGGAGACCATCTACGGTACATGGTACTTGGAACCATATAGCCATGTTTTCTGTTTCTCTCCTTTTTAAAATGTGTCTCTCCACTATTTCCTTTCATTCATCTAAGTGTTTCATTCTAAACAATACACACACACATGCATGTACACACCCACACACACACATCTCTTGACCGTTCTGTCTGATCAAGAAGAATCACTCCATTCATCATTCCATTTGGCGCAAAACTTAAACAGGGATCTATACTTACAAACTCCCATTCACTAATTAAATAACTTGAATTTGGCTTTTATCCTCATCCCTTTTCAGAAATCATTTTTATTTTTATAGAGGTCACTGGACCCTTCTAATGTAGGGGCTTTATCTTGATCTCCTTCCTACTTGATCTCTTTGTGGCAAGGGCTCCTTCTAACTCTTCTGTCCCCGTAACTTCACCCATGGCATGTGTATTTTCACTATCTTCATCTTTTTCTGGCTTTTCCTCTGCCATCTGTCTCTTGATGTTGGTACTCTACTCTTAGCTACCTTTGCTAGCAATTTTGTGATCCCCTAAGGGATTTTCACACATTTCCACTGTCTCAGTGACTTCCTGTGCAATCACGCTCCTGTAGGGCAGGCCCTTTCCTTCTACATTTCTGTTGTGTGCTGGATATTTCCAACTGGATGTCCCCTGGGCCTTTGAAACTCACTGTGACCAAATCTCATACCTTCGCACTCACTTCCTTTCTGTTTTCTCATATTCTTCCTTTTGGGGGATGATTAAATTATTAGCCTAATCTCCTAAATTTAAGAATTTCAAAGTCAGTTCTAACTCCCTGCCCTTTCTCTTCCCATTTATTTTGCTGTCGAGCACTATTGACTTTATACACCAATATCTCTTGAACCTCTCCCTGTCTCCTTTTTGTAGCCTCACAACCCTGGTGAACTCTTATCCTCTCTTTACTACCAAAATAGCTTTTTAGCTTGGCTTCCACTTCTAATCCATCTTCCACAATATTGACAGAATTATCTTATATAGCAAAGGTCTTATCACACCACTTCACTGCCTTCATCTCTGTGGCATCCACCTCCTTCATTGTCTGCAGTTGAATTTCCTAAACAAGGTAGAGTGTACAAGGCTGGCATCTGGAAAACATCACTGTGGGAGTATGGTACACCTTCTTGAGGTGTCAATTTTATTTAATGATGATAATTTAAATGTAAAATAACCTCAATGGAAATAGTATAAAGGAATACATAAAATGTACATGCATTCTTACAATCTACCTAAAAATTCAAATGAAGTCTGTGCTTGTTGTGGGGTGTCCTAGATCTCTGTAATATGCTTTGCAGTATTTCAGTAGAAGAAGTTGAGGAGTGCTGGTGTGTAGGAAAACCCACAATTCTAAGTGAAATATATAGGCTCTTTATAATTAGCACTAATTACCCTTAAAAATCACTTCCTTCCATTCTTTCTAGTTAATTGAATGGGATGAATGATTTCTGGAAGATGAATTGTAATATTTTGTTACCTTCCAAAGAGGAATCTCTGGTGATCTTCTCCATTAGCTCAATTTGGCCTTCTGCTGCAGCATAATGCAAGAAGAAGGTGTCCATATCGTCACATCTTTTTAATTTCTTTTGCTTATTAAAGTTTTGTAATCCATATGCACTTCCTTCAAAAACCACCTAGAGGTATTTAAACACCATTATACCAAACAAGCATATGCAAAACTTATGGCTATAATCATTTTATAGCCTGAAAGAACTTATTATTATCCAAAACTATCTATCATGCTTATATGAGGTAAATATTTTTCTTGAAATACACAAAATGTTTACGGACACAAAGAAGGTTTGAGAAAATGCCCCAAGATTGATCAACACATGAAATAAATTTTTTTATCATGAACTCATTCATATATGCTTAGAAATAAAGGCCGTTCTTCCTCATTGTAAAGGAAATGCAGAAATCTTCCCCAAATGATTCAGATACTTGCTTCAATTCTACCATTGACCATAACTAGTCTCATATGCCACATGATAATATATGTCCAAACTCCAGTTTGTCATTTTGAAGAAAACTAGAGCATTTCTCACTACTGAAAAGAAAAGCTATCAGTGAAAATGAAGTATTAAGGTATTTAATGTATCCTTAATATAACTAAGAAAGGATTTAGAATATTAGGATTTATTCAGCAAATGTCAGGTTGGAATAATAAAACTTAATTTCTTAAACTTTTGAACTTTAGTTTTTGCTTTTGTTATTACAGAATAGTACCTAACAAGTCACTCTTCTATGGTAGTCTCTTGAGATGTGTTACTTTTTAACTAAAAAAAATTAAATTCCATATAAGCTACATATAACTTTAGTGACTACAGGATATGACAATGAGCATCCAACCACTTCCAAATTTACACATATTCAGTAATAAATTTAAAATGGGCTTCTTGCAGAAATAGGATCTTTTTCCATGTCTCATCCTATCAAAGAAAGTGTTGGCCTAAATCTATTTGGAAGCATTTTGGTACTTGAATTTGATATGCTCTTTGCGTAATAAAGGGATTATGCTGCCCACTCCCTAGTGCCGGAAAGAGCAGTTTGGGATGTCTGTTCAGCGATGTGCTGTCAACACAAACCCAGTTCCACACTCTTTAGAGGGAGTACTAGGTTCAGATGCTCACAAGGCACTATTGAATTCACAATAACAAAACAGCATCTAAATACTTTACATGAGCATATCAGACGTACTAGATCATCTCAATCAGTACCTGACGTTGTCAGGCTTTGAAAAGATTTTTTAAAGTTCTGAAAGTAAGCCAAGGATGTCATTTAGACAAAATATATATTCATTTAATGTAGTTTCATGTTGTCACAGGGTCACTTCAGATTCTTTTGGAATCTGAACTATGTGATTAGATTCAGAACATAATAGACTAGATCACTTTTAGATAAGCTAATTCTAACTAAACCCTTTAAAACAGATATATCAAATACATCTGTTTTAGGTTGCTTTAATGAAATACATATAAGTAGCAATGTGGCCAAAAGGTTGGAAACTAAGGTGAGAGATAAAAAATAGAAAGTCAAATGCTAAACTATTCACTATCTTGAAAGAAAATAATTGGAAAAGGCTAAAAGCATCAGTCCAATGGTTCTTTTTCCACATTTCTCATCTTGTAAGTTTTCTGTGATCCTTCAGTTTTGTTAGTGTTCCTGAGATACTGTGTATGTGCTGGAGAAAATATGTTATACAGCTTTTCTTTTAAATTAGGAAACAACCAAAAACCCTCTAGAGGTTAAAAAACCCTTCATAGTGTTATATATGTTTCTTTGTCATGGGTTCAACAAGAGATTTTTACAAAATGATATGGAACTACTACAGTTAATGAAATAAAAGATATAATCCTTCAATCTACAAACTCTATGTAGCTTCTAAAAGGCTTAAAAAACATAAGTTGCTCTACGTAGATGATAAATCTAAATAAAGACTATTAGAAACACGAAGACAAATAATTTTGAGACTCGCTGCTAAGAAATCCTTCGGCAAATATCGCTAGAAAATAAAACCACATGGGTGATTTTAGAAATTTAAAATTTCTTCCTGTACCATATTAATTGTAAAGATACTATTCCAGTGGTTGAAATCTATTTATGACTCAGTTCTCTGGAGTAAGCCAAAAGACCACAGTTATCATGCTAACATTAAGAAGGACAAAAAATGTCTGTGGCCAAACCGGACATGTCAACAGACTCACCTTGGGAGGCCTGGCTACTTGGTGTGTGTGATTAACTATACATGCCTGACTCACACACACAATTGGCAATAGTGCCAATTCCTGCAACCTGCTTAGAGAGCAATTTGTCAATTTCTACCAAAATTAAAGCTGTACATACCTCTTGACCCTGCTAGGACTTTGACATACAGACATATCCATAAAGGTACCAAGGGACAGACAGACAGAGAAGCTACATCTAAACTCACAGACATACTCTGTCACATGTGTAACAGCAAAACAAAACAAACACAAAACAGCTTAAGTGTCCATCAGTGCAACACTGGTTAAATAAATCATGATCTAGTCATACAGTGGAATATTATGAAGCTGGTAAAAAGAGTGAGGTAAATCTACAAGTGCCAATTTGAAATGTATTCAAAAATACATTTTGTGAGTAAATCAGAGTGGAAATCTGTGAGTTCTTAACTTTGCAAATAAAACAAGATCTATTAGCATGTGTGTTTTTGTGTAAGCATTTTTTTTAACCTGGAAAATTCTTAAGAAACTGTTAACATGGTCCCTCTGTCGAAAGAGATTTGTGATGAGGGTTTGGAGAGACCTTTTTAATGATGTCTCAACATTTTAAAAGAGCCCCTTTCTCCTGCTGACAATCTGATGAAATCCAGTGGTGGGCTCTGAGCACCCAACAGCCTCTATCCCTTAGACTAAGCCATCAGGTAGTAGCTAGTGCTGCCTTTAGGTCCGATAACTGCATAAGTAATAGAAGTGCCCATCCTAGAGCCTCAGGTCACTCACCCATCTTCAAAAGGTCACCTCCCCCACAGCGTTTCCTGAAGCTCCTACCCCTGGAGAAGGAATTTGCCACTCCTGCCTCCGTTTTATTGGGGACATTTTCTGCAACGCTCTAAGTGCAGACAATTGGTTTATCTGTTTCACTCTGTTAGACCAGAAGGCTTCTCAACCCCCAGAACTCTTAAATAGTTATCCAACGACTACCAGATACAGTCATTCGGCTATTTGGTTCTAAACAAAATCTACGGAAAGGTCCAAGTGAAACGGCACACATTCCAAATTGTCCTGATTTTAGGCAGCTGCCCGATCTTGTGCCAGATGATACAGATACTTTTTGAGTAGGTTTCCCTGGACTGCAGTTGCCCGTCCAGGAGCAAGAATTCGGTTGGACAAACAAGCAAACAAAATAGATAAAGCAGGCGCTGTGTGGGCGCGTCATTAGTAGGGTCACCTCTTGGATTGTGCACACACCCCAAAGCTTGCAACCCCCACGCTTTCTCCAAACCAAGGGCTGCCCCCAAGGAAACCTCCAGCCGACCCCCGCCCGCACGTCGGAACCCCTCCAGACCCGCGAGCCCCCAGAGTACCTTAAGCGATTCCTTGAAATCCTCCGTGTCGTCCGGCACATCCTCATAGACAACGCCCTGGGGCTCCTTCTTTTCTCCAGGGCGCCACATCTTCCTCAGGCTGCGCTTCATTGACCCCACCCCGGACGCCACCTGGTGCAGCTGCTCACCACGCGCGCGGGCACCTGGGGCGAGAGAGCGCTGTCAGCCTGCCAGGCGCTGGGGTCCGCGCGAGCCCGAGCTCTCCCGCGCTGCAGCTCACAGGCAGCGAAAAAGTCGCTCTGCGGAAGCCCTGGAGAACTTCTGGAAGGAGTTCTCAGGCCCGCGCTACTTTTGTAGTGCAGGAAGCAGGCGGGGCGCGGAGAGGAGGTAGAAACGCGGAGCTCCTTCGCAAAGAGGGCGGCGGCGCCGCGTCTGCCTTGGACTCGCCCCTTCAGGGACAAAGTGACTCGCCCGTCCCGCTGTCCTGCAGCTGCAGCAGCGCACTGACGGAGTCAAGCGTGTCAGGTCGGGGTGGATTGCAGAGAATTTGTTATAATAAACTAAGAGGCCCCTTGCCCTGCCCCCCAACCTTGCATGTGAGTGTGTGTGTGTGTGTGTGTGTGTGTGTGTGTGTGTGTGTGTGTGTGTTGGGTGGAGGGTGGGGGGTGTAAAGAGAGAGGAAGAGGGAATGACTGGGTATATTGGAAAGATTTTTAGTTTTCAGGAGTTTTTTCTAACTAAAATCCTACAGACCTGTGTTTCCCACCACGTGCACCTTCTTCTGGCGGCCTCTTTGATTTGGAAATAACGTTTTTAACAAAACTTCTCATTCCAAACGTTTGGGACAATAGCTACATCCTAGCACTGGTTTGAGGGACTAGATTAAGTCCCTGTGAATATCAGGTCTCATTTCCTGTGGATAATAACAGTGATCCCCCTCACACTTTGGTGTTTAAGGGTGGTTAATAAAAAGGTGAGGTTAAACGTAAGCCACTGCTGACTGGTGCAAGTTTGTTTGCCCCCAGCTTCATTTGAGAGACTTATATTTATAGGACTGCTCTTCATTAAGTGTCAATCGAAGTGTCTCAATCGAAGAGGCTGGTTCTACTTTTACGTACAGACAAGGGAACTGTCTGGTACAGACAAGGGAACTGTTGCCGTAAGTTCAGGTTTACAAGGCTAGAACGCAAGAAACCTTTCTAAGGCTGATTATACCTTGCACAGGACAGAATGTAGCTTTGACAGTCTTTTGCTTTGACAGACGGTGCTTCCTGAAGGCCCTGGATTGTCGTATTCACCTGCTCATCTCCAGCACTTAACTCAAGACCCCCGTGGATCCAGGAACTGGCATAGGTGCACTCAGCAACGGTTTGTGGACTCTCTGACCTAGGGGCTGTGGTGGGCTGAGCTTAGGGCTAGGCAGAGTGGACATGATGATATTGAGGAACCATGAAAGGTCCCCCTAAATCTTCCAATGGATATGGCAGGTTGCCATCAATTCCACCCCTGGAGTGGAATTCCTTGGAAGGATAATATTGAACTTAACCACATCATGAGTCCATGAGTATGGCTTGCTGGAGGATACAGGTGTTCAACTTCACCTTTGCACTCTTTTCTCATCAGCATCTGTGTTCAGGGTATGCAAGATAAGAATCAGTTGCACAACTTGCTATGATTTAGTTGAAGGAGGTAATGCATTTGGAGAAACCAATAAAGAAAAGAATCCCAGGGTTGGGTAAAAAGAATAACTCTCATTGAGCCATTGCTGCCTACCTGATATTTTCCATATACCAGTTTAATGTTTTAAAATGGAAATGCCTCATAGGAATATTAAGACTTTTTATTTTTTATCATTGATTATTTTGATCGATTGCTTTTCTCACAACACTTAGCTGGAAAGGGTCACTAAGGCAAAAACTGAATAAAGAGGATGTTCGAAGTGATCATTTTGGAAGCTGGGGCAGTGGGCATGTCATGGCAGCAAGCATCAGATGGCCCTGTTGGCCCCGAGAGACAGGGGGTGACAGGGGTGGGGGGGGGGGCAGCGTGGGCCAGTGCAGGGAACTCCAGCAATGGATGGTTGAGGGGAATTCTGGGAGAAGGGTGGCTCCAGGCCAACAGCACCCCTCCTTTGTAATATCCCCTGGAGTCTGCATTCTTGCTTCTCTACCCCACTGACATTCTCCAAAGCATGTATTCTTTTTAATTTGTCTTCTCTGTCTTTAACACTGAAAAATACAGTTGGTTAATATTATAGATATGATTTTTTTCCTGCTTTCTGCTTATAAAAGCAAATAGATTAAAAGATAGTTTAATTTTTAAAAAATATTATGGGGGTCTTGTTCCTTTTAGGCATTTTTCAGGCAGTGTCTTCCTAAGACCTCTCAGGAATTCCCATGACTGTTTCTTCTTAATCATTAAATTATTTCCTACCCATCAAAAATATCTTTTTCATAGGCAGGCAGGGCAACTTCCTCTAATTGCAAGATTAATTGCAAATCTTGGTCTTAAAATGCAAAATGTAAACAGGAACAAGATGGTATCTAGCTATTTACAATCAAGATCTTATTTCATTTGAAGTTTATTGATGAATAGCAGTAATGTGCAAGCTTTTTATATCAGTTATACTCTTAAAATGATACTTATTAGAGAAAAGAAACCTTCCTAGAAATTTTCTGAAGGTAATTTTTATTATCAAATTACAATTTGACATTACACAGGACCTTATTCAAGAAAATGAAAAGTAATAATAATAAATAATTTTATTTAAATTATCAAGGAAAATATAGTTATATGCACATATTGCTCAATAACATTTTATGAAAAAAATCTAAATTACCAAAATTCTCCTTAATTATTTTGTTCCTTAAATTTAAAAATGTTTTGTTTATAAATTAATTATAAAAATATTTATTTTTAAAGTCACTAATCCAGATATGTTATTAATGAAAAGGGGCCCAATATACATGCTAAGGAAAATAGCATCTTTTATGAAACAAAACATAAAATGCACCCATGGAAAGTGCACAGTTTGATGACTTGTAGTAAATTTATACAAGTATACAACTATCTCCACAATCCAGTTTTAGAATATCTCCATCAATCCAAAAAGTTTCCTTAGACCCAGATGCAGTAAATCCCTCCCCAACCCAGACCCCTAAGCAACCTTCAATCTGTCTTTGGAGCACACTTTCTATCTCTATAGTTTAGCCTTCTCTAGAAATTTCAGATACATGGAGTCATACACTATGTAATATTTAGTATCTGGCTTCTTTTGCTTAGTATAATACACTTGAGATTAACCCACATTGTACTATATATCAGTAGTTTCTTCCTTTTTATTGATCAATAGTATTCCATTGTATGGGTATACCATGTTTTCTTTACCTATTTATCAGTTGGTAGACATTTGAATTATTTCCAGTTTGGGTCTATTATAAATAATGCTGCTCTGAACATTTTCATACAAATCTGTGGACATACATTTTTATTTCTCTTGTTTAGAGAGATACCTAGTAGTGGATTTGCTGAGTAATGTGATAAGTATGTGTTTAGCTTTGTATGAAAATGCCTAATTACCTTCCAAAGTGGATGTACCATTTTATATGGCCTCCAGCAGTGTATGAGGATTCTACTTACTCCATAGCCTCACAAAACTTAGTATTGTCAATCTTTTTTTATTATGATCATTCTAATGGTATATACCATTGAGTCTCTAATTAGTATTTCCCTAATGGCTAATGATATTGTCCATATTAGCATGTCTTATTATTCACTCATATATTTTCTTGATGAAATATTTATTAAATTCTTTTGCCTCTTTTTAAATTGCGTTGTCTTCTTACTATTAAATTGTAAGAGTTCTTTATTCTAAATATAACTCTTTAAACAGATAAATAATTTGCAAAGTTTTTTCAGAAGCTGTTATTTCTCTTTATTTTCTTAATAGTGCCTTTTGAAAAGCAAAACTTTTAATTTTGATAAAAGTCTAATTTGTTAATTTCCTATATTGTGTTTTGGGTGCCATAGAAACTTTTGCCAATTCAAAATTAAAAAGCTTCTCTTCAGTATTTTCTTCTAGAAGTGTCAGCTCTTAACTAGATCAATTTTGAGTTAATTTTTTGTTCGGGTTGTGGGGTAGAGGTCTAAGTTCATTTTTATTGCATATGGATATACAACTGTTACTAGTTGTTAAAAAAACTATACATCCCTCATAGAACTGCCTTCAAACCATTGTCAAAAATCAATTGACTACAAATGTAAGAGTTTGTTTCTAGACCCCTATCTTCTTCCATTGATTAATATCTCTATATTTAAGCCAATACCACATGGTCTTGACTTATATATTCAGGTTATTAATCTCTTGTCAGATGGGTAGTATGATGGTTAATATTAGGTGTCAACTTGACTAGATGGAAGGATGCCTTGATGGCTGATGAAGCATTGTTTCTGGGTATGCCTGTTGCATTTAGTCTATAGATTGATTTGGTGGGAAGGGCCATGTTTAAAATATTGAGTCTTCTGATCCATAAACATGGTATATTTTCAGTTTATATATATCTGTCTTGATTCTCTCAGCAGTGCTTTGTAGTTTTCTATGTACAGTTCATGCATATTTTTGGTTAAATGTATTCCTAAGGATTTTATTAATTTTAAGCTATTTTAAATGAAATGATTTTCTTAATTTTACCATCAGATGATTTGCTGTTTACAGAAATACAATTGAATTTTCCAAGTGATCTTGTTTTCTACAGTATTACTAACTTTGCTTATTAATTCTAGTAGATTTTTAAGAGACTTTTTAGAATCTTAAACATATAAGACAATGCTAATAAAGACAGTTTGCTTCTTCCTTTTGCAATTGTATGCCTTTAATTTTTTTTCCCACCTCAGTCACTGATTAGAAGCTCTAGGACATTGTTGAATAGAAGAGGAGAGAGTGGATATCCTTACCTTTTTCCCAATCTTAGGGGGAAAGCAATATCTTTCAACATTAAATATGACATTAAAGTAGGATTTTCATAGATGTCTATTATCAGGTTGAGGAAAATATTTTATAATTTGTTTTTATCAAGAGTGGGTGTTTAATTTTGTCTGATACTGTCTCTACAACTATTAAGATGATCACATGTTTTTTTCTCACTTACATTATTTTATATTAATAGATATTCTAATATTAAACCAACCTTTTCATATGTTACTGGATTCAGGTTGCTAATATTTTGTCAAAGATTTCTGTGTTTAGGCTCAAGAAGAATATTGATCTGTAGTTGCCTCTTTTTGTGATATCTTTGTATAGCTTTGCTATCAGTATAGTAGTGGCCTCCCTGAATAAGTTTAAAACTGTTGTCTTCTATTTTCTGAAGTAGTTTGTATAATATTGGTATTATTTTTTTTAAAGGTTTAATAGAATTCACCAGTGCAGGCCTTTGGGAAGATATTTAATTACTAATTCAATTTTTATCTTTTGTAGAGCTATTTTGATTTAATATTTTTGCTTGAGTAAATTTTGGTAATTTGTTGAGAAGTTTGTCCATTTAATCTAAGTTGTCTATGTGTTTGTTGGCACAAAGTTGTTCATAGAATTCCTTTACAATCAATTTAGTCAATCAGTTTCTTGTAGGGTGTGTAATAATGCCCCTTCTTTCATTCCTGTTTTTTGTCATTCATGTAATCTCTTTCCTAGCTAATAGTTTATCAGTTTTGTTGATTGTTTTTCAAGAACCAACTTTTGATTTTATTGATTTTCTCTATTGTTTCTCTACTTTTGTTTCATTTTTTTCTTTCTTTAATTTTTCTTTCTAATTATTTGGGTTCAATTTGCTCTTCTTCCTTTACCTTTTTGAGGTAGAACATTCAGTTGTTGATTTTGGATCTTTCTTCTAATATAATTGTTTAAAGATACAAAATACTTACTCAACTTTACAGTAGCTGCATTTCATAAATTTTGATTTGGCGTGTTTTCAGTTCTGGTTTCTTCTTTGGCTCACAAATTACTTTTGGAACTCTGTTGCTTAATTTTCAAGTATGTGGGATTTTCCCAAATTTATTTCTGTTGTTGATATTCAATTCACCCTGTTTATGGTCAAAGAACATACTTTGTATTGTTTCAATCCACGTAAATTCAAATGTAGAATTGTTGAAACATTTTATGCCTAGCGTATGGTCTATCTAGTAGACTGTTCTACATACACTTGAAAATAATGTATTTTCTGCTATCATTTGGTAAAGTTTCTCAGTATGTTATTGGGTATACTTCGGTGATAGTGTTGCTCAAGTTTTCTATATTCTTAGTGATTTTCTATTTATTATGTTATCAGTTACTGAGAATATTAAAATATCAAATTATAATTGTTAAATTGTCTATTTCTTCTCACAATTCTGTCAGGATTTATACTCCATTGAGCGAGTGTCTTTGTTCTTAGATGCATACTTATAATTATTGTCTTCCCACTATATTTTCCTTTTTATCATTATGAAATTTCCTTTATGGTCTTTAGTAATATTTCTTATTTTAAAGTCTATTTTATCTGATATTGTCATGCCAGATCACTTATGCTTACCATTCAGATGGCAGATCTTTTTCCATCCTGTTAATTTTAATCTATTTGTTTTTAAACTGTTTCTTATAAATAGCATATAGTTGAATCTTTCTCTTTTATACAGGTTGACAGTCTCTCCCTTTTAATTACAATATTTACTCATTATATCATTGACATTTAATATGATTATTGATATGGAACTGCCATTTTAATATTTGTTTGTTTGTATCACATATTTTTCTTTCACTCTGTTTTTTCTCTACTGCCTTCTTTTGTATCCAACAATTGTCTTAACATGCCATTTTAATTCATCGGTAGATTGTTTGGATGTTTTCAGGTTATTTTCATAGTATAGTGATTACAATGTTCATCTTTAACTTATTACAGTCTACTTTAGATTAATACTTGTTTAATTCAGTAAACTATGGCAATGTTCCTCCAATGTATCACAATTTCCTCTCCCATTTTATGTTGTTATTGTCATATGTAATACATTTATACATCTATGCATGGTATATACTCTAAAATAGTGTGTTATAATTCTTCTTTTTAAACAATTTCACATTTTTAAAAGAAATTAAAAGAAGAAAATAGGATACACAAACACACACACGGACTTTTATATTTGCCTACTTATTTACCATAGCTAGTGGTCTTCATTTATTCTAATAGATTTGAGTTACTGTCTGCTACTATTTTCTTTCAATATGAAGGATTTCTTTTAGAACATCTAATAAGGCAAGTCTGCTTGGAAAATAAAATAAGGAATACTTTTTGCTGGATATAGAAGTTTTGTTTGATACACATTTCTTTCATCACTTTGAGTATTATTACATTGCCTTCTGGCCTCCATTGTTTTCAATGAGAAGTCAACAAATTATCTTTTTTTTTTTCAATTAGATAAGTAGTTTTTCTCTTCCTAATTTCAAGATTTTTCTCTGTCTTTCAGCAACTTGACTCTAAGGTATCCATGTATTGACATCTTTGTGTTTAACTTCCTTAGTGTTCATGGACCTTCTTGAATTTGTAGATTAATACTTTTTTTTTCAAATTTGAACAGTTTTCAGTCATAATTTCTTCAAATAATTTTTCTTCTCCTTTCTCTTGCTCTTTTCTTTTTGGGACTTCCATTATGTATATGCTGGTAAACTTAATGTTGTCCATGTTTCTGTTCAATATTTTTAGTCTTTTTTATCTCTGCTTTAGATTAATTTTTATTTATCTGTCTTCAAGTTTACTATTTCTTCATTGTTTCCAAATCTGCTATTGAACCTACTAGTAAATTTTTCATTTATATTATTGTCTTTTCAACTCTAGAATGCCCATTTGGTTCTTTTTGTTTTTAGTTTATATTTATTAAAATTCCATTGTTGTTTTGTCATTCTCAACATATTTTCCTTTCATTCTTTGAAAATGTTTTCTTTATCATTCAACATCTTTATATTAGCTGATTTGAAATACTTAACTGCTAAATCTAACATCTATACTCAAATAGAATTAGTTTCTGTTTGTTCCTTTTTTCCTCTTTCTGAGTATGGGCTACACTGACTTGTTTCTTTGCTTGTCTTATAACATTTTGGCTTATAACTGGACGTTTTAGATGAATATCACAGCAACTCCAGGTTTTGATTAATTTTTAAAAATATTTTCTGGCCGGGCACAGTGGCTCACGCCTGTAATCCCAGCACTTTGGGAGGCCGAGGCGGGTGGATCACGAGGTCAAGGGATCGAGACCATCCTGGCTAACATAGTGAAACCCCTTCTCTACTAAAAATACAAAAAAAAAAAAAAATTAGCCGGGCATGGTGGCAGGCGTCTGTAGTCCCAGCTACTCGGGAGGCTGAGGCAGGAGAATGGCATGAACCCTGGAGGCGGAGCTTGCAGTGAGCCGAGATAACACCACTGCACTCCAGCAGGGGTGACAGAGCGAGACCATCTCAAAAAACAAAAACAAAAAACGAACAAACAAAAAAAAATTTTTCTGTAACTTTCTCGGGCTTAAACTGTAGAATCTGTTTCCCATGTGGTTTGTAGCTACTCCTGTTTCTGTTCAGATATTTTTAATTTAAATTTTAGTTTTTATCCTGAATTCTTAGGGTCATTATCTACATGAATGTGTATTTATTAAGTAAAATAATCACTTTTTTATTGTTGTTCAGTGAGTCGAAAGCTGGGTACTAGTTAAAAAAGCTGAACATATAATCATAGTCACAGAGATGAAAGTTGACAAATTTGTATAGATGAACGTATCTGCTTCTCATTCTTACAGTCATTTTAAATTTTATTTCAATCTGGAATTTCATTAGGCTACAGAACTGTTTAGGTTATAATCTATTTTAGTTTTGGAAGCACTCACCTATGATACCATTAAAATATGATGTATTTTAGGGCTCAGCATTTGACTGTATTTTTGATTTTTGTATTGTTATTGTCTATTTAGATTTTCTGTCTTTTTGAGTCAAATTTATCAATTTTTAGTTTCCTTGAAAATAATCCATTTCATAAACATTTTTAAAAATGTATTGGGATTCATAGTATCCTCATAAATTTCTAAATCTTCCCTATATCTGTTCCCACTGTCTTGCTTCTGATGTTTATTTGTAATTTGTAAGATTTTTTTTATTTCTTAGAGATTTGATTTTTTAAGGAAACAACTTTTGGTTTTAGCAGTCCTATTTTCTATTTTTTTGTTTCTTATGAAATGTTTTCTGCTTTTATCCTTCCTATTTAGCTTCTTTTTCATGTGAAATTATTTGAGAATTGATTTTGAAGTTTTTCTAAAAATTATCTTACTTTATTTATTTTGTCTGTTTTAAATTATTTTATACGTGCTCTTAAAATGATAATTTTTTTTTTTTTTTTTTTTTTGAGACAGGGTCTAGCTCTGTTTCCCAGGCTGGAGTACAGTGGCATGATCTTGACTCACTGCAACCTCTGCCTCCCTGGTTCAAGCAATTCTCCTGCCTCAGCCTTCTGAGTAACTGGGATTACAGGTGCCTGCCACCACACCCAGCTGATTTTTGTATTTTTAGGAGAGACGAGGTTTCATTCTGTCGGCCAGGCTGGTCTCGAACTCCCAACCTCGTGATCTGCCCGCCTCAGCCTCCCAAAGTGCTGGGATTACAAACCTGACCTCAGCACCCGGCCAGTGATAAAATTTTATTTGAGAATCACTTTTGTTGTCTCATCAGTGTTGAAAAAGCATGCTTTTAAAAGTTATTTCTTACTAACTCTAACATTTGAATTCTAATTTCCTTTTCAATGCAAATATTGAAAATGATGTTTTAAATTTTCAATGGCTAGGGACTTTTCAAAACAAACTTTTTCATGTTAGTTTGTGATTTTATTGATAGTGCTCAGTTATCTTATATTGCCTACACTTTTTAAAAATTTGTTGAGATTCTATCGTCCAATATATGGCTGAAGTTCCATTTAAGGTAGTATTTTTAATATAGCATTTTATATAAATTCATTAGCTAAATCTTATCAATTGTTCTTCAAGTCTTCTACCTCATTATTTTTCATTTACTTGATATGCAAACATGTATAGTAAGGGATTCCACCACAGTTGTGGAATTGACAGTTTAGTCATGTATATAATCAGTTATTTATTTATATACTTATAAACTATGTTTTTAATACAGAAATGTTCATAACAATGGTGGTAAATTTATACCTTGAATTATAATCTAATCAATATGAAATATATATTTATCTTCTTTAATTTTTTTATACTTGAATTTCATTTTTACTAGATATTAACACTGCCTTACCATCTTTCTCTTTGTTACTATTTTTCTAACATATTTTTCTATTTTTTAGTTTCAACGTTTATCTGTACTTTTTTTCCCTTTAGATGTGTTGCATGCAAGCAGCTTAGAGTTGGTTTTATTTTGTTTTTAACCCAATCTTCTTTTTAATTGGGAAGTTTAGTTTATTTATATTGATTGTGATCATGGATACGTTTGCATTTGTTCTTTTCATATGACTTAAAAATTTTCCTGTTTTCTTTTTTATTGTTTTATTTCCTCTTCCTGGTTAGGTTCACCTTGTGCATTTTGTTTTAACCTTTACTGATTTGGGGAATGCGTATTCTACTTTTTATTTATTTATTTTTTTGAGACAGTCTTGCTCTGTCGCCCAGGCTGGAGTGCAATGGTGTGATCTTGGCTCACCGCAACCTCTGCCTCCCGGGTTCAAGCAATTCTCCTGCCTCAGCTTCCCGAGTAGCTGGGATTACAAGCATCTGCCACCATGCTCGGCTAATTTTTTTGTATTTTTAGTAGAGATGGGGTTTCAACCTGTTAGCCAGGATGGTCTCGATCTCCTGATCTCGTGATCCACCCGCCTCAGCCTCCCAAAGTGCTAGGATTACAGGCGTGAGCCACCATGCCAGGCCCTTGCACATTCTACTTTTTCTTATGATTTTCCTTAATTTTAACAATCACACTTAAGCTTAAGATTTTTATCAAACTCAAGAGTTAATTATTATATCTTTCTCATTTAGAATATAATAAGCTTAGGTCTTCCTTTATCACTTCTCCCATCCATAGTTATACATTCTGTAATTTTTATCATTCTTTGTCTCGTATTCAAATTAGGTTTTCCGCATTCTGTACACACATAATTCTTCCAGAGGTGGTATGTTGGTACTAAAATTTCTTTTAGCTTTTACTGTACTGAAATTGTCCTTATTTTGGCTTCCTATTGAATAATTGTTTAAATAAATACAAAATTCTTTCACAGTTGTTTTCTCCAGAAATTGGAAGATTTTGACGTTACTTCTTAATATCAATTTTGCAGATACAGTGTCATATCAATCTGTTTCTAATTCATTTCTTTATAAGTTATTTTATTTTCTCTCTAAACTCTTTTAGAATTTTTATATTCCTTCTTGGTATTCTGAAATATCACCACTATGCAACTCAATAAAGATTTTCTATTGTTTACCTTGTTCTGTACTCTAAAACAATTATTGGGAAATATCATTTCAATCCAGTAATTATCTTTCTTTGGCTTTGGGAAATTTTATTCCATTATATTGGTATTATTATTTATTTCTGCATATCTCAGTCATCTTTTCATGGCAAGTGGTAGAAAAACACAACTAAAATGACTTAACAAAAAGATAAACTAATTGATCCCAGTACTAAAATGGCCTATGTTGGTACTTATTTAAGTACCAGAGTCTCACTCTCATTAAAGCTGATTTTCTCTTTCTTTTAATTTTTTTTATAGGAAGAAATTTTACTACTTCTTTGAAGGCTCACCTCTTTATCTATGGCAGCCTCAGGCTGAAATCTTCCAAGTTTATGTCCAGTGGTATGGTGACTGAATTTTCTACCAGCTCTGTAAAACTCCATGGTGTATTACTGGCTGTAATTGGGTTATGATTTCAATTTCTTAGCTAGTCACCATAGCCAGAAAAACAATAATCTGATTATGCAGACCTGAGATTCATGCCCTCTGTTGAAATCAGGCATGGAGCCAGCTTTACCCAAATTGAATTTGAGTAAACTCAGAATGGATTGAGAATGAGACAAGAATAGTTTCCATTGCCCTAAGAGAAACTGAAGTATGCCGTTGGCAAAAGAAGGAGGAATTGATGTTCAGTGTCTATTTCTAGCTGAACATATAGATGCTCCTGTACTTTCCATTTTCTCTGTCTGATTTTTCTGAGTGCATATTAAAATTTCTTAACCCATTTTCCTTGTATCTTAAGCTTATCATTCACATTTTTTCTTTGTCCTTTTATATTGTATTATAGGAATATTCTTTGAGTTGATCTTTCAGCCCACTGTTTTGTTTTTCAGTTATATGGATCTATCAAATATATATATATATATATTTTAATTGCATGAAGAAAGTTTTATTTCAAAGTCTCCAATTGAGTCTTTGTCAATGTAACATATTCTCACATTTTAAATTTTATTTTATTCTAATGCCCTGCTTTGCTTGTCCTATTAACCTCATTTTCTCATTATAATAATGTTAGTTCCTTCTAATGTTCAATAATCTCTCTGCTCATTTTTGTATTTTAGATCTCTGTCCACTTACCTCCTCTAGTCACTAAGATCAGTCTCTGATGACAGAGGCTGGCTGTGCCGCTAGGAGGGCAGCTCTATGTGCTTCAGCTCCCATTCTGGGAACAGGAGCTCCTTGTCCTTCCTGGAGCATTGCTCTGCCTCAGGGCCCACTTGCCCACACTCTGCCTTAGCCTATGGGCAGACACTTTTGCTGCCTGTTGCTTAGTACAGATCAGAGAGGGGAGTGGTGCTTGCTAGCCTAGCTCTCACCTTCGTTTCTCAATTAATAACTTGTCTGATGAATGCTTGAAGCTGTCTTTGTATCTTGTGGCAATTGACTTTGTGTTCAGATCTCCTCCTTCACTCTTCCCATCACAGCATTCTTTTGCCTATGTTTAGTTCATGTTTTGCTTCAGTTTAACAACTTTGTATATTCAATCCTATCTACTGTCTATCTTTCCAGAATCCTTTAACATTTCTAGTCTGTTGGTGGCATTCTTTTTTTCACCCTGTTTTGGATTTACTTTTTCTTTGAAAACTTTTTTTTTTTTTTTTTTTTTGCTGTTTTATAGGATTTCAGATGGGAAGGAGGGTAGATATGCATGTTTAGACAACAATCTCAATCCAATTGCTTTCTTTTAGTTTCTGTGTAATTAAAAAATTCTATTCTGTTTCTTCCAAATCATATGGAAAGGAGAAAATAACTTTATAGCCTGTCTTGAAATATTTGAATGACAGAAAAGTATTGGGTCAGGGAGGAAGGAAGGAGCTAATGTTCATTGAGAGTCTACTACTCATCAAGCTGTGTCTTTAGTTTGGTGACAACTGAGTTCCAGATGGAAAATTTTGTTTAATATGGATAAGTAATGAGATAAATTACACACCCACACCCACACACCACTTTGACATCTATGAAATGCTGTTTTCTACTGGTAATCAGAGAAACTTAATGTACTTTGTTATAGAGAAACCTAAGCATATCTTGCTCTTTCTACTCCCCAGAAGACAAGCTGATATACACAGGTTATCCAAAGCAGCACCATTCCCAGGGCTCTTGGCAACCATGATCTAGAGTGACTATTAATGCAATTAATAAAAAGCCAAATCTGATAAGATTATTTAAAATGTGAGATATTAAAAAAGCTAATTAAGTTGGCCTCCAGACAAAGGAAATCTTGCTAAGAGTCATTTGTTTTACAGCAAATCGTATTTCAAATTTTAGAATAAAATAAGATGTATACATGTATCTTATTTGTATTAAATTCTTGTGACTATGCACATATTTTATTACTTAACTTAATCAGATGATGAACTTAATCTTTCTGTTGTGAATTTTTAATTCTAACTATTTAACCTGAAGCAGTTGCCAAAATTTAAAATGTTTCCGTGATATCTGCCAGTGAATGAGAGATATAGTAGATTTCTCTAAATACAAGTAATACTTTATAGGATTTGGAAGTACAATTTAAGGTACTTATTAATTATAAAAATCTTCTATGGTGCAACTTTCCTTGCTATGCACTTAATTTATACCCAGATCATTTCACACCACAACCCACACGAGTAAGACCACAAAAAAAAGTTCTTATCTCATGAAGAATCTTTGCTATTTAATAATTTTATTATATGTGGAAGCTTTAGAATACTGAGCTACTTTATTATATAAAAATATTTTATTGTATTTATCTTAAGCAGCTAACACAATATCTTTAGTTCAAAGTTTGTCTTCAGTCTATAAAGACATTCTTGTTTGACTGTTTCAAAAATATACTAATTTATCCCAGTCTAGAGGAAACCTTTTTAGGATCCTAAGACACAAGCTTCTCAGTGAATTCTAGACAACCACAGCTCAAAAAATTCAAACAAAATTAGATGTATAAAAGTTTTTACCTCATCTAGTTCATGGTGGTAACTATGTCAGATTGAAACAAAATAACATTAAGTATAAAATGAGAACTTTGTTTTTACAGTTAAAATCCAAACTGGCATTCAGATGTATATGTTAGTATAATAATTATACTTATTTTATATATCAGAAACCTGTACTCATCTTGTGAAATACATGCCTTATCCTTTAAAAATTGGAAAGTTACAAGATATTGAAGAAAAGGTATGCTTACCTTTCTTCATGGAAATTGACATCCTGTTTCTGATGTTACACAGGCATAAATAATCAAGCGGAGAAGTGTTCCTTTCCTCACACAGGCAATAGGTTGCACCCACTTTAATAGTCCCATATAATTATATAAGGGGTGGTTCATTCTAAGAGTCAATATTATGCCTTTTTATTAGACTACATGGTGGGTGATCACTATGTATTCATAATTTGAACTTTGAAATTTTATTACTGTCTACTTGAAACCAATCACTTAATTTAATTATTGCTTATAAGTTTGTTTCACCTACCATGGTTCCTTTGTAATGCAAAACCACAAACCAAAGTCCAGTAGTTTCCCCTTATCCATGGGAGATACTTTCTAAGACCCCCCAGTGGATGCCTGAAACTCAGATAGTACTGAACCCTATATATACTATCTTTTCCTTATAAATATGTACATATGATAAAATTTAATTTGTCAATTAGACACAGCAAGAAATTAACAACAAAAATAAAAAAAGGAACAATTATCAACACATAGTATAAGAAAATTTATGTGAATGTGCTCTTTCTTAAAATATCTTATTCATTGTACTCACCTATGCTTGGGCTGCAGTTGACCACAGTAATTGAAACTGCAGAAAGTGAAATCTCAGAAAAAGGATGACTACTATAGTTAACAGTAGTAGTCATAAGAGAATTACATAGCCTTTGTGGAAAACTAATTGCCATCCTCCTACTGAATAAAAGAGAGATTATCAAGAAAAGTAAATGAAGAATTGCAGCATTGTCATTTACTCCTTAAAATCTGTTATGCATCAGTAAATTGAAGACAAAACTGAACTATCCAAGAGAATGTACCAAAATAAAATATGGCAAATTCCCATACCATCAACATGTATCTGTGTCTCCCAGAGATATGACTCAGGGAAGCATAAACTTCTAAAGAAAGTAGTTAACAAATTATCTTGTGAAAACTGTAATGTTTTACTAAATCAAGCTAACTTTAGACATCAAATATGACAACTTGATTGAAAATGCCTCATCTGATGCATTCTCTATTTTCTGTCCCTAAGCATTTTTATTTACTCTTAATTATTAATTCAGAAACATTTATTGACTAGTAACTATATATGATGTGGTATATTAGGATCTCCCAAGAAACTCCCAGGTTAATAAGAAAGAAAGGAAAGTAGATATTTGCAGCAGAATGTGCAGAGTGTAATATGTACACTAACTGTGGCAATAAGGGTTGGTATCTCAATTATGCAAAGTCCAAAACAGTATTCTTAATCAGCCAGAGACTTTTTTCAACTGATGGTTCAGAGACCAAGCATTCTACCACAGAGTACCTCTTTCATCTTCAATTCATGGTTTTCTATGTTGTCATGTTCACTTATATTGAACCATGAAAGGGAAAGAGCATAGAGCAGTTCTGGGGACATTGTTTTGGATCAGGTCTGTTGTGGCCATGTAGCTACAATAACTGCAAGGGAGGTTGGAAAGTGTAGTTCCTAGGAGGAAGAGGAAACACATTTGTCAATATTTCAGGTGCTGTGGGACCACAGCTATGGGTGAGGGTTGGTCAGGGAAGGCTCTCTGAAGAAAGGGCTGTCCATATTGTATTGATTTTGGTGAGGGAACTAGCCAGGAGAATATTGGAGTAGCAAAGGAAAACCAATGCGAGCAAGATCATCGTAGATGGAAGAGCATGTGCAGATCACAGATGGGAAAGAGGTTGGCGAAATGAAGAAATTGCAATATGGGTTCTCATGAAGGAATGGAAAGAAAGGAGAGCAAGAAGGACTATGGATGCTTTTGTAATGGGGATGTCCACCTTGTAAGATTTAAGACTCCATTTTTTTTTTTTTTTTTTTTGAGATCACCCAATCAGCATTGTAGGTGGTGAAGTAAGCAGGCCAAGAGTAAGGTCAGTAAAATCAGTAAGGATGACATCATGGTCATAAACTCAGAAAGGTTGAAGTCTTGAACTGTAGCAGTGGAAATTAAGAGTGGGAAGGATTTATTAGACCTCTAGGACATAGACAGTCTGAACTTGGAGGACAATTTGAGGGTGAGATGAGTGAAAGCAGGGTCTAATGTGACTTCAAGATTTTTGACTTCCTGGGAAGAACAGAGGGAGGAAAAAGTGGGGTATGTTCAGAGGCAGGAGGAGGAAAAGACTCCGTCATCAAGAAAGCCATGAGATGACAGTTTTAAAATGGTAGAAAAATATAACTGCAAAAGTTGCAAAAAGGTGAAGAAAATGAGGATCAAAAGGTCTTTTTTCAGTGTGGAAATTAGAATCTCACAGGTGACTTGCTAAGTTCAACTTGAGAATCTAAATTTATTGATTAACAGTAAGCACTTCAACAACACTGGAAATAAAGCACCACAGTCATGCCAGAAATTTGTTATAAGTAATAGAACAGCTTACCCTAGTGTTTAAGTGATTTAGTTATAGAGACAAAAGGGCTTTAATATTAAATATTAATATTTAATATTTATCACAGTGATATTGGGCAAAGTTTAAAATGAATCTGATTATGCTTTGAATAGTACAGAACTATTGGAATTCTAACTTTGATATTTATTCATGTGAAAAGCTTTCATCTCTGTGTAAATTCTTTGGGAACCTTGATGATGGTAATGCATACGATTATTATTACTCAGAAGTCATACTGAGTGTTGAAATTTGCAATAATGATTTTAAAATTTCAATATTAGAGTGATAGAAAATTACACTATAAGCAACAGTAATGACTTGTGGACCTCATGACAACAACATTTCAAAGTATGTAGGATCAGTAAGGGTATTTTGAAGCCTGCTTATGTGATAATAATATAATTGAGTTATTATTTATTAGCCAAAGCTAAACATTTTAATAGCAGGCATTTCGTATGCAGTAAAAAAAATCTCTGACTGACAAAGAACAGCTTATAGACAATTAGCAAAACTGGAATTAGTAGAATAGAAAATCGTGGTTGTATTAAGAAAATCTCTCAAAAATTAAAAGGTAATACTGAGTTGTCTGTAACAAATCTCAAAGAACAAAAAGTGATACAGAAATAATGTATTGTATATTTAGTTATAGAATCTTTGATCCTATTAAAAACTAAAATAATATGCCTTTTATATTCTATTAGAAGGCAAAAACTTAAGTGGAAAAATGACCTACATCTTTATTAAAATTATAATATGGTGGATTACTATGAAAAACAGTAGTAATCTGTCTTTTGTTTGGTTGTTTTGGTTTTATTTTTCTGTTGGCTCACCAGGGATGAGATAAATACAGTGTTATAAATGTCCCATGTTATAAAATAAGACAAAACATAGACCAATACAGACAGCACTACAAAAATTGATCTATTTCCCCAATAGGAAATCAGCAAACCATACCCAAATTACCTGGCTATCCACCGAAGACTCCACCAATGCTCTGCTAAATCAGACTTTTACAGGCCAGGAGAACAAGGGTCGTGCAATGATGTAACATTTGCAATAAGATGAAGTTTTAGCACCCAACCTGCCACCTGAAAATTTTATAACCTTAGGTTGGTCATTTTATTTCTCTGAATTTCAGATCCCTTATGCACACAATGGAAATAATAAAATCACCTTCATTAGGGTTATGTCAGAAACAAAGCAGACAACGTATGAGAAAATTCTTATTATACTATAAAGTACTATATAGCATAATCATCTGGGGTTTACAAGTGGCATTACATAATGCTTATTTATTATGCTGATGATCCTTTTTCAATAATACAAGAAAGCATTAGGAGCACAATACAAGATAGACCATTTATGAAACTTTCAGGTAGAGAAACAATATATCTTGGACTTTTCTAAAGCCAAACATGCTTTATTATTGTGGTCTTAGGAATAAGATAAATCTTTGGGGAAATGGCTATAGAGTAACTTTTTAATTGAGTTGCTGTAATAACAGGAAAACTAATGCAGCTTATGCTTTCTCAGAACTCTACATCACCAAGATATTTACAGGAATTTGCAGGCATTGTTCACATTTATCGAATGACCACAATAACCTGTTTTATATGCATTACTTCATTTAGATGCTTAACATTTGTTATCCCATTGAATTCTTACAGCAACTTATGAAGCTGCCCCTATATTTTTCCTATTTTACAGATGAGGAAACTAAGGCATAAAGTGGTGAACTGACTTGCCCAAAAGTTCCTTAGAAACAGAGATTCCATAAACGTCTTTAGTTGCCAATTCTAACGTTAATAATCTCCAGGCATCAACAAGCTGCCTCCCCTCCTCCTTTCACTGCTCTACTCATGTAATTATTATTTTCATCTGTAAACATTGAGCCTTCATGGTCTGATTCATCCTGACTGTGCTTCATAAATATGTCCACAAAAATTGCCTGCCCAAAAGGAAATACTTCCAGATAAATTTCCTGTGCTGTGGTTAAAGAAAATGAAACAAATTACGATCACTTGCTTGTTCATTAAGGTAAATATATCCAAATTAGGGTTAATATTGAATGAACTATTTGTTGCCCTCATTGAGATATTCCAAGCACAGACTCCAGGTAAATAACCAGTTAATCTCTAATAAAGGCCAAATTGAGAGCCAGTGTGAACACAGCTGCCCCATTCCCTTACAAATCTCTTCATTTTTATTGAAAACATCAAAGGCAATATCTGTTTTCTTTTATATCTAATAAATTTAAAATAAGTCTCGGTGTACACATCGAAATAAAATATTAGAATGACCATATTGCCAAACATTAATCTCTTATTCAATTAAGATTTGCTGAAGACCCTCTGGGCTAGTTGATGGAAGTCTACAAAAGACTGGTTTCAGTCTTTTTAGACATGGTTTCTGGCCTGAAAACTTTCTCCTAGAGAGGAAAGCACTTAGGTGTGCTTACAGGAGTCAAGAAATGGTGGCAAAGGCATTTTAGGGAGAAGAAACTGTGTGGATAAAGTTTGATACCCTGAAAGAGTCACAGTTTTTCAGTACTCTTAGTGCATGAAGCCTACAGGGTACAGGCTGCATAGCAAAGTAGAAGTGAGATTGTTAAAGGTTTTATCTTCATCTCGCAGTTTGTATGGGACACCAAAAAATGTGGGGCAAGATTAAATTTGCTTCTCAGAAAAGTTAGTCTGATGCTTGTCTGAGGAATAAATTGGAAGGCGCAGAAACAGTTAGAGGTCCTAACAGGCAGGAGATGATGAGGGCCTGACTGAGGGCAGTAAATGGGAATGGTGAGACCTGGTAGTTGCAAAAGCTTTATAGTAGGCAGAGGCATCATGAATTGTAAGGAATTTGATATGGGTGAGTGAAGGAGGATTTCTCATTTCTGAGATTATTCTGTTTCTGGGCAGTGGGGTCTCATTTATCTGAGGATCAAGAGAGGTCCGAGTTCAAGGTACAGTTGAGGCTACCAGAGCAAATGAAATCAACCAAAATGAATCAGTAGAGCAAAGATAGCAAGCCAGATGAGTAGCAGAAATGAGTGGGTCTAACTCTCTAATAGATCTAAGAAAAAAATTTTGAGAAATAAATGTAGATAGGTAGGGAAGGAAAAATTACTGTGCAAGCCACTGACAGTGGGGAAACTAGTGAACCCATGTACTTTTCAAAGCCCATCTACTCGAAGTGTGGTCCACAGACCTTCCACTGTGACCTCGCCTGAGAACTTCTTAGAAAGGCAGAATCTCAGGCCCAGCCCCAGAGCTAATTAATCTGAATATTCATTTTAACAAGATTCCCTGTCAATTACCACCTCTGAGAAAGCAGTGGCTTTAAGGATGCAATTGTTTTCCTGCTCTAGGTCATTGTTTTGATGTGCAAATATGGACCTGGTATTGTCAAATCTGCTTTTTCATGAGACAACACCCCCATTTTAGAATTTAGCGGTTAAGTGGTCAGGGTCCCAGAAGGGAGCAGAATTACCCCAGATGAGTCAAATGTAGAGACTTAAATAAAGGACTTCTTGCAGGGGCTGGTTAGGATTAACAGGACAAGCACAGGATGGTGAGATGTCCAGTGATAAGCAGCAGTGCAGTGCATTACCGCCTTGCAGTGATAAGCAGCAGTGCAGTGCATTACCGCCTTGCAGGGCTGAAGGAAAAGGAGAAGAAAGCAAGTTATCAGAGCCCACTGAGTGCTGGCAAGCTACAGAAAGTGCTGCTTAAGACTGTTGCCCAGAGACAGAGCACAGAAAGGAGCAAGCAGGAAAAAAAATCCTCTGAATTCTCTTTCTTGCAATTCTTCAATTTTCTACTGATGTCTTAAGTTGGCCAAACCCATCTGGCAGCCAGTTACAAGGTAGCTCACTGGAGTCACCTCCCAGAGCAAGTGGGCAAGGCAAAAACAGATTAGAAACAATAAAAAAAGTAGAAATACGGTGCAAGCCAAACAAAAAGTACTATGTAAGCCAAACCAAAAGTCCTCTTGTTCTCGGACCAAACCGAAGGTAGGGCTGCTTGTTCTCTGGGCCCAGTAATGAGATGCAGATGAACTGGGAAACAAGAGTTTATTTCTGTAACTGGGCACAGGGAGAAGGCTGGGAAAATGTCTCCAGAATAATTCAATATTACAAAGTTTTCCAGAGCTTATATATCTTCTAAGCTATATGTCTATGTGTATGTATGCATGCATCTAAAGACATAAGTGATTAACCTCTTGTAATCTACAACTAAAGTCAAAGTTTTGAAAACCTTACTCTGGAGCCTTAGTAAATTTATTTAATCTAGATTGGTCCAGGTACTGGGATGATTACCCTGATCTTATCTCCTGCTAAATCATGGAGGTTTGGGGAGTTCCTTCAGACGCCCAATTAACTTGTTTGTGGAGGCCTGGGGGGTTTCCTTCAGATCCCCAGTAAAACTTGATGAATCATAAATGGGTCCTGTTAAGAATTCCTTCATTATCTTGTTATACTTCAAGGCCCAGGAAAGGCCTGGGCAAAACTCTTGGTGGGCTTTTTTTACACTCCAGCCTTTGTATAAGGCCATTGGCTTTCAGCTTTTAATATTTAACTTAACAACTTGGTCAGTGCTGAAACAGCTGTCATGGAGGCCTGCCTGCTCAGCTGTTAGTGAGACCTGGCCTGCCACAATCCCTACTGTCAATTTGCACATGTTTTCTATCATACTTGTATATTTATTAATTATGAGAATTGTAGGCAGATGGGGTGTCATAATCTTTCTGGCTACTTCCTGATGAGAGGGGGTCATCGTTATGGGGCACCGATCTTAGCACTGGAGTGGAAGAGGTCGATTTGTTCCTGGTAGTACTCTCTCGTTTGGGGCTTAGAGGCAGTGCCTGCTGAAACATGATATGAGCTCGAGGGATGTTTTAGAGCAATATGCAACAGTGATGCCTTCCACAACATAACATTATGCCCATGCCTGCAAGGATGACCAGGACTGCAAGGATTTTCTGCCACCAGGAAGGCCTTCCACTAAACCTTGATGCAATCCAGTCATTAAGCGATAGCCCAGGACTGGAGATTGCCTGAATCTGTTGGTGCATATACTTTAATGCCAGAAAATTATTCCCAGAGTTGTCAGGTACGTACATGCAAAATTCAGTTTTGGTGAGGGTGCAGGTTCCCCCTTGGGCTGTTGTTATAATGTCTAGGGCCATTCGATTTTGCAAGATAGCTTTCTGCATACGGTACATTTCAGCATTCATAAGGGAA
This sequence comes from Homo sapiens, assembly GCF_000001405.40. Lineage (NCBI taxonomy): Eukaryota > Metazoa > Chordata > Mammalia > Primates > Hominidae > Homo > Homo sapiens. The sequence goes on from NC_000008.11 coordinate 72,097,611, forward strand.
ATTCTTCAGAGACTTTCATTCAAGGCTCACTGCATGAAATTAGCTAGTGCCTCTATGTGCCATATGACAGTTTCTAAGCCTATTGAGGGCATAAAGATTGAGGTCAGATGATCGTACCAGTGAAAAACTGACCTGGTCCGTCTGTTAAGCATATGTAACAGATTAGCTGGGTTTTGGATGGTTTTTATCCGGTGTCCCTGTGCCAATTAGGAGACCTAGAGTGTAGCACCCCAACCGGCCTGAGGGCAGTCATGGCCGTAAATTGGTGCCACAAAGCCACTGATTCTGTAAGGGGGATACCAATTTTGGCCAGGTTGTTGAGACCAGTTGGTGGCAAACAAATCTCTTTGTTGTAGCACTATAGTATGTTGGTCTTGTTCGTGTGGAATGTGTGAAATCCATCCCATAACTCGAGTTACATTAGGCAAGTGGTCAAGGGAGTGGTTCCATTGTTCCCAGCATAAGGGGGGTACTTGGCTTAAACGTCCGGTGGAGGCAGTTAGCCAAATAAATCTGTCCCAAATTTGAAGAAAGCAATTTTTATACTGGTATCATAGTCTGGACATACACCCTCAGATTCAGCAAGGGAGTAGCTAAAGCTATTACATCATTCCTTGTTTTGTTGACAGAGAATGGCTTTTTTTGCCCTGGGCCTTCCAAAGTTTTGTTTATGGGCCACTCTGAGACATTTGCCATGGTTAGTCCTGTCGTTTGTGACCCAGTCCAAGATTTTAGATTTCCCAGCAAAGTTTGCAGGTAAATCCAGTCCTTCCCCTGGAGGTATCCCCAGCAAGGCAACCCCATGGTGCTAGAAAGGAGTAATAGGCCACAGACCCAGCAGGAGCTTCTTTGCAGGTTCTCTGCATAGTCCTGTGCCAATTGTAAGAAAAGATTAGAGGTGAGAGCAGAAACAATGAGAGGCATAGCAAGGAGCATTATGAGAAAGTCTTATGAAAGTCTTATCGTTTTCTGAATAGAAACTTCAGGTCTTCTCGGGGGTCTGCCTCCCATCTGTCAGCCGGAGACTCCTCTGCCACAGGGCTTTTGGCTGGCAGGAATCTTTTCACTCACATGTGATGGACCCAAGGCTTAATGTCTGCCAGTTTCAGTGCTGCACCCGTGATCCAGAGCATGTCATAGGGCTTTCTCCATTTCTTCTGTAGTTGTTGGGCAGGACCAGCTTCCCTCCATTCTTTCAGCAGCACTTGATCACCAGGTAGGAATGGGTGGCAGGCTTTTGAAGAATTCACAGCGTCCCTGTTAGAGGCAAACTTATGCAAAACGTTAAGAGTTTGTCTTAAGTGAGCAACATAATTCTTAATAGCCAACTCCCTATCTAGGGGCACTTTGGTGACCTGAGATGGGTTAGCAGCAAAGGGTCTCTTGAAAACAATTGCATAAGGACTTACTTTCATCCTGTTTCTGGGGGCCTTTTCTTACCCAGAGCAGTGCAATACTAAGTCCCTGAATCCATTTCAACTGAGTCTCTTGACACAACTTGGCAATGATTATTTTTAAGGTGCAGTTCATTCTCTCAATTTGTCCAGAAGATTGAGGTTTCCACGCTAAGTGCAGTTTCCATTTTATTTCCAAAGCTTTGTTTACTTGTTATCTCAGAGATGAATGAAGGCCCATTATCACTATGAATTACATCAGGGAGCCTATATTGTGGTATGACTTACTTTAGCAAAACTTTAACTACTTTGCTTGCTTATTCAGTGTGACATGGGTATGCCTCCACCCAGCCAGAGAAAGTGTCCACTAGAACTAGAAGATATTTATACCCCCCAGGGGCTGGTGGCATCTGTGTAAAGTCTATTTGCTAGTGTTCTAGCAGGTGCCTCCCTCTTTCTTGTTGCCCAGGCTGCCCTCGGCTATCATTATTAGGCTCATTCCAGGCACACAGGTGACAATGCTGAATTATATCCTCTAAGTGGGCCTTTAGTCCTTTCCCTTTCAAATAATTTTGTACAAAGGCCAGGAAGCATCTCTCCCCAAACTCATGCTATCATGAATGTACTTTAACAGTGGGCAGATGAGATGCACTAGTGCCTAGACTAGGCCTGCACTGTTTACTCTCCACCCTTCCTTGTTTAGTTTGAATCCCTTATCTTCTGCAGCTTTCTCATCTTCCGAAGAGTACCAGGGCTTGAAGGCCATTAAATCTATTTGGGGAATTAAGGGTGCCTGGATTCAATGCTGGCACTGGCTAAATGCCTGGTGGTGTGGTCTGGGAAAGCATTGTCCCTTGACACTTCGGAATTACTGTGTTGATGGTCAGGGCAATGCATTACAGCTATTTCCTGTGGGGCCTTTATTACCTCTAACAATTCTAATGCTTGCTTAGTGTATTTAACATCAGTGTTATCCACCCTTAGCAGCCCTCTTTCCCTCCATATAGTTCCGTGTGCGTGAACTATCATGAATGCATACTTGGAGTCAGTGTGTATATTGACATTCTTACCTTGGAACAGTTACAAGGCTCTCATGAGGGTGATTAACTCCACCTTCTGTGCTGAGGTCCCTGCCAGCAAAGTTCTTGCCTCTATTACCCCTGAGGAGGTCACCAGAGCATAGGTGGCATTTCTCTTCCTATCAGTGACCAGGCTACTCCCGTGTAGAAACAAAGTTCAATCTGTGCATGGGAGGGCTACATCCTTTAAGTCCAGGTGGCTGGAAAACACTAGGTATATGACCTCTAGACAGTTATGCAGGACTTCATCCAGCTCCCTGGTGAGAGGTAACAATGCAGCAGGGTTTACAGTTCCAGCGCTTTGCAGCTTTACTGTGGGTCATCTAAAAATATGGCTTGATATCTACCCAGTCAGCCTGCTGTCAGCCAGTAACCTCTTTTTTGCTCCAGTAACAGTAACACTTGGTAGGGCACATATATTGTGACAGGCTGCCCCAAGTTTAGTTTTACAGCTTCCCTGAGTAGCAGGCAAGTGGCAGTGACTGCTCTAAGATAAAAGGACTTTGAAAAGTATACTATGGGTTGTAATACTTCACCTAACCTTTGCACTGGGACTCCAAGCACTAAACCCAATCTCTCATGCACATAAAGCTGGAAGGGCATATGAGGATTTGGAAGCCCTAAGGCAGGGGGGACAGGTAACTTAAACTTCAGTTGCTCAAACAAATATTGGTGCCTTGCTTCCCAGTCAGAAGGATCATGGTTGGTTCCTTTTAACAGTTAATATAAAGGCTTTACCATTAGTCCATAATTAGGAATCCAAATCTGACAAAATCCAGCCATACCTAGGAAGCCCCTCAGCTGCTTTCTGGTGGTGGGCTTGGCAATAGAAGCAATTGCATTCTGCCTTTCCATGGTCAGGGCTCTGGTTCCTATCTGTAGGAGAAATCCTAAATATTCCACAGTTTGTTTGCATACTGGGGCATTTTTGCTTGAGACCTTGTACCTGCAAGCTGACAGATGGTTTAAAGTTTTAATAGTGTTATCCTGGCACTCTTGCTCAGAGGGGCTAGAAATTAACAAGTCATCCACATATTGCAACAATACTCCATTTTCCAATTGTAGATTTCTTAAATTGTGAGCCAAAGCCTCTCCAAATATATTTGGGCTGTTCTTAAACACTTGAGGAAGTACAGTCCAGCAATACTGAAATGGAGCAGCAGTCTCAGGGTCTGTCCAGTCAAATACAAACAATTGCTGGCTCTCTACATCCATTGATATGCAAAAGAGGTCATCTTTCAAGTCTAGCACTGTAAACCATTCGTGATTCCCAGGCAGTGAGATAAATATGGTGTATTGGTTAGCCACAGTGGGGTGAATGTCTTCCACAATATCATTAATTGCCTTTAGATTTTGCACAAATCTGTACTCATATGAGTGAGGCTTCTTTGCTCAGGCAAGATAGGAGTATTGCAAGATGATTGACAAGGCCTTATTAGGCCATACTGTAAGAACTGGATTCAGACTAGCTGGATGGCTTCCAAGACTTCCCTCTTTGAGGGGTATTTTTTTTTTCAGATAGGTTGGGCCCCTTCCTTCAGTTTGATTTTTACCAGACTCATGTAAATTGCCCTTCCGGATTGGTCTGATGCCCAGACATCTGGTTTTACCTTGTCGAAGACTTCCTGAGGGACCATCTCTACCTTAGGGCATGGGGTCTCAGCACTTGCCAGAAGTGCTTGCAGCTGCAGTCCATGTTCTGGAGGCACTTGGAGACACATCTGACATTTCTCAGGGTTGAAGACGATTTGATCTTATAACTTGCATAGCAGATCTCTGCCAAGTAAAGGAATCAGGCAGTCCAGCACTTAAAGGAATTGGTGAGTTATTAGATCATTACCCACTTTACATGAGAGAGGACACAGGAACTGCTCAGATCTCGGTTTCCTGCTAACACCAACTATATTCACAGATGTGTCAGAAAGTTCAGTGATCGGTGTATTAACTACCAAATAACTAGCACTGGTGTTGAGTAAGAAGTCCAATTTTTGTTTCCCAACTGTTAACTCTAACCAAGGCTCCTATGGGGAAATTTTGATGTTAGATAGATTTGGAGCTGCTGGGAGTTTCCAGCATCGTCAATCTTCCTGATTCATTCCCGGGCATAATAGTCATCATTGGCGTGGGGTAATTTTGGCTTAAATTTGGCTAATCCTTTTTCCAATGCCCCATTTCTCAGCAATATGTGCACTGATCCTTTTTTATTTTCCCTTTCCACTTTGCAGGTCCCTTCCCTCTTGGGGTTTTCCCTGCTGTTGCCATAAGTATTGCTGCCTGCCACAGAGTTTAGTTTCCTTTACCTCCCTATTGTGGTAAATTTTGGATGTGATATCCATCAGTTGAGAGGCATTCATCCCAATAGCCCCTTCTATTTTCTGCAGTTTCTTCCTAATGTCAGGGGCACTTTGCCCTATAAAAGTTAGGTTCACCATCCTAACATTTTCAGGGACCTGTGGGTCTATATCTAGATGCTTCCTGTAGGTCTGACAAATATGTCCATAAACTCAGATGGATCCTAATTAGGCCTTTGTTGGAGCTCTTGCACTTTGTTTAAGCTTTTAAGTTTGGGTACCCCTGACTTAATGCCCTTGAAGATGCACCTCCTGTAATGCTCCAGGCAGGCCATTCTCCCTCCATTAGCCTCACTTGGGTCCCAGTTAGGGTTAGTATGGGGTATTGCCCTGTCAGGGTCTGGGGTATTGTCTGGGTTTTCATTATGAAGGTGTTCTGCCTCTTCCTTTGCCTTATCCAATGCTAGTCTCCTCTCATCTGCAGACAGCATGTTTAGGAGGGCTTGCACATCTGCCCATGTGGAGTGGTGAGTGACAAAGAAGGTAGTGAACAGCTCAGTCATTTTCTGGGGGTTCTCCCTATAGCTTGGGTTGGAGTTATTTCTGTTTAACAAATTGGATGTGGAAAAGGGCTGTAGGCCCAATAATAACCAGCCGGAGCCCCCTGTTGGTTAACCCCTACAGGGTACTGTCAAAGTGGAAATTGCCCAGCTCCAGGTTGGATGGTTCCCCTGCCAAAACTAGTACCTTGTTTGGTCCAAAAGGGAAAGATGAGCCTTGCTGCTTCCTTATACTCTGGGGGTGGTGATTTTCTCCTTTCCTGCCTAGCTTGGTGGGGGGGCATTAGCCCCCACCAGGCTAGGTGGAATATTTTGTCTTATGGGGTTAAGGACATTTATCAATTTTTGGCTTTCTGAGTCCTTATCTTATCTCTCTGAGAGTCAGGGCAAACCTTGACTGGGTGCTGCACCATTAGCTTATCTGCCTTCTCTTTGACATCCTTATTATGTAATAACATAAATATTTTAACATAGATTATTTCTTCCCATTTTCCTGAACACTTACAAAATGACTCTAGCTCATAAATAATTAAATAGCTCAGGGTCCCCAAAATCAGCCATCTCCCCTCAGATTCTAAAACGTACATTGGCCAAATCCTATTACAATAGTAAACTAATTTCCTTTTAGTCATAGGATGATACCCAAACTATTACCAATCTGACAGGATTCTTCCCAGAGGGCTCCTGGCGGTAATGAACTCAACACTTCTCATTTTTGAGCCTATATGTTATCAAAAAGGACAAGACAGATACACAAACAAGTGGAGACAGATATTGGACAAACACAAGAACATGAGAAGGAGTTCAGTCAGGCAGAACAGAGTCAAAACCAACTCAAAACCTGATCTTAACCAAATGCAAAGTGGGTGTATGAATGAGCCCTATTGCTTCCCTGGTGGACAAATGGCTTAACAAGCCCAGATAGGACAAAAATAAGTCCCTTATTAAGGGTGAAGTTAACTCATTCTTCGCGCGAGTCCACTCCTGATCTCCGTTCTTCCCCAGTAGTGGGAGGGATATACGATTTTGTTCATGGAACAGCTCAGGAGGGATCCTCTGCAAAATCTCACCTAGCAGCTGCAGGGATCCTCCTGAAGACTGTCTCGTCACAAGCTGCTGGCTGCTGAACACATCATCGTCCCAGCGGCTCCTGGCTGGCTCACCAAGTTTGTTCCCAGACCGAACTGAGGGCCAGGCTGTTTATTCTTGCAGCCCAATAATGAGATGCAGATGAACTGGTAAAGAAGAGAGTTTATTCTGTAACCAGGTACAGGGAGAAGGCCAGGAAAATGTAGCCAGACCAACTCAAAATTACAAAGTTTTCCAGCGCTGATATACCTTCTAAGCTATATGTCTGTGTGGAAGTGTGCGTGTATCTAAAGACATAAGTGATTAACCTCTTCGAATCCAATCCAGAGGCAGGTCTGAGTTTTGAAGACATTTATCTGGACCCTCAATAAATTTACTTAATCTAGATGGGTCTAGGTGCCAGCAGTGATTACCCTTATCTTGTATCCTGCTAAACCATGGAGGTTTGGGGAGTTCCTTCAGTCCCCCAGTAAACTTGTTTGTGGAGGTCTGGGGAGTTTCTTCAGACCCCCAGTAAAACTTGTTTAATCCTATATGGGTCCTATTAAGAATTCCTTCATTATCTTGTCATGCTTTAAGGCCCAAGACAGGCCTGGGCAAAAGTCTTGGTGGGTTTTTATTATATTCTAGCATTTGTATAAGAACACTGGCTCTTTTTCGGCTTTTAGTATTTAACTTGATCACTCAGTCAGTGCTGAAGAGTTGTCATAGAGACCTGCCTGCTCAGCTGTTAGTGAGACCTGGCCTGCCACACTCTGTGTTATAACTAGAATAAAAAGCACAGATTCCAAACTTGTAGAAACAGAGTAGAATAGTGATTACCAGGGGCTATGTAGGGGAAGTGGGGAGGTGTTGGTCAAGAAGTACAACTCCTCAGTTATGCAAGATAAATAGTTCTGAATGTCTAAATACAACAATATGACTATAGTTAATGATAATGTATACTTGAAATTTGCTGAGGGAATGCATCTTAAATGTTCTCATCATGGAAAAAAAGGTAACTATGGGAGGTGATGAATATGTTAATTAACCTGGTTGAGGTGAATATTTCAAAATGTATAGATATGTTAAATCATGCAGTCATATACCTTAAATATATACAATTTTTAATTATTATTTTTGTTTCTTTGGGATTACAGATGTGAACCACCACACCTGGCCTACAATTTTTAATTATCAATTATACCTCAGTAATGTTGGGGAAATGGGGAAAAACAAGAGAGGAGAGCCAAGAATGATGTCTTCAGAGATATGACCTGGACCACCATGTGCTTTGCCTCTTTAATGGTGTCATTTTGAGTTAGGAGTAAGAATGTGGTATAAAGGAGTAGCTCAGGCTAAGAAGAAACCCAAAAATACATCCAAGAATCTCCACAAGTAGCAGCTGAAATGCTCTATTTTTCTTTTCTTATCATCTTCCTGTTGTATCCAAGTGCTATCTTTCTTCCACTTTTTATACTTGTATCCAGAATTTCCAGATTTGTGTCTTTTTTCTTGGGTGAGCTTCCTAGAATGAGGATTCTGACTCAATTCTAATCCAATTCAGTGGAAATAATTAGATCCAATTCAATTCATAGATTTAAAGCATTAAAAATCTGCCCTCTTTACAGACCACACTCCCACAAGATGCTGAACCACCTGGCCAATGGCAGTACAAAAATACAGAAGATTCACTGCACACCTTCGACTTTGGTACATACTCTCTAAACAGATATTTTTCTTTCTGCACAGAGGTTAATCTGTTATGATCAACAGATCAGGTGCTTATATTGCCAAATGCTGCCTGATTATAAAGTTTCCTCATTACTATTTTACAGTGTTGTTTTCTAGTCACAAGGGTGTCTAGTCATATGAAAAATTTTAAACATCAGGAAAGATCTCTTAGCAAATGAAATAAATATTTGGGAAAACAAGATAAACTCAGATGTGTTTGTTCCAGGAGACCAACTATGATATAATCTCCATCTTCATTTGTTGATTTTTCTTTCCTTCAGTGGACTTTAGAGCGATCTTTTGGCATTCTCTGATACATTTTAACAGCCTTATTTCATTTTGACTTCACAGAAATAACTTGGGGATCTGGTGTGTAAAGATGAACTATCATCAAATGTGTATATACTTCTTATTATTTTTACATGGTGATGATGAACTTACATTCATGTATTAACACTTCTTTTTACAGACTTTTTGCGGTGTTATTGTAGGATTGAAAGCATCAGCTCAAATGTTCTCCTCCTCTGTACGTACTCATTTAGTTAGAGCAAGTTTACATTCCAATAAATGACCTGACTTACAAGCCTTCCCTTAAATATATATATATATATATATATATATATATATATATATATATATATATATATATATATATATATAAATTGTTATGTCTCTGCACTAAAGTATTAAAAAGTAAATTGGCTTTTATTTGTTTTTCTTGCTCTTCATGTTGATTTATGTTGCTACACCTGGCATATAACACATGTTGGAGAATGCAATGTTGGAAAACCTATGCAAGTACTTTTCGTTAAAAATGGCAAATGAAAGACAGCCAGGGTACAGCCTGTGAGGTGTTGTTCCTTGATTACCTAATGTCATTAGCTCTTTAATAATACTGAGTTTTGTTTGTTGAATTCCAGGAGATAACCCATAAATTGCCTAAACTAATCGAGATAATCCCATTCCACTTTGCTGGTGGTTAGTCTGAGTATGAACATCTAGAATTTGAGATATGAAGAGGTTGGATAAGAGCTGGGTCTTCCAGAAGTAATTTTTCTCCTTGATTAAAGGAGAGAATCATATGATGAAAGGCCCATTTCTTCCTGCCTAACTCCTTTCTTCAGCTTTGGACACTGCCATGTGAGGGTTTAATGCCTGGATCTGTGCCATGAAGCAAACAGGAGGAGAATGAAAGCTGGAGCACTTAGCAGGGTAGGTCAGAAGGATGGACAGATTCTGCGTCTGATGTTATCACTGAGTTACTGAAATAACCCTGGAACTGCTTTTCTCTGCACTTTTTGTTAATAAAACAATAAATATTTTCCCCGCATTGAAAGGCATTCCTTATAATATGTAGTCTCTTCCAATTTCTCACTAAAATGCCAGTGGTGACCCAAGGAAGTACTACAATAGTAATTTTTTTTAAAAAAGCCTTCATTATTTTACCCATTCCCTTCTATTAAAAATTTTCAAGATGTTTCTGGGGGACTGGAGAAAGAACAAACCAGTCAAAATTAAGCAGGGATTTTCCCCTCAAATTTTGACTTAATTTTTTACTGGAGGAGGGAAGACCCATTAGTTATATTTTCAAGAAGAAAGTCAACTAGCAGGAGTTTATTTCTGTCCTGCTTCTCTGTTGCTTATCTGCTGCTGAGGCCAATTACAATGAGGAAGGAATCAGCACTGATAATTATACCTGTGTACTCCTCTGTTTTTGTTACCATAAAGGTTTACTAATTGGAAAGTTATCTCAGTGCACCACTGTATTTCAAAAGCTTAGGCCAACTTCCGCAATGATGACTCAGGGCTTCTAACGTAAAGACCTGCTGAATAAATAGAGGTCCTAGTAACACAAATTCCACCATCATATCATCAGTTTAAACATCCTGTGCTCAAGAAGCACCATAATTCCCTTATATAAATACTCAAACCACAGCAATAAACATGGCTAGCATGTTATTATGTCACTTGAATCCACAAAAGTACAATTTGTGATAGAAAGCTAAACTTCCACTTTCTGGCCACTTGAATTATCATACAGACTTTCCTATAATTGTAAAAATTAAAACATTAATTTTTAAAAAGCAATTATATCAACTATATTTGCTCATATATTTATTATTTCAAAAGTAGGATATATAGTAAAAACCATTTAACCAAACTGGGAAACTCTATCATTCAGGTCCATTGGAAGGAGGGATTTTAAACATAGAATTCAAATGTGTGTGTGTATGCGTGTGTTCATGTGCATGTGTGTATAAAACATTCAGGGAACACTGTCATTTTTTAATTAAACTATTATTAACTATACTTATGTACATGTGTGTAGAGTTCATAAGGTTGAACTATCAGATTTTTTCTAAAGTTAATAAAACAATATGAGAATCATATCCCATTCAAGTGGAGTGAACTTCTAGATCACTCTAGACAAGTCCCTACATTTCCTTTTCTTTGAGAACACGTATCTATTTACATAATGCAATATCTCTAGTTCTCAGACCAGACACACTCTTACTTTCAGTTTTGTTTGACAGATTTGATTCCTTGACCTAAAACTTTCACTAAGGTGTCTATAATCACTTTGCATTCCTACATTTTTCTTCTTCCTCTTTGCAAAATTTCTAGACTGTGAACCTGCCTTAAAAGCATCTTTTAACTGACATTAGGATGCTGGGTGGTCATGACCCAATGTCTTCAAAAGCCTGGAACCATTCCAAGTCTGTTTAGAAAGACAGAATGAGAAGGGGAGAAAGGGAGAGTAAAGTAAAAACTCTTTCTCTAGCATTAAAAACTTGCATATATGCTTTGTTTGGAAACTTGAATGCTTGCTGAATTTTTAAAATATTGTTAAGGAATTATTGCCAATAATAATGTTACTGTGGCTCCATTTGAAAAAGAGACCTTATAATTTAGAGATACAGACTAATTATTTACAGATGAGATGATATGATGTCTGATATTTGCTTCAAAACAATATGGGAAGTGGGAACTGGAAGTATACTTGACATAAGATTAGTCATAGATCTTTCATTGCAGCTGAATGCATGGTTACATGCTGGTTTGTTATGCTATTCTGTCTACTTTGTAAACAACTCTATACACATATTAAAAACCTATCTTAGCGGGGCATGGTGGCGCATATATGTAGTCCTAGCTACTTGAGAGGCTGAGGCAGGAAGATCACTTGAGCTGTGGAATTCCAGGCTGCAATGAGCTATGATCATGCCACTGTACATGGATGAAAGAGCAAGACTCTGTTTTCGTTTTGTTTTGTTGTTGTTTTTTTTTAAAAAAAAAAAAACCTCAAAGAGTGTATATATAATAAGAGAATCTCAACTAATTTTCTTTCTTTTTTTTTTTTTTTTGAGACAGAGTCTGGCTTTGTCGCCCAGGCTGGAGTGCAGTGGTTCGATCTTGGCTCACTGCAAGCTCCGCCTCCCAGGTTCACGCCATTCTCCTGCCTCAGCCTCCCAAGTAGCTGGGACTACAGGCGCCCGCCACCACGCCCGGGTAATTTTTTGTATTTTTAGTAGAGACAGGGTTTCACCGTGTTAGCCAGGATGGTCTCGATCTCCTGACCTCGTGATCCACCCGCCTCGGCCTCCCAAAGTGCTGGGATCACAGGCGTGAGCCGCCGCATGCGGCCAAATCTCAACTAATTTTCAAAAATTGAACATATGTATCTGTGTAACTGTCACCCCAATGAAGAAATAAAAAATTACCAGGACTTCAGAAGACCCCACCTGTGCTCCTTTTAAGAACACGCCTGCTTTCTCTAGTGTAGTCACCATCGTAACTTCTAATATTTTCTGTTTGCCTATTTACATAATTTATATAAAGGAAATCATAGATTGTACACTCTTGTGGCTTGATTTTTTGTTCGATATCAGGATGAGATATTTTGGAATTGTTTCATGTAGCTGTAAATCATACATTCTCATTGTGTCATATATGCTAATGTGTGAATATGCCACCATTTAGTTATGCATTTAACTATTGATAGACATTCAGAATTTTCAGGATTTTTGCTGTTACAAATAGTGGCACTGTGAAAATTCTATTTCATATCCTTCAGTGAGCATATGCTTATGATTGTTTGTTGAATATATACCTAAAAATAAGTTATTGGGTCATAGGTTATTATATTTTCAGTTATATTAGACACCACTAAACTGTTTACCAAAGGAGCTATACAAATTTATATTCATATCTGCATTAAGTGTTCTACTTTCTCCACAACTTTGTCAACACTTGGTATTTTCCATATTTTTCATTTTTTATTTCTGGTAGGAGTATTGTGATGCCACATTGTGGTTTTATTTTGCAATTCCCTGACAGCAACAAAGTTGAGTATCTTATTATACTCAATTATGTAACTTATTATACTCAGGGTATTTGGATATTCTCTTTTATAATGTACATAATGTATGTACATAACGTATGTTTAAATATCAATATTTTCTCTTTGGATGTGTCTATTTTTTAAATTGATTGGTAAAAACTCTTCATATGTTCTGGATACAAGTTTTTTTCAGGTATATGTGAGAGAATATCTTTCTCCATTCTGTGGGTTGTCTTAATGGTGTCTTAATATACAGAAATTCTTGATTTTAACATAGTCCCCTTTATCAACGTTTTCCTTTATCTTTAATGCTTTTCATGTAGTATTTTAAAAAACCTTTGCCTACTCCAAGTCACAAAGATGACTTCTTACATTTCTTTCTAAAAACTTTGATATTTTTCCTATCACATATAGATGGATAATCTATATGAAATTGATTTTTATATATGCCATGAGATAGGGAAAGTACATTTGTCCTTCATATGAACATCTAATTAACCCAGCACCATTAAGTTATTTTTGTCAGGTGCATTACTAGTTCAGTTTTGTCATAAACCAGGTGTCTAAATATCTGTAGATTTATATCCTGATTGTGTATTCAATCCTCTTGTTCACTTTGCCTACTTTTACATCACTGTATTAACACTGAATTAATACTGTTGATGGAACTTTAATGTCTTCATCTGTTAACTTCTATATCTAAGATCATTCATGAGTCAACTGTCTGTTTAGAAATTGTTGATTGCATGTGAGACATTTGGTATTAAAAAAAAAAACATAAAGGCTCTAGTTAATGTAAGTCTCCATAAAAGAGGTTCCCCTATTTCCTTTCTTAGAAAGGTAGGTAGAAAGAATGAACATCTCAATTCCATCAGGAATTGTGCCAAGTCAGAGTTGAGTTGCAGTTTTAAGAAGATGCAGTTTAGGTATGATTCATGTCTATTTTAAAGACATGTAATTTCCAGGATCTTAATTGAGATATTTTTGTTGCTTGCTTCCTTGCTTTTGAAACATTGTAGATTGATTTCTGGCATCAGAGATAGTCAATTGACCTCTTTAGGTCCTTATCTCACATGGAATTAAATTTTGGTGAGTATCTTGAGGAGTATTGGCAGGCATATTTTAGGTGTAAAACTACTGAATCTCCCTCTCTGCTCTTTAGAAGTGTTTTGCATTCCTCCTCAGCCTCCTGTACAGACAGACCTAGAACTCACAAAATGACCTGTGAGAAAATTTTTAATGCAATTAAACCCCTTAAATTTCCAATTCATTACTCTAGCTCCACGTAACCACTGAAAGCTTTGCCGGTGTGAATCATTCTACTTTCTACCTCCATGAGATCAACTGTTTTAGCTCCCACATCTATACCTGTGTTTCCATACATGGCTTATTTCACTTAACATATTAACCTCCAGTTCCATCCATGTTGCTGCAAATTACATGATTCAATTATTTTTTATGGCTAAATAGTATTCCACTGTGTATATATACACCACATTTTCTTTATCCATTTGTTCACTGATGGATACAGGTTGATTTCATATCTTAAATATGGTGTAAGGGGGATAAAGAGATGTTGATTAATGGGTGCAAACATACAGTTAGAAGGAATAAATTATAGCAGAGTAGAGTAACTATAACAACAATATAGTGTATACTTCAAAATAACTAGAAAATACCGCAAATATTCTGACTTGATCATTACACATTCCATGCATGTAACAAAATATCACATGTGCCACATAAACATGCACAAATACTATGTATCAATAAAAATAAAAAATAAGTAAAAGGTATAAGATTTAAAAAGCTTGTTTTTTTAATAACAACTTTTTCCAAGAAAAATAAAAATAAGAAAGCATGTTACACTTCCCGTAAATAATGAAACACAGCTTTTAGTCATACACATTTGAATGTATCTATAAATTATCAGAATAAAAAGTCTTTCCCCTTCCAACGTTTCTGGAATGCTACTATTTTAACTTTGCTAAATAATTTTTGGTGTACATAGTTTTGCCTTTTTCCCAAAAGTATAGTGTAATGCAGTAGGACAAAATAGTTGTCAAATACGTTGAGTCATTTATTAAAGTTATGACTCAGCTTTAGAAAGAAAAATTGCAGCTGAGAGCATTTTGGGAGGACAAGGCAGGTGAATCACCTGAGGTCAGGAGTTTGAGACCAGCCTGGCCAACATGGTGAAATCCCGTGTCTATTAAAATACAAAAAATTAGCTGGGCATGGTGACAAATGCCTGTAATCCCAGCTACTTGGGAGGCTGAGGCAGGAGAATTGCTTGTACCCAGGAGGCGGGCTTTGCCATGAGCCATGATTGCACCATTGCACTCCAGCCTGGGCAACAGAGGGAGACTCTGTCTCAGAAAAAAAAAAAAATAAAGACAAAAAAAAAAAAAATAAAGAAACCACAATTCCACACAACACACATATCAGGACATCTGCCACATCTTGGGCACTTTCAGCACAGCCAAGGTTTGCCCTGTATGTGACCTCTGCAATTACAGCTTTTTGGTCTGGAGAAAAGAATTTAAGGGCAATGAAATCATATGCTGAAAGGTGAAAAAAATTGACTATGTCCATCATATTACTTCTTACAAAATGTGAATTTATAAAATTACCAAGAGCATAAAGTATTGAGCAGTTGATGTGGAAGCAAAATATATTCAGAGTCAAATCCTGAAATGAAATCTAAGAGGCCATATCAATGGGTGAGGGGTTTGATTTAGCCATGTCAGGCTATCGAAAAACAAAAGAAAACAGAAACTTTGAAAAGCAGAGAGTGCTCAAAGGTTTTCAAACATTTTTTTTTTCTGGCGGTACCAAACATCTTTCAAATAAAGTTCACTCAGAATCTCAGTATGTATGCACAAAAGGCAAACACAAAATTACTCTGGTTGAAGCAAGTATCAAGGGTCTAAAGCCCTTTTCCAAACATCTTTCAATGTACCACATCAGCCCCTCCAGGGTTGTAATGGAAAGGTACAACTTTACAAAGAACACACTTCATACACTGAGGTGGAGAAAAGAAACACAGAGCAAAGTATGATACTAGTTAGTGTTGAGAGAGTACTAGGGAATGGAGCTACTGCCAAGAGAAGCAGGACACAGTTTGAGAACCTATTGCGTGGTCCAGGAGATTGCTGGAGACTTTGTTCTCTCAGTAGACTCCAGCTCCCACTATCTTCCTAGTTCCTACTTCACTTCCAGGTCAAGCATGTTCTAAAACAAACTTCAATTTGCTTGTATTTATCTGAATTCTTTTAGTGATCTGAGTGACTTTTCTATATTTTACAAAACTGGAACAGATTTCGTCTGTATTTTCTTGGTCACCGATTCAAATGTTTGTCCATGGTAAGGTGTCTTATCCTTGTATCTGTCACTCTATGACCTGAAAAATTATGAAAAATTTAATTAAAGGTGACAGATAAAGTGATATTGTTATAAATAATTTATGATTATTTATTTATTCAACCAACTTCATTTGAGCCAATAGGTCCTTTGTAAATGTTAGGTATACAGTGGTATTCAATTAACACATTGCTCCTGCTGTGATTATTTTTATTATTAAAAAAGGAGAAGCCAGGAGAGAGAGGAAGCAGAGAAATCTTGACATTGGTTCACATTCTTTTCTTTTTCTTTTCCTTTTTTTTTTTTTTTTTTTTTTTTTTTGAGATGGGATCTCACCCTTTTGCTCGAGCTGAAGTGCAGTGGCGCAATCATGGCTCACTGCAGGCTCAACCTCCCGGCCTCAAGCCATACTCCCACCTCAAGCTCCTGAGGAGCTGGGACTATAGGCACGTACCAACACTCCTCAATACTTTTCCTTTGTATTTTTTAATAGAGATGGGGTCTTGCCATGTTGCCCAGGCCGGTTTCAAACTCCTGACCTCAAGTGATCCACCTGCCTTAGCCTCCCAAAGTGCTGAGATTATAGGCAGTTCATTCTTTATAATTTCTGAGAAAATTAGTTTTTAAGCTCATCTTTTTTTTTTTAATCACAACAGCATAAAGAATCTCATTACAGTGAGTTAGGATTGCCTAGGGATTATACGTGTGGGCTCCAAGTCTGAATGCCTGGGTATAAACCACAGCTGCCACTTCCTGGCTGTGGACCTCTAGCAATTTACTCATTCTATTCAACTCATCTGAAAAGGAGATAGAATTATATTTCAGCCCAATGAAATCCCTCCCTGTCCACCGATCCATAATAGCATCCCTGATGTACACATGACAACATTTCAGAATATTTTCTGTCAGTACTAGGAAAACAGAAGTCCTTGTAATGAATGGTTGGACACAAGACCATTTAAAGATTAATTCTTAACAGTTATGCTTGAGAATGCAGGATAAGACCTTGCCAGATTTTCTTCTTCTGTTAATGTAAGGGTATGAAATATTTCTAAAATATTTTAGCCAATTCATATATTTTAAATACTTTATTTCCAACAATGAGATGGCATTTACAATACACAAGTCACAAATTTCACCAGTAAAAACTCCTTTCAGACTTTTCTTAAGCTAACTAGTAAAGCCTAAGATATTATTCAAGATACTGGGAAGAGAAGTGCTCATAGAAGCCACTTGTGCAGTGTAGGTTTTTGATGTAACACAGGTTAAGTTTGACAGGATGTCTCAATGCAGAAGTCAGTAATATCATTATTGCCCTAATTCTGAAAACTATACTTTTAGTGTGGATAATATTATTAATTTTGTATTTGTAGTCATATTCTACTATGTTCCCATATAAATTTAGAGTAATTATATGTTTATGCATTTTATCTTCAACAAACATAAACGTAGATGAACGAGATTAAAAGTAAAAGTTCTTTAACTGGGGATATGATCCCCAGCTTCTTTTACACTGTGTAGCATCCAGTGCCCAACAGTACAAAAGGTAACATAGGTATCTAATACTATTTAATACATTCCTTTCCGATTAACTTAGGTTGAGTGAATTCTGTTGTCTGCAACTGAGAACCCTTACAGATATAATTTGGAAGGGCAGTATTCTGTACAACTCTGATAAAGATCTCTATTTGGTTTGGCCTCAATCAATTTATATGCCTTCACTGAGTACACATAATACATCAGTTTTGAGTGCACTTGAGAAATAAAAATATGTACTACAAAATATGTTAGCACCCAGACCATATTTCTTCAATATTACAAAAGACTGGGTCAAATGCTTGCTTCTTTCGATCAAAAATACACTTTCAACAGTAGTCTCCTGGCCTTCCATTTGAGTGATCCACCAAGAAAACAAATTAGGCCAGGCCGGTGGCTCACGCCTGTAATCCTAGCACTTTGGGACGCCAAGGCAGGCAGATCACCTGAGGTCAGGAGTTTGAGACCAGCCTGGTCAACATGGTGAAACCCCGTCTCTACTAAAAATACAAAAATTAGCTGTGCGCAGTGGCAGGCACCTGTAATCCCAGCTACACGGGAGACTGAGGCAGAAGAATCACTTGAACCCAGGAGGTGGAGGTTGCAGGGAGCCAAGATCGTGCCACTGTACTCCAACCTGACAGAGTGAGACTCTGTCTCAAAAAAAATGCCTCTCTCCATAGGCTATCCATCTGAGAATGTTTTAAAATAGCTGTAGAAATCACCTTTATTTCTTTTAACAAAATCAGTTCAGTATGTGTTTTTCTTCAGTCTTCCAAAGTTTCTTAAGCTTACCATGGTGGTGTGGCATTCTCTCCTATTAAGATTTCCCTCATTGGGATAGAATTATTTTGGAAAAGGAGGCATACACTCATGTTAGAACACCGAGAAACCTGCTTACTTGCAGGTTCAGTTTAGTTTTCAAAAAATAGTTAGAAACCTGCTTTCAATTTCTTGACCTAATATCAGCCTTTCTTTCCCTCGACCTTCTCAGTTAAAAAGATGATTTTCCTGGTCAGAGAAGCTTAAATCAAAAAAAAAAAAAAAAATTTGAATAATTCTTCTCTTTGTTGAAAAATGTGTCAAAAATATTTACAGTGTTTATTCCCTTTATTTACAATTCATAGCCAGTTATATGATTGGACATCCCACTATATTAAGTTTTGATACTTTGATATAGAAAGCCTTCAGTTTTTTTTACTCTTCAGTATTGTGTTGGCTATTCTAATCCTTTGGTCTCTCCATATAAACTTTAAAATCAGTTTGTCAGTATCTACAAAGTTGCATGCATGCTGGATTTTGATTGCATTTAATCTATAAATCAATTGGGAAAATTGACACTTATATTGGGTCTTCCAAGCCATAAATATGGAATTTATCTCCATTGATTTAGATCTTTATTGATTTCTTCTTATTAGAGTTTTGTATTTTTGCACATATAATCTAATACATATTTTATTAGATTTATACCTGAATATGTGAGTTTTGGTGCTATTATAAATGATTTTTAATATCAAATTCCAGTTACACGTTCCTGGTATTGAGGTAAGCTATTGACTTTAGTATATTAACCCTATATCATGCAAAGTGTTGTAACTGCACATTAGTTCCAGGCATTTTGTTGTTCTTGATGGCTCCTCAGAATTTTCTGTATAGACAGTCATGTTATCTGTGAACAGTTTTATTTTATTTCTCTACCAATCCATATAACTTTTCCTTTTTTCTGTCTTATTATACTAGCTAGGATTCCAGTATGGTCTTGAACAGGAGTGATGATGGGAAGGTAAATCTTTGCCATGTTCCTGATCTTATGGGAGAGCACCTAATTTCTCACCATTGTGATGTTACCTGCCCCTCTTTACTCTTGATAATTTTCCTTGTCCTGAATTCCACTTTATGTAAAATTAATATAACTCCTCCTGCTTTCTTCTGTTTAGTATTAGCATGGTATATTTTTCTCCATCATCCCTTTATTTAAACCAATCTCAGCGTTTCTACTTTTAAAGTAGGTTTCTAATAGAAAACATATAGTTGGTTTTTTTACCCACTTTGACAATCACTGTCTTAGTTGATGTAGTTAAACCATTCATGTTTAAAGTGATTATTGGTCAATTTTGATTGATATCTACTATAAATGTTTTATATCTACTTGTAACTGTTTTCTATTTATGACACTTGTTCTTTGTTTTTGTTTTTCTTTTCTTCCTTTCTGTATTAGTTTCCTAGGGCTGCCATAACAAATTGCCATAAACTCGGTGGCTTAAAACAATAGGAATTTATTCTTTCGCCAATCAGTAGGCCATAAAACCAAAATAAATATGTCAACATGGTTGTTTCCTGCAGAGGCTCTAAAGGAGAGGCTATCCCATTCTCTCTCCAAGTTTCTGGTAGTTTCCAGCAATTCTTGGTGGTCCTTAGCTTGTAGATGTATCACTCCAATCCTTGCCCTCATTTTTCACATTGCCTTCTGTGAGTCTCTCTGCATCCTTTCCTCTTCTTAAAGACACTAGTCATTGTATTCATGGCTTATCCTAAATCCAGCATGATTTCACCTCAAAATTCTTAACTAATTACATGTGCAAAGACCCTATTCCCAAATGAGATCACATTCTGAGATTTTGAGTAGACATAAATTTAACAGAAACACTATTCAAACTACTACATTTCACTCTCTGATCAACCAAAATTATATCTATCACATATGGAAATTCATTCACCTCATTCCAAAATTCCGAAAGTTGAAATCCATCCCAGCATCAATTCTAAATTAAAAATTTTATCTAAATATTATCAATTCAAAAGTTTTAAATATCATCATCTAAATAAGTTATCCATGACTCTTGGTATGGTCCATCCCAGGGCTAAATTACTCTCCATTTGTGGACCAGTGAAATTGAAGAGGAGGCAGGACTCCATTCTGGACCATATTGAAGATTGGCTGAAACAGAGAAGAGGCACCAAAAGCACTTCTCCATAAGACATGCCCACCAGTGCCATGTCAGTTTACCACTGCCATGGCAACACCCAGAAGTTATTGTCCCTTGCTATGGCAATGACCTGGAAGTTACAACCTATTTTCTAGAAATTTCTGAATAGCCCATCCCTTAATTTGCATGTAATAAAAATTGGGCATAAATATGACTGCAGGACTTCTGATCTGCTACTCTTCATGCTGCCTGTGGGGCAGCTCTGCTCTGCAGGAGCAGTCATGGAGCTGTAACACTGCCACTTCAATAAAGCTGTTTTCTTCTATTACTAGCTCACTCTTGAATTATTTCCTAAGCAAAGCCAAGAAGCTTCCTGGGCTAAGCCTGCTCTGCATCAAGTAGTGCCCAATGTGGAGCTGAGGAGAGAAGACGATGGTGTGACAGATGGTGAGAGAATTGGCAGTTGGCAGTCGGCAAGGCAAAGGCAAAGGTAAGAGAGGAGAAGAGACAGTGATCGGTGAGAGGATGACTAGAGAAGCGATGAGCAGAGAGATGGAGCAAGATGGTGATAGAGAGAGATGGTAAAGCAGTCGGTGACCGAGGCTGCAAGAGCTGTAACACTGTGGCTATAATATCAAAGAGCTGTTAACATTGCAAGAGCTATAACATTAACCAAAGCCTCTTTTTAGAGCTATCATTTTTCCTAGCAGGCAGCAGAGCTGAGTGAATGGGAAAGTGGCTGTAGTGCCACTGCCTTGTAGGAGACCCACTGCTCTGACCCACAGGCAGATGGGTTACCGGTTTGGTGGCAGCCTCTCCCACCACGACAGCCGAGTCCACCCAAACTGGGGAACCTGAAGAGAACTTTACCAGCGTCCCACATGGATGATCAGTTGCTGTCATTTTGGCTCCTGTGGAGGGGTGAGTATACCCTCTATCTCCCCCCACATCCCAAATAATATTGGGTGAGACAGGAAACAAAAGCCTTTAGCTAAGCAGTCAGTTAAAAGTTTCCTGTCATTTGGGTGCCCTGAAGCATGTCTTTGTCACCCCTTTTCTTGTTCCTTTCTCTGATTCCATTTTATTGCTCTATCAGTCATTCTATTTTAAGTCATAAAATGTGTGTTTTAATTGCAGTTTTTTTTTTGTTTGTTTCTTTTGACTTCCTGTTAACTGTATTTGGGAAATTGTTTAAGGCAGGATGCTTGCTTGTGAGAGGTCTCCTCTTGTGTTGACTCTGAGATGCCAGAGTCACGTTGCTTCGTGACACCAATTTGAACTGGGGTTCACTGTTGGCACCCCATGGCTGCCCCAGGATTGTTGGCATTTGGTGAGGAGACCCTCATTGACTGACACTCAGGTACTCCAGGTGTTTGGGCATTGGTACTGTCGGCCACGCCTTAGATGCTCTGGGATTTTCAGCATGAACATTCCCTCTAGGATTGTGAGTTACAGCCCCTTCCTCTAGGGGAATCTTGGCCTTTCCTTTTCTGACCTGGAGTTAGGGGTCATTATTTTCCTAATAGCCAGTTCCAGACCCCTTCCTGTGTATTGTCTTACAACGACTTTGGTCAAGCCCATCTTTGTCAAAGGAACCAAGAGTTCCTGGACCCCTGGACTGATAGCTGACCACCTACAGCAGTAGACAAGTGGCCACTCGAACATTGTTTTTGTTGGCTCCGCTACCGGGTAGGTCCTCCAGCAAGTAGGGACTTCTGACATCTCCCCTTGGGAAATGCTCTTCACCCCTTTGCTTTCTCCTTTCCACAGTCACCATTTCTTTAACCCCTTTCTGCCCAACCTAAGATGCTTTCCTCACTCTGGAATTTAGGCTCAACATTCTACTGCCCTTTTGCTTCTTGTGATCCACTTCTGTAACATTTTTGCTGTCCATATTTACACCTTCTTTGTAGAAAGTAGAAATTTAGAAGGGAAAAGTAACTAGGCATTCATTAAACTCAGGCTAAGTGAAACCCCCTGTAAAGATTCTTACTAGACCTGGGGATAACAGTGAGCATCCCAAGAGACTCATTATTGGAGTGCCTTTTAGGCAATTGGAGTAAATTCAAAGTAGACAAATTGAATAAGAAAAAAATATTTTTTATTGCAACAATGTATGGGTTCAATACAAATTGGCGAACCAACAGATCTGGCCTAGGCATAGTTCTTTACATTATGATATGGCACAATTAGATTTGTTCTGTACAAAGGAAGAAAAATGAAAAGAAGTTTCTTATGTGCAGACTTTTATGGCCCTACATGAGCAACCTAACCTAAGGGCTAGCTGTAGAATGTGTCTGGCTTATGATACTCTCAGGTACCCAGAAGCCACACCAGATATCCTAGATTACTCCCTCCTAGATCCTTTTCCTAGGAGGTCTGCAGTGCCCCCTTTAGAGCCTCCTCAGTCTCCCTAATTCTGAGGGGGACCATCAGTTGTGTAGCTCAGGATTATACTCCAATATCATCAAATTCCCCTCCCCCTTAACCTATAATCCCTGACCAATGTCCTCCACTACTGGAGGAAGTAAGCCCAACTAGTCCTACCAGGAGTGGGGCCCCATATCAACCCCCAAAGTCAAGCCTGTGTCCTTTGCAGCAGGTAGCTGAGAGAGAGGGAGAAACAATAAAAGTATATGCAACTTTTTCCATGTCCAGTTTGGCTTTATGCAAGGGGAAATTTGGTCAGTTTTCAGAGGATCCAGGGAAGTTTGTGGAGGAGATTATTAAGTTGCCCATATCTTTTGATTTAACTTGGCATGACCTGCAAATATTATTATGTGCTTGTTGTACCATAGAGGAAACACAAATAATTCTAGGTACTACCCATGAAACTGCAGCTGGAGTAGCCACTTGTAACCCAGGCCATGACGTTTACTGTGTGGAAGCAGATGCAGTTCCAGATCTAGATCCCCAATAAGATTATCAGAGGGGTCCCCAAGATCTCAAATGCAGAAATCACATGCTGACTTGTTTAACAGAAGTTATGAAAATGTGTATGGTTAAGTCCATTTATTATGACACGTGAGATAAATAACTCAGAAGAAAGGTAAACATCCCATTCTATTTCAGGGCCATTTGATTGAAGCACTCAAGAAATATACTAATACAGACCAAGACTTCCTGGAAGGATGAGCTCTCCTGGGTGTGCATTTTATTACTCAATCTGCCTACGACATTTGGAGGAAGCTACAAAAGGTAGCAATGGGACCCCAAACCCCCCTGAGCCAAATCTCAGACAGTGCCCTGGGGACAGGGCAGAGGAAAAGGTGAAAATCAAAAGAATTGGCCAAAAAGCACAATTCTTAGTGGCTGCTTTAGGCTCCCTGCTGCCTTGGGGTTGCCTACCCTGAGGAAATGTGGTGAGATCAGCATCTGGGATGCTCAGACAAGAGCCCTCAAATTGCTGGCTTCTAGGCCAAACTCAGTGTACTTCTATAAGGTAGGTAGAGGGGCACTGGAGGAAGGACTGCTCCAGGTTTAAAAGGGAGTCTAAGCAGGAGGCTTAGGCACGAGAATTGCTTGAACCCAGGATGTGAAGTTTGCAGTGAGCCAAGATTGCACCACCACAATCCAGCCTGGGTGACAAAAAAAAAAAAGTCTAAGCCATCCAGACCCATAATACCCAAGAAAGCAGAGGATCCATGGAGACCAACGTCCTCCACAGATACTACTGGACACCTTACCATCTCCACAGAGGAGTCTCAGGTAAGTTTTTATATGGCAGGCAAAAATATTGAGTTCTTATTCGACATGAGAGCAGCCTACTCAGTTTTTACCCATTTCTAAGGCCTGCAGTCTTTCCACTCTTGTATGGTAACAGGGATTGATGGCCAGCCAAAAATGAGGAGATTTACCCAACCCCTTGGTTGTCCTTTGGGGATACCATACATTTTTCCACAAGTTTTTGCTTATACCTGTATGCCCTGTCCCTATACTGCAGAGAGACTTACTTTCCCCATTACAGGCCATAGTTCAATTTGGTCTGACTCATGAAAAGGCAGTAGGCCAGGACTAGACACTACTCCTAGCTGTAAGTACTAGCCTTAACACAGACAAGAAGAAGAGCTCCCTTCCATGGAAAATTGCTTCTTAGGTAGACCCCTCTGTCTGAGACATGGAAGTCCCTGGTAGAGCTGTTAATGTACCCCCAGGCCAGGTTATTTTAAAACCCAGTGTTAATTACCCATGGAAGATATAGTATCCTTTGAGACCTGAGGCTCAGAAGGACAACCAGCCCTTGATAATGAAGTTCCTAAGTATGAATTATCACAATTCTGTCAGTCTCCATGTAACACCTCCATTTTATCTGTAAAGAAACCAAATGTAGAATATAGATTTGTTAAGGATCTGAGAGCAGTTAATGAGACAGTAGTCACAGTCTACCTAGTAGTTCCTAATCCTTATACAATATTGACCCAAGTCAATAGGGGTCTGAGTACTTTGGGATTATTGTGGTTAGTTAGGAAGTCTAGGGAGATGGCTGTGAGATTCCCTGGATAGGCCTGAAGGTGGAACCTTCTATCTTGCGGATGTTGATGACAAATCTGACACCATGAAGATGACTCTCTGATGCTATAAGTTTTGAAATATTTACTATAGGGTTTGTTCCCACCCATACTAGATCAAGGTAATTGGCAGAGCAAGCAAGATTAACAGTGACAGCTTGGTGTCTGGTTGGGCCTTAGAGTAGCCTCTATACCCAACAAAGGCAAAAGAGGTGTTTCCTTGGAGGGGGCAGTTGACTAACACAATAGAAAGTAAGTATTGCAATAAGGAAAAAGAAAAATTAATGCTCCCATTCCCACCCACAGCATCATGGTTATCACTTCTGGCTGAGTGTTGATTCTTTTAAACAGGTAACAGAGGTCTTCAAAGGTTCACAATGTAGGTCGTGATGCCCTCCTTTTTGTTCCTGCAACTCATAAGAAACAGGTTTTATCCTGGATAGGTGTACCAAATTAGTTACCCCTTTAGTTTAACAGCAGTGCAAATATGCAACGATGTGTGATATGGGCCCTTCCATGTCAGTTGTAATTGATCATCAGGGGATTCTTGTTTCCAAGTTTTCAGTAAGATTATGTCTCCTGGTTGAATTGGGGGGGTGGATGTTAATTCTTTCCTTTGTAGGTGGGAACTATATTTTATTTCCATATGATTGAAGGGCCTTTTGGTGCTGGCCTAAGGTGATAATATGGGTGGGCATTCTATGTGTGTCCTCATTAAACAGGAGGTCTACAGTTAAAAAGGGCCTACCGTAAGTCATTTCAAATAGACTAAGTTTTAGAGTTCCCTTCAGAGCCATTCTCACACGTAAAAGGTCTATGTGTAAAGGAGAGACCCAGGCCTCTGAAGTTAAATTGCCTCAAAAGGCTTTGAGAAAACAAGAAAGCTAAGTTGATGTCTTTGGGTTTGTGATTTCAAGGAATCACCAACCCAAGCGAATTAGGGGAGCCAGGCCTAGAAGGTACCCTGGGAGTCATCATGAGAAAATCCTGGAATGGGTATACAAGAACACAGGGCAGGAAGCTGGGTCTGTACTAAGACCGCCCATTCCATCCAGAGACTTATGTGCTCTGGCTGGCTTAAACTACAAGTTATTGGAATTCACCTGGATGAGGAATGTCCTTACCTTAAGTCAGGATGGAATACT
The DNA here is from genome assembly GCF_000001405.40 of Homo sapiens. Lineage (NCBI taxonomy): Eukaryota > Metazoa > Chordata > Mammalia > Primates > Hominidae > Homo > Homo sapiens. Next base: position 72,123,558 of record NC_000008.11, read on the forward strand.
TACTGAGAGTGGTTTTTATAAAAGTAAATATTATTTCTTCTCAAGCATCTGAATATAATTTAACATATGGTGAACGGACTTTTTCTTCTGGTTTCTTGGAAGAATTGATTTGCTTTAAATGATGAAATGTTATACCAGTAGCAGCTCACAATTGCACAACTGGGACTGTTAATTGGGATTAGTGAAATAATTTAGGGGGATCTCATCCTAGTCTCAACCAACTAGAAAAATCTCTTCTCCAGCCATTATTATTGTTGTTGCACTCTTGTCGGATGACCACTTTTCTATTTCACTGATGCACCCCCTTCCAATTACCGTTGCTACTTTTTTGTTGTTTTCTCCGAGTTTCTACGTTATTACTACTCAATAGGGTTGAGGTTTTCCTCAGCACTTTTCTGAATAAGAAACCTCAGTTTACTGTGAGAAGCTTAATAATAGGAAAATTGAGCTCGCAGAGAGCACTTTTCAGCTTTCCGATGCTTAATGTTGTTTGTCAGGTTCTCACTAGATGAATATGATGAGGCTTTTAAAACCCATTAGCTTTCCAAGAGCATTCCCTTTTCTTCCTTGGATTCAGATCATTTTCACACTGTTTTCTTCCAGGAGTGGCACCAGTAACAAGGGAATCAGCTCTAAACTGAGTTCCTGAAATTAAGCTCATTAGAAACATTCTTCTCTTAGTAAACCTTGATTTTATATCCAGCTATTTACAGAAATCTCAATTTCAGCTTTTCTCAGATACAATTTTTATCAAAATCTGGATAATACTTCATCTATACTTTCAGTCTCATAAATTATGTTATATTTAAAAGCATTGAGAGTAAAAGCACTTTCCTCTTGTGAAGAAGTTACGACTGTATTTTTAGAACATGGAGTTTAAGAATATTATAATAAAGGAAGTAGAATTACTTTTAAAAGATTATGACTAATGATCTTTACAAAATCTAAATGGAATACTTTGTTGTGACGTTCAGTTGTCTTTCATGTTCATATAGTTTGCTATTAATTGTGTAGGAGGGTCATATTGTCATAATAAGTGACTGAGGGACAGTATGTTATAATATTAAGCAGACCAGGAAAGTGTTCTACTGCCCTTGGAAAATGAACGTATGCTACATATGCGATGGTGACCTTAACGTGTGTACATTTGTAAACGTACAGTTTAAGATTGCTTTTGAAATACATATTTTTGGAGTATTAGTTACATGAAAGTCAAAAGTTAAATGCAAAATTTCATGGAGGGGCTTCCCGTCCATTCTGTAATGCCGAGACTTCTCTCCTCTGTTCAGCTAGGATATTCTAGACTTTCTGGTACATTCTGATTATATATTATGGTAGTAAAAGTACCCACATGAGAATTATACAAATTTGATTCTCACGTGAACCATCTGTATAGGTTATTTTCATACAGACCATGTGGTAGGTTATGTTAACTCTGTAAGCCTCAACTTCCCCATAAGGGGAATTGGGGTGATCATGTTCACCTCACAGTTTCATTATACAGATAGATGGCAGAATATTTAAAGCTTATATTAATAGGCAGCCACTCTTATATTCAGTACCTAAAATATTGTAGTTGCTTAAATATGTCTATGGACTTGAATATTGTAGGCAGCACACAACTTTATGCCCATATTTTTTTTTACAATATAGCTAAAAGTATTTCTGAAGTTTTATTTCAAGTATCTGTGATTTACAGATTACCTAGAGGTGGCATTCCTAACATATAGATGAGTATACTCATTACATCCTGAAAGTTTATTCAGTATATTCCCACATAAATTTGATACAAACTGTGGTTAAATTTCTAGATTACATCACAGAAAACTATAGCATCCATAAAATAGCTGAAATCATATTGTTACAGTAGGTGGCTAGTAAGACATGAGGAGGGCAGGAGAGAGGGCCACCCCTTGCCCAACCACGAATGTCAGGTGACCATCAGGTGATGATCAGACAGCTGTTAAGCTGTCTCTCTAAGATAATAATTGGTTGCAGCTGGCGCCAGGACAAGTCAGTGTTTCAATAGAGAGATAAAACCTGAAGCTGGTGATCATAAGCTTCCCAGTAAGATCTCAGGAGTCGGGCCAATGGGCTCAAGCATCCACACTAAGAGGCAAAATGGTGGTTTAAGCACTTGACTGGTAAGAGAAAAAGGACTCAATTGTGCATGTGGGTCCTCCCAAGTGCTGACAGTCCACTGTGCATGCAGACAGCCCACCCCAAGGGAAGAATTAGAGGAGAAGGAATGCAAGACCCTAGAAGCATGACAATGTCTAAAACCCCAGTTCAAAGGTCAAACAATGCACTTGAATCTCTCAAGTCATTCACTTTGCCCTCTTCCAAGTGTTCTTTACTTCCTTTCATTCCTCCTCTAAAGCTTTTTAATAAACTTTCACTCCTGCTGTAAAACTTGCCTTAATCTCTCACTCTGCCTTTTACGCCCCTCTGTCTGAGGAGGCAAGAATTGAGGTTGCTGCAGGCCTGTACCGATTTGCCATCACTAACAATGGTAGTTTACCTAATGCACCAAATCCATTAATCTTGAGAGCCCTAGTTTACTGTGAGTATATATGCCTTGAAGGTTTAGCTAACCCTGATGACCACTGAGCCCTCGTGGATATGGTTTTCCTCCTTGAGATTATGAGTGCAGCAAAGTGCTCTGGAGAAATTGGTAAGAGAGAAGGAAGAAGAAAGAAAACTTCAACAGAACACCTACTGGAAGAAATTTGGAGACTGTTGAGAAAGGGTCTGAGCAAAGGTAGAACTAATTTAAAAGAATTATATTATACACCCATGTTCATAGCAGCATTGTTCAAAGTAGCCAAAAGATGGAAGCAACTCAAGTTTTCATCAACAGATGAATGCATAAACAAAATGTACTGTATATACATACAATGAACTATTACTCAACCTTAGAAAGGAAAAGGATTCTGACACATGCTACAACACAGGTGAAATTTGAAGACATTATGCTAAGTGAAATAAATCAATGGTGAAAAGAAATGCTGTATGATTTCACTTACATAAGGTATGAAGAGTAGTCAAATTCATAGAGACAGAGAGTAAAATTGGGGTAGTTTGGAAAGGAAGAGGAGGTTGGATAATTCCCGTTTAAAGGGAATGGAATTTCAGTTTTGCAAGATGAAAAGAGTTCTGGAGATTGGTTGCATGAAAATGTGAATTTACTTAACGCTACTGTACACTTAAAAATAGTTGATAAAATTGTACGTGTATCTTATCAAAATTTTTTAAAACTAGAAAAGTGGATCCTAGTACTAAGAAAATAGGTCATTTATCTTGTTGGTCAACGTGCTTTGAGACTTCTGACAATTATTTAAGGTTCCCCTTGGGGACTACTTGATGGACAAGGGAGGGGTAAAAGGGTTGAAAAACTACCTATTGGTGTTACAGTAGGTAGCTAATCAGGCATGAGCAGGGCAGGGGAGGTCTCCCCCACCCACCCAGGAATGTCAGGCAACCGTCAGATAGGTGATGGTCAGTTGGTCATTAAACTATAAACTATCTCTCTAAAATAATAACTGGTCACAGCCAGCACCAGGGAAAGGCAGTCTTCCAATAGATAGAAAACAGCTCAAGTTGGTGATCAGCAGCTTCCCGATGAGATCTCAGGTTGGGCAAATGGGCTCATGCATTTGCACTAAGAGGCAAAATGGTGGAGTTTAACTGAAATGTGACCCTTCTCTATGAACATTCAACTAGTAAGGGAAGAACACCTCAAGTGAGCATGTGTACAAGTCCAGTAAACACACTGCGCATGCGGCTACTCCCAGGTGCTGGTAGGCCACTGCACATGCAAGGCAGCCCACTCAAAGGAAAGAATCAGGGAAGGAGGGATGCAACACCCCAGAAGCATACCAACATATAAAACCCTAAGTCCACAGGTCAAACTGCAGGTCACAGAGAAACCTGAAAAACTGAATTCCCAGCCATAAACAGGAAGGGAGATTGGACAGGCCTCACTACAGCCTCTCCCTTTTTTAGTTTAGGCACAAATGCCCAGCATTAACATTAAAGCAGAGATCCTAAGACTGACTAAACAGATTCCATGGCAATAAGATACCAAATTCCAATCTGACTCTGATATAGCATCACATGACAACATAGTGATACAGGAGGTAGAAAACAATTATTTGGGCAGATAGTGAGGGCGAAAGAGTCCTCTGAAGAATTCTTTCCTAACAAAAAGCAGCCCCCAAAATCATTTGTTTTCTAACAAAATCAGCCTGAAAAATTGAGCTGCAAACCTAGAAGAGCAAGCTGGAAGTTTGCACAGGGAAATGCCAGCAGCTGCACCAACAGAAAAAGGCTACCTGGGGGCCAGGGATGTCCAACATGGAGGCTCCATCTTCCCTTTTTTTTTGTTACCACATGTACAGTAATAAAGAAATGGGCAGTATGGTGCAGCTCAGGCAAAAAACCCACCTGCATAATAAAAGATTAGGGTGGGGGCTACCAGAGATTTGTACCCTATGCAAATGACACAACTGGTTTAACCAGTTTTTCACGCCCTATGTAAATCAGACACCACATCACCACTAGCTCATCTATAAAACCCCCTGCATTTCACCGCAGATTCGGCAATTCATTTTTCCAGGACCCCCTCTCTGCAGCAGGGAACTATTCTCTTTCTTTCACCTATTATACTTTCAACCTCATTCTTTGTGTGTTCATGTCCTTGTTCTCCATGGCCATGCAACAACAAACCTCAGGTGTTACTCCCGACAACAAGGCTGCTTCAATAACAGAACCCCAAAGACAAAAATATTTTACCCCAACATATATTTCTTTGACATATTTTGAAATGACTCCTGCAAAGCTGTCTTTTGTGGGGGAAATTTGCATCTGTAGAGAATCTCAATTAATGCAACCAGGCCTTCCCTTTCTAGGCCTTTTTCATATGCACTTTTTAAGTCACTTTTTTCAGTCACCTTTTTCTTATTTTTTTAGTGTAATAATCATTTGTTGATGGCTCTAGGCTTTCTTATGTCTCTTGAGACCTAAGAGAGTTTAAATGAGAGGCTGACACTTTTAATGTCTGAGAAGAGACATTTACGATCTATCCTCTCTGAAGACTGTTAACCAATGAGGCTTTCTCTGCATAACAAGAACCTTGGCCTCCACAACCTCCTTTATCTTCACTCAAGCATTTCTACTGACTTCAATCTTTAGACAAATCTTAACTCTTTCAACCAATTGCCAGTCAGAAAATCTTTGAATCCATCTATAACCTGTAACCATCCCCCTTGAAGATATCCCACCTCTAATCCTGAACCAATATATGCATACCTTCTATGTGTTAATTTATGATTTTATCTACATTCATGTCTCCCTAAGAGGTATAAAACCAAACTAACCCAATTGCCTCAGGCACACTTTCTCAGGACCTCTTGAGAGCCATGGTCACTCATATTGGCTCAGAATAAACCTCTTTAAATATTTTAAGAGATTTTTTTTTAATCAACAAGAATTTTTTTAAAGTCTTACAGAACTATCTGGTTGTTTAAAATATGTACATGTATAACTTTGTTAAAAATAAGAATATAGTTATCTAAAATATTAGAGCATTTATAGTACTATTGACCTTTACCAAAATTATAGCTCTCTTACAGAAATTAAAGCGATTCTTACTTTTCATTTTGGAAAACAAATGTTTCCACCAATTTCTGGAGCTACTGGATGTTTGCCACCAAACTAACTTCTAAATCCTCTGTCTCTCCTCACAGCAAATTTTCTTTACATAAGAAGACAAGGAATAGTAAACATGGGTAATTTAAAATAGAAATAATATAATAACCTGTGATTAACAATGATATTAACATGGTGCCAATTGAAATTTCCTGGAAAATGTAAACAGCCAAGAACATACATCACAGATTATGTCTTGACAATTTGAGAAAACCCAATTAACACTCCTAATATTGTTTGATTCCATAGTAGATGTGTCTAGACATAGGAAGGGAAAGGAGGAAAAAAAGAAACAACAGTTAAATCTTGAGCTGTGAACAGTGATAAGTGTTATGGCATCCTGAATTGAAATATGCAAATGTGGAGGCTTTAGAATAGAAGAAGCCCAAGAAACTACCAAGTGTAAAGCCCTCGTGAAAGAATTCTAACACCCAAAGTAATGAGTTGACTTACCTGTACTGCTTCAATGAAAAACTAATTTTAAAATAAAGCATATTTATTTTCTGTAGTCCTTTATACAGAGACACACTTTAGGATTATAGACCAATTTCATCCCACTAGAGTAGAAAGGGATAGCAATTGATATGGGGAAGCAGAATTTCCACAAAAACTACAGGTTCTCAGGGTACAGTCATGTTTATCTGGCTGATCAAAGGACAAAAGTTCAGTAGAGTGTCCCAGTAGAGGCAGCAGCATGAGTTGGCTGCATCTCCTGTTGCCTCAGACCATCCTGGTGAGCTGGCTCTGTAATCTTACAGAGCCACCAGACTGTGGTCCTGCCTTCTACCTGCACTGCTGGGCAACCAAGGGCAGGACTAGGTTCTAGGGGAGGAATACCCAGGCAATGAAGGCCTGGAGCACTCCATGTAAAAATAATACAAATCCTTTAAAACAGCATATGTAAAATAAATCACAACATATATATTAAACATACAATGGTGCTGAAAATTTGTAATATTCTACAGTTGTTAACTTTTGTCAATTACCTAAGCTTTGTATCTAAAGCTTATAGGCCTTATTCTAAGAATGAGTCTGGTAGCCAAAGAACATTATTTTTTTACAGAATGGTTTGTGCTTGGAAGAGCCTGTGTCCCCAAATGTTTGTGTCCCCCAGAAATTCCTTTTCAAGGTGGTTCCTAAAGTCAAGTCTGCATTAACATCCATTCTTTTTGATTCCAGATTATTCACCCTGTCCACTTGCCTAATTTATGTGTCTTTATAAAAAGACATTTACATATTCCAGAAGTATAAAGCACAGATTCAATTCCAAATGATAGTTCCATCTATATCTGTAACTATTCATTTTAAAATTTATCACAGACACCTAGCATTCAGCTCTATAAAATCTCTCTGCTTCTGATCTTTCAGATCAATGTTTTTTGGTTGATTTGTATGGTTCAGTTATAGAACAATGGCTTTGGTATCATATGGTCCTGCTAATTCTGACTGCTCCACTTACCATGTGAGAAACCTCCCTGAACCTCAGTTTACTTGTCTGTAAAATAGGGATAATAATATACCTAACTCAGAGTGCTGTTTTAAAAATTCTATGAGGATCTGTTAAGAAGACAGCTAAGACAGTACACATGATAGGTATCCAAAAGCAGTCATATTTTTCTTATTTTTTTAGTGTAATAATCATTTGTTGATGGCTCTAGCCTTTCTTATGTTTCTTGAGAAGAAAAGGAATAAAGAATGAAGCCATGTTTAATGTAAATTTCATTATTATTCAGATATGGTGAGACCAATATATCAGAGATGATTGCCATTGAAAAGTAGTTTGTCAGTCACAGTTCCCAAAAGGTAGATCATGCTATGCCAGGCAGGAAAGCACCAGGTTTGGTGAGGAGACAGAGGGAAGAGAGGGTGGGGAATGTGAACAACAGCCTCTATCATGGTTTCCATGGGAAGGAATGGGTGAGGCAGGGTAAGCAGGTTTAGAAATTGTTTGGTTTGATCAATTTCAGTGAGCTGTGAGCTGTAGGAGCTGTCCTGAGCTGTCAGGGTACCTGGCCCTGCAGTGATTGGGGCAGGAAATATTAGTCCTCAGTGTAAGAGCCCGACACAGGAGGTGAAGGGTGTGTAGGTTCTGGACTGGTTGGTTTACATATGAAAGGCACACTTCCAAGGATGAGCAGTTTAATATCTCTAGGAAGTGGCTGCCCTAAGAGGGTCAGTCTCTCCAGGTTTAGCAAGGCCCCAGATGACAAAGCACCAGAAATAGAGAAAATAAAAAGGTTTGATTTCTCTTTTCCTTCCTTCCTTCCTTCCCTCCTTCCTTTTTCTTCTCCTTTCTTTTTGTTGATACAGAGTCTCACTCTGTCATCCAGGCTAGAGTGCAGTAGAGCAATCACAGCTCACTGCAGCCTCAAACTCCTGCGCTCCAGTGATCCCCCCACCTCAGCCTCCCAAGTAGCTGTGACTACAGGTACACATCACCACACCCAGTTATCTTTTTTTTTAATTGGTGTTATTTGTAGGGATGGGGTCTCCCTATGTTGCCCAGGCTGGAAAAGGGATGATTAATACATCATTCTAGATTAGGTTTATAGTAATTTTCTTCAGCCAGCTTAGGACCCTTTGTTGTTTTGCTGTGACCTATTTTTTTCCCTGCAAATATATTTAATAAGGAAACTTGAAGGTCTAGCCATCCGTTAGTTGCAATAACAGGTATCTAGTTAACATTTTCACAATGAATTGGCCATATTTTCTTTCACAATTTCTGCCAGAATTCTTATAATCTCATATGATAATTTATTCTGACAATTTGCATTACTTAAAGAATTATGTTCCTAAAGTGAAGAAATTTAGAAGTATTTTGTATTCAGATAAATTTTATTTTCTGTTTCTCCTCCTTTTTTCCCTTTCCTTCCCTATTTATCTTTCTTCCTTTATTTTTTTCTTCACCTACCAAAGTAAGTCTAAGATAATATTAAGAATGTTATATTTGAGCTCGTATTTCTCTTTGATGTGTCAAAGTAAAAAATATAAAAAATTAATTCGGGTATTAGAGAACAATATACCAAACAACATAGTGTAAAAGTCAGTAAGTCATGTCTCTTATTGCTTGGGGGGAAAATGCCATACTATAACTTATTTCACCTTAAATATTAGGTAGAAAAGTTCTGAAATCTTATCATGTTGAATATTTTATTTTTCTATCTATTAGCAAGTTTATTGATTCTAATAATATCCTTAAGAATTTATTGGTTACTCTTCCATTTAGGATATAGAAGCTCGAAAAAGATTATTGCTCCTATCATAACAATGAGAAAATACTAGATAAGCTTTTTGAAAAAATCTATTTTTTGAACTATTTAAGAGTTTCAGAAGTAATATAATTCCAGAGAGAGGCAACTCATTCCTAGGCCAGCACAGGAGGGTGGCTGCTTCCATCACTGAGGGAAATTATCAAGGCTGGTGGAGGGGCAGCCAAAAGAGAAGCCTGTCCCAGACAGGATTTAGAAAGGACAAAGGGAAACAAATCACATTTTCAATGGTCATGTAGGAGTTGAGTGGTGAAATTCAAGCTAAAGGGAGCCCAGACTCAAAGCTAACCCTCTCATCCAACAATTCTCTCTTGGAATTCTCCCTGCATCACTTTCCAGGTGGTGCCTGGACATGAGGTTGAACAGAAAGCAGAGGTCTCTTTTTTCCACGATGTTTATAAAGTCCTGCTAAGGGTGAAGCCCAAAACCACCTTCACAACATTTGATATGAGTGACAAACTGAAACTAAGTAAAACTGCAAGCCAATCCCAACTCAGATCAATTCCTCATTAGGCTAATGCTCAGGAGGAGAGGAGATCTTGTAGATTATTCTGGCTGAAAGTTAGTTTCCTGTTTTCTAGAGCTAAAATGGCCACCGCTGCTAGTGCTTTAAGGCAGGTTGGCCACCCTTTGACTGTGTTATCTAGTTGTTTAGAGAGATAAGCTACAGGGGCAAAAGAAGGAGGATTTCCTTTCTGTTGTCCTAAGACACCGAGGGCTATTCCTTGGCTTTCGGCAGTATAGAGAGTGAAAGGTTGGGAGATATCAGGTAAGGACAGAGCTGTCGCAGTGAAAAGAGCAGTTTGGAGTTTGTGGAAGCTGGGGAGTATATTATGTGAAGGATTTAGGGTTCATTGAGGGGGCCTTTGGCCACTTCCTAGAGGGGGCAAGATAGGAGGGCAAAGTTGGGAATCCATATTCTAAAGAAGCCTGCTAGGCCTAGGAAGGAAAGGATTTTGCTTTTGGAGGAGGGCGGGGGTAGATTATCTATTAATGCTGCTGGGGCTGGGGTCATAGCCTGGGCCCCAGGGGAAAGTTGAATTCCTAAGTAGGACACCATGGAGGTGGGGAATTGGGCCTTGGACGAGGAGACCCCATATCATTTGGTAGCGAGGAAGTTTAAGAGAGCAGCTGTGTGAGTTTGAGAGTCTTTTAGAAAGGGGCTGCAAAGAAGAAGGTTGTCCACGTATTGAAGGAGACAACTGGGAGACAGGTAATAAGGAGGTGAGGTCTCCGAAGAAATAAGAGCTATCCCTGAAGCTCTGAGGGATGACAGTTCATGTGAGTTGTTGTGACTGGAGGGTGTCAGGGTCAGTCCAGGTGAAAGCAAAGAGGTTTTGGGAATCAGGGTGTACGGGAATGATAAAGAAGGCATCTTTTAAGTCAATTGCGGTGTAGTGGGTGGTGTTGGAGGGGACGAGAGAAATAAGTGTATAGGGGTTAGGGATTACAGGATGAATAGGGAGGACAGCCTGATTGATGGCTCAGAGGTCCTGAACGAGTTGGTATGAGCCATCAGATTTTTTAACAGGGAGGATGCTCTGGGTCTTTGGCAGGTTCGGGAAGGGGAGGTTGGCCAGGTGAGGGGTTATAGAGGAGAGAGAGAGAGACAGAAAGAGAGAGAGATTGAGAGAGAGCAAGTCCTCTAAGGACACCCAGCCAGAGCCTATCCCTTTCTGGGTTTCGGCACCAAAATGTAAGTTTGGCTGAGAGAAAGAATGAGAAAGACCCAAGGTCAGGCAAGTAAGTTTATTAACCTGCTGGGCTGCACCACCACAGTCAGAGAAGGCAGCCTTGAGCTTATAAAATGAGGAGTTTATATAGTGCGGAGAGACCCTGGGGTTGTTGGTTGACTTTACCACATACATCTTGTGACCAGCTTACAATATATTATCCTGTGAATGTAGGAATTTACAAGAGGGTGTAACTTAGGTTTATCCAGATTGTCATAACCTCCCCTGTGCTGCCCTGGGGGCTGTAATCAGGTTTTGCTCAGCAAGTCTGGTGAGGTTGCTGTGGCGCCTAGATAAGGGTTCAAGAATGCAGCTGCAGAGTATTCAGGGTAAGAGTCAGCTGCATTGAGGTGGGGGGGCTCCTGGGGCAGCTTGTCCCTAACAATAACAAGCATTGAGGAGAGTGTGAAGCTACTGGTAGACTCATAAGCTCTTGTTTTAGGAGCTATTTGATGCTCATAGCAACATGGATAAATCTCCAAGTAATTATGCAGGGTGAAAGAAGCCAGATAATAAAGAGCACATATTACAGGATTCCATTTGAATAAAGTTCTATATGTGAGCTAATCTATGGTAACTGAAAACAGATCAGTGTTGCCAAGGAACAGGGTGGGGCAGTGGGAGAGGGGAGTGATTACAATGGGGCATGGGGACATTTTTGGTAAGGAGTTCAATGTTCATTACCTAGACAGAGGTGACAGTTTCACAGGTGTATACCTATGTCAAAACTATTTCAATTGCAAAGTTTACAGTATCAATCAAATGTAAAGGTGATTTTATATCAATAATAATTTTATAAAACTAAAAAAAATACCATAACTATAATAATAAATAAACCAACAGTTTATCTTGTGTCATTTTTTAGAAATACACATCCAAACCAGATTGCTAGTTCATTAAATTCCACAACTAGAGAATCATTCTTTGGAACTTGAATAAAATATGAATAACTAAGAACAGCAACATTTTAAATATTTCACCTCAGCCCAAATTCCATAAAGCGGATCTGCCTGTGTTCTTCATGGTCTGATTTCTCTTCAGCCACAGCTTCCATCTCCCCACCTCACCTGGACCCCAGGCATACAGAACCATAGTCTCAGCTTCTATGCTTTTCTGCATATACCTGCATGCCTTGGCTTCTGCTCTGTGCTGTACCTACAGTACATTTTGCCCCCTTCTGTGTCTGCGCCCGCCCCCCTCTAATCTCCATTCCAGATAAAGTTGATTGTCCTCCTGAAGCATTCCTTTACCAATCACCTCCACCCATCCCCTCCTGCCCAAGCTCTGGCTTAGGATAGATAAAGCTTCTCCTTTTTCTGTTTGCATGGAATCTTCTTTACCTCCATTATCATAATTCAGTGACTGCAATCTTCTCGAAGACAAGGAATACTCTTTCAACACAATGAATGAGCACTAGACCTTACTTAGAGAGCACAAACTATAAACCATAGTCTGTCTGGAGGCCATGAAGCTGTTTTATTCAACCTGCAAAGAACTTGGAAAAATTTGACATTAAAATCTAGGCCAGGCTGGGTGCAGTGGCTTATGCCTACAATCCTAGCAATTTGGGAGGCTGAGGCAGGAGGATTACGTGAGGCCAGGAGTTTGACAGCAGCCTGGGCAATATAGTGAGGCCCCATCTCTACAAGAAATAGAAACATTAGCTGGACATGACGGCATGTGCCTGTAGTTGCAGCTGCCTGGAGGGATAATGTGGGAGGATTGTTTGAGCCTGGGAGGTTGAGGCTGCAGTGAGCAATAATTGTACTACTGCACTGCAGCCTGGGTGACAGACAGAGACCCTGTCTCAAAAAAAAAAAAAAAAAAAAAAAAATCTAGGCCAGCATTCTTGAACAGTAACAAGTCCGAAGAGCAAGAGGCAGTTATGGAGAATGTCCGATTTACAACAATCCTCACCACTCTCCGTTGGCTCCCAACACATACTGTCACTTTCCTTATTTCTTGACTTGGCTGGGGCCTTTTCTGGGTGCAACATTCCCTGGCTCTGATGGGCATTTGACCTGGGATCCATGTTAAATGATCAATCAACATTTTTAAAATGAAGACATTTTTTAGATTAGAATAAATAATTGGAAGAAAAGTCTTTTCAAAAGAGGGGAGAACACGGCTTTTTTGGAACAAGAGTGAGTTGGGGTATAATTTTTTTCCCAGTTATTATATCCCAAGCCAGAGTCATTCATTTTCATGATTTAAAATGTCTCCAAATAGTTCTCTACATTTTTCCAAGGCCAAAATAGTTGCTGTGTTTATTCAAACCACTCCATGCCCATCTAAAATATGTTTGATAAACGTATAGTAAGCTAGATTGATCTTGGTGAAGGAAGGCAGAACTGCTACTTACAGGTGCCACAGGATATGCGTTCAGAGTTTATATACAGCTAATTACAGATATATCCAATTTAAGGTGCTCCTAACAATTTGAAAACATTCTATGATAATTGATTTATAACAAAACACTGGACGCTAATGAAATAACTCAGATTTCATCACCTTATTTCCACTAGAATCTTCATCTTGTCTGCCCACTGCATCCATGATTGCTGTTTGGCTGCTCTTCCCATCCCATTAAGGAAGCAAATAGTTTCCGAAAGTAGTTTAATTGGTGTGTAAGTCAGGAAGCCACTTCTAATTGTAGTTCAATGATGCCGTTTTAAAAGCCACGGTCTGCTGAGGGCCATCCTGGAAGAGAGGGTATTTTATCTGGTAAGGGCGAAGTAGCACATGCGGGAAGCTTTCATTACCGGTGGACTTCTTGAACACAGTAGAGTGGATACGGTATTCTATGATTTCCATAAAACATCTTCCAGAAAGTCACACATAAAAAATCGAAGCAAATAAACAGAAAACCAATTATCAACTACTTCAAAATCATGTTACCTCTAAATCCATAAATATTCTTCCATAATAGAAATGAAGAAGATAAATATATACATTTTTAGAGATTATGAGAAAATTTCCCTTTATAAATGGGGGAAGTATATGTAAGTGATTTATTGTAATTATATAATAATAAACTATCTTTGACTTTCTTGACCATTCTGTTTCTAGGTGACCAGGCTTCACTCCTGCAAATGCCCAGAAAGTAGGGATGCCTGGTGAATGAACGTCTTTATGAGGAAGAGGAAGGTGCTGTAGTCAGTCAGGCTTTGCCAGGCCTTGGTGATATCGAACCCAACATAAAGTCAAAAGAGTCCTGTGATTTGGCCTACCAACTCGGCACCTTCTTTCCATTCAGGGTGTTAGTAATAAAAAACTGAAAAAATGACGCCCGTACTCCTGCTGATGTCCAGCTCAGCAGTTATTAACATATGTATGGTCCCCAAATGCCTCACAGTGAGCCCTGTACATAGTAGTGGCTCAACATATAGTTGTTAATTTCCTGATCTGACCTGTGGTGCACGCCACAGGAGTGTGGTTGATGTGCCACTCCATTCAAGGCACACTTTCATTGGTCTGCGCCCCGCCTTCCCGCCCCAGGTCAACAGAATCTTGAATGCAAATATCTCTAATAGTGCTTAGAATGTACTATAGCAACAGCAAGAAGCAGCTGAGAATGACTGACCTCACTGCATGAAATGAGATTGATGGACAGTTCTCTATGCAGTTACCTTAACTATGGATAGAAATAAGGTAGATAGAGGAATAGACAAGTAAATATGAGTAGAAATAAAGCAATTAGAATTAATTAAAATGTTTCTACCTATTATTTCTTTTTCTTTCTCTCCATACAATACTTAATAAATGCTATACAATGATGTTCTGGTAGTTAGTTTTTAATTCTTCCCAAGGAACTGAAGAAACAGGTGTGTTGGTTTCCTAGGGCAACCATAAACAAAGTGCCACAACCTGGGTGGCTTAAACAACAGAAATCTATTGTCTCACAGTTCTGGAGAAAAGAAATTCAAAACTTATTCTGAGACGTTGGTAGGGTTGGTTCCTTCTGAAGGCTAGGAGGGAGAATCTATCCCATGCCTCTCTCCTAGCTTCTGGTGGGCTGCTGGCAATCTTTAATGGTCCTTCATTTGTAAAAGCATCACTCTGATGATTTCTGCCTTTCCCTTTACATTGTGTCCTCCCTATGTGATGTCTCTGGGTCCAAATTTCCCCTTTTTATAAGAATGCCAGTCATATTAGATTAGGGGCCATCCTACTCCAGCAGGACCTCATCTTAGCTAATTACGTCTGCAATGACCCTATTTCCAAATAAGGCCTCTTTCTGAAATATGGAAAGTTAGGACTTTAGCCCACATATTTGGGGGGACCACAGTTCAACCCATAACAGCAGATATGCTTAAGCAAAGTGTTCTCACCTTTCCTGTGCTACATTGTGTCCAGATCCCACTGATACTTCACTGTTTGTCTTACGCTATTCTTGTCCTGTGTAAAAGTGCCCTGGGATGGTTATTACTTTGCTAGGGACTTCATTGTAATTGATAACTCTAGGCCAGGCAAATGCCAGGCTTTAAAAGTAGTCTTCATCAATTCTGTGTAAAGGAGGTTGCCCTTCAGCCATGCTGTCTGGGTGTCCACCGCCTGTCATGTGTTAGGTGAAAAAGACTTCTCTAGGTGGTTGTGTCCTGTGAGAGCTCTTCTCTGTGTCTTCCTCTGCTTTTTTGTCCCAGTGTTGTGCTGGCTGCCAAGGGTAACGGCCAGATTGATGTGGACAGGCTCCTTCACTGCCCAGAAATGCACTCTGATAGGTGTACTGACCTTGATCATTGACCATGGACTTTTAACATTTTACAGCGCTACACCCAGCCACATGGTCTGCATGGACGCTATTCAGTAAAACTGCCAGATTGGTCATAACCCTTTGATTTAGACATTTAAAACTAAGTTTCTCATTCACCTTGCAAAGGTGCCACATTCCCCGATTTGTCACTAAGCATGTAAGTAAAAATAGAAATTCAAAAACTTTACAAAGCTAGGTTAACGTATGTCCCTGGGCTTCCCTTTATCTATGTAACCTATGACCCTGTCACAACTAAAAGTAAAATTGCTTACGTATCATATTCTTCCCAAAAGCTTCTACTAGCTGGATGTAATGAAAGTTTAGTTTACATTTGTCATTTAGGTAATAATCAATAATATTTATTAAGCTCACACTAAGTTAATAATTAAATAGTAGAATTTCAATTATCTAGACTTCTTGGAGGATAAGTCAATCCAGAGAGCTGAATTTCTGGATGACTATTATCATTTTCACCCCAACATAAAGAATTAAGTAAATAAATAACCTTTGGATATAATTTTTTCCTGACTAACTTTTATGTTTTGACACTTACTTTAAAAACCACTTACTTACTTTTTTATTAAAAATATGTTCTTAACATATTCTTTTCTGAATTTTATTATAAATTTTATTATAGCCCGTATCAATCAAAATATATGACTATTTGCCCCTACGCTAATCAACAAAACTTCCATTTCTTTTTTTCAGATGTTGGGTCTTCATATATACCCATTGATATGGTTTGGATCTGTGTCCCTGCACAAATCTTGTGTCAATTGTAATCCCCAGTGTTGAAGGTGTGGCCTGGTGGGAGGTAATTGGATATTGGAGGTGGTTTCTCATGAATGCGTTAGCAGCATCCCCCTAGTACTGCCCTTCTGGCAGAGTTCTCACAAGAGCTGGCTGGTTAAAAGTGTGTGGCACCTCCCCACTCTTTCTCCTCCTCCTGCTCCTGCCATGTAAGATGACTGCTCCTGCTTTGCCTTCCACCATGAGTAAAAGCTCCCTGAAGCAGATGCTGCCATGCTTCCTGAACAGCCTGAAGAACTGTGAGCCAATTGAACATCTTTTCTTTGTAAATTACCCAGTCTCAGGTATTTCTTTCTTTTTTTTTTTTTTTTCGAGACAGAGTCTTGCTCTGCCACCCAGGCTGGAGTGCAATGGTGTGATCTTGGCTCACTGCAACCTCTGCCTCCCAGGTTCAAGCGATTCTCCTGTCTCAGCCTTCCAGAGTAACTGGGATTACAGGCATATGTCACCACGCCGGGCTAATTTTTTATTTTTAGTAAAGACAGGGTTTCACCATGTTGGCCAGGCTTGTCTTGAATTCCTGACCTCAGGTGATCTGGCCTCCTTGGCCTCCCAAAATGTTGGGATTACAGGCGTAAGCCACTGCATCCAGCCTCAGGTATTTCTTTATAGTGGTGTGAGAATGAATTAATACACTCATATTAACTGTCTTGTTTGGACACTTCTTATATTGGCTATCTTGCTGCTTCCAATCTACCATGGAAACCAGGTTCTCAAATGTGTCAGGTATCTGTACACGGTAAGCAGAAGTGGATTTGGACTTGGTGCCATGTGTGAAACATTCATGAATGTTTGTGCTTGGGTACTAGGATACCTATTTGGGTTTCTCAGGCTCTCTCAGTACTTCTTCTCAGTTTATGGTATCTGCTAGTGGTACATCCAGAAATTTGAGGTTTCCAAATACCTATTTGAAAATTCCAATATTCCAGTATTCCAAATATCCTGGATAGGTGAGGCTTCCATTCTACTAATTAATAATAAGTGCACTTTCACATCTATTATCTCTTCTTCTGTGACCCCAGTTTTTCTATATCAAGCTTCAAAGGGTTTACAATCTTGGACTACACAAGACATGCAGACAAAGAAGATTAAGAACATTTACAAAGGAGTAGGCATTTAAAGATCTTAATAGAACATTTATAGTTTCTCACATGGGAGAAATTAACCAGAAAAGAAGTATTGTACCCATAGGACAGAAGAGAAATCAAGATAAGAGGGCTCTTAAGGGAACAGGAAGTGAGATGAAATTATATAAATAGGAAAGCGCTCGTGGAGAGGAGGGATGAACGCCTAGGGACTAAGGCTAAGTCCTAAGAAATGCACCTTGGCAAGGGCTGGGAAAAGTGTTAAGGAAGGAGTTGCAGGACCCTGGAGAAGCAGGAAAGTGTGGTATCATTGCCTGTCAATCAATCATCTCTGTGTTTTCTACTTCATTCCCTTGGATGGGTGCTTCAAATGTGTTATTGTCACAAACAAAGCAGAGTTAAGATTGTGCTTTGTTCCCTCCCCAACATGTCTGGGATAGGGATACAACTAATTCTGGGGCAACTAGATGCAAGTTAGACAGTGCCCTAAGCCATCTATATATTCCCTCATGGCCTCATCACCTTTTTACTACCCCCCACCCCTGACTACTAACATGGCCTCTGTTTCCTTTGAAGGTTCCCTGTTGTCAGGTTCCTCTTTGGCAGGGGCCCAGCCTGATACCTCTCATGATGTCATTCCTAAGGATCTGATATTACTAAGGATAATTATATTCCTGCATCCTTGGTGCCCTTGCACCACATTCAGGTAGAATAGGTACTTGACACTCATATGTAGGAAGAACTGTTTAGCCAAATCATATTAAATTACCAACATTCAACCAATTTTGACCTACAAAATTTTTCATAACATTCAATCTAATATTTTTTTCCCTACTCCCTGTGAAAGAAATTACTATATACTACTCTCTTGGTCCACTGGTATGTGGTTACATAGACCCACTCATTTAAAAAAGAGCTCGTGGGGTGAGCTGTTTTGCTATTCAATGTTTCTTCAACTTTAATCCAAGTTTATCAGATTTTATTTTCTCTTGGGAAAAAAAAACCCACCTTATCTTTCTCAAGGTATGTATTTTCCTTTTTGCCTGCAACAGTTTCCTATGTTGTAGCAGCAAGGGCATTAGGGTTTGTAAAATTAAGGAAACCACTACATAAATAGTCACATTTCTTAGGTATATGCTCATGAAATCCTTTAAAAAAGTTTTCTTTAAGGATCCAAAATTTCAATTTATGTTATGGTTTGCAATGAAAAAATTCTTTAATACTTTAGAGTTCAACAAATGGTAGCTATTACAAAATAGAGATCACAAGTACAATTAACAAAGTCCATGTTGCATACAGTGAAACAGCTGTTTTCTTTAAAGCAAAGATTGCCTCTTCTAAATGTGGAAATGCTGAAACACATTCCTCTAAGATATCATCCAAAGAGTAAGTTTTCAAAAACTGCTTAAAATCACAGAATTTTTAAACTGAAAATGGTTAGAGGCTACTGAATCCAACCTTCAAATTTTTTAGAACAGAAAACAGACTTAAGTAAATATATCCAGTTGGTAGAACTGAAATTATAATTCGAATTTCTGAAATCTTAGTGAAATTTACTGCCAAACCTATTCAGTGAAAGATTGAGTCATGAAAAAGCAAGAAAGGTAACTAACTACACAGAGTGTCCAGTGATCCTCAAGCTCTCTGAACTGCACCCTGGCCAGCCATCACCAAGAGGGATGTAACATTCCTGTGTTCCTTTTTCTTTTGTAGAATTTCATGGGAATTGGTGTTCTCCAGGAACTCAGTTCATCTGCTGCCAACCAATTCTGATTTTCAATTAGTTTCCTGAAACAGCAAGTAACCAAAGGTGGTTCTTAGTGTAAGGTGGGAGATGTGACTATATTAAGTATGACATTGGATTCTGAAAATTGATGGCTCAAATGAGATTCTGATGGGAGGGAGAATTTGGTGTTTGCCCACAGTGAAAAAGATGGCACCCTCTTGTCAAAATTGATACTGTTCAGCCACCACCTTGTGTACCTTAACGTAACATAATGAAATGGCATCTGGAAAAAGTGTTCCTTCCTTGTCTCTTTAGGGCATCAGAAATCCCTGGAATTTCCTGGATTTTGAGTGCATGCAAGGTTAGTCCCAGGAAGCTTTCTGAGCTCAGAGTGTTTCCAGTCCAAATGAGAATATGAAGCTCTAAGGCAGCCTGGAAGCAGGGGAAACTTGTGGGTTTCATTCATATCAACTTTCCAGGAGCTTTCTCTCTCAATCCAATTTGAATTCATGGGGTGGTTGGCTAAAGCTGATTTTCTTAGGATTGAATAGAACTTAAATTTACCCCTATGGGAATCCGGACTGGCTCAAGTTCAAGAGTTTGTTCTTCACTTGACATATGCAGGTGAAATGCGTAGTGGTTCTAAAAAAAGGAACTTATTTCTAAGTATAAATATAAGGGAAGAAGTTACCAAATTTATGCAGGTTTGATTACTTTTTTGTTATTAAAATATGTTCTTTCACTTTCTCTTCACCATGGATGTAAGATATGAATTGAGAAGTTGACACAAGTATCAGTTTAATGAAATCATTATCTTGTGTCCCACGGAGAGTTGGATTTACAACTTGATACCGCCACATAACTGTATGCTATTGAAAATGGGTAAGAGTAAGAATTTAATTTAAAAGAATTTGAATGCTTTAAAAACTCATTTCAGGAGATTAGAGGGGTTGCTATCTGCCATCATTCATTCACAGGTTGCTTTATCAATAAGAGTCAGCTAGTTGCCCCCAAATACATCCTCCCCCTTTTGCTTTCTAATATGGCCCTAATATTAACTGAACACTGACAAACGACAACATTTTAGGCTCCTCAGCAGCAAGGAATGGCCATGTTACTAAGTTTCGGCAAATAAGTGAAAAATAGAGAAGTATTGTGTGCTGTTTTGAGAAAATTTCTTTAATAAGAAGAAGCATAAGCATACTCTTCTCCACTTCTTTTTTCTTTTCTTCAGCACTTAATATGGATCTCATATAATGGCTGGGGCTTCAGAAGCCATCTTGTGCCATGTGGAAGACAGCTGGCAGAGCAAAGAACAGAAAGGAGTTAGACTTTGGATAATTAATGCAGCTGCAAAGCTAGCCTGGATTACAAGCCTCTGAATGTCTTTTGCATGAGAGAGAAATTAGCTTCCTTCTTGCTTAAGCCATCATTGTTTTCTGTTTTCTTTTTTTTTAAAATCACATTAAACCTAATCCTTAAACCGTACAATCATCGAATGATCAGTGATGATTTGCTCCGTGAAAGTTATCTGGGAACTGACTGATAATATTACATGTGGCAGGAGCAACTATACTTTCTGTCAGTCCATAAGTTAGGAATTGACACCTTTTCTCTAGTTTTAGAATGTGTACCTCACTCACTCTTTCCCAGGTGAAGAGAAATAGCTTATCTTATTGGTGAATTTCGGGATGGGCTGAGTGTGTTTGCTTCAGGCTAAGCTTCTCTCAGCTTCCCGTTGTGGTCAGTTTCCCCTGGCTGGCTCCGCCCACAGCAGAAGAAGCCTATACTCATGCCCGGAAAGTCAACTTCAGTGAGGAAGTAATTTGGCAGCCTAATACGTCCTCACATCACACAGGAAGCTTTATCCATTTGTAAACTTGTTTTTCATCTCCCCGCGTAAGTTCTATTTCTTAACTGGTTTTGATTTGGGGCAGGGGACTGTACTGTGGAGGGAAATGATTACCCATCATCCTCAAACCCCAAGAATAAGGGTCACTAAGAGGATCTATCAGATTTTTCTAAGATATTTTAATAGTCCTTTTATTTATGATGTCATTTAGCAAAAGGTAACATCACTGCTATTAGATTACTCCTGGAAGATAATTAACGGAAAGAAAATTCGTATTTCTAATTTTAAAATCACTTTAAGTAAATTGTGTTCCATTTTTATTTCATATAATTATTTTTTATGCTCCAGCAAAAATATTTACCAAGTTTTATAAAGAGGCCATTATAGAGATATTTCTTAAGTCCAGAACTATACAGGCATAGCTTACAGGAAAATCATTACCAAGTTTTTTTTTTTTTTTTTTTTTTTTTTTTTTGAGAAGGAGTCTTGCTCTGTCTCCCAGGCTGGAGTGCAATGGCACAATCTCGGCTCACTGCAACCTTCGCCTCCCGGGTTCAAGTGATTCTCCTGTCTCAGCCTCCTGAGTAGGTGGGATTACAGGTGCGTGCCACCACCCCCAGCTAATTTTTGTATTTTTTAGTAGAAACGGGGTTTCACCATGTTGGCCTGGCTGGTCTCGAATCTCTGACCTCAAGTGATCCACCCGCCTCCGCATCTCAAAGTGCTGGGATTACAGGCATGAGCCACCATGCCCGGCCCAAAGTTTTTAATTATCTAGTCCTCTTATTGAAGAGCCACCACCTGGCATAATAATTGCATAACTATACTGCAAACCACAATGTGAGGTTTTTATGACATAATTGTAAACAGTTTGGATTTCAAAACAATTTACCAAATTCTTCTCTTTGAAACCACTGTATATTTGCTAAAAATAGAGAAAATGTAAACTTGTCAAAATCCATACTTGAGACTCTTTATTCTGTTACAGGGCCATTATTCTAGACCTAGTCTGAAAAAGAGAATTTCTTAGAAATGGGCATTTAATTTAATAAAATGCCATCATTATAAAATTGAGAAATTTGTATAGTCTTTCCTCCAAGACTGAGGTGCCACACTGATGACTCCCCATGTATTCAATCATCCCTGTTTTTCTCAAATAAATAAGTTATGATCAAGGTTTATGATTTACTATATATGGCTGCATTCTGTTTGCTAATATTTTCAGTGAGACTTTCATTATAAATCTCCCTAACTGAGGTTTCCCTGGTTTTCTGTGTTTCTTGTGGGATTTTTGATTTTTTCCTTTTTTGTTTGTTTGTTTTGGCACTAATACAGATTTTAGGTACAAATATTTTTTGTATGTTTGCTTTGTTAGGCTGAATTGTGAATCATATCACTTTCTATGTTCTGAAACAATTTAATATAATAGTGCATAAATTAAATGTTCCCTGAAATATTTAAATAAATCACTTGTAGAAACTCAAAATATTTTATGTAGACTATTTGATAAGTGTTTAAATTTGACACTTGGTTATTATCTACATATATTGTATGCTTCATACTTAATCAATTTGACAGTTTTCAAAAAATAGTTGTTTATTCTCACTTTTAAATTTAACATACCATGGGGCATGATATTTTATGACAATAATAAACTTCTTCGAGTATTTAGGTTCTTAAATTTTTTAAACTTTTGCTTAGATTTTCCAAAGTTTGTTGCTTTTTTGCCAAAAAAATCATCTTCTGATTTTTTTCCAAATAATCAGCTCTTTGGGATGATTATTATTCCAATAATTAATTAGATTAATTAGTTCCATAATTTTAATATTACAATAACTCTTTTTGAAATACACAAGATGCCTAGATTTAGATAGATATTTAAAATAGATGTGTAAGGAAAATATTAAATAATGTTAAAAACTGAGTAATTTACTATAATATTGTTTCCAATTTTTTGGATTCTTCCATGTATCATTAAACTATTAATCTTCTATTTTTTGCTGTAAAGGAGGTGAAGACAAACACAGAAGCAGATAAATATAACACAGACTCACAAACAGATAATTAGGCTATTAGTACATGCATTCTAGAGATACACATAGGGTATTATAGAAACACACACATCAGTTTAGTTATCCAGCTAGGACCTGGGACATCAGGAAAAACCTCTCGGACAAAGTGATACTTGAGCCTGGTGTTAAAGAATGTGTAGGAAAATTCAGGCAAAGCTGGGAAAGGGGAAGGGATAGGGCACTGCAGGGAGAGAAGAGAGTAGGGACAAAGACACAGAAATGTGACAAGGCATGGCCTGTGTTGGGAACCATGGCTGTTCGGGGTTACTGGAGTGTCACCATTGAGGTCAGGGAGGGAGGCATGGCCTCATACACTCTGGTCAGGAATTGAACTCTATCCTAAGTGATACTGAGGTTTGAATATGGAAGAAAAGATTAAATTTGAGGTAGGGCAATTTCACTTTTTTGCCACATGTAGGATATATTTGAGAGACACAAGAATGGGAAACAGATTAGACAATGTTAGAGAGTTTAGAGATGAGAAAGAAGAGGTAAGAAAGTATTGATAGTGGTTTCAAGAAGTTTGCATTATAAGAACAGGGGTTCTTATAACCACTGATGTGGGTTTGCTGGGTGGTGTTTATTGGGACCCAAGATGAAGACAGGTTCAGAGGGTTTTTTTGTAAGATGGAAACATATTTCTATCCATACCTGCTGAGGAGAAGAAACTGATAGAGAAGGAGAGTGCATAGAAAAGGAAGATAAGGTTGAAGATGGAGCAGGTCCTGGAGGATGCCAAAGGTTTGGAATCAAGGTCATGGGTAGAGTTGGCATGATGGAAGAACGGATCTTGGACAAGAGTAGAAGCCCCTCATCTCCTGAGCATGGAGGAGATGTGCAAGGATCTTCCCCCCGTAAGCTGTAAATTTTCTTCTTTTATATTTTTTTTATTATACTTTAAGTTTTAGGGTACATGTGCACATTGTGCAGGTTAGTTACATATGTATACATGTGCCATGCTGGTGCGCTGCACCCACTAACTCGTCATCTAGCATTAGGTATATCTCCCAATGCTATCCCTCCCCCCTCCCCCCACCCCACCACAGTCCCCAGAGTGTGATATTCCCCTTCCTGTGTCCATGTGATCTCATTGTTCAATTCCCACCTATGAGTGAGAATATGCGGTGTTTGGTTTTTTGTTCTTGCGATAATTTACTGAGAATGATGATTTCCAATTTCATCCATGTCCCTACAAAGGACATGAACTCATCATTTTTTATGGCTGCATAGTATTCCATGGTGTATATGTGCCACATTTTCTTAATCCATTCTATCATTGTTGGACATTTGGGTTGGTTCCAAGTCTTTGCTATTGTGAATAATGCTGCAATAAACATACGTGTGCATGTGTCTTTATAGCAGCATGATTTATAGTCATTTGGGTATATACCCAGTAATGGGATGGCTGAGTCAAATGGTATTTCTAGTTCTAGATCCTTGAGGAATCGCCACACTGTCTTCCACAATGGTTGAACTAGTTTACAGTCCCACCAACAGTGTAAAAGTGTTCCTATTTCTCCACATCCTCTCCAGCACCTGTTGTTTCCTGACTTTTTAATGATCGCCATTCTAACTGGTGTGAGATGGTATCTCATTGTGGTTTTGATTTGCATTTCTCTGATGGCCAGTGATGGTGAGCATTTTTTCATGTGTTTTTTGGCTGCATAAATGTCTTCTTTTGAGAAGTGTCTGTTCATGTCCTTCGCCCACTTTTTGATGGGGTTGTTTGTTTTTTTCTTGTAAATTTGTTTGAGTTCATTGTAGATTCTGGATATTAGCCCTTTGTGAGATGAGTAGGTTGCGAAAATTTTCTCCCATTTTGTAGGTTGCCTGTTCACTCTGATGGTAGTTTCTTTTGCTGTGCAGAAGCTCTTTAGTTTAATTAGATCCCATTTGTCAATTTTGTCTTTTGTTGCCATTGCTTTTGGTGTTTTGGATATGAAGTCCTTGCCCATGCCTATGTCCTGAATGGTAATGCCTAGGTTTTCTTCTAGGGTTTTTATGGTTTTAGGTCTAACGTTTAAATCTTTTATCCATCTTGAATTGATTTTTGTATAAGGTGTAAGGAAGGGATCCAGTTTCAGCTTTCTACATATGGCTAGCCAGTTTTCCCAGCACCATTTATTAAATAGGGAATCCTTTCCCCATTGCTTGTTTTTCTCAGGTTTGTCAAAGATCAGATAGTTGTAGATATGTGGCGTTATTTCTGAGGGCTCTGTTCTGTTCCATTGATCTATATCTCTGTTTTGGTACCAGTACCATGCTGTTTTGGTTACTGTAGCCTTGTAGTATAGTTTGAAGTCAGGTAGTGTGATGCCTCCAGCTTTGTTCTTTTGGCTTAGGATTGACTTGGTGATGCGGGCTCTTTTTTGGTTCCATATGAACTTGAAAGTAGTTTTTTCCATTTCTGTGAAGAAAGTCATTGGTAGCTTTATGGGGATGGCATTGATTCTGTAAATTACCTTGGGCAGTATGGCCATTTTCACGATATTGATTCTTCCTACCCATGAGCATGGAATGTTCTTCCATTTGTTTGTATCCTCTTTTATTTCCTTGAGCAGTGGTTTGTAGTTTTCCTTGAAGAGGTCCTTCACATCCCTTGTAAGTTGGATTCCTAGGTATTTTATTCTCTTTGAAGCAATTGTGAATGGGAGTTCACTCATGATTTGGCTCTCTGTTTGCCTGTTGTTGGTGTATAAGAATGCTTGTGATTTTTGTACATTGATTTTGTATCCTGAGACTTTGCTGAAGTTGCTTATCAGCTTAAGGAGATTTTGGGCTGAGACAATGGGGTTTTCTAGATATACAATCATGTCGTCTGCAAACAGGGACAATTTGACTTCCTCTTTTCCTAATTGAATACCCTTTATTTCCTTCTCCTGCCTAATTGCCCTGGCCAGAACTTCCAACACTATGTTGAATAGGAGTGGTGAGAGAGGGCATACCTGTCTTGTGCCAGTTTTCAAAGGGAATGTTTCCAGTTTTTGCCCATTCAGTGTGATATTGGCTGTGGGTTTGTCATAGATAGCTCTTATTATTTTGAAATACGTCCCATCAATACCTAATTTATTGAGAGTTTTTAGCATGAAGGGTTGTTGAATTTTGTCAAAGGCTTTTTCTGCATCTATTGAGATAATCATGTGGTTTTTGTCTTTGGCTCTGTTTATATGATGGATTACATTTCTTGATTTGCATATATTGAACCAGCCTTGCATCCCAGGGATGAAGCCCACTTGATCATGGTGGATAAGCTTTTTGATGTGCTGTTGGATTCGTTTTGCCAGTATTTTATTGAGGATTTTTGCATCAATGTTCATCAAGGATATTGGTCTAAAATTCTCTTTTTTGGTTGTGTATCTGCCCGGCTTTGGTATCAGAATGATGCTGGCCTCATAAAATGAGTTAGGGAGGATTCCCTCTTTTTCTATTGATTGGAATAGTTTCAGAAGGAATGGTACCAGTTCCTCCTTGTACCTCTGGTAGAATTTGGCTGTGAATCCATCTGGTCCTGGACTCTTTTTGGTTGGTAAACTATTGATTATTGCCACAATTTCAGCTCCTGTTATTGGTCTATTCAGAGATTCAACTTCTTCCTGGTTTAGTCTTGGGAGAGTGTATGTGTTGAGGAATTTATCCATTTCTTCTAGATTTTCTAGTTTATTTGCGTAGAGGTGTTTGTAGTATTCTCTGATGGTAGTTTGTATTTCTGTGGGATCAGTGGTGATATCCCCTTTATCATTTTTTATTGTGTCTATTTGATTCTTCTCTCTTTTTTTCTTTGTTAGTCTTGCTAGCGGTCTATCAATTTTGTTGATCCTTTCAAAAAACCAGCTCCTGGATTCATTGATTTTTTGAAGGGTTTTTTGTGTCTCTATTTCCTTCAGTTCTGCTCTGATTTTAGTTATTTCTTGCCTTCTGCTAGCTTTTGAATGTGTTTGCTCTTGCTTTTCTAGTTCTTTTAATTGTGATGTTAGGGTGTCAATTTTGGATCTTTCCTGCTTTCTCTTGTGGGCATTTAGTGCTATAAATTTCCCTCTACACACTGCTTTGAATGCGTCCCAGAGATTCTGGTATGTTGTGTCTTTGTTCTCGTTGGTTTCAAAGAACATCTTTATTTCTGCCTTCATTTCGTTATGTACCCAGTAGTCATTCAGGAGCAGGTTGTTCAGTTTCCATGTAGTTGAGCAGCTTTGAGTGAGATTCTTAATCCTGAGTTCTAGTTTGATTGCACTGTGGTCTGAGAGACAGTTTGTTATAATTTCTGTTCTTTTACATTTGCTGAGGAGAGCTTTACTTCCAACTATGTGGTCAATTTTGGAATAGGTGTGTTGTGGTGCTAAAAAAAATGTATATTCTGTTGATTTGGGGTGGAGAGTTCTGTAGATGTCTATTAGGTCCACTTGGTGCAGAGCTGAGTTCAATTCCTGGGTATCCTTGTTGACTTTCTGTCTCGTTGATCTGTCTAATGTTGACAGTGGGGTGTTAAAGTCTCCCATTATTAATGTGTGGGAGTCTAAGTCTCTTTGTAGGTCACTCAGGACTTGCTTTATGAATCTGGGTGCTCCTGTATTGGGTGCATATATATTTAGGATAGTTAGCTCTTCTTGTTGAAATGATCCATTTACCATTATGTAATGGCCTTCTTTGTCTCTTTTGATCTTTGTTGGTTTAAAGTCTGTTTTATCAGAGACTAGAATTGCAACCCCTGCCTTTTTTTGTTTTCTATTTGCTTGGTAGATCTTCCTCCATCCTTTTATTTTGAGCCTATGTGTGTCTCTGCACGTGAGATGGGTTTCCTGAATATAGCACACTGATGGGTCTTGACTCTTTATCCAATTTGCCAGTCTGTGTCTTTTAATTGGAGCATTTAGTCCATTTACATTTAAAGTTAATATTGTTATGTGTGAATTTGATCCTGTCATTATGATGTTAGCTGGTGATTTTGCTTGTTAGTTGATGCAGTTTCTTCCTAGTCTCGATGGTCTTTACCTTTTGGCATGATTTTGCAGTGGCTGGTACCGGTTGTTCCTTTCCATGTTTAGCGCTTCCTTCAGGAGCTCTTTTAGGGCAGGACTGGTGGTGACAAAATCTCTCAGCATTTGCTTGTCTGTAAAGTATTTTATTTCTCCTTCACTTATGAAGCTTTGTTTGGTTGGATATGAAATTCTGGGTTGAAAATTCTTTTCTTTAAGAATGTTGAATATTGGCCCCCACTCTCTTCTGGCTTGTAGGGTTTCTGCCGAGAGATCCACTGTTAGTCTGATGGGCTTCCCTTTGAGGGTAACCCGACCTTTCTCTCTGGCTGCCCTTAACATTTTTTCCTTCATTTCAACTTTGGTGAGTCTGACAATTATGTGTCTTGGAGTTACTCTTCTCGAGGAGTATCTTTGTGGCGTTCTCTGTATTTCCTGAATCTGAACGTTGGCCTGCCTTGCTAGATTGGGGAAGTTCTCCTGGATAATATCCTGCAGAGTGTTTTCCAACTTGGTTCCATTCTCCCCATCACTTTCAGGTACACCAATCAGACGTAGATTTGGTCTTTTCACATAGTCCCATATTTCTTGGAGGCTTTGCTCAGTTCTTTTTATTCTTTTTTCTCTAAACTTCCCTTCTCGCTTCATTTCATTCATTTCATCTTCCATTGCTGATACCCTTTCTTCCAGTTGATCGCATCGGCTCCTGAGGCTTCTGCATTCTTCACGTAGTTCTCGAGCCTTGGTTTTCAGCTCCATCAGCTCCTTTAAGCACTTCTCTGTATTGGTTATTCTAGTTATACATTCTTCTAAATTTTTTTCAAAGTTTTCAACTTCTTTGCCTTTGGTTTGAATGTCCTCCCGTAGCTCAGAGTAATTTGATCGTCTGAAGCCTTCTTCTCTCAGCTCGTCAAAGTCATTCTCCATCCAGCTTTGTTCTGTTGCTGGTGAGGAACTGCGTTCCTTTGGAGGAGAGGCGCTCTGCATTTTAGAGTTTTCAGTTTTTCTGTTCTGTTTTCTCCCCATCTTTGTGGTTTTATCTACTTTTGGTCTTTGATGATGGTGATGTACAGATGGGTTTTCGGTGTGGATGTCCTTTCTGTTTGTTAGTTTTCCTTCTAACAGACAGGACCCTCAGCTGCAGGTCTGTTGGAATACCCTGCCGTGTGAGGTGTCAGTGTGCCCCTGCTGGGGGTGCCTCCCAGTTAGGCTGCTCGGGGGACAGGGGTCAGGGACCCACTTGAGGAGGCAGTCTGCCGGTTCTCAGATCTCCAGCTGCATGCTGGGAGAACCACTGCTCTCTTCAAAGCTGTCAGACAGGGACACTTAAGTCTGCAGAGGTTACTGCTGTCTTTTTGTCTGTGCCCTGCCCCCAGAGGTGGAGCCTACAGAGGCAGGCAGGCCTCCTTGAGCTGTGGTGGGCTCCACCCAGTTCGAGCTTCCCGGCTGCTTTGTTTACCTAAGCAAGCCTGGGCAATGGCGGGCGCCCCTCCCCCAGCCTCGCTGCCGCCTTGCAGTTTGATCTCAGACTGCTGTGCTAGCAATCAGCGAGATTCCGTGGGCGTAGGCCCCTCCGAGCCAGGTGTGGGATATAGTCTCGTGGTGCGCCGTTTTTTAAGCCGGACTGAAAAGCGCAATATTCGGGTGGGAGTGACCCGATTTTCCAGGTGTGTCCGTCACCCCTTTCTTTGACTCGGAAAGGGAACTCCCTGACCCCTTGCGCTTCCCAAGTGAGGCAATGCCTCGCCCTGCTTCGGCTCGCGCACGGTGCGCACACCC
Organism: Homo sapiens; assembly: GCF_000001405.40. Lineage (NCBI taxonomy): Eukaryota > Metazoa > Chordata > Mammalia > Primates > Hominidae > Homo > Homo sapiens. The sequence continues at coordinate 72,153,319 of NC_000008.11, forward strand.
ACTGACCTGCGCCCACTGTCTGGCACTTCCTAGTGAGATGAACCCGGTACCTCAGATGGAAATGCAGAAATCACCCGTCTTCTGCGTCGCTCACGCTGGGAGCTGTAGACCGGAGCTGTTCCTATTCAGCCATCTTGGCTCCTCCCAAGCTGTAAATTTTCTGAGGCCTGAGATCCTGAATCTTAGCAGATGGTAAACACTACATCTCTTGTTGGTGAGTGAAAGAATGGATGGAAGTAGACGTCATAGGTAAAAGTGAATAAAATATTGAGGGGGATCACCCCCACAGCCTCAGTTTGCTTAAGGAAATGTCTAGGTCATATTGGCAAGCTATTAGTATGCATTAATTTTGTTCAACATCTGTCATTTCTTCAGTGGAAGCATCAGGACCCTTCCTTCTCCTGGGGCTCCACACTGCTGAATCTGCTACACCTTCACTGAGTCTTTTCACTGAACCTTTCCTGGTAACCCGGTTTTTATTAGACCCTGGTAATGAACAGGCCCTCCTGCAGAGTGTGGCCTTGGCAACTGGATATCTCAGGACCAGCTGAGAACGCCATGAGTAGGGGCTGTTAAATAAACTTAAACCACCCTTTCCCCACCTTAAATAGCATGTGTATCATTTTAACTCCAAGACAAGTCAGCGTTAGCATTTCTCTGATGCTCAGCACTTGCCTTGCTCCCCATTCAACTCCCCACCATGTGACAATGGTTTCCTGACTGTCAGCAGTGTGGTCCTCACATATTTACAAGGCATGGATGGTGCACTTCCAGAGGCTCATGTCCAAGTCTTATTTACTTGCATGTACTCAATGCTTAATCCAATGCGGGGATCATGTAATTGTATCAAGCAGTGAACAAACAAATAAATGAATGGTCAGATTTTTTTAAAAACGTGTACCTCCTTGGAACACCACTGACTGACCTGAAAGTTCCTTCTTGCCTTCCTGCCTCCTCCTCCCTGGCCCCAGCTCCCTCTCGCCTTCCATGTCCCAGATGTCAACTCCAAGCCACCAGTTCTTAACTTCGCCTGCACTTTGGTGTCCTCCAGCGATTCAAAAATATAGATGTCTTGGTCCTGCTCCTGGAGATTTTGATTTGGTTGGTCATGAGTATGACTCTTTTAAAACAACCCATGGGACCCTATTGTGCAGCCCAAGCTGAAAACGGTGTCTTCCTCGCACTGACTGAGGACGTCGGTTCTGATGTCTTCCTCGCACTGACTGAGGATCTCGGTTCTCATATCTTCCTCACACTGACTGAGGATCTCGGTTCTGATGTCTTCCTCGCACTGACTGAGGATCTCTGTTTTGATGTCTCCCTCGCACTGACTGAGGATCTCGGTTCTCATATCTTCCTCTCATTGACTGAGGATCTCGGTTCTCATATCTGTCTCGCACTGACGGAGGATCTCGGTTCTGGTGTCTTCCTCGCACTTGAGGATCTCGGTTCTGGTGTCTTCTTCGCACTGACTGAGGACCTCGGTTCTGGTGTCTGCCTCGGCACCTGCATCCCACCTGCTTCCCACCTGCTTTTCACCTCTATAATCCTCACCACCTTATCAGGAGCTGCTCGTTCTGGCCAGAAGCAGGCCTAATACAAGCTTCTTGTGTGCACATCAGTGACACGCAGCAGCAGCGAGCAGCTCAGTTCCTCCATCTCAGATTGTCTGAGAGACTGCTTTCGAATCGCTGCTTCCCATGCATTGAGCCACCTGGAAGGGTTTCCTATAATCACATACAACAGGGAGCTGTTCTTCTCCTAGGACGGCCTCTCCTAGTGGGGACAATAGTCTATCTTCTTCTCTCATGGTGGGCTTGTTGCTCTCTGTCCACGCCCCATAGCACCCTCATTCCTTTAAAGCAGAGACTGTGTAAATTCTTTAAATTATGCTTAAAATCAGTCATTCTCAGGGTGAAAGCAGATTTCTCCTGAGGATATGGCTACTTAGATTGTGCTACTGGCTTTGTATCATAAAGAGAAATGGTTGTGCGCGTTGTCCGTTTCAGTTCCACTTATTAGGAAGAGCATGCCGTCTTACCCGCAGCTCTGCTGCCACCTCCTGGCCGCCTTTAGAATAACAGATTTTCAGCTCTTGCTAAATAGCTTCTGTTTTTCTTGGACATCATTACTTTGTTTTGCGTTTCTTTCTCATTTCCTTTCCCCTTCATATTCTCACCATTACTCTTCTAGACTTTGGTTAGACTATTTAATGTCTCTTATAGATTCGTGTGGCAAAGCTGAGAATTTATTTTTTATTATGGAGCTGACCAAGTCAGAAAAACACACATAAGCACACACCACACACACACACACACACACACACACACACACACACACACACACAGACACACACACAGAGAGAGAGAGAGAGAGGAGGGAGAGAGAGAGAATTAGCCATTTGCACTTTGCTGCCAATTAAGCAGGCACTTGATATATCTAGGCAATGCACCAGCTGGCCCCGCCATGCTTCATGCTTGAATCAGCCAGGCTAGCAGCATCTTCCACCTGGCCAGCATCCCCATGTGTATTATTTGTCCATTCTTGCACTGGTATAAAGAAATACCTGAGACTGGGTAATTTGTATGGTTCTGCATGCTGTACAGGAAGCATAGTGGCTTCTGCTTCTGGGAAGGCCTCAGGAAACTTACAATCATAATGGAAAGTGAAGGGGAAGCAGGCACATCTTACATGGCTGGAGCAGGGGCAAGAGAGTGAGGGGGGAGGTGCTACACACTTTTAAACAACCAGATCTCATGAGAACTCTATCACAAGAACAGCGCTAGAGGGATGGTGCTAATGCATTAGAAACCGCCTCCATGATCCAATCACCCCCCTCAAGACTTCACCTTGGGTATTTCTTTTCTTTCTTTTCCTTTCCTTTCCTTTCCTTCTCTTTTCCTTCCTTCCTTCCTTCCTTCCTTCCTTCCTTCCTTCCTTCCTTCCTTCCTTCCTTTCTCTTTCTTTCTGGCAGAGTCTCCCGACCTCCTGGAGCTTCAAGCAAACCTCCCACCTCAGCCTCCGGAGTAGCTGGGACAACAGGTGTGCTTGACCACACCTGGCTATTTTTTTTTTTTCAGATGTGGTTTCATTTCCCTTTGTTGCCCAGGCTGGTATCAAACTCCTGGCTTCTCGTGATCCACCTGCCTCTACTTCCAAAGTGCTGAGATTACAGGTGTGAGCCACCGTGCCTGGACCTGGGAATACATTTCAACTTGAGATTTGGGTGGGGACACAGATCCAAACCATATCACCATGATAGCCATTGTTTTATTATCAAAGGCAGTATTAAATACTATAGCAAATAAGCTTTTTGGTGAACTCCTACCTTCATCTTTTAAGTCATTTTTATGATAGATATTAATTTCATTTTAATGTTTTGTGATTATTACTAATGTTTATCAGTAGAAGCTAACATTAATACTCTCCAATATGAAGAATAATTTCTTAAAAAACACAAATTTAAGGAGATACTTTTACTTTTTAGCCTACATTTTTTCTCAGTGAAACAGTATTTTGGTGCCCACTCCCCTCTTACTTTATGCCATTGAACTATGGAACCAGTTTAGATCATTGGCTTGGATTAAAAATGGTAAAAATATTTTTTTTTCCTAAGAGCAAAGTGTCCCTTAGTACATACAAGGTTTGGGTCATTTGGTGGATTTTGAGAAAGTAAACGCGAACTTAAAATGCTTAGTTTAATTTCCCTAATCACACAGATGATTGGCAGCATATCCACATTTTACCAACTCTGAACACACAAGGGAAAGGAAAACACCTCTACTTAGTACTGCTAAATATGAATTTCCTGCAATTAGCTCCAAATAATTTCAGTTTTCAAAGTCTTTTAGTACTAACACTGTAATGTCAAGTATATAAAACATAGAACTGAATAATTACTGAGACCACATCTGTAATTTGCCTACAGGTGAGCTGCATTTTGATTGCATGGCTCCTTCCTTAGGCAATAACAGACCAATCAATTATTTTCTAGATTAGCAATGCCCAATAGAACTTTCTGTCATATATCTGTGCTGTTCAATATGATAGCCACTAGGATCATAACCAAATGTATCTACTGAGCACTTGAAATGTATTGGTGCTACTAGTACTATTAGTAAGTAGTGCCACTAGTGCTGCTGAGGAACCAAGTTTTAACTTTATTTACTTTGAATTAATTTAAATATATATAGTCATGTATGATAGTAGCTATTGTTACTGCAGTACACTGTGCTGGTTGATACAAATGACTTAGGCCACAAGTCAACATGTTTCTCAAATTGACTTTGTGGGTTAAATCTTGTTCAACTATGTAAGCATACCTAATCAGAGAAGGCTGTTAAAATTATACTTTTAAGGGGAATCCCCAGTCTTTTTCCTGACCTAACTCTTGATCAGATTCTCTCCAATCCCACTAGTTCTCTGTAAAGCTCACCCCCCAGTGCCACCCTTCAACCCACCTCTTCTTGCCTCTTCTGTGAGCTGATGGATACTTTTTTTGTCCTTTGTGGACCTCCCATTCATATGCTGCCTCTTACCATGGGTCTCAGCATTCCACACATTCTCCCTGGGTTATCCCACTCATTTCACAGTTTTAATTCCTGTCGCTGTGCTGCTGATTTCCAAATCTGTAGAAGCAGCAACCCTTACCTGGGCAATACTTCTCAAAGCTAGATCCAGCTACTTCATGGACATCTTCACCTGGGCAGCTCCCATGTGAAATATCTATAACTAAACTTACATTCTTCTAAGTCTGCTTCTCCTGTAAGCTGTATTTCCACTACAGCCCATCAGTTACCCAAGTCAGATACTGAGTCCACCATCTCACCTTTTTCTCCTTCACTTTCCCCACATTGTACTGATTTTAGCTCCTGATAGTTTCCAAATCCATCTCTCAACTCTCCATCCTCATAGCTATTGCCTTATTCAGTCTTTCATCATCTCTCTCCTACTGCAATGTTTCACATGATGGTTTCCTTATTTTGTTTTGTCTTCCTCAAATCCTTTCTCCCCACAGCCATGTCTTTCTAAAGACATCTTTGCCACTCAACACTCTCCCATGGCTCCTGCATTGCCTAAGGATTAAGACCAGAGCTCTTAACACTGTTCACCATGACCTGCTCCATGTAATGACCCAGCCTCAACCCCCACCACTCCAGTCTCTCACTCTGCCCTGTCATGCTTTCAACTGCTTGTGTCTCCCTGGACACACTGCTGTTTCCCATCTCTCTTTTTCATACCTCTGGGGTTTTATCCATTTTGCTCCATTCACTAGAAATATTCTCTGACCACCCTCCCTTCTTTCCTGGCTAAGAACTATTTATTCAGGCACAATTCAAGCAGCATTTCCTCTAGGAAGCCTCCATTCAATTCCTGGACTAGACAAAATTACCTTACACAGTCTTTTTGCATATCGTTGTCACTGTAATTATAATTGTTAATTTTCTCATTCACTAACTTGAATGCAAGGATTTTCTCTTATTCAATGCGCAGTTGATGCTCAAAATTTTTATCAAACTTTTGCATGAAATTCGCATCAAATTGTAAAAGCTATTTCTCCATTGCAATAGGTGTATAGAAAAGTAAAGGGTGAGTGGTTATAGAAGAAAATTTTGAGTAGCTCTGGATAGGACTTTTCTATATCCAAATTGTCCCAAACTCTCTACACAAACTTGCCAATCACAATGGATTATTATCAATTTTCAACAAAATCATCCCAAGTGACCTGTAGCTCATCTCAAATGCCTGCTTTGAAAATGAACATTCAAAGTCAATGCTACCAAATAATGCCAATGAGACAAAGCATCAAAGAAACACTAAAAAAGAATCATTTTAAAAGTTTGCCTTTATCAATGTTGTTCAAAGCCTGATTATGAGGGCTTAATTTTGTCCTCCCCTGTGCTTTGTTGGGCTTGTCAATTCTTTAGTAGATGGATCCTTGTGATCAGGACTAAGCTCTGGGCTTGGATCACTGTGCTGGCTCAGTGTCTATAGCTTCTTGGCCTGCCTGCACTCCTCACACTGTGCCCTGGGTGCTAAACACCCCATCCACACCTGAAATCCACACTCCACACAGAGATGTCATCTCTCTGGACCACCTTCACTGTGCAAAAACCAGCTGCTCGCAAGAATGGCTTGATCTGGTGAGTGATGTATGGAGCAGCCAATTTCTCTTTTAAACTAAAAGTCAAAATAGTTAAAATTTTGCTAACCTTAAGGCATTATATTTAGATGATCTCCTCTTCAAAGTGGAAGCATGGTGGTTAAAAGGGAAATGTGATTTTCTATCAATTTAATTGAATTGAATTTTCCCTCAGGTGTGGTGTTTTCAAATTTACAAACTCTTAGACCTTTCAGATTTTACAGTCACACTACAACTGTGAGCTAGTATTTTACTTAATGATGTCATTACATGAGTAGCATTATACCCATCATTTAAAGGAATCCTGGGTAAAAAAATCACTGATATTATAGAAAGTCATTCCAGAGTTAGAGACATACACCTATATACAAGAAACAGTTACAAATTATTTTGAATCAGAAAACTTGTCAAAAATTTAAATGATTTAACCAATTTTTATAGTACTCTTGTCTTAGTCCGTTCGTGGGGTTATAACAAAATACCTGAGACTGAGTCACTTATAAACAACATAAATTTATTTCTCACAGTTCTGGAGGCTGGGAAGTCTGAGATCAAGGCACTGGCAAGTTGATGGTTGGTGAAAGCTGCCCTCTCTGCTTCCAAGATACAGCTTTGTGGCCGCATCCTTCAGAGGGAATGAATACTATATCCTCACATGGCATAAACCCTTTAATAAGGCACTAATCCATTAGCCTACATGGTCTAACCCCTCCTGAAGGCTCCATCTCTTTATTCTGTTGCATTGGGAATTAAGTTTCAACACAAATTTTGAATGGGGCACAAACATTTAAACCATAGCAATTCTCTTTGATTTATCATTTTTTTATAAAGTAGGCTACTTAAAAATTCATTAGATTCCTTAATACTCAAACTAAGAAGCTTTTATCAAGGAGTTTTTATCATAGTTCTACAAAATTGGAATGCCACAAGGCAGAACTCTCATGAAGTCATTTTTTTCCAATGTAATATATATTTAAAGGCAGATTGATTACAGTCGATGAATTTTCAACACTAATCTCACATTGAAAAAGCTGGTAACTGAGAAGAACAAGTTGTTTAGCACAAATATTCAGTGAAGTTGCACGCTTTCAAAAGAGAAAAACTAGCTTTGACTCCATGTAGCTTTCTGCTCCACCCATCTTTAGTTGTAAAAGGGAGAGAGGCACAAAGCAGAATCAATTATTGTTCCTTGCAGGAAACTAGAAATTCTTTCCACTTGACCCATTTCACCCACTCATTGAAATTGTACCCTTTGTAATACATTTTTTTTAAATCTGCAGTTTGCTGTGAAGTTTTATAAACCAACCTGTGATACATATTTTGACTCAACAAGCTATTTTATTTTTCTTTTTTAAGAGGCAGGATCTTGCTCTGTCACCCAAACTGGAGTGCAGTGGCACAATCATAGCTCACTGCAGTCTCAAACTTCTGGCCTCAATGAATCCTCCTGCTTTTGCCCATAGCTGGGACTACAGGTGTGTGCCATCATGCAGAGCTAATTTATTTTTATTTTTTGTAGAGAAGGCATCTCACTATGTTGCCCAGGCTGGTTTCAAAATCCTGACTTTAAGCAATTCTCTCACCTTAGCCTTCCCAAACACTGGGATTACAGGCAGAAGCCACTGTGCCTGACCAAAAAAGCTTGTATTTCTTAAAGTGCTTTGCTTTTAAGTGCTGGACACAATTTTTAAAAGCATATTTAAATAGCATGTGTACCCAGGCCCTCCACATATTAGATGAATAACTCACATATGTCATGGAAAAAGATTATTAAAAATATTTTCTTCTTTGCGAGGGAAAAACCCAATGCTGCTGTTTCTTTTTTTTTTTTTCTCCTTTTTTTTTTTTTTTTTGAAGATATCTCATTCTGTCGCCCAGGCTGGGGTGCAGTGGTGTGATCTCGGCTCACTGCAACCTCTGCTACCCGGGTTCAAGCAATTCTCATGCCTCAGCCTCCTGAGTAGCTGGGATTGCAGGTGCCTGCCACCACGCCTGGAAAAGCTTTGTATTTTCAGTAGAGATGGGGTTTCGCCATTTTGGTCAGGCTGGTCTGAAACTCCTGACCTCAGGTGATCTGCCCACCTGGGCCTCCCAAAGTGTTGGGATTACAGGCATGAGCCACCGCACCTGGCCACTGCTGTTTATTTCCACGTGAAGGAGCTCAGTTGGTGTAATTCAAGCCTGAGCCTCCTTCTGCTCCTTTGCTCAGTCTGTTCCCAGGAGGTGGAAAACTCCTCTGACTATTACGTGTCAACTCTGAGGAAGATACTTTTCAGGAAGGATGAAGGGAGCTTGCTTGGCTCAGCTCTGCCCTCTTCCTCTTGGAGAAGGGGTGCATAGCAACCTCCCATTTCCCTCTGCACTCCCAAGCTCTGCCACTGCCTGTCAGCCTGGCTTTCACAAGCTGTGCATTTGTCCTCCGAACTAAGCGTTAGTCTCCAATTTAGCCTTTGTCATAGTATATTTTATGTCTCGCTTCATGTTTCATTTCTCAGCCTATTCAGATCTCCAGCTGAGATAAAAGTGTGAGTTTTTATTTTAGAACCTGTCACATACCTCAATACTTAGTGCATGAACAAGGAACACTGACAAATATAAAGACAAGAGGGGAATTTGGGGAAGACAGGCTGTTCGTGGGAGCAAGGTTTTGTGGCTTTGGACTTTGGACTTCAATGTATAAAGAGTAATTGACCTTCACATTTTCTACAGGATCATATGAGATCAGATGAGATTTTAAAATTGTGCAGTGGCCTATGGTGAATTTTTTTAAATTTAGTTTTATTTTAAGTTCTAGGATCCATGTGCAAAATGTGCAGGTTTGTTACATAAGTAAACATGTGCCATGGTGGTTTGCTGCACCTACCCACCCATCACCTAGGTATTAAGTCCTGCATGCATTAACTGTTTATCCTGATGCTCTCCCTCCCCCTGCCCCCACCCCGACAGACAGATCCCAGTGTGTTGTTCTCCTCCCTGTGTCCATGTGTTCTCATTGTTCAGCTCCCACTTGTAAGTGAGAACATGCAGTGTTTGGTTTTCTGTTCCTGCATTAGTTTGCTGAGGATAATTCACAATTGCAAATACATGGAATCAACCCAAATGCCCACCAATGATAGACTGGATAAAGAAAATGTGGTACATATACACTATGGAATACTATGCAGCCATAAAAAGGAAATAAATCATGTCCTTCACAGGGACATGGATGGATCTGGAAGCTATAATGAAATTTTTATCATACTGGGTAACCTCAACTTATGACAATTTTATGTGCACGCCATGGCTGTTTGTATACACAGGGGAGTGTACTTTGAGGACTCAAGAAAATGGTGCTCAGACTTACTGAACCTACAGAAGTTTGGGCCTCAGCAAGGAGTGGAGAAGAACTTGGTTCTCCCATGGCCCCAACTGCAAGGGCCCCAGCTTGAGCACAAGCCTCCAGCAGGCACAGGGAGAACCAGGTACAAGCTCACCCTGGAGCTCATCATGCAGTCATTGCCTAGGGGAAGATGCAACCAGAGAGCAAAGAGGCATTCTTTACTTATTAAAATGTTGGGGCGAGAACAATTTTTACTGGTTTTGCTGTCCTCCTAGCTGGGGCTGCTAAGGCAGTTCAATTCTACCCGTGTTACATAATGCTTCCTTTAAGTGATTAACAGCTAGACAGAAAAGACTAGATTTGCTGCCCAAAATTCCATCTGCAAGCAGGACCAAGGAGGAAATTGGAGAGATTATTTTAGAATTCACTTGGCTTATTCATAGACTCTGGTTTCAAAATGCCAAATCATTTCTAGATGGGAACACAGTTACCATAGGTGTCTGTAGGTATGCCTGCAGGGAGCACATGTGACAAATATATAGAATTCGAGGGAAAAACTATATTGAGATCCTCATGTTTGAGATATGGTTCTCTCTCATCCCCTTGGGCAGTGCTTCTTAAACATTTAGGATGCATTCGAATCACCTAGAGGGTTTGTTAAAACTGGAGCTGCTGGGCCTCAGCTCCAGAGTTTCCAATTCTGTAGAGCTGGGTGGGGTCTGAGAATCAGCATTCTTAAAAAGTCCTTGGTGAGGCTAATAGTTCTGGTCCAGGGAACCACACTTTGAGAACAATGGCCCTGGGTGTGCAGGCGTCAGAAGCATCAACAGCAGCTTCAGTTTAAGAGCCTGGCAGGGGTGATTTTCCAGCAAAAATAAATCTGGAAGGGAAAAATATTTTCCAGGCAGTGGGTTGATCAGGGCTAAGCAATAGTATGGTAAGCCCACTGAAAATCTGAAAACCTAATAGATGGCAGTTTCTGGACCTACTAAATGCACTAAATGACCTCACCCTTTCTTTTTTCTTCAATTAAAATAAGAAGTTTATTCCCGTTCTTTCTGTTTCCTGGAAAATGAAATGAACAGATGGTTGGTATCTTACATGTTGCGCCAGGTGAGAATATATTTTTGTTCACATTTGCTCACTCACCACTTTTTTAAACTTTTATTTTAGGTTCAGGGGTACATGTCCAGGTTTGTTATACAGGCACATGGCATGTCACAGGGGTTTGGTGTACAGATAATTTTGTCACCCAGGTAATCAGCATAGTACCCGATGGGTAGTTTTTGGATCCTTGCCCTCTTCCCACCCTCCACCTTCCAGTAGGCCCTGCTGTCAGTTGTTCCCCTGTTTGTGTCCATATGTGCTTGATATGGTTTGGCTCTGTGTCCCCACTCAAATCTCATGTCAAATTGTAATCCCCAACATTGGAAGAGGAGACTGGTAGAAGGTGACTGAATCATAGAGGTGGTGTCTAATGGTTTCGCACCATCCCCCTAGTGCTGTCTCATGACAGAGTTCTCATGAGATCTGGTTGTTTAAAAGTGTGTAGCACCTCCCCCCACCCTCCTGCTGGCCATGTAAAGATATGCTTGCTTCCCCTTTGCCTTTCACCATGGTTGTAAGTTTCCTGAAGCCTTCCTAGAAGCAGAAACCTGTACAGCCTGCAGAACCGTGAGCTGATTATACCTGTTTTATTTATAAATTACCCAGTCTCTGGTAATTCTTTATAGCAGTAAAAGAATGGATTAGTATAGTACTTAATGCTTAGCTCCCAAAATGAGGAAGAAACTGAATATTTGGTTTTCTGTTCCTGCATTTATTCACTTAAGATAATGACCTCTGGCTACATCCATGTTCCTGCAAAGGACCTAATCTCATTCTTTCGTATGGCTGTGTAGCATTCCATGGATGTACCAATTTTCTTTATCCAGTCTACTTTTGATGGGCATTTAGGTTTATTTCATGTCTTTGCTTTTGTGAATAATGCTGCAATGAACATATTCATATTCTATTCATATTCAGGTGTCTGAATATGCCTATTCAGGTATCGTTGTGGTAGAACAATTTATATTCCTTTGGGTATATACCCAGTAATGGGATTGCTGGGTCTAATAGTAATTCTACTTTGAGTTCCTTGAGAAATTGTCAAACTCCTTTCCACAAAGGCCAAACTAGTTTACATTCCCATCAGCAGTGTATAAATGTTCCCTTTTCTCTGCAACCTCACCAGCATCTATTATTTTTTGACTTTTTAATAATAGCAATTCTGACTGATGTGAGATGGTATCTCATTGTGGCTTTGATTTGCATTTCTCTACTTATTGGTGATGTTGAGCATTTTTTCATATGCTAGTTGCCACATATATGTCTTGTTTGAAAAGTGTCTGTTCAGGTTCTTTGCCCACTGTTCAGTGGGGTTGTTTGTTTCTCTGCTTGTGAATTTAAATTCCTTACAGATTCTGGGTATTAGGCCTTTGTCAGATGCACAGTTTGCATATATTTTCTCCCACTCTGTAGGTTGTCTGCTTATGCTATTAATAGTTTCTTTTGCTTCATAGGAGCTCTTTAGTTTAATTAGGTCCCATTCATCTGTTTTTGGTTTTGCTGCAACTGATTTTGGTGTCTTCATCATGAAATCTTTTACAGGGCCTATATCCAAATGGTATTTCCTAGGTTATCTTCCAAAGATTTTATAGTTTTAGATTTTAAATTTACGTATTCAACCCATCTTGAGTTGATTTTTGTATATAATGTAAAAAAGGGGTCCAGTTTCAATCTTCGGCATATGGGTAGCCAGTTACTCCAGCACCATGTATTGAATAGGGAGTCAGTTCCCCATTACTGTTTTTTTGTAGACTTTTTGGGAGATCAAATGGTTGTAGGTGTGTGGCCTTATTTATAGGCTCTCTATCCTATTCCATTGGTCTGTGGGCCTGTTTTTGTACCACTATCATTGTTGTTTTGGTTACTGTAGCTTGTAGAATAGTTTGAAGTCAGGTAATGTGATGCCTTCAGTTTGTTCTTTTGCTTAGGATAGTCTTGGCTATTCAGGCTTTTTTTTTTTTTTTTTTTTTTTGAGATGGAGTCTCACTCTGTCACCCAGGCTGGAGTGCAGTGGCGTGACCTCGGCTCACTGCAACCTCTGCCTCCCAGGTTCAAGTGATTCTCCCATCTCAGCCTCCTGAGTAGCTGGACTATAGGCATGTGCCACCATGCCTGGCTAATTTTTTTTTTTTTTTTTTGGATTTTTAGTAGAGAGAGGGTTTTGCCGTGTTAGCCAGGATGGTCTCAATCTCCTGACCTTGTTATCCATCCGCCTCAGCCTCCCAAAGTGCTGGGATTTCAGGTGTGAGCCACCACAACTGGCCAGGCTCATTATTATTATTATTATTATTATCATTTTTGCTTTCATGTGAATTTTAAACTAGTTTGTTCTAATTCTATGAAGAATGTCATTGGTAATTTGTTAGGAATAGCATGAATCTATAAATCTCTTTGGGCAGTATGGCCATTTTAACAATATTGATTCTTCCTATCCATGAGCATGGAACATTTTTCTCATTTGTTTGTGTCATCTCTGACTTCTTTGAGCAGTGTTTTATAATTCTCATTGTCATGATCTTTCACCTCCTGGTTAGTTATTCTTGGGTATTTTACTCTTTTTGTGGCTATTGTGAATGAGATTGCATTATTGGCTTGGATGTTGTTTTTTCATAGAAATGCTACTGGTTTTTGTACATTGATTTTGTACACTGAAACTTTGCTGAAGTTGTTTATCACATCTAGCAACTTTTGGGCTGAGTCTATAGGATTTTCTAGGTAGAGAAACATACCATCTGTGAAGAGATATAGTTTGACTCTCTCTCTTCCTACTTGAGTGCCTTTTATTTCTATTTCTTGCCTGATTGTTCTAGCTAGGACTTCCAGTACTGTGTTGAAAAAGAGTGGTGAGAGTGGCTCTTTTTTTCTTGTTGATGTTCTCAAGGGAAATGCTTCCAACTATTTCCCATTCAGGATGGTGTTAAGTGTGGGTTTGTCATAGATGGCTCTTACTATTTTGAGCTATTCTCCTTCAATGCCTAGTTCGTTGAGAAATTTTAACATGAAAGAATGTTGAATTTTATTGAAAACATTTTCTGCATCTATTGAGATGATGATGTGGGTTTTGTTTTCAGTTCTGTTTATGTGATGTGTCATATTTATTGACTTGTGTATGTTGAACCAAACTTACATACCAGAGATAAAGCCTAGTTGATCATGGTGAATTAGCTTTTTGATGTGCTGCTGTATTTAATTTGCTAGTATTTTGTTAAGGATTTTTGCATCTATGTTCACTGGGGATACTGGACTGAAGTTTTCCTTTTTTGTTGTGTCTCTGCCAGGTTTTGGTATCAGAATAATGCTGGTCACACAGAATGAGTTAGGGAAGAGTCCAGCCTCCTCAGTTTCTTGGATTAGTTTTAGTAGGAATACCAGCTCTTTATACATCTGGCAGAATTCAGCTGTGAATCCATCTGGTCCTGGACTTATTCTGGTTGATAGATTTTTCTTTACTGATACAATTTCAGAACTCATTATTGGTCTATTCAGGGATTCAATTTATTTCTGGTTCAAACTTGGGAGGTTATGTGTTTCTAGAAATTTATCCATTTCTTCTAGGTTTTCCAGTTTGTGAGTGTAGAGGTGTTCATAGTAGTCTCTTAGGGTTTTTTGTACTTCTGTGGGGGTGGATAGTAATGTCCTCTTTATAATTTCTTATTGTGTTTATTTGGAGCTTCTCTGTTTTCTTCTTTATTAGTGTAACTAACAATCTATCAATCATATTTATTCTTTCATGAAACAAACTCCTGGATTCATTGATTTTTTGTATGGTTTACACCATCTCAATTTCCATCAGTCCAGCTCTGATTTTTGTTATTTGTTTTCTTCTGCTAGCTTTAGAATTGGTTTACTCTTCTTTCTCTAATTTCTCTAGGTGTGATATTATATTGTTAATTTAATTTGAGATTGTTTTAACTTTTTGATGTGGATATTTAGCACATACACTTCCCTCTTAATACTGATTAAGCTGTGTCCCAGAGATTCTGGTATGTTTTGTTCTCATTAGTTTCAAAGAATTTCTTGATTTTTGCCTTAAACTCATTGTTTACCTAAAAATCATTCAGGAGAAGGTGGTTTAATTTCCATACAATTGTTTGATTTTGAGTGATTTTCTTAGTGTTGATTCCTACTTTTTATTGTGCTGTAGTCTGATAGTGTGGTTGGTTTTATGTGTGTGTGTGTGTTTTTAATTTGCTGGGGATTGTTTTACGGCTGACTGTGTTGTTGATTTTAGAGTATGTGCAATGTGCAGATAAGATAAATGTATATTCGTTATTGGGTGGAGATTTCTGTAAATGTCTGTTAGGTCTATTTGGTCAAGTGTCAAGTTAAGGTCCCAAATATCTTTGTTAGTGTTTTGCCTTGATGATCTGTCTAATAAATACTGTCAGTGGAGTGTTGAAGTCTTCCACTATTATTGTGTAGTTAGCTAAGTCTCTTTATAGATCTCTAAAACCTTACTTTAGGAATCTGAGTGCTCTTGTATTGGATCCATATATATTTGAGATAGTTTTTCTTGCTGAATTGAACTCTTTAACATTATGTAATGCCCTTCTTTTTCTTTTTTGATCATTGATGGTTTAAAGTCTGTTTTGTCTGAAATTAGAAGAGCAACTCTTGCTTTTTTCTGTTTTCCATTTTCTTGGTAGATTTTTCTCCTTTACTTTGAGCTGGGTGGACATCTCACATTGCATGTGAGATATGTCTCTTGAAAACAGCATATAGTTGGATCTTGTTTCTTTATCCAATTCGCCACTACTCTGCACCTTTTAATTGGGACATTTAATGCATTTACATTCATGGTTAATATTGATATGTGCAGATTTGATCCTGTTATCATGTTGTTAGCTGGTTTTTATGTAGACTTGATTTGTGGTTGCTTTATAGTGTCAATAGTTTATGTACTTCACTGTGTTTTTGTGGTGGTTTGTAGTGGTTTTTCTTTTCCATATTTAGCACTCCCTTAAGGATCTGCTATAATTCAGGTCTGGTGGTAATGAATTCCCTTAGCATTTGCTTGTCTGAAAAAGGATCTTATTTCTCCTTCATTTTCGATGCTTAGTTTGGCTGGAAATGAAATTCTTGGTTGGGCTTATTATCTTTAAAAATGTTGAATATATGTCCCCAATCTCTTCTGGCCTGTAGAATTTCTGCTAAAAGTCCACTGTTAGCCTGATTGAGTTCCCTTGGTAAGTAACATGACCTTTCTCTCTAGCTGCCTTTGATATTTTTTCTCTCAGTTTGATATTGGAGACCTTTGATTACTATGTGTCTTGTATAGACATATACAAGGTGATACATAGGGGATGATTGTCTTGTATAGTATCTTGCAGGGTTCTCTGTATTTCCTGAAGTTGAAATATGGTTGGCTTCTTTAGTGACATTGGGGATATTTTCATGGGTGATACTCTTAAATACGTTTTCCAAGTTTCTTGGTTTCTTTCTCTCTCCTTCAGGGATGCCTATGAGTCATAGATTTAGTCTCTTTACATAATTTAATATGTCTCAGAGACTTTGTTCATTCTTCTTTATTCTTTTTTCTTTATTTTTTTCTGCCTGAGTTATTTTGGAGAACCAGTCTTCTAGCTCTGAGATTGTTTTCTCAGTTGCTTAATTCTGCTGCTAATACTTGTGATTATCTTATAAAATTGTTAAAGTGAAGTTTTCAGCTCTATCAAATCACTTTCATTATTTCTTAAAATGGCCATTTCATCTTTCATTTCCTGTATCATTTTATTGTATTTTTTTAGATTCCTTGGATTGGGTTTCAACTTTCTCCTGAATGTTGAAGATCTTCATTCCTTCCATATTCTAAATTCTGTTTCTGCCATTTCATCCATTTGAGACTAGATAAGAATCATTGCTGGGGCACTAGTGTCTTCATTGAGGGAAATAAGGCATTCTGGCTTTTTTAGTTGTCCAGTTCTTGTGCTGGTTCTTTCTCATCTGTGTGGGCTGATGTTCCTTTAATCTTTGAAAATACTGTCCTTTGGATGAGTTTCTCTACTTGTACTTTCTTTGATACCCTTGGGAGTTTGATTGCGGTATAAGGTGGATTCAATCAACTGGCCTCATTTCCAGAAGAATTTAGGGGGCCATGGCTCAGCTCAGCACTACTGGGCTGTATACTCTAACTCTAGGGAGCTGGTACCAGGCCCTGGCTTTGTTCACTGGCCCCTTGAGATTCAGAACCTGCTGAGCTGAGGTGCTAAGGTATTCCTGGTCTGCTGGCCACAACACTCTGATGGGTGGTGCCAGCTAAAGTGCTTCATCTGGGCAGTGGCAGCAAGACCCATGCTCATTTGCATGCATTCCCGTGGCCATGGAAGTGCAGCAGGATGCATGGGTGTTGACTGGGACAGGGACCACCAGGAGTGGAGCTGTATCATTACTGTGCACACTTGTGCCAGTGGCTGGGGTTAGTGGGGAACAGCCGGGACAAAGTTGCCAGTGTCCATGTTTGCACTTGCACTGGCAAAGGCAGATGTGGGGACTGGACATTGGCGGGCATGAAGCTAGTGGCATCCATGCACGTGTTCACAGTGGTGGCAGTGGCAGCACAAGATGGAGGCAGGGCCACCAGCAACCAGTGTCCATTCCACATTCACAGCAGCAGCATTGGTGGTATGGGGAGCAGGGTGGGGTTGCTTGCATCTATGTGAGTGTTGCCAGCAGTGGCAGTGCAGCCAGATGCCTGTTCATTAGGGAGGCAGGGGCAGCAGGGTATGCTCACACAGGCAGCATTTGGGTGACACAGAACGTGTGCACACACACACTAGTGGGGGAGAAGTGATCTTTGCCTGTGTGCATTCTCACAAAGCAGTGGGGGTGTGGCCATGGGTGAGTGCATCCTGGCAATGCAGGTATGGAGGAGGCTGCAGTGGGAGAGGGTGTGGGTGGGCTGTTGTGTGTCAGTGGAGGCTGCACTGATAGAGCTCTCTGATGCTCAGGTGCAGTCTGCTGGTGAGGGAGCTATGATGTGAGCCCCCAGGAAGCACCTCAATTGGGCATCCAAGGCTGCATTGCAAGCAGGTGCAGTCAGATTGGGGCCCTACTAGAGGTCAGCAGACAGGGGTGTCCTCAGATAGAACTGGCTTTATCTAACCAGCATAAAAAACAGGATTTATACCTCTCTGTGTCTCTTTAATCCCAAGAAGTTGCTTGGCTAAAGATATGAATTATCTTTTTTGCCTCTAAAGATCTTCTTCAGGATGATACATGGCAAACCATTAACATCAAATAAGATCAGTAGAAACTCCTTGAACCATTGAGGAATTCTCCATAAGTGTATTGCCATCATTGGACTCTCTGCACATTAGCTGTCAACAAGTTTATCTTCTCAAAATGACCATTTTTATTTATGGTAAAAGTATTTAATTATCTGCTACATAGTTAAAGAAACAGAATGGGCCTGGCACAGTGGCTCATGCCTGTAATCCCTGCAATTTGGGAGGCTGAGGTGGGCGGATCATGAGGTCAAGAGATTGAGACCATCTTGGCCAACATGGCGAAACCCCGTCTCTACTAAAAATACAAAAAATAATAATAATAAATTTGCTGGGCGTGGTGGCACACACCTGTAGTCCCAGCTACTCGAGAGACTGAGGCAAGAGAATTGTTTGAACCCGGGAGGTGGAGGTTGCAGTAAGCTGAGATCATGCCACTGCACTCCAGCCTGGTGACAGAGACTGCGTCCAAAAAAAAAAAAAAAAAAAGGAAAAAGAAAAAGAAACAGAATGCTATAGAAATGATTTTGATACTTAGCATTCCCTATAACTTTCACTTTGAATGTGGTGGGTTTCTATGAGAGAGACACCTGTCATTTGTAGGCCTGACATAGATTGCTGCTGATTTTGTTTTTGTTGTTTTTTTCTTAATTTAATTTAATTTTATATTAAGTTTCAGGATATTTGTGCAGGTTTGTTACACAGGTAAACGTGTGCTATGGTGGTTTGCTGCACCTATCAACCAATCACCTAGGTATTAAGTCCTGCATGGATTATCTATTTATCCTGATGGTCCCCAACACCCCACTCCCCTGACAGGCCCCAGTGGGTGTTGTTCCCCTTCTCGTGTCCATGTGTTCTTATTGTTCAGCTCCCACTTATAAGTGAGAACATGCAGTGTTTGGTTTTTGGTTCCTGTGTTAGTTTGCTGAGGATAATTGCTTCCAGCTCCATCTGTGTCTCAGCAAAGGACATGATCTAATTCCTTTTTATGGCTGCATAGTATTCCATTGATGTATATGTACCACATTTTCTTTATCCAGTCTGTGATTGATGGGCATTTGGGTTGATTCTATGTCTTTGCTGTTGTAAATAGTGGCACAATAAACATACACGTGCATGTATCTCTATAATAGAATGATTTATATTCCTCTGGATATATACCCAGTAATGAGATTGCTGGGTCAAATGTTATTTCTGGTTCTAGGTCCTTGAGAAATTGCAACACTGTTTTCCACAATGGTTGAACTAATTTACCTTTCCACAAACAGTGTAAAAGCATTCCAATTTATCCACAGCCTCACCAGCAACTGTTGCTTCTTGACTTTTTAATAATTGCCATTCTGACTGGCATGAGACGGTATCTCATTGATGTTTTGATTTGCATTTCTCTACTGATCAGTAATGCTGTGCTTTCTTTCATGTTTGTTAGCTGCATAAATGTCATCTTTTGAGAAGTGTCTGTTTATGTCCTTTGCCTACTTTTTTAATGTGATTTTTTTTTCTTGTAAATTTGCTTAAGTTCCTTGTAAATTCTGGAATTTAGACCTTTATCAGATGGATAGACTGCAAAAATTTTCTCCCATTCTTTAGGTTGTCTGTTCACTCTGATGATAGTTTCTTTTGCTGTGCAGAACCACTTTAGTTTAATTAGGTCCCATTTGTCAATTTTGGCTTTTTTTGCAATTGCTTTTGATGTTTTTGTCATGAAATCTTTGCTTGTGCCTATCTCCTCAATGTTACTGCCTAGATTTTCTTCTAGGGTTTTTATACTTTTGGGCTTTACATATAAGTCTTTAATCCTTCTTGATTATATTTTTGTATAAGGCACAAGGAAGGAGTCCAGATTTAATATTCTGCATATGGCTAGCCAGTTATCCCAGCACCATTCTTTAAATATGGAATCCTTTCCCCATGCTTGTTTTTTTCAGGTTTTTCAAAGATCAGATAGTTGTAGATGTGTGGTCTTACTTCTGAGATCTCTATTCTGTTTCATCGGTCTACGTGTCTGTTTTGGTACCAGTACCATGCTGTTTTGGTTACTGCTGCCTTGTAGTATAGTTTGAAGTCAGGTAGCATGATGTCTCCAGCTTTGTTCTTTTTGCTTAGGATTGTCTTGGCTATTTGGGCTCTTTTTTGGTTCCATATGATTTTTAAAGCAGTTTTTTCTAATTCTGTGAAGAATGTCAGTGGTATTTTAATGGGAATAGCATTGCATCTGTAAATTACTTTGGGCAGTATGGTCATTTTTACGATATTGATTCTTCCTATCCACAAGCACGGAATATTTTTTCCATTTGTTTGTGTCCTCTCTTATTTCCTTGAGAAGCGGTTTGTAGTTTTCCTTGAAGTGGCCCTTCACATCCCTTGTTAGCTGTATTCCTAAGTATTTTATTCTCATAGTAATTATGAATGGGAGTTCATTCATAATTTGGCTCTCTGTTTGCCTATTGTTTGTGTATAGGAATGCTTGTGATTTTTGCACATTGATTTTGTATCCTGAGACTTTGCTGGAGTTGCCTAGATTGCTGCTGATTTTGTATGACAACTCTGCATGCTATAACATAGCTATTTATTTTCTGAAGCTCTCTGATATTTTCTTTAACTCAAAATCTTCAGTCTTGCAGAACATTTAGCATTTTACTGTTTACCTTTTCAAATATCAAAATGGTAATACATCTTATTAGGTTACCTGGTTTGCAAGAGAATAAAACTTTCAGAAAATATGGTTCATCATGCACAAAAAGAAATGAATGTAAGTGTCCTAGGTCAATATTTCTCTTGTGCAAGAATATCAGTGGAAGGGGGAAAAAGAAGAAGAAAGTAAATTCTTTAAATTGGGACTGATTTCTAGACCATAGCAGATGGTAACCTAAGGGGAAGAAATGACTCACCATATCTATTTAGAGAAAGCCAGTGAACAGACTGTTACCCATCCTCTTATGAGTTTGTTTGCCTGTGAACTGACCTAAGGTATCTACCAAATTTATTAATTGTCTTATTGAAAACATGGCTTAGTACCAAAAGAGGCAGGAAATCACTATTGACCATCTTTAAACATCCACCAAGCTAAGGCCCAGGAAAGAAGACAGTCCCAAGGGAGTCATTTTCCAAGTTAGCAGCTGCTTATTTGCTTATGTAGCTCAGTCTTCTGCAGTGCCCTCCCCCATGAGAGCTGAGAACTTCAACCATGTCAATGGTTACACAGAACTTGCCTTTCTATCAGTTTCCATCATAACTCCAAGCACACCAAGCATTTAATGAGATTCATAAGGTCATGCTGCAGACCACGTTGCCCTTAAAATGACTTTTAGACTTGTTCCTTTCCTAAATCTTCACTTCCTATGCACATATTCTACATATGTCCCATGTTACTTCAAACCTAGGTACCATCACCCACCAACACATTTAGCATTCTAGTTAGGACACTCATGTCTTTTAGAAAGATTCATGGATTATAAGGTGTTTTTGTTGTTGTTGTTGTTGGAGTCCCACTCTGTCACCAGGCTGGAGTGCAGTGGCATGGTCTCAGCTCACTGCAACCTCTGCCTCCTGGGTTCAAGTGATTCTCCTGCCTCAGTCTCCCGATTAGCTGTGACTACAGGTGTGCACCACCACGCCCGGCTAATTTTGTATTTTTTGTAGAGACGGGGTTTCACCATGTTGGCCAGGATGGTCTCAATCTCTTAACCTTGTAATCCGCCCTCCTTGGCCTCCCACAGGGCTAGGATTACAGGCGTGAGAAGGTGGGGTTTTTTTTAATGTTTCACTTAAATATATTCACATATGCAATGAATTCCTTCATAATATTTAGCAAGAATCTTAGCCATATTGGTAAAATTTATTTCAGAAAAGGCCAGTTCATATTTTTACCCTCCTGGGCAGAGGCTAAAGATTTCACATATGTACATCCAATAATAAAATCTTCAAAAACTATCATCTATTTATACATTATGGTAGCAATGTTACAAGGTGGAGGAAGGTGGAATGAAATTAAAACAAACCTATATCCTTTCAGGTATCAGACCCCAGGGAAGAATAAAATGAATAGGATAAGCAAATAGTCTGGAGATTAATCTGTTTAAAATAAATATAATTTTGTTTACATAAGCATTGTCCATAAGAAAGGTTTACACAATGCATACAAGGTAGGGTGTGACAAGTCCTTCACCTAGAGAGCTTCCAGAGTTACCAACCCCATATTATATTTTCTGCTCATTTGCAAAGGCAGAGGTTGCTAAATTCTTTGAAGCTGTTATACCCACAAACAAAGCTACACATAAGTACAAAAACTCATGTGTTCCATGCAGTCACCATGTTTCTTTAGTCTAGTTTAATCTGAAAGAGTTACAATCTTATGCCTTGATAATTTCATAGAATGCCTCTCAGTTTAGGCTTAGTCTAGTGTTTCTTCCTCATTCAATTTAGGTTATGTGTTTTTGAAGGGAGTATTATGACCTGTGACAGTCTCATTACAGAGGAGGTTAACTTTATTCAGTTAAGGTGGTATCTGCCATGTTGTTCCTACGTAAAGTTACTATTTTCCTCTTCCTCATTAATACACCTCTTGTGGGAGATACTTTGAGACTACTTAATATCCTGCTCCTCATCAGATTCTCACCCTCTAATTTTAGCAGCTGCTGACAACTATTTTAGCAATTCAATTATTACTCTGATGGTTGCAAAATGGTGATTTTCTAAGTCCATTATCCATTTACATGTATTACTTGGCAATCTATTGTAAAGAAAAGACATTTTCTTCTCTATTTGTCCCATTTGTTTGTTTATATAATGTCAGGGCAATTCATGAATTCTTATTTTATTCTAGGGTGGATTTGTTGTCCAATACTGCATAGCTAATCATTCTAAAACTTAGTGATTTAAAACAACAGTAATCATTTATTGTCTCACACCCATTCTGTGGGTCACAATTTCAGAGTGGTTTGTCTGGATGGGTCTGGCTCAGGGCTTTGATGACGTTGCAGTCCGGAGTCAGCTAGTCTTCTGAAAATTAGACTGGGAGGAGAGGGGTCTGCTCCAGGGTGGCCACTCACAAAGCAGGCAATTTGGTGTTTGCTGCTGGTGGGAGGTCTCTCCCCAGGGCTGTCTGAGTGTCCCACAGCATGGACTCTGGGTTCCCCCAGAGTGAGCCATCCAAGAAACTAAGGTGGGAACTGCATTGCCTTTATGACCTACTCCTGGAAGTCATGCTCTGCTGCCTCCACTGCATTCTATTACTAACACAGCCTCCATTCAGTGTGGGAGGGATTGCACAGGGGTGTGAGCCTTAGGAGATAAGGTTCATTGTGGGCCATCTTAGAGGCTATCTACGAGTGGATCATTACTTTTTATTATCATTATTTATTTTGAAACTCACTTTTCTCCAGATTTGGCCCTTCAACGTGGCTCCTATATCCTTTTGACACTCCCCCATTACTCTTTCAGAACCTCCTTAATTCCAGGTGTTATAAGAAATCCCAGGCTCATCTTACACCTTCTTTGCTCTAGCTCTGGAATTAACTATGTATTTATGGATTCCTTTTAGTGAAGAATGGTTTTGAGAAACCAAGATCTAGGGGTTATGTGTGCTCAGTGCTACCAGAGTATCATTGCTTGTAGGTGCTCTCAGCAGAAAGAGGTAGTAAAAGAAAATGCATGCGTATAAACACACACACACACACACACACACATATATATACACATATATATATAGCCATGAATGTATATTGATACCTACAATTCCAATCCAACACCACAAATGTTATTCTAGCCTTCACCCTTTCTATATTTTTAAACCTCTTCTCCCGTGATAAAACTTCTTGTTGCATTTTCATCAATATATTTATGTATTTGCTCAACATCAGAAATTACTAAAAGCAGGTTCAAAATTGTGAACCCACACCACAGGGCAAACAAATGATGATATTAATATGTGTTTATAGTTTTTTTGTCTTTAATCTGAGGATATAACAATACTGTGTTCACAATCACTTGGCTTTTTATCCCCTTCAGTATGGCTACATTAGTCATCCAAAATAAAATTACATTCATCTGTTCCTGTTTATCATACATTTTTGTTTCCTTCTCATCTTTAAGGCTTTTTTTAGTATGAAAAATTAATAAAATCAGGAGAGGAAATCATTCTTTAGATTTCAG